>NC_000016.10:86380682-87021959 GCF_000001405.40 Homo sapiens
GAAAGGTTTACTAGGCACAGCACCATTCGTCTGCCCTTGGTCCCGAGGGGACTTAGTGAAAATTAGTTAAAAGGTTTTCCAGGTCTTTGTCTCTCAAGTCCTTTTCAACCTTGCTTTTGTGTGGCTGGGCCGAGAAGCATCTGGCTTTTCCATACTGCAAGGCCTTGGATTCCCTTTCATTTTTGCTGCAAACCAATCAGCTCCTCCTTGAGCTCCTCCCTTTTTCTTTTTGGAGATAGTCTCACTCTATCCCCCAGGCTGGAGTGCAGTGGCGTGATCTTGGCTCACTGCAACCCCCGCCTCCTGGGTTCAACTGATTCTCCTGACTCAGCCTCCCGAGTAGCCGGGACACATGACACCATGCCTGGCTAATTTTTGTATTTTTAGCAGAGACGGGGTTTCACCATGTTGGCCAGGCTGGTCTCGAACTCCTGACCTCAGATGATCCACCTGCCTCGGCTTCCCAAAGTGCTGGCATTACAGGCGTGAGCCACCGCGCCTGGCCAGACTCCTCCCTCTTTTTTATAGGTAGCCAAGGGTGACCAATCACAGCACCCATCCTTTGCGTTGTGTTCCCAACCTCTTTCCCTAGAGCTGCAAGGCCATCTTGCCCATCAGCCACCTCCAGAGGGACTGCACTCTTACAAAACATTTTGCCACCTCCTAACACGGGGTGCCACCTCTCCGGCATCTGCCACGCTTCCCTGTCTCCCGCTGCCCACTGCTGAGCCCACACGGCCTGTTTCCGGTTTCTGTTATAGCAACATCCCCATTTTAACACCAGTCTCTCGAATAGTCTGGATAGACTAGATTGTTTCTACTTTGGGAACAAATTAAACCCCAAGTCCCCGAGGCTTTACACAGCAAAGGTTTATTTCTCATGTTACATGTCCGGTGTGCTCTCCTCCAGGTGGTCATTCAGGAATGCAAGCTCTCGGTGGTGTTGCCATCTTGCAGCTGCACCATCTGGAAACCATGGCTGCCCAGGAAGCCACAAGCCAGGGAAGAGTCAAAGAGGCCCACTACGCAAGGGTTTTCCACTGCCTCCACCTGGGAGCAGCGTGCATTCCTGTGCTCAGAGCTCACTGGCCAGAACTAGTCCTATGAGCCTTCCTAGCAAGGGGGCTGGGCTGTGCACCGATTGTGTGGCTGGAGGGTATTGGTGTCTTTGCCACACTGGTCTCAAATTTAGAAACGGATGCATTTAATGTAGCTTTCCTGTTCTAGGAGGTGTCAGGGAGGGAAGTTTCTACACAACATAGGGCATCTATGTATTAGAGGTAGTTAGATGTGAGCTGCTTCTAAGGAATTTGCTGTTCCTGGAGTCAGCCAGAAAAGTCTAGAATCTGGATTCTGGAAGACTGAACTAGACTAGCCAAGTGTCAGAACACACTGCACACCAAGAGCTGCCTCTGAAGAAGTCCTAGGACCTGTGACCTTGTCCCAAGTCAAAGGCATCCACTCCAGCCAGGGCTCATTGGAAAAGAGCTGGCCGCTTGGTTCAAAGCCACCTGCCAGGCCATCAGGTGGCCTGCACGGTGTCCCAGTCAGAAGGCTCTGCCCACAGGTGTGGTGCTGACTCAGCGCCAGCCAAATCCTTTCTCTGGGGGCACAGAATCTGAGACAGAACGAGAAGGAAAGGTTGGTAGCAGAGGCAGGAGCTCCAGGTCGTGTCAGGAGAGACAGAGGCAGAGCAGGTGCCTCATGCCATGCCGGAGAAGTCAAGGGGCCGGCGACTTTGGCTTGTGGAGTGGGGACAGGCACCCGCCGGGGGCTCCTGAGTGGCTGTCCAGCCCCTGCCTCCCTGAAGCCGATGGAGGTTCCTGAGTTGGGTGCTGTGGGGGCCACCATCTGGCATCACTCAGGACCCCCTGATGCTGGGGTGTCGGTCATGTGATGCTCTGCAGCCACGGCACCCAGATGAAGGCACGGCCTCATGCTGACTCACAGCCCCCACAGCCCATCAGGATCCAGGAACTGGGCACAAGGGTCCACGTGCTTTGTCCCTCAGCAGACAGCCTGGAGGGCCATCCCAGGCCCAGAGCTCCCCCCGGGGTCGGCTGAGGCTGCTTGTGACCACATTCCAGCCAGCTCCTCCCTCTGCCTGGCCCTGCGTCCCCCACACCCAGTGGTGCTCACTCCTACTTACCTTTCACACACGAGCATCCCAGAGGGGACACAGCCGGCATTGCTGCCCCCTCCCTGTGTCCTCCTGAGCCCTGTGCTTCCTGTGTCAGACCTTGGCTTCTTGAGGGAACCCAGGAAGTCCCTGATGTTTACAGACACAAGAGCTGAGCTCCCAGTAAGGGAAGAAGGGGACTTCCCCTCTGAGATGGCGGCGGAGCCAGAGTGGGCTTGTTAATTCCTCCGCTCAACATCGCCATGCTTCTGTAGCTTGGTCTGGAGCCACCATAGCTGCACTCTTGGTCACAGCCTTCTGTGATTCTCTTATCCACAGCCAAGTACCTGATCAGAAGACCCTGCCCAAGATCCCCCGGCCCAGCACCCTGGCTCGCGAGGGCACGTGCCATGTAATTCCTGCCCATCCCTTTCACCATTCATCCACATGCCCACATCCTCCCGGCTCCCCAGCATCCAACCCCCACAGCCTGCCTGTGCAACCTTTGCACATGCTGTTCCCCCTGCTGAAACGCCCTTCCCCACACGGGAACTCCAACTCCTCTTCCCCTCTTGCAGGGCCAACTCAAGCTCCACCTTCCTGCGACTCCATCTGCAGCCCTCCCTACTCCTGTGCCCTCAGCTCTCATTGCCGTCCTGCCATGGAGCCAGGTGTCCCTCATCTCATTGTTTCAAAATGCTCATTGTTCATGCAGCTTCTCACCACATTCCCAGGACCTGGCAGCATCCTCTAAGAGCAGGACCTTACCACGGGCCGGGCAGGGAGCATCCACCCAGCAAAGATTTGTTGAACAAATGGGTGGAGCCAAAAATGATTAATGGAATGAATGTCCAATTAAATGTGTGCTTAAAGGGATGGTGCTTGAGAGAAAGAGGGAGGGAAAGGGAAGGGAGGATGGAAGGAAGCAAGGAAGGAAAGGAGGAAGGGAGGAAGGGAGGAGTGGGGGAGGGAGAGAGAGAGGGAAGGAGGGACAGAGGGAGAAAGGAGGAAGGGAAAGAAGCAGGGAGAAGAGAGGGCCGGCAGGCTGCTCCTCCATCTTTCTAAATAGGTTATGGTGGTAACCCAGGAGCTATTTTCATAATTTCACTAAACCTAATAGAAATTGTACGCCAACCCAAATGGGACTGGTTTAAAGGTCAAGTCTCTCTGCCTTTGGCGATGGCTCTGCTGGTTATCTCATGCTCTGATTGGCTGCCGTAAATGTGTGGTGTGATGAGTAAAGAATGAGGAAGTTGTTATCATTTGGTAGCCAAAAAAAAAAAAAAAGTTTCAAAACTTAAGATCCAAGGGGGTGTCGTCACAAGAGGGCCAATGTTGAGAGCTTCTGATCCAGGAAATTGCCATGGATATAAAAGCAGGCTGATCTGGTATTCATAGCTTTTTAAACCAAGGGTAGCAATTTTTTAAGTGACCCAAATAAAATATTATAAAATTAACTTGCTTGTTTCCGTGCTAGTAGCTCGTGTTATTTCGGATTGGCTTTAGAGGGAGATGGGTAAGACCCAGTTGCAGGCCGTAGGGTCACTGTCTCTGTGGACTGAGCGGGGAGCGTGGGAAAGGCTGGGCCAGCAGTGCTGGGTGCATAGCTGGGCTCAGCCCTCCAAGGAGCTATTATTGCTCAACGGTGCCTGAGGATGTGAGAGACCACTGAGGGATGGGACCTTGAGGTCATCCAGCTAACTATCTCCTCTATGCATTAATCTTCTCCACAGCACCCCCAATGGCGCTTGAATGCTTCCTCTGATGGGGAACTCACTACATGCGTGGGTGGCTATTGCACTGTCCTGACTGCTAGAATCAGGGGAGGTCTTATGTTTGCTGAGAGCACATCTCTATGTCCACTGTGTTACGGACCTTGTCTCATTCCATCTTCCCAGCGGTCTTGTGGGTCTGTCTTGTCGCCAAGTTACTTTTTAAACAACTTTTATTTTAAGTTCAGGGGTACATGTGCAGGTTTGTTATATAGGTAAACTCGTGCCATGGGGGTTTGTTGAATAGACTATTTCATCGCCCAGGTACTAAGCCTAGTACCCATTAGGTTATTTTTCCTGATCCTCTCCCTCCTCCCACCTTCCACCCTCTGACAGGCTCTGATGTGTGCTTTTCCCCTCTGTGTGTTCATGTGTCCTCATCGTGTGTTCTTGTCACTTATCAGTGAGAACATGTGGTATTTGGTTTTCTGTTCCTGTTTTATAGATGGGGAAACTGAGGCCCACTGAAGTCACATGACTGCCTTTGTGGGGGAAGACAAGTCCACTCCGGAATGGATGCTGCTGCAGACTCAGCCCTCCCCTGCCCCGGCAGCTCCCCGCCGCTCCGAGCCATCCCTGGCCTGGGTCCCCATCATGAAGCCCACGCGCTTCCCATGAAAGGAGCCTGCCGAGCCCCGGGCCTGGGCTTCCTCCCTATGATTTCCTGCCTTGCTCCTCAGGCCCTTGGCTGTGTCACCACCCTCAGGAGCCTGGCACCCTTTTTGCAGGGAGGAGGAGAGGGGAGCCCCTGTACACTCGCCCCAGGGTCTCTTTGTCTGGCCTGTTTGTCAGGCTAAACATCAGCTTTGAGCAAGTGGTTCTCTGCTTGAATGTGGCCTAAAATGTCCCATTAGGGCCACTTTCACCAAAAGTGAACTTGGGTTTTGTTTCTTTTGTTTTGTTTGAGTGCACTGGGGGTAAAGGGGTCCGTGCGTGGGTGCTTGGTGGGGTAAACATGACTTTACTTAAATCCCTGTGAAAATGCTCTGTTCCCTAATGATGCAGATCATCGATTTTTCTGGACACTTGCTGGTGTAAAAAAAAAAAAATCCAGCCCATTGTTGCCTTCTAACCCTTCAACACTCAGTGTGTGGGTGGGTTCCAGGACCCCCTTGTACATAAAAATCTGCAGATGCTGAGACCCTGATCTCAAATGGTGCAATATTCACATATAACTATGCACTTCCTCCCACGTACTTTAAATCTCCAGATTGCTTATAATACTTAATACAATGTAAATGCTGTGTAAGAGTTGTTAAACTCTATTGTTTTTATTTGTATTATTTTTATTGTTGCATTATTATATTTTATTTCTTTTTCAAAATATTTTAGATCCGCAGTAGGTTGAATCCACAGATATGGAACCCAAAGATGCACAGGGCTGACTGTACAGCTGAGAAGAAACAGCAAATTCCAGGACAGGGGCACGATCCTATTAAGAAAAACTATACACACAGGTACAAATACACCCTCACTGTCGCACCAGTGTATCTGTGCACAGGAAAGATGTGGAAATAGCTTTTACCAAAATGCCAGTGATGGTTACGATGATCCAGTGAGATCATGGGCCCTTTTGGTTTTCATCTTTCATCTTTGTATATCCTTACTCACATTCAGTGAAAAAAAAAAATAGGGTAGAAGCGAATAATAAAATTTCCTAATTAGTGAATGCAGCCACAGTGCAGGGAAACCAGAGAAAACGGAAACGTGTTAAACATACACAAATTGATTAAAAACAGCAGCATCAGATTTGAAAAAGACAAGGCCTCTTCCTAGGTCACAGAGCTCCAGAATTGGGAGTTCAGGGAATGACCTTGTCTCATGAAGAGTGGTGGAGAGTCACTTGTAGGGAGGGCTGAAGGCCCTGCAATGTCACTTGCAGCCTGGGAGGCAGGACTGGGTGCTTCAGCCTCTTGTCCCCACACGGAACAGAGGAGGTGCCCAGTGAGTGTCTAATAATTGAAGGTAAGTGATGCATCTTAAACCAACACAGAGTCTTCGACATTGCCCAGCTCACAGAAAGACGCATCACATCCAGAGAAGGGTGGCAGTGCCAGTCCAATGAGCCCATGGCCAGCAAGGTGGGAGATGTCCACGTGGCCCCAGGCCCCAGCTGGGGGCTTGGATTAGGGGGAATCTCAGGGAGCAGGGCTGCGCCTCTTAGAAGTCAGGCACAGCTAGGTCTCAGTCGCACCTGGCCACTTCCACCAGGTGTCTGACCTTGACCTTGAACAGGACTGGCCAGCATCTGAGACCTCGAGCGAGCAAACAGCTTGAGAAAACATCAGAGGTGTTACTTCAGTAAGCAGCACCACTGTCAGCCCTAAACGGGAAAACAAGGGAGAAACATGCTCGGGGCGCCTCCTGGGAGCTCGGGGCACCTCCTGCGACGTCACAGCACCCAGAGACGTAGGTTCCGGTTTCATCTTCACACAACTAGAGCCCCTTGTTTGAGCTCCATTTTATAAACAAGGAAACCGAAGCTTAGAAGGTGAAATTACTTTTCCAAGTTGGAATAATCAGACGGGTTTCCTGAGGCCTCTGGGCACCCATAATAACAATTTATTGATCAAAATTGAATGAATGAATAAATGAATGAATAAATGAATTAGTGATAAATCCCAAAACAAACCAAAAAAAGGTAACAACTAGAAGAAAAAGATATGATATGAAAAGTTAATTGATTATAATCTATGGTACTATACATTAGGTTGTATAGCTTTCACAACTTCACAAAAACTTATTTTTGATTCCTAACAAATAAAAAATACTAACACATATGGTAATAATATTCTATAATAACATTTTAATTAATGTTATTAATAAAAATATTAACATATTTTTAATTAAATAATAACACAGACACATAGAAATCACTTCCTGGCTTAACACATACTTGGCTGAATTCCTTGGTCCACGTATCACCCTGAATCTGAAACATCCTTTCTGCACCAGCCATTGACCCAGGAACTGAAACAGAGCATTGAACCTCACTAACAAGTGTGTGCTTACAATTTCTTCACCCAAAAAGTATTTCCACTTATCAAGAGATGGCATTTCCTCCAGGGACGTAAGCATCCTGTGTGAGGCGAGAGTGACTCAGAGGGAGGGCCTGGAGAACAGCTCCCAGCAGCCCACACATGGTGACTGCGTGAGCGGCCTGTGGCCACCACAATAGTTACCACAAATTGGGTGGCAAAAGACAAGAGAAATGTATTCCCCCCAGTTCTGGGGGCCAGAAGTCTGAAGTCAAGTCATCCGCAGAGCCCTGCTCCCTCTGAAGCCTCCAGCGGGGATCCTTCCTGCCTCTTCCAACTCCTGGTGGCCCCAGGCATTCCCTGGCTTGTGGATGCATCACTCCCATCTCTGCTTCCGTTTTCATGTGGCCTCTCCTCTATGTGTGTCTGTGTCTTCTCTTCTGCTTCTTATGAGGACACCTGTCATCGGCTTTACAACCCACCGTAAGTTCAAGACGATCTCATCTCAAGATCCTTATCTTAATTATGTCTATGAAGATTCTATTTCCAAATAAGTTCATATTCGTGCGGTCTGGAAGATTAGAATGTGGACACATCTTTTTCAGGGACACAATTCACCCCACTGCAGTGACCACAGCCGGATCAGACTCGTTCACCCACTTCAGTGACCACAGATGGATCAGACTCGTTCGCTCCCTGCAGTGACCACGGCCGGATCAGACTTGTTCCCTACAAAGGGGATTTCTCATGAGAGCCAGTCACACGAGGGCAGAGACTTTGGTTATCCTCGCCCTGGTAGCTTCAGCATCTGCGCTGCATGTGGTAGGAGGCTTGATCACTTCTGAACAAACACACCAATGAGTAAATGAACGAGCGGCCTCACAGAGCAGCGATGGGGACTTTCTGATGAAGACCAGGTTTTCAGACGGCGGGAGGCCTTGGCTTTGAGGTGTCAGTGGGTGCAATGGTTAATATGGCACTGATTTTAGCGAGTGCCGACTGCGCAATGCCATATCTTTTAAAGGGCACTATAGAATCCCAGAGTTATTGAGTAGGAAGGAAGCCTGGACACTCCTCAGTCCAACTTCCTCACCTGCAAGGTGACAAAACTGAAGCCAGAGAGGAGGAAGGATTCACCCAGGTCCCCCAGAGTCAGCAGCTAAGGAGAGTATAGAAACCAGGCTTCTGACTTCCCAGCCAGTGCTCCACTGAGACCCAGCTCCCCTCCCTCTATCATCATCTCCATCATCCTAATCTCAGCCACGACTCCCATGACCTTGGACTCTTCCTGCTTGGCTCTATGTTCAGCATCTCACATACATCAACTCATTTAATTCTCTCAACAACCCAGTGCTTTACATAGAATCCTTATCTCCATTCTACAGGTGGCACAACTGAGGCTCTCAGATAATTTCCCAAAGGTCTGACAGCTAGAAAATCATGTAATCTGATGCTTAAGCCAGTGCTCCAAGCCAGAGGTGAGCAAACCATAGTCTGTAGGACAAATCTGGCCCATCACCTGTGACCACAGCCAGATTCTGCCACAAAAACAGGAGAATTCTCCGAGAACACATCCAGTTTAATTACAGCACAGTCACACTCGTTATTCAAAGCATCATCTCCGGCTTTCTTCCCTGCTGCAATGGCAAAGCTGAGTAATTGAGAGAGACAGTAGGAACTGAACAGCCTGAAATACTTGTCATCTGGCCCTTCATGTAAATGTCTCCTGAACTCTGCTCTATGCTGCCGATACTATATTATCTATTCTATTCAGTGTATATGTTATCATTTATATCAAACGTTTAAGGGCTTTGTATCTATAATTTGAGAAATGTTTACATTTGATTCTCAAATGAAACCCACCAACAATTAATTTACAAGGAAACAGGTACTTCTTGAACATGATGGCCTTCCCCACTGTGTTTCTATTTTCACAGGGATGTTTTCAGACTCGATGATCCCAAAAGTGATCCCATTAGAAGAAGAAGGAAAAAAAAATAAAAAAGAAAGAAACAACCTCCGCCCCTGCAACCTCTTAAACGGCCCACAACATCTGAATCGGAAGGTCCGTTCATGCTGATTTTCTACGTGTCAGGAATTTCATGCCAAAAAGCGACTCTTCTACATTAATAACGCATCTCCCCATCCAAGACAGGAAATAACATTACAAAAGCCGGAAAGGACATCAAACGCGCTGGCTTGGCAGCCACATGTATATGTGAAATTACTGTCAGAGTTCAAAGGCAGGGCTGAGACATGGAGGGTGCGTGCGGCAGTGTTACCCCATGATGCTTTTACCTCGTGGGAATAAGCACAGTGGCAGGTTACTGTGACCTGGCCACTGGCTTCCTGATACCCACATTGATTCTGGCACGTGGGACTGCAGGGCTGGATTTGGGTGGGCTTTGCAGCTCCCCATACATCCTACCCCAGCTCAAGAGCCTCACACGTAAAGCAACCTTTCCAGGTTTGGGCAGCCCGGACCAGTGCCTGCACCCAGGGCTGGCCAATGCTGCAGAGCTGGCTCTTACTGAGCACTGCACTAATTATTAAAGCATTGCCTCAGGACTCTTGCACAACCTTGAGAAGTAGGAGCTATCATGCCCCCTAATTCATGGATGGGGAATTGAAGATGAATTGAGGTTACTTGATGTGCCCATTGCATGGAGGAAGTGGAGGAACCAAGGTTCAAGCCCAAAGATTCCATCACTCACAACTACCAGGCTTCACTGCTTCAATGTGGAAGCTTCCTTGGGAGATGCAGCCAACCACGCCCAGGCAAGGTTGGACCTGAAGGTGTGAAGAGCTCACCTTTCTGGTTAAGGCAAGTCACTGAGCCCCATTTGGAGATGGAGTTTGCATCAATCTTCATGGCAAGAGGGATCATGACATGAATGAGAGGGCAGCAATTTGACCAAAGGCTCTTCTAGCTAGACAGGTAACTTGGTTTATCCTCCTGACTCATTAAACTGCCTGGTGAACTCCTATGCATTCTTCAAAACCCAGTTTAAACATTCCTTTCACCATGAAGATTTCCTTGCCCCATAAAAAGTCAATCAACTCTTTCTTTGGGCCCCTGAAGTGTATGTGTTGTGAGTGCTTCTGTCTTGACACAGACTGCTTTGCCTTGAATGTGTGCAGCTCGCTGTCTGTATAGTACATTCATCAAGGACAGGAATTGTGTTCAATGTGCCTGTGGACACCAGCTTGGATTAACAGGAACAACGCTAGTAACACCCAGCGCTAGTTAATCACGTACTCTGTGCTGCGCACTCCTCTAACGGGGTCATGGGCTCTAATCCTTAAAACACCGTAGGAGGCTGCTGTGATTATTATTCCCAATGGCGAGGCGTGTAGGCTCTGAAGCCAGGCCACCTGGGTTTGAACCCTGGCTCTGCCTGTGACCTTGAGTGAGTTACTCAGCCTCTCTGTGTCTCGGGATTCTCAGTGACATAGGGATCATCACAGCAGTCACCCAGTGAGGGCTGGAGCCAACTCCGGCAAGAGCTAACTATTAAAGCTTAAAGAATTTTGCCATCGTTAAACATTACATTATGCACACTTAGAGTGGAGTAAACTATATTTAAAACAAACGTAATAAACACTCAAAAGTCATCACTTCCTAATTATTTCCCCACATTTTACTTTCCTCCCTGCCCTTAAGGATACTCACGTTTCCACTTTGGTGGAAATACGGAATAACGATGAGCTTGCACACTGCTTCCCAACTTTATGTTCAATGGCCTCACACTGGTTGAAATGAGACGTAAGGAGGGGATTTACACCATGGAGACTGGCAAACGCTATAACTCAGGGTTTTTTTAACCTTGGAAAACCACTTGTTAAGCATTCCCCAGCACAGCGATGTAACCACCTTATAGCAAGCACACAGTAAGCTGTCAATATGCATTAGCTACTATTGCTATTACTACGAAGAAGACAGAGCTTAAATCACTCACCCAGGTTATGAAAGATCCAGGTATGACCCCAGACATGACAGCTCCCTATCCCTTAACCAGCTTGAACTCAAGGCAGACCACAGAGGAGTGGCCAAGAAATGTATTTGGTTGAATAAACAAACATTGAATTAGTAGATCTCAAATCTGCTGGCCGCAGAAGTGCCTGGGGAGCTTTGTATGGACACAGATTCCCACAGTATCCCTTGTGGTAGGCTCCAGAGTGTGCATTAGAGCGAGTGCGTCGGGTTCTGATTCTGTCCCTCCCCATAGCCCAGCCCCATCCCTGTCTTGCTTGTTGCCCGCTTGTGACCCATCTTCCACATCTGCCTTCCTGCATCCCTACGGGGGTGAGTGGGAACTGTGAGGTGGAGAACCGCATAGGGCAGGGGCCCCTCTGTGCACAGGCCTTAACCAAGAGAGGGCTTGAAGACTGAACACCGTTGCAGGCAAATTAGAAGAAAACCTGCCTCCTCCAGCAGACACTGACCGTGGTGTATAGGCAGCCAAGAGAGGCCGCAGCTTACCTGGGCTCAGAGGCCTGCATATATCTGAGTCCACGGTAACAAAAAACAGGCTGTGAGCGTGCACTGCACTTGCAAATTCACAAAATGCTGCCACATTCCTTCTCCTTTCATCTCACGATAACCCCATGAGATCAGCAATGGATGCATAAAAATAATCCCCCGTTTACAGATGAGGAAACATGTGACTCATATAGCTCAGAGCTGCTCATGCCTGGAGCCTCAGGCTTCAAAGCTGTGTTTTTCCTTCAAAAGTGGGTGTGAGGGAGAGAAGTGGAGAAGATGGGGGCCGGAGTCCCGGAAAGTCAACGTTTATGCATTATGTTGGCTTTGCTACCCACTAGCTGTGTGACCCTGGAAAAGCTTCTTAATTTCTCTGTGCCTTAAGTTTGCACCTTTGAAAAACCTAAGAAAATGATTGGCAGCCTCCTCTTATGGTTGTGGTGAATTAATAGATGTAAAAATGCCTCTTAGAATGTTGCACTGGGTGGGGTTCAATAATGGAATAGACAGGAACCACAGCAACAGCTATAATGATATTGTTGCCTTTATATATCTTGTGGCATTTCCGGGCTATTATTTTTAAAAGGCAGGCTATTGAGCTATCTGGGATAGATCAAGTGACGGATACGTAGATGGGAAGTCAAGGAGCTCTAGACTGGAAGTTGGGGACCATGGATTGAAGACCTCATCCAGTCAACAGGTATTTCCTGGACACATACGATGTGTCCAGTCCTCTGAAGGTCCCCTCTGACAAAGTGGCTGCATGGAGCAATAGCTACGACTGTGACCCCAGGGCCACACAGACAGGGTCTATGTCTGCAGCTGATGGGCTCACGGCCTTGCTCTAGTCCCTTATCTCCCTGCATCTGTCGTCCCGTCTGTAAAATAGAATGAATCAGAAAATAAACAGCATCTCTCTGACTCAGTGGCTGCATGGAGCAATAGGTAAGAGTGTGACCCCAGGGCCACACAGACAGGGTCTACATCTGCAACTGATGGGCTCACAGCCTTGCTCTAGCCCCTTGTCTATCTGTATCTGTCATCCAATCTGTAAAACAGAATGAATCAGAAAAGAAACCCCATAAAGTATTTGTGAGTATGGAGTTTTTAAATGAGATTTTGTCTGTAAGATGTTTTAGCCTGGGGCAGCAGCTTTCAACCCTGGCTATACATTAGAATGACCTGGGATACTTTTTTAAAAATGCAGTTGCATAGGTCCCACCTCAGAGCAACTGAATTAGAATTGGAATTTCTGGAGGACAGAAGAAAGACTTTGGTTATTTTTTTTAAAGCTCTTTGGATGATTCTAATGTGTAGCCAAGGGCGAGAACCTGGGCACTAGGTCCTGCTGCAAAGGGCTCCATAAAGCCATCCACTCATTCATTTTCTCATGAGACAAACTTTTTGGGACAGTATGTCAGGCACTGCTTTAGTTATTAAACAAAACAAAGCCCCTGCCCTTGCGGGGTTACATTTGGTGGGGAGGAAGTCAATAAATACACAAATTGATGTGTGATATAATGTGAGCTAGGAACACATGCAATGAAGAAGTGAAAAGGAGGATGGGGGCTGCTGAGGGATAGGGGGGCTGTTAATTGTATGGTGTGGCCGGTGAAGGACTCCTGCAGGAGGTAGAATTCACTGAAATAATAGACCTGAACGAAGCAAGTAAAGGAGCCATGAGGGGATATAAGGAAGGAGCATCCCAGGAAGGAGGAAGAAAAGGGAAAAATGGTGGTTGTTGTGTCATCATTGTTTTCATCATCATCATTATCATCACCATCATCCCCATCCCCATCCCCATCATCATCATCATCATCCCCATCATCATCACCATCATCATCATCACCATCATCACCATTATCACTATCACCATCATTATCACCATCCCATCATCATGACCACCACCATCATCATCATGATCATCACCATGATCACCATCATCATTATCACCATCATTATCACCATGATGACCATCATCATCATCACCATCATCCCTATTATCGTCATCCCCATGATCATCACCACTACCATCATCATCACTATCATCACCATCACCATCATCGCCATCATCACCATCACCATCACCATTACCATCACCACCACTATCACCATCAGCATTACCATCACCATCACCATCACCATCACCATCACCATCACCATTACCATCATCATCGCCATCATCACCATCACCATTACATTCATCATCGCCATCATCATCCCCTTGATCATCACCATCATCATCATTATCACCATCATCACCATCACCGTCATTATGATTGTTGCCTTTGTTGTCATCATCATCCTCGTCAATCCTTTGCACGACCTCCTTAATCTCTGGTAACCCACTTTCTAATCTGTGAAAACCTTTTAATAAAGTATCCTTGATGCTAGAGTTGCTGAATCATCAGTCAGAGACCTGAGGCATTGACTCACAGGGCAAGAACAAACTCAAAATATCTTTGAAATCTTTTTTTCACTCTTAAGAAATATGAACATATGTACCATATTCTATAATACCTTCATGTGTGTGTTCATGTTTTTTGTTTACTTTCCATGAGTCGAACTGACATTTTCAGGAAGAAAGCACGGCATTAGAAGCCATGTTATAAAGATTGTGGATTCTGGAGTTGAATGGTACTGGTTTTGGGCCCTGGCATTGCCATTCACTGGTTGAGTGACCCTGAGAAACACTTAAAACTTCTTGAACCTCGATTTTCTCACCACTAAAAGTGGGTGATTATTATAGCCATGTTAGAGAATATCTGTGGGGATTAAATGAGATAATGCATTTAAAACACTAAAAATAGTGTCCAGTACTCGGCCAGGCGTGGTGGCTCACCATGGCTAACATGGTGAAACCCCGTCTCTACTAAAACTACAAAAAATTAGCTGGGCGTGGTGGCGGGCACCTGTAGTCCCAGCTACTCCGGAGGCTGAGGCAGGAGAATGGCGTGAACCCGGGAGGCGAAGCTTGCAGTGAGGCAGGATCATGCCACTGCACTCCAGCCTGGCTGACAGAGTGGGACTCTGTCTCAAAAAATAAAATAAAATAAATAAAAAATAAAAATAAAAATAGTATCCAGTACTCAAGATATGCTCAGAAAACATTAACTCTTGTGACTAGTATCAATGTTTTCTTTTTTATTTATGTGGGCTTTACTAGTGTAATATATATATATATATATATATATATATATATATATCTCATATTATATATATATATATCTCATATTATATATATATATATATCTCATATTATATATATATATATATATATATCAGCATTTGTTTTCTTTTAAAAATGATGCATTGAATTATTTTCATGAAAGTCAATTGACAGTTTCCAGGGAATTCTGACATGCAAGAATAAAAACCCCTTCTCAGCAATGGGGCAGACTTGGCTTTGTGTCTTCTTTTAGCCATTGTCCTTCCTGAGACAAGGAATTCTAACAGAAGTAGTTTATTTGGGAGGAGATGCCAGGAAACATCTGTAAAGGAGCAGGGAGATGAGACAGGGAAGACGGCCAACAAAGAGATCCTTACCCAGGCATTTACCATTTTGGGCAACTAGAGCTCAGCCCTCCTGGGGACTTCTGTGAAACCATGGAAAGGATGCCTCAGCGTTGTTTTATCTGAAGCAAGGGAGCTGAGATATTTATGCTCCCAGGGACGTTAAATCCCTGGCATGATGGTCTGCCAAGCATGTGGGGCAGAGCAGGCTCCAGCCACCAGAGAAAACTTCCAGCTGGGAGATCTTGGTGCTGGGAATGGTGAGGGCTGAGGAACAAGAGCTGCCCCACAGAGTCTGTTCCCATCTGTAAGCCTCAATTTCACTCTCTGTAAAATGGGAATATTTAGAGCACCTAACTCATGATATTTTGGGTGATAAAAAACAGATTATGATTATAAAGCACAATAAATGCTAGCTGTCATAGCTACCACTGTGTTTATCCCTCGGACTTCTTGTAACCTCTGCCGTGGGACTGGACATCCTAAAGGTCAGAGTCTATGTTGAGGTCAGATATGGCACAGTGAAGAGCAACGTCTTCTCAATCAAGCAGGGCTGGGTTCAAGTCTCAGCTCTACCTCTGACTGGGGAACCTGGAGCAGTGAGTCAAGCTCTCCTAACCTCAGTTTCCTCTTTTGTAAAATAAAGTAGATAGAACCACTTTACAGGGTTATTGGAAGAGCTAAAAGAGATGTTGCATAAAATCATCTTGAACAGTGTCTCTTCAAGCTTGGAAAGGTGATAAAAATTAATGTTTTCCTAAATTCTCCTTCCTTGGTTAACCACTTGGCTATGAAGATTTTATTGGCTGGGATGAAGAAGGAGGACTAAGAAAAGAAAAGTCAGAGAGAGGAGAACAGGAGGAAGATAAAATGTAGACACACGCTCACATGCACACACACAAAGACACACATACACACACACAGGCAAAGGCCAACTGAAGGGACCCCGTTAGCATATAAACAAAAGGTGGGGGGTAGCCCCGAGCCTCTTCTCTGACAGCCAGTGGCGGCAGTGATGAATTTGTGAAGTTATCTAATTTTCCACTGTTTTAATTAGAGACTTGGGCTCTGAGGCCTCGCAGCTGGCTTCTTTGTGCTGTATTCTGTTGCCTGACAGAGAAAAATGTCTCCTGTAACGTCAGCCAAGCTCTCCGCCAGACCTGAGCAAGCGAAACTTCTGGGATTCATAAACTTGTGGTTTCTGGGTAGAGTGGCGTTTAAACCAGGACTCAGTGGGGAAAGGGCAACATGGCCAGCTCTTCTCCCCAGCGAATCCTCGGAACCAAGGTTGGGGTCCACCATCATCGAAGGGGTGCTGCGGAAAAGGCACGGCCCAGAAAGCCCCCTGAGGATTGTTCTGGGGGTCCTTGATCCTAGTCCATGTGAAATGGAGTCTCCTTGTGGCATGTAATTGAGCCCAGCTTAGAAAGGCCAGTGCTCTGCTTCTCCGAGACAGTGCCTTTGATTGCAGAGTGTGTGATCTGAGTAATTTAATTTATCGCTCATCTTTTGCCAAGTGATCTTTTTACAATGCTGCATTTAATGACTCCACAGCTGGGGTAGAGGCTCTCCTCGCCCTCCCAGCTCTCTGGCTGCTGTCTTCCTGTGACTCACTTTAACAGGAGGCGGGTCAGGAGGTGCAGGAGGAGAGGGCGGTGCGGGAGTCAGGCATACCTAGATTCCTATCTTGCTTGTGCCATGTGGCCGGTGGGCACGGCCTGGGAAGAGTTCCATCCTTGAGCCCGTTTTCTCCTCTGCAGAGTGACAATCACACAAATATTGATTGGATAAGGAAGACACAGGGATTGAATGAGATCATGAATAGCAGAGAGGAAAGGAAATTGCTAACTTAGAAAACAAAATGGCCCCTGTGAGATTCCAATAGGCTTTGGGGAGGAAAATCCTCTAGCTGTGTTACAAATGCTTCACATGGGTCGGGTGCAGTGGCTCGCACCGGTAATCCCAGCACTTTGGGAGGCCAAGGTGGGCAGATCACCTGAGGTCAGGAGTTCAAGACCAGCCTGGCCAACATGGAAAAACCCCATCTCTACTAAAATACAAAATTAGCCGGGCATGGTAGTGCATGCCTGTAATCCCAGCTACTCTGGAGGCTGAGGCAGGAGAACTGCTTGAACCCAGGAGGCGGAGGTTGTGGTGAGCCGAGATCACGCCATTGCACTCCAGCCTTGGCAACAAGAGCAAAACTCCGTCTCAAAAAAAAAAAAGCAACTATTTATTTCCACTCATGTGTCTACAGATTGGGTGGGGAGCTCAGTCAAGTCAGGGTGGACTGGGCAAGGTGGCTCTGCCCAAGGTGCAAGCCCAGTTGGGCGTGACTTCTCACTGGTGGTTGAGCTCAGATGTGCTCCATGTGTTTCCATTCTGGGGCCAAGGCTGAAGGCACATCAACCACCTGGGGAATGATCCTCTGTGGCAATGGCCAAGCAGCAAGAAGGTAAGCTCCACTGCAAACTCATTTCAAACCCCTGCTTATATCATCCCTGCTAGCATGCCATTGGCCAAGTTAAGTACCAAGCCATATTCTCCAAGTCAAGGGATAGGGGAGTCTATGCAACCTACAATGGAGGAACTGAGAAGGTGCAAGGCAAAAGGAGTGGATACAGGAAGGAGAGGGAGATGAGAGTTGGGTCAATGCTTGGATCTACACGTATTCACATTTCACAGAAGAGAACACTGAGCTACAGAGAGACTAAGTAATTTGCCCCAAGTTGAAAATCTGGTAGAGAAGAACCGGGGTCAGCAAGTGTCCTGTTTCAATT
The DNA here is from genome assembly GCF_000001405.40 of Homo sapiens. Taxonomy (NCBI): domain Eukaryota; kingdom Metazoa; phylum Chordata; class Mammalia; order Primates; family Hominidae; genus Homo; species Homo sapiens. The sequence goes on from NC_000016.10 coordinate 86,398,328, forward strand.
ATACCTCGTGATAGAGCTGGACAGTTGCTATTCTGGTGTCAGGTTTAATCGTACAGACAGGAAACATGGACCCCAGATGTGATGATGGCATTGCCTTTGTGCTGCCTCACACCAAAATCTGATAGCAGAAATGACAGCATCAGAGATGAGTCTGGTAGACTCTGGCAGACGTTGCTGGTTGTCAGCCCACCATCCAATCCCCCTTCTTACTTGCTGACAGAACCCCAGTTTTTTGCAAGTATTATGGGGAGGCAATGTGGACGGAAGAATGAATGAATGGGTGCATGAATCCTCGTTGGTCTAAGCCATTCATGGCCGTCCTGTTCTTTTCTGATGTGGTCATTGAGACTTCTGGCCAATGAGAAATAATGAGAATTCTAATGGAACAGGAAGATGTCTAGTAAATACTTTCCTGATAAAGAAAGATTGTGAGGAGTAGTACAATCTATCCCCTTCTTCCTGCTTGTGAAGCTGACTCATAAAGATGTGACAGCTGCCTTCCATTCATAAGGGAGATGTCACAGTACATGAGCAGATGGGAAAGATGAAAAAGATCTTGAGTCGCGAATGATATATGCTCAGATGCAAATTCCACCAGGGCAAGGACTGTGTTTATTCACTGCTCTACCCCAGTTCCTATACTGTGTCTCAACATAAGACACTCAAAAACATTTTGTTGCATGAACGAGTCAATGAATCACTAAACTTTTGAACCAAGCCTGGGACAACCTACCTCAGGTTTCTTTTTAAGTGAGATAATAATCCTCCTACTTAAGCCACATTTTTGGATGTTGTGTTCCCTGCAGCCCAGAGCTTCCTGGAAGTACATCTGGGAATATTCAGAGGTGAGTCTGGAGAATGGACATAACAATATCTACCAAACTCAACAATCCTCACCATGATGCTTAAGGAAAACAAAATGGCCTAGTCTATTCAAGTCCACCTCGATTCCAGAGAGCTCTGAAATGTTGCCTGATTCTTCCCAGACTTCAAGCACTTACTTGAACACTCCTATTATGATGCCCATTTTGCAGAAAAGGACATTGAGGCTGGCTGGGTGAGATCAGCTAATGTACATAAAGTCCACAGCTCAAAGGGGTGAAGCTGTAAAGTGCTTCCTACATGTAAAGAGGGACAAGTGGTCAAGAGACTGGTGTCAGCTCCACTGAGGCTCTACATTTCACCGGGAACTCATCCCACTGGGCACCATGTTTTCACCTGCACCAAAGGGTGGGCTCTGGGAGGAAGTCCCCCCTGGTTCCCTCCAAGGGGAGACAGCAACAGACTGTGAGAAAGGGCCAGTGCAGGAGGCGGTGGGCATCCCTGCAGGGCTGGATATTGAAACATTTCCATAAATAAAATTTAGTTATTTTAATCTAAATAGGCCGGGCACGGTGGCCTATTTAGGTGGCCTCCAGCCAGCAGGAGGAACATCCTGAGGACAGGAGCTGGGAGCTGCTTGGGTTGGTTCCCTGATCAGCAGGGATGACGAGAAGCTTCTGGCAGGTCTGAATTGAGAGAAGAAAATGGGTGAGGGAGAGACAGAGAAAAGCAGGATGACCCTGACAACCCCACTAGGTCCCATTCTCAGCCCTGGAAGCCTCGCCAAAAGGCAGTTGTGGTAGGAAGACCCCAGCACTTTGTGTCAAGGTGGACTGAGAGAGGATCACTGGCTCTGATGTCTACCCCTAGGTGCCCTGGGCAACTCATCTCTGAGTGTCACTTTCCTCATGGAGGTGGAATGGAACCCATGGCCAAAGGAGGACTAAACCATCCTTCTGTGTGAACACGTGGCTTGGGTCCTGGCACCTGGGGAGTGCTCAGTGACTGAAGCCTGCTGGTCTACCCACGTCATCCCTCAGCCCATGCTAACTCTGACTCCTCTATGCCCACTGCCAGCACAGCCTGCATGCAGGCACCTCCCGCCGACACCCCAGGCATCCTTGCCCGACTGCTCCCCAGCCTCGTTCCCAGCCCTGGCGTTCTGCTGGCCCTGCGTTCAAGGGTGGTGTTCCTGATGTTCATCTACTGCTGTGGCATAGACAAGGGCTCCCCAGAGACCCCTCCTGTAGCAGGCATTGGAACCCACACTTTAGGGGCCAAAGTGTCCAAGGTGGCAAAGGAGGAAAGTGTGTAGAAAACTCAAGGCAAAAGCTATGCACCGGCCGGCCTGGAAATGTTTCAATATCCAGCCCTGAGCACAGCTGAACTGATGCGTGCAGGCTGTCAGACCCGATTGACTGTAGTGAATTCTCATAGTCCCTGCCTGGCTCACCAATTTCCCCATGAGGGAAATTGCCCTTCCCAACCTTAAGGCCACACAATTCAGTGGGACTGCCTCACCTCCAGCCCCAAGGTAGCCATGGGTCACAGTGATGGTATACTCAGGCCACTCCAAAGACAGTCAAGCTTGGAATACTTGGAGGACCTTGGGAGATCACCGAGCTGGTAGGATAACTAGAATTGCCAGTCGTCATGTTTGCCACCTTGGGAAGGGACTGGGTGGGGATACCTTTCTTCGGAGGAAAATAAAGGTTAGAGAAGGAGAGAGACAGCTTGCTGATCACATCGTGACATCTGGATCCAGCCAGACCTGAAGCTGTGCCCTGATGTCATCTGTCCAGCTGAGCCAATCATTCCATTTTTCAAGTGCCTCCTGCATTTGCAAGCAACCAGGACTTCACTGACAGTGGCTAGCTCCCTCCAGGTCCGTTGTCAGAGGAGCAATCAGAGCAGCTTCTGCTGGGCTGAATCCTGCTCAGTGGGTAAAGCTCATTCTTCCCCACAGAAGCCCCTCAAGCTAAGATACTTTTTCCAATAAAACCTGGGGCAGGGGAGTGGGCAATTCTGACACGCCCCTTTTCCTGTTTCGTTTAAGCCCATCTCTTTGCAGAGTCCTGCAGGCGACCATGATAAGGCTGGCAGCTGGATATAGGGCAAATGCTAAGCCTCTCCCCTTTCCAGTGACATGCCTAATTAAAATTGAGGCCTGAGGCCCTTGGACTTGAGAACATTAACCATGTCCCACTATCGGATGGGGGAGTTCACACACGTCCCACCAGGAATGCACAGAAATCGCGGTTCCGGGAGCTGGGGCATTCAAGTTCACCATCTGTCCCAGGGGCTGTTCTGAAATCAACCCCCAACCCACTTCCCTCTCAGGGGCTGGTTGAAGGCACTTTCTGCCATGGGTGTGATATGTGGCATGACAAGGGTCTTTGTGGAAAAGGATGTTAACAGAGAGAAGCACAGCCAACCTGCATGGGGGCACGCTTCATGCTTCCCTAGCATCCGCTGGCTCGTTCTCTCGCACTCTCTGTCCTTCTCTCTGCCTTGGTCTCTGTCTCCTTTCCTCTCTCTTGTCTCCCTCTTTTCATGTGTTTTTCTCTCTCTCCACTTCACACTGTCCCCACCCTTCCCTATCTTGCACCCTTTCTGTTTCTGTCTTTCTGCTTCACCCTGTCTCCTTATCAATACCTGTAACTTGTCTGGGTGTCTGCCTGTCTGTCCCAGATTCTCTCTCTCTGGTTCCCTGTCTTCTCTTTCCTTATTATTCCTGCTCCCTACTCTCTCTCAACTGCCTCCCTTTCTCTCCCCCCTTCTCTCTCTCTCTCTCTCTCTCTCTCTCTCTCTCTGTTGCTCTCCTGCCTCTTTGTGTCCCATTTCTCTCCCCCAGTCAACTCTGTCTCTTTCTCCTGAAGCACCCATATCTCCCTCCTATCTTCTTTCTTTCCTATTTTCTTTCCCCCTTTTCCATGTAATGATCAACCCTGTGAAAACCTTCAACCAGAACAGGCTGAAGGGCCCAATCCTTGGGTCCCCATGCTGAGCCAAGTCATGCCCAAATGGTGCAGAGGGGATCAAGAGCCTTGGCTTATGGTCCATCTTGGCTAGTCTGTTCAGTTCTGACAAAGCCTCCCTTCTGGCATGACAGGAAGGTCTCCCGAGCATTCAGGAAACGGGAGCCTGCAAATATTGCAGGGTTCAGAAGCTGCTTCTGTTGGACCTCAGGGCTGCCATTTCAGCCTCTTCCTGTCTCCGTAGCCACCTGCAGGGCCTTCAGTGCTTCAGCTCTGGGGGCTCAGCTGCTGAGTGTCCACGCTGGAGGCTGGGCTAGCGTGGGCCACAGTACAGAACCACCAGACCCCAAGGCAACAGGGCTTAGTGACTGTGTGCGTTTCCTGGGGCTGCTCTATCAAAGCACCACACAGTGGAGGCTGAAACAACAGAGATGCCTTGTCTCGCGGTTCTGGAGTCCAGAAGTCTAAGAACAACGAGTCAGCGGAGCTCTGCTCTCTCTGAAGGCTCCAGGGGAGGATCCGTTCCACGCCCTTCATTTAGCTTCTGGTGCTGGCAATCCTTGACGTTCCCTGACTTGTGACTGCATCATTTCAGTCCCCACCTCGGTCCTCACTCAGCCATCCCCCATGTCTGTCTGTGTTTCTTCTCTTTTCATGAGAGTGCCAGTCATCCTGGGTGAAGGGTCAACATACCCCAGTATCACCAGTCATCCTGGGTGAAGGGTCAACATACTCCACTATCACCTCTTCTTAATAATTATTAAGTTGTTGCAAAAGTAATTGCAGTTTTTGCCATTGAAAGTAACGGTAAAACTACAATTCGTTTTGCACCAACCTAATACATCTGCCGATACTTTATTTCCAAGTGAGATTACATATCCAGAAAGGATAGAAACTTTGAGAGGACACCACCCACACAATAGAGCCACAAAAGACAGCATGTGCGCTGGAAGCCACTGCTCAACGCTGAGAAGGGCAGCCACTGAGAGTGAATTGGCATCCAGGTGATGAACTTACAAAGATGAAAAGAAAGCAGTGATTGGCAAACTACTGCCCCTGTAGCCCAAGGTGCGCGTTTCCAAATGGTTCTACTGGAATGAGCCACGCTGTTTGCACAGGCGTCCTCTACAGCTGCTTCAGCGTCACAACGGCAGGGCTGAGTAGTTGTAACAAAGCTCCTAGGTCCTTCAAAACTGAAAATATTTACTCTCTTCTCCTTTACACAGCAATCTGCTGGCCCCTGAAATGAAAGGATTTTTTTCTTAATCACTTCAGCCAGACTGTGTGAATTAGTCAGTTTTGTGTTGCTATTAATGGCTGAGGCTGGGTGGTTTATAAAGAAAAGAGGTTTAATTGGCTCACGCTTCTGCAGGCTGCACAGGAAGCATGGCACCAACATCTGCTCAGCTTCTGCTGAGGCCTCAGGAAGCTTCCAGTGGTGGTGGAAGGCAAAAGGGGAGCCAGCACCTCACATGGAAAGTGCTGGAGCCAGAGAGTGAGGGGGAGGTGCCACACACTTTTAAACACCCAGATCTTCCATGAACTCAGAGCAAGAATTCACTTATCACCAAGGGAATGCTGCGACACCACTCTTGAGGAGTCCGCCCCCATGCCCCAATCACCTCCCACCAGTCCCTACCTCCAACACCGGGAATCACTTTCCAACATGAGACTTGGAGGAGACAAACATCCAAATGGTCTCACTGTGCTTCCTGGAAAGCTGTTTCATACAGAGGCTGAGCCCCACGCAACCTGGAACGTATCAGGGTTACAATATGCAACTCTCTTAACACTGGCCTATTGTATGTTCTCCACAAGCAATAAGTTGTATCTAAAGGTGCCCCCTAGGGAAAAAAAATGTAATAGACTGACCAAGAAGGCAGTGGCAAGGGTAAACAAGGAGGGAAGGAAGGTGCCGGGATAGAGGCTGCCACATAAGCTGTGCCTGGAACCCCAGCGGAGTCTGCAGTGGAGCAGGCAGGAGTCAGGAGACCTAAACGGCCAGTGCTGGATCATTATTTTTTCCTGGGTTTTTGTGGTTCGTCTACCTGTATTTTTCCCCATTAATATTTATTTAGTTTTTAGTTTTTTAGTTTTGGGTTTTTTAAATATTTATTATTTATTTATTTTGAGAGGGAGTCTCGTTCTGTCACCCAGGCTGGAGTGCAGTGGCATGATCTCCGCTCACTGCAACCTCCACCTCCCGAGTTCAAGTGATTCTCCTGCCTCAGCCTCCCGAGAAGCTGGGATGACAGGCGCACGCCACCATACCCAGCTAATTGTTGTATTTTTAGTAGAGACTGGGTTTTGCCATGTTGGCCAGGCTGGTGTTGAACTCCTGACCTCAAGTCATCCACCCACCTCGGCCTCCTAAAGTGCAGGATTACAGGTGTGAGCCACCGTGCCCGGCCTATTTAGTTATTTTAATCTAGTCTCCAGGGTCCCTCCAATGGGAAGCGGGCTCAGAGGGCTGGAGGGGGACCCCGGTCAGGCTGCATTTGGCGATCCCAACAGCTGGTCCCCATCTAGCCTGCACAGGGTCACCTCCGATAGCCCCGGGCCCCCCCCCCGAACTGACTTCCGCCTTCCCTCAGGTCTTCCTGGCTTTCTCCCACAGATAAGGGGAGGGGCGCTCAAGGTCACTGCCTTTTCCCAGCCTGCCGCATTGCTGTGAGAGGCTGCCTGGGGCCTCCCACCAAGAGAGCCAACAACTTGGTTGGACATGGAGGACTGCGGTGGGGGCTGGGGGTGGGAGACAAAGGCGGCCTGCGCAGGACCGTGTGGCTCAGGAGCACCCTTGTCGTCCTGGCCTTGGGGCCCTGCCCCCGCTGGTCCTGATGCCGGGCACCTTGTTCCCCTCTGGAAAGCTCCCTCCTCCTGGGGATCCAGCCCTTCTATGAAGACTGTATCATCACTTCCTCTGAGCTTGTAAACCTTCTGTGTCCCCTACCATTGATATCTTAGTCACCTGACTATGCCCACAACCAGGTCCTGTCCACTTCCCTAAACCCAGGGCATGGCCTGTGCGTGGCACAGAACAGGTGGTCACTAAATGAGACCACCTCACACTTTCTGGGTGCCGCTCTCAGCCAGGTGCTGTTTAATAGCCACCTCCCCTCTACTCCGTTCCCATTCAGTCTGCAAGACACCAGCGGTCGACTTGGACCCCGCTTCCAAGAAGTCACATGTCATGGACCCGCACACAGCTTGTGTGTGCCTTCAGGGGGCATCATATCGGGGTTAAGAGAGGAAAAGAGAGCTGCCCCTTCCCGAGTCGTCAACCTTCTGGTCCTACCAGCATTTTTCCACTCTGTCTTCAATACTCTCAAATTCAAGTCTAACTCCGGGAGTTAAAATAATATACATTCTACGATGACTAATATGGGGGGAAATCCAGTGCTTCTCAGGAAATAATATTCCACAGGCTGTGTTACCTTTTGCTGGGAAACTCCCAGTTCCCAGCAGAAAAATAAGAAAATCGTCAATTTCCAGGCAGCCGAGCCTGTGCAGAACCGTGGTCTCCAATGCTTGTGTCGGTTGCATGCGGGACACCTGTCCTCCGGCAGGAACAGATCCCTTCCAAGTAAACACACACCGTCGGGGGAAGGAGGCCTGGCTGGGGACAGGAATCCATCCGCCCGGCTCCGGATATCCTGGACAATGGTCAAAATGCTTCCTTCCACTGTCTCCGAGAAAAATGGCATATTCGTCCAGCCAATTCTTTTTGCCTTTCAACTGGAGAACCGTACTGAGCCCTTTCCGAAAAGCCAGAACAACCTGGAAATGTGCCCTGGGCTTAACAGGTTCATGGCTTTCTGCAAGCACTCCCTCATTCCTTCATTTTTTTTTTTTTTTTTTTTTTTTGTTCAGCGGATCATTACTGAGCCGGTACTCAACAAACAGTATCTGGTGCTGGGGGGCATTGTGTGGGAGGAGGTCCCTTTCCTTGGGCTTTTTTGCTATGCTATCACCGATCCAGCGCGCCAAAGCCAGCTCATTGTGCACCGACACTGGCTTACTTCTGCCTGGAGCAGCTTTGCTGCAGGGAAAGGGCTGCCCAGCCAGGAACTACACTTCCTGGCCCAAGAGGCAAGTAGGTGGGATTGCTCATGATCAGCCCTCACCAGTGGAATGTAAGTGGAAGGGGTGTTGAGACGTAAGGATGCAAGAGGCATGTGCTGCCTTCACAACACTCTTTCCTCATCTGCTCGCGGATTGCAGAGGACTTCAACGTCCTACGAGGGAGACAGCACCACAAAGTAGAAGGAGCCTGGGTCGCCTAATGGCTTCCTAGATACCTGCACTGAATAGCTACATGAGCAAGAGACACAGATCCACTGAGATAAGCCACTGAGATGTGAGAACTCATTTATTCTAGCAGCTAGCATAACCCTATCTGATAAGCCAGAGGCTACGAATGCCACCTAAGGGTAGATTTCATGCAGCGATCATCAAGCTCAGGAAGCCAGACTCCTCCCATCCATCATACACAATGCATAGGAAGAGAGTGGGGACATTAAGCTGCAATCAAAAACGTTTGAGGGCCAGGTGCAGTGGCTCATGCCTGTAAGCCCAGCACTTTGGGAGGCCGAGGCAGATAGATCACTTGAACCCAGGATTTGAGACCAGCCTGGGCAACACGGTAAAACCCCATCTCTTAAAAAAAAAAAAAAAGAAAAAGGACTAAAATTATCAGGGTGCAATGGCAAGCACCTGTTGTCCCAGCTACTTGGGAAGCTGAAGTGGGAGGATCCCTTGAGTAGGGAGGCGGGGGTTGCAGTGTGCGGAGATGGTGCCACTGCATTCAAGCCTGGGTGACAGAGCCAAAACCTGTCTCAAACACCCAACAAAACAAAAGCCCTGAGAATCTGATTAGAAGCTGTGAACGCTATCCAGAAATTATGTGCATAATTTACCTTTTCCTAATATGCAAACTTCATCCCATTTTTATTGGGAGAGGGTTGTCAATTTCCCCTGCAACCTTTTCATGGGCTTTTGGGAAAATCCTGCTGCAGTTCTATTAACAAGCCTTTTGCAATCTGTGGCAAGACAGCTTTGAATGCAGCCCAACACAAATTCATAAACTTTGTTAAAACATTTTGAGATTTTTTTGTGTGATTTCTTTTTAGCTTATCTGCTATTATTGTCAGTGTTACTGTATTTTATGTGTGGCCCAAGACAATTCCTCTTCTTCCAATGTGGACCGGGAAGCCAAAACACTGGACACCCCTGCATTAGCACATGAGAATTTAACTATTAGGCACTAGCCATCAGTAGGAGTTATTAGCTGAACACAACATAAGCCATCTCTAGCTGATAAAAAGAGAAAATGAATTTATCAACAGATAACACTGTAGCTTATCACTGCTGAGGGGCCTGGAGAACCACACTCAGAGGCTGTGCACACAGAAATCATAAAACCACACCATGTCTGCTGGGTGTGCTCTCAGCACCTGAGGGAGTAAATTCTTCCTCTAGGTGGGCCTGGGCAGCACGTCCAGTGCCTACCTCCCCAGCCACCCTGTCGGGGAGAGCCAGCAATGGCCCCTGCATCTTGGGAGCATTAAACCTAAAGTCCAGCATGGGTGTGTCTGCCCAGAGTGTCCAGACTGTGTGTCCACCTCTCAGCTGCCAGGGAGGTCAGGACAGCAGCTACCTGGGATTTTCACTTCTATAGCGATTGCCTTCTCCCATCATAACACAAAAGGAAGGAGATTCCTGAAACACGGGGTGCTAGGTGGCCAAACAGGATGACAGGTGGTCACTGCAGGCAGAGGTGAGCTAATGGTCCATCAGGAGACAGCAGAGGGGAGCTTCATACACGGAGACCCTTGTATGAAAAGTGTGGCAGGGAAACTGCAGGGAAGGTGGGGTGCCCAGCTCTGCAGGGTGGGGGACAGGGCCACTGGAACCCAAGAATGCGTTTGGGGTGGGTCACCCGGCAGGAGCCCTTTGTAGAAGGATGCAGTCAAACCCCAGCGACCCACCAGGGAGGGCCTTGGTGAACAAACGCCCCCACCCTCTCCTCCTGCCTTTCAGTAGCCTGCCTGTGCTCCCGTTGGCCAAACCCCATGGGAGACCAGAGGCCAGGGAGGCCTGTTACTGCCTCCACAGAAGTGAGCTGCCCATGACTGAGAGCAGGTGCAAGCAGGTGGGGGGTGGGCCTGGAGGAGCCCATGCAAGGCATTTGGCACAAGTAGGGGAAGGTCATCTGCCTGATGTGCCTCCATCTCTCGAAATTAGGAACAGCCATTTATTGCATTTTCCCCATGTCCAGTATCTTGTAACACTCAGCACATATTATCTCATTTTTTTTCCTGCAGGGATCCTATGAAACGGATCCTCTTTTACCCTTTTGGTGGCAGATGTTCCTGGTGCTCCCCCCATCCCCTCACCCTTACCCCTCCGAGCCGGTGACCTGCTTCAGGGGCCAGCACCTGCCTGCCTTGACAAGAGTCAAGGCCCTTGAGCTGGGTATAATGCCCACCAGGCAGGCCAGAGGTGCCGGGGAATACTCATCCTGCAGAAACATCCCCACCGATGACTGATGGAATGAGTGTCAATACTCCAGCTCCCTCTCTGCTCTGGATACCTGGGAGGTGAATGTTCGCCTTCTGCTTTTAGAGTTTTCCCGGTGAGTTTGAGCTCCAGTGACCTATGCTGGGAACTGGTTCAGTAATCTACCCTGTGCTGGCTTCCTCCCCTCCAGCCTCACCTCCCTACTCCCTGCTGGAGCTTCCTGTGACTGCCTCCCAGCTGCACTCTCCACTCCAATCTTCATCTCAGGGCCTGCCTGGAGGAGAATGCAACAAAGACAAAGAAACCTAGAGAGCTTAGGTGACTGGCCCTGACCACACAGCCTCACTCGTGCTGAGCAGCCAGGGCCTGCTGCCTCCTCTCTCCTCCCCTGTACCTCCCTAGAGCCGTGGGTCTTAGAAATGGTTCTATTTCCAGATGCAGACTCCCCAGGCTCCAGGCCTGTGCCCAGCGGATGTCAGGGTTCTATCTTACTTGTTCCAGGAACAGCCTGGGCTTTGCCATGCCCAGGAATGCTCCAGAAGGAGCCTGGTAGTGGCTTCTGGGTGGCAGCCAGAGTCTGTCATCACCCCTTGAACATGGGGCCCCCTGTTCCCATCCACACAGCAGATGTGTGAGGAGGGGCTGCTCAGTGTCGGGGACTAAGCTCGAGTGCAGAAGCATCGACTCTGGGTGGGCTGTGCCTGGAGGTCTGCATTCAGTGCCACGTGTCATCCTCACAGCAGGTCATACACCCCCTCCCCCCTCTTCCAAAGTGGGGCTGTGAGCATGTCCCCCTCACTACAAGTCCCTGCCCTGGATCCTGGTGACAGGCCTCCTTCCCCAAAAGTGTTCAGAGAGCATTCATCACACAGTCTGGCTGGAACATGTCCAGAATTTTGGAACAGGACACCAAGGACCATATGAGACATCAACAAGAGAGGAGAATGGGGCTCAATGGGTGGTCTCAGAGGGCTTCCTGGAGGAGGCAGTGTTTGAGCCGGGCTCAAGCAGCAGAGAAGGGTTTAAGTAGATAGGAGCAGTGGAGCACTGCATAAGCAAAGGTGGGGAACACAGCCAGCCAGTGAACAGGCCATTCAGCCAGAAGAAACTGTGCTCAGCTCAAAGTTCTGGGAGACCAATCTGGTCAGATAAGCTCTTGAAAGGACAAGAAAAGGAATTTGTCCAAGTGGCCCAACTGCAAGGCACAAGGAGCTGTTCACTGGGGGAGCCCATCTGAGCGCCCATTTTTAATTTCCAGTTCCTGGGGCATTTTAAGCAGAGTGTGAAATCACATTTATACAGAGGGGGTGGGAACCTTTCTGAGCAGCCATTTATCCCCCAGTCCCCAAGGTATGTTCCCAAGGCTTGTCAGAAGTTGAACCCATGAATAATATTTCACACGGCCCCGGGCTTCTTCCTTAGCCCACACGCTCTTGGCTGCCTGGGAGAGGCTGAGCCTGTTCTGTGAGAGCAGGCCTTGGTTAGATTCTCTTCTATTTTTGCACCCTTGAATGTCTGGGTGCGCATTCACCAAGTGGAAGGGTGTGTTTAATTTGGCAGCGGGATGTTGGAAGGGCTGTGGAGGAGATAATAACTGGCTTAGGACAAATTTGCATTCCTATACATCAGCTCCTCCAGGGGCTGAACTTGAAAAGGAGGTTTATTCATCAACCATGGTGGAATTTGGTCCCCAGGGTTACTGGCTTCCATTCCTCTCCCTGCCCATGTAATCAATCATGTGAATAGAAACTAATCTGTAAAGAACTATGGAGTCATGTTGTGTGTTCAGGAATTTAGCACATTGGGATGGGATGGGATTAGGATCTTCCACTGGGATGTTCCTAGAGTCTTACAGAGTGCAGCACAGAGGGCTGGGAGAGGTCTCACCAGGCGGCAAACTGGGAATGGAAACCCAGGCTGGTGAGAAATCAGCCAAAGAGGTTGATCGAGTGGAGATGGTGAGTAGGTGGCAGGGTTCCTCCTTTGCCCTTTTAGTAACGCAAGTCCTTCCCCTAGGTTTTAGTAAGACACACCAAGGGAGAGACTCTATTTCTCTGCCTCCTTTTTAGCTGGATGTGGTCACGTGACCAAGTTCTCACTAAGGGAGATGTGCAATTTACCCTCACTTCTTAAGAAATTGCTTGCTCTCACCCCTCCTTTCCCTGCCCTGGGTGAAGACATGGTTCTGATGGATGAACTTCAATCATGTGAACAAGAATATCACCCTAGGAGACGACAGAGCAAGGGGATGACTGGAGGAAGCTAGATCCCTGCATGACCTTGTGGAGCACAGCTGTCTAGCCGGTCTGGACTGAACTGCCCATCTACTAAGAAAAACAAACCTCCACTGTGTGTGGGCTACTGCAGTGGGTTTCTTTATTACAGAAGCTTTGCTTGGACTTGGTAATACATGGAGCGTATCAGAAATCTGCTCCTTGAAGAATTGCTCTTCTCATCTCCAGAAATTTTGTTTTCATCTTGGGAGGGAGTTTGCTGTGCACTTATTATCTTGATATAATGACAACCTTATACCCACCTGTCCTCATAGATGTATTCATTTCCCTTAAAGAAGCATGGGTTAATTTGAGCAGAAGGCAGCAAAGGGGTTCCCGTGGAAATATACAAAGGTGGCTTCTGGGAGCCCATGTTTTCAGAAGGCACAAAGCGACCTGGAGTCAAACAGAGATGGGTGCAAATTTGGGTTCCACCTTTTCACTAACAGTGGCAAACAATGGTGCCACTTCATTTCTCTATCCAGTCTCCTACTCCATACACATGTTCCTTTCCAAGTTTCAGAGCACATGGTTCACAAAACTAATTCTGGCCAAAGAGTTGTGAGCGTGACACTTTTTGGGCAGACAATTTCTGGCGTGAGACCCTCAAGAGTTCTCTTGTTCTTTTCACCCCAGTAACCAGCAGAGTTCAATATGGCACCTACTTTGTCAGCACAGGTCTCTGAGTGGTCTGAATGTCCCTGACAACCTGCAGTGAACATAGAGCATGAGCGTAATTAAACCTTTGTCCCTTCAAGCCATTGAGATTGGGAGCTGTTTGTTACTCAGCAGAACTTAGGCAATCCTGACTGACGTATGAGCTACATGACCTTGCATGAGCTGCTCAGCTGCTCTGAGCCTCAGTTTCTTCTCCCTCCATGTCATGAGGACATAGGAATGGTATTTCCTTCTTAATTCAGTTTGTGTAAAGATTAAGGGAAAATCATATTAAGTGCTTAGCAGAGACCCTGGCATTTGAATCGTTCTCAGTCAATTGCTCTGATTCCTGACCTTTGATTCAGACTGATTTGCACTCCAGCACCAGATGTCTTCTACTTTTGCACCTTTCCTTCTCTTCCTTGACTCCATTCCCGGACTGTTCCATTTGGCCAAGGCCCCTGGGGTTTGACGTGTGCTGTTTGACACCCAGGTGACATGTAACAAACTCCAGGAACCTCCATCAGGAAGGCGAGAGAGCAACGCTGGTCAGTTTCTCTGGATTTGCAGGGCTTTTTTCAATTCTTTGAATCCACCCTTTCCATTAGCTGAACTTTTATAGCTTGGAAAGAAGACAGCAAATCGCACGCATTTCCAAGAATTCTTGAGGTGAGTTCCATGGAGTGCAGGACTCATTAAGCATGTACTTAAATCCTAGTTTTGGACCCGGAGACTTTAAAAGTCCCAAGGAGATCTGGGCATACTCCCTGACAGCGGATCTAGGGTTTGCTCCAGGGCACTCTGATGTCAAAGAGTAGCAAAGGGCTCAGGCTCTAGGGCCAGGCATCCTGGGTTCCAGCTGTGGCTCTGCTCCTCATAACTTGGTTCCTTAGGCCCTCCGGGTCTAAGGACAACAGTGGTTTTAAAACATTCCTAACGTGACTGGATTTTACTGGATGTAAACTATTCTTCAATAAAGCTGGGGGAAATTGAAGCCAAAAATCAACACATGAATATATTATCTTTGGTGGTAGGATTCTGAGGGGCATTTGTGATTTGTTTTCTTTGTGATTGTCTGCATTTTCAAAGTTTTCTGTTGTTTTAAAAATGCTGGCCAGACTGTCACCTATCTAAGGACAACAGTGGTTTTAAAACATTTCCACAAATTATTTGACACTCCTCCTTTTAAGAGATGGAAGCTCCTCCCCTTGAGCCAGACTTAGTGACTCACTTCTAACAACAGAAGTGACTGTGTGACCTTGATGTATGACCTTGGATCACATACTCAGGGGAATCCAGCTGCCATGTTGTGAGGACACTCAAGCAGCCCTATGGAGAGGCCATTGCAGCAAGGAACTGAGGCCTCCAGCCCACAGCTCTGTGAAGGAACCACCTGCAGAGTGATTCCTGAAGCCCCAGTCAAGACTTCAGATGAGACTACGGCTCCTGCTGACACTCGCAGTGCAACCTCATGAGATGCCCAGAGCCAGAGCCACCCTGCTCTGAGTTTCTGCCCTTCAGAAACTATGAGATAATAAATGTTTGCTGTTTTAAGCCATTAAGTTTGGAGTAATTTATTACACAGTAACAGATAACTAATACAGGAAGAAATATAGTTTTTCTCACTGCTAATCTGACAGTAGTCATTCAAATTAATATTTGTTGAACAAATGAATGGATGAGTACATAAACTAACAGTGATAAAAATAAAAACCATCTTGGAATTTTCTACAATTACCTTTAATAGAAATAAGATACCACTTGTTGCTAGCCTACTATGTGGCAGAAGTTTACCTAGATTAGTTCATTAATCCTCACTAACAATCCTCAGTGATTATGAGCTCTTTTCAGACTGAGTTTACAGATGTGGCATGCTCACCCCTCGCTCACAGCTCTCCTGTGCGTATGGCAGCCCTTCTCCAGGTTGTGGACAGGGCTGAGCATTGATCTCTTTCATCTCTAGAGCTCTGAGCCCTAGAGTATGTCTTCTGCATTTCAAAGGCATAATTGATGTTTGCTGAATTGAATCAGAAGAGGGAAGAATCAAAATACAAATACGAGAAATCAGCTTTACAGACGGAGACACTGAGGCACAGAGAGATTGTAAGATGGGCACAAACCACGGGCTGATTGGAAGCAGCCAGATTGAGCTTGAGAAAGGAGAAGGAGGAGACACAACTCTTCGTCCGCAGGAGTCTTCCTGTTTTTGTTGTTATCATTGTTTAATTTCATTTTGCTTTTTTAACTCATTGCAAAGAAATACATGGATTTTGTTTGTTTGTTTGAACAGGCTGGAAACTACAGCAGAGTCCAAAAATTCACATATTTACCATTTCCCTTATCCAAGAAGACAACAACTGTTTATTTTGGTGTACATTCTTCTAATGATGTATAAGGTATAATATTTTCATTGAACAAAATGAGGTCAGGCACAGTGGCTCATGCCTGTAATTCTAGCACTTTGGGAGGCCAAGGCGGGAAGGTTGCTTGAGCCCAGGAGTTTGAGATCAGCCTCAGCAACATAGTGAGACCCCATCTCTGCAGAAAAATCAAAAAATTATCTTGGTGCGGTGGTGCATGCCTGTAGTCCAACTACTCTGGAGGCTGAGCTGAGAGTTTGAGGCTATAGTAAGCTGTGATTACGTCACTGCACTCTAACTTGGGCAACAGAGTAAGACCTGTCTCAAAAAAATAAAAAGGGGGAGGTGTATAATTTATATTATATAGCAGAGTTTCTCTACTTTGGCACTATTGGAGTTTGGTCTAAATAATCACTTATGTGAGACCAGGCATGGTGGCTCACACCTGTAATCTCAGCAACTTTGGGAGGCCAAGGTGGGTGGATTAACTGAGGTCAGGAGTTCCAGACCATCTTGGCCAACATGGTGAAACCCCATCTCTACTAAAAATACAAAAATCAGCTGGGTGTGGTGGCAGGCACCTGTAATCCCAGCTACTTGGGAGGCTGAGGCAGGAGGATCGCTTGAACCTGGGAGGTAATGGTTGCAGTGAGCCAATACTGTGCCATTGCACTCCAGCCTGGGCAACAAGTGTGAAACTCTGTCTCAAAAAAAAAAGGGCCGGTCATGGTGGCTCACACCTGTAATCCCAGCACTTTGGGAGGCTGAGGCAGGTGGATCACAAGGTCAGGAGATCAAGACCCTCCTGGCTAACATGGTGAAACCCTGTCTCTACTAAATATACAAAAAATTAGCCGGGCATGGTGGCAGGTGCCTGTAGTCCCAGCTACTTGTGAGGCTGAGGCAGGAGAATGGTGTGAACCCAGGAGGCGGAGCTTGCAGTGAGTAGAGATCGCACCACTGCACTCCAGCCTGGGTGACAGAGCGAGACTCCATCTCAAAAAATAAATGAGTAAAAAAAAAAATACTGATATGAGGGGCTCTCCCATGCACTGTAGGCTATCTGGCAGCTTCCTTCTGCCCCTACCTGCCAGTAGCACACCCAAATTATAAGCTGAAGTGTCTCCAGTCATTGCCAAGTGCCTTCATGGCATTTCACCCAGTTGGTGAAGTCACCTCAGTTGAGAACCACTGCTCTATGGTAATCTGCTTGTCTCACTCACTAATATGTCATAAGTGTTTTTCCAGCCCATCAATCACTCTTCTAAAATAGGATTTTTCAATAGATGTTTGGAGTGCCTCTAATCAACGGGCCGTATTTTATTAACCAAAGGTCTTTGGCTAGATGTTTGAGTGATTTCCAGTTTACTCAGTTTGTTTTCAAAGTCAGAGCATCACTTGAGTCTTCACCTCCACTGTGAAATATCAACCTCAGGGCCATGTTTGGTTCAAAAAAAAATTTATTTCTTTTGTACTGCAGAAAGTTCTCGGGAAGTCTGGGTGGACGGTGGCTTCTATAAGGAGCTTTTCTGGCAGGAGGAACTGCTTTCAAAGACTTGGCAAGCACAGCCTTCACCTTGCTGTGGATTTCCTGTGACGAGCTGGGGCCCCGAGACACTAAACAATAGACGCTGCTCGTAGGTCTCAGTGGCATGACCTTTTTCCTGGCTGCTGGAAATCACTACAGAGAAACTCAGCTCAGCTTTCTCAACCAAATCATTCAGAACGATTTCAAAACTTCAACTAAGCCAGTGTGTTCAAATGGCTGCCTTAGGTGGGGGTTATTTCCTCTGAATAATTACAGAGAACTGGTAGACCTAGTTGGTATACTGGATGAAATGCTGCAAACGGGCTCCGTGGGGATCCAGCAGAGAGGAGACTGGGGTCAGAAAAACTGGGTTTCTTGTCCTGCTGGGGGACTCAGGTCCCTCACTGAACCTACATAAGCCTCCATGTCCTGCCAAGGCAATGAGGACAAGAGCACCTCCCCACCAGCTCGGAGACACTGGGTGGAAGAAAGGAGTCACTGCCTGAAGATACTTTGCAAACCACCCCCACCTTATATTAATAGAAATGGAGACCGGTGGGGCTACTACATTGAGGAGAAGGCTTATCAAGTAAAAACCTCTATCCTCAATTAGATGCTGTTTTACTCAGGGTGCAGGGCAGGAAAGAGAAGTTGCTTTAAAAAGTCTGATAATCACAAGTTTTGGGGAGGATGTGGGGGAATCGGAACCTTCCTACACTGCTGGTGGGAATGTAAAATGGTACAGCTGCTGGAAAACCATCTGGGAAGTCCTCAAACAATTAAACTGAGAGATAGCATAAGACCCAGCAATCCCACTCCCAAGTACACACCCAAGAAAATTGAAACATACATCCAACAAACACTTGTACACAAACAATCCAAGTGGTGTTATTCATAGTAGCCAAGAGGTGGAAACAACCCAAATGTCCATCAACTGATGATGGATAAATGAAGCGTAGTCCATCCATACCATGGAATATTATTATAATTGGCCATACAAATGAAGTGCTGATCCACGCTACACCATCAATGAACCTTGAAGACATGACGCTGAGTGAAAGAGGCCAGACACAAAAGGCCACACGTTGTATGAGCCCATTTAGATGAAATGTCCAGAATAGAAAAATCCATAGAGACAGAAAGTAGATTAGTGTGTGACCAGGACCAGGGGAAGCGGGTAAAGAAAGTGATGACAAAAGGGTTTCTTTTGAAGGTGATGAAAGCATTCTAAAATTGACTGTGGTGATGGTTGCACACCTCTGTGAATATACTAAAATCTACTACGTTGTATACTTTAAATGGATGAATTGTATTGTATGCTAATTATATCTCAATAAATAAAGTTGTTTAAAAAAGAGAAGTCACACTCGCTACTTTAAGCAGAAAGAAATTTGGTATAAGAAATTAGGCTTTGCAAGTCTAGAGGAATAAGCACTAGGCTGGAATCCAGAACCGATTCACCGGGAAGCTGCTGCCGTTGCCCCTGTCCAGAGGGCCAGACGTTGGAGGGTGGACATGGGAGCTATTGAGTTCCCAGGCACATGTCTGCTACTCATAGTAGCACATAGCTGCTACTCAGGGGTCGGGACACAGGAATGAGAAGCTGCTGTCACAACTGCCTTTTTGCACCATCAGAGGCAGGGACAGGGTCACAGACCATGCTTTTCTGCAGGAACAACCAAGAGGCAGAATATGGTCTCGGCCTCACTTTCTTTTTCTAAATTGCATCAGTGGGAGTCTGCCAGCATCTGAGATCTACAGCCAGGGAGCCTGGGAAGTGCGGGTTTTAGCTTTTCCCTCCTCACAGTAGGAAGCTGACTGGAAAGGGCTGGAATGGGTGTAGAGCTCTGCTGGTCAAGCCTCACAGTTACTATGAATTATGGATACAGTGAGGCTGGGCAGTGCAGCAGTGACTTTCTCTAGTCACCTCCTAAGACGTGGGAGATGTCCCAGACCCATCTCTGCCTCATCGCCAAATCAAGCCTAGGCCCAGCAGGTGCTGAGCATGCTCCTTGCTGTCTTGCAGCCTTGCCTGGCTCCTCCCAGCACCTGTTGCAGGTAGACTGTGATCACGTGTGCTCACCTGCCTCGCCCCTCCAAGCAGACAGCTCCTTGAGCACTGGAACGGTGTCCACCCATGCAGCCAGGCACAGCATGGGGACTCAGTACACGGGGAGCCCCTGACCTGAGTCCAAGAGGTGCACCACGTGGAGGCTGCTGCCCCTTTTCATATTTCCCATTTGGCAGGAAACCTCCATCAGGGAGGGTGGGGACATTAAATATGTTTCTACTTCTGTCTGCATCCTCACTCAATTTTCAAAGCCAAACAAACTGTTAAACCATGGTCTTTCTCATTTTTTTAGCCTGTAATTATATTTAAAAGACTGTTAAAATTTTAAAAAAAAAACATAGTCTCATCCATTTTGGCTTGGAGTAGTCAACATAATCAGATAATCAGCTCTTTGAGAATGAAGGAATTGTCTTTCACTTTTGGGCAAGACCTGGGCACCCAGTAGGTGTTTTATTTTTCTCTATGCACAGTGGTTTTTGAAGAGGCAGAGATCATAGGCTCTGCTGTGCCCTGGTTTTCACCCTGGCAAGATCAAACATACAGAATGTGGGTCACTGCTAAACTTTCTTCCGTTTCTGTGCTTCTGGGGATCAGTTAAAATACGCACTCAGGATACTCAGCACACACAAATGTCCCACAAAGACCAAGTAATACTGACACTACCCTTTAAGACACTCTGTGTAAAAAAAACTGGAAGACACAGAGAGTGGCGCAGCATTTTAAGTCTTCTATTGACCAAATTTGGTCCTTCCTAAGAACTTCAATTAACCTCTCACAATTTATTTACAGAATGGGTAGAAGCTCAATAATGATGATTATGATAATAGTAGCAAAACCAGCACCAATAATATTAGTAACCGCAGTAATAATAAGGATTTCACTAAACAAATACCATGCAGGAGATTTTGTTGGGGGAGTTTTTATAATTCTCACAACAAGTTCCCATCGTGCTGCTTATGACGGAGACAGAACGTTACAAGGTCACCTAACCTCATGAGTCCCAGAGTTGGCAGGCTTTGCTGCCATTGAGTAGCTTACTCTCTCTGAGCCTCAGTTTTCTCTTTGGAAAACTGGATATAATGATTATATTTATGAAAATTAATATGAGTTAGTATATGTAGTGCACTTGGAGTGGTGTCTAGCAACACTCATCATCTTCACCACCACTACCACCACCATCGTCAGTACTTGGTAGCTTTCATCATCACATCATCATCATCCTATTGTCCTCCTCAGTCATACTGCATGTGCTTTAATCTTAGAGTTGATTCTTAAAGAAACAGCAAAGTGTAGCATAAAGAGCGCTGGGCTTGGTATCACGTTGTCCTGGACTTAGATTCTTGGACCTGCCACTCACTGCTTGTTTTCCCTTGGGCAAGTTTATTAAATTCTCTGAGTATTGTTTTCATTCTTTGTAAAATGAAAATAACTGACTTCAGTTCTTAGAGTTGTTGTGAAAATTAAGGGAAATACAGTATGTACAGTATCTAGAATATAGTAGGTGCAAAATAAATGGTAGCTGTGATGATGACAATGGTGATGGTGATAATGTTAGTGATGATGGTGATGATGATGATGGTGGTGATAATGGTAGTGATGATGGTGATAATAATGGTGATGGTGATGATGATGGTAGTGATGATGGTGATGATGATGATGGTGGTTGTGGTGATGGTGATGATGATGGTGGTGGTGGTGATGGTGATGGTGATGATGGTGGTGATGGTGATGGTGATGATGATGGTGGTGCTGGTGATGGTGATGGTGATGATGATGATGGTGGTGATGGTGATGGTGATGATGATGGGGGTGGTGGTGGTGGTGATGGTGATGATGGTGGTGATGGTGATGGTGGTGGTGGTGATGGTGATGATGATGGTGGTGGTGGTGATGGTGATGATGGTGGTGATGGTGATGGTGGTGGTGGTGATGGTGATGATGATGGTGATGATGGTGGTGATGGTGATGGTGATGATGATGGTGGTGGTGGTGATGGTGATGGTGATGATGATGATGGTGGTGATGGTGATGGTGATGATGGTGGTGGTGGTGATGGTGATGGTGATGATGGTGGTGGTGGTGATGGTGATGATGATGGTGATAATGATGGTGATGATGCTGGTGATGGTGATTGTGATGATAGTGATGGTGATGATGATGGTGCTGATGGTGATGATGATGATGGTGATGGTTGTGATGATAATGGTGATGGTGATGATGATGGTGCTGATGCTGATGGTGATGATGACGATGGTGATGGTGGCGATGATGATGATTGGCAGTGATAATGGTGGTGATGATTATGATGATACTTATGGTGGTGATGATAATGTGTCAGTGTGAGCAGTGGTGATGGAGATCTCAAGCAGTCTGACCACCCATCCAGTCCAAACATTTCTCTTCAGGAGACCTGAGATAAAAATCAATCAACATTTGCCTAATATCAGCAAATAACCACAATATATTTTGTAATACTGAGACATAAGACATAATAAGCTTACTGCAGGAACAGTTTGCTGTAATTCTTTTTCTGGGAATTCTAGAAAGCATCAGTGCCTGGCCCTCCAAAACTGCAGGAAGAATGGAAGAGCAGAATTGGGAGCTGGGACACTCACTCTGTGGGAAAAGTGACTCTCCTTATCACCACATAAGCTTAATGGAAGCCAACAAGTCAACCTCATTTGGAAAATTTTTAAAAACCTATTTCTTAAAGTTCCTCAAGGTAGCAAACTCATGAGACTTCCCCTTAAAGATTAACTATCATCTTGAAATTTTGATCTACTTTACAAAAAGTAGCAACATTAAAGAAACTCTTGGGTGAGACACAAAATAACATTATTTTTATTTCTGACCTTTGGGTAAAGTGGAGATAATAATAACACATGCTTTTCTGTATGATTCACATTAGTACTTCCTGTTTCTAGCATAACACACAGTAGGTTCTCAAAAACTAAAGTCTGTCAGATGAAAGAATGGTGAAGTGGATGAATAGATGAAGGAAATTCTTCTGTATATGGCAAATTTGACAATAACATATATATTAATAATAACATGACACTAACTTTTTCTGCCCCTTTCTTCACTAAATGTGATTTTGTTTGGGAATTTTGTTTTGCCTATTTTAATATCACTAACTTACCCCAAAGTTAATTGTAAAATAATATTTATTTCTTTATATAGTATAAATATTTATTATTTATTTATAGGCATTTACTACATGCTAGAGGATTTTACCTGTACTAAGCCGTTAATCCGCACAACAACCCTGTCCAGGTAGGTTATCACAATTATTCTCATTTTACAAATTAAAAAGATAAAGTACTTAATTTGCCCTAAAGATAGAATTTCAGGAGTCCAAAATCACATATGTATTAGTCCATTCTTGCAGTGCTATTAAAAAAACATACTTGAGACTGGGTAATTTATAAAGAAAAGAGGTTTAATTGGCTTACAGTTCTGCAGGATGTACTGGAAGCATAGCGCCTTCTGCTTCTGGAGAGGCCTCAGGAAACTTGCAATCATGGCAGAAGGTGAAGGGAAGCAGGCAAATCACATGGCCAGAGTAGGAGGAAGAGAGAGGGGAGGTGCCACATACTTTTTAACAACCAGATGTCATGAGAATTCACTCATGATCATGATGATAGCACTAAGGGGGATGGTATTAAACCATGAGACACCACCCCATGATCCAGTCACCTCCCACTAGGCCCCACCCCCAACACTGGGGATTACAATTCGACATGAGATTTGGGTGGGGACACAGATCCAAATCATATCAACCTACTTACAAGGTTATTCATTGCAGCACGATTTGTAATAGCAAAAATGTGAAAACTGAAGGCCTGACAACTGGGTGCTGTTTAAATAATTGATGATGCATACGTTGAGTGGAATATAATTCAACTGTCAAAAAATGAGGCAGATATTTATACATTGATGTGGAGGTATGTCCAAGATATATTAAGTGAAAAAAAAACAGCAAAACAGAGAATAGTAGGTAATGTATATTATATGCAGTAATGCACCACATAAAAGCAGACCACATATGGCTGGGCACGGTGGCTCACACCTGTAATCCCAGCACTCTGGGGGGCCGAGGCGGGCGGATCATGAGGTCAGGAAATCCAGACCATCCTGGCTAACATGGTGAAACCCTGTCTCTACTAAAAAATACAAAAAATTAGCTGGACGTGGTGGTGGTCATCTGTAGTCCCAGCTACTTGGGAGGCTGAGGCGGGAGAATGGCGTCAACCCGGGAGGCAGAGCTTGCAGTGAGCTGAGATCATGCCACTGCACTCCAGCCTGGGCGACAGAGTGAGACTGTCTCAAAAAAAAAAAAAAAAAAAAAAAAAAGACCACATATATGACAGCGATCCCATAAGTTTATAATGGAGCTAAAAAATTATAAAGGAGCTAAAAAATTCCTATCCTTGTAGTGCAATGCATTATCTTTTCCATGTTTAGTTATGTTTAGATAGAAAATTACTTACTATTGTTCTGCAATTGCCTACACCATTCATTATAGTAGCATGCTGTATAGGTTTGTGGCCTAGGAGAAGCAGGCTGTACCATGTAGCCTAGGTGTGCCGTAGGCCATACAATCTACGTTTGTGTAAGTACCCTCTATGATGTTCATACAATGATGAAGTTGCCTAACAATGAAGTTCTCAAAATATATCTTGCTGTTAAGTACCAGGTGACTGTATTTTCTTGTGTGGGTTGTTGTTACATCTGGAAGGATACCCAAGAAAATGGTAAGAGTGGCGGCTTCCTAGAAGGGGAACCAAGAGGCTGGGTGGGTTAGTCAGGAGACGCCAGGTGATGCTACAGTAGCAAACGACCCCCAAAATCAAAGTGGCTTAAACAACAGAGGTTGACTTTTCATCTATACAAATGCTCATGGGATAATGGGCATTCTCTGCTCATATATCACTCAAGAATCAAGCCTGCTGGTTGCCACACCTGAGGGTAAAGAGGTCTGGAGGATCTCTGGAGGTCTGGAGGTCTTCCTTGAGCTGACAATAAACTGTGCCAACCTTCAAGGGACATATGTGACTGCTGCTCACAGTCACTGGTAGCGCTTGTCACATGATCCCCTCAGCCACAGGGGGAGCAGGAACTGCAAATCTCTGGGTGCCTAGAAGGTAGAGAGTGGAACCTATTTAGTGAACAGCGTTAATGACTACCACTCTGGGGACAGAAGTTGGAAGGAGAATTTCTTTCCTCCATAAACCCTTTTAAACTCCTGAATATATTAACCATATATGAAATGAAAAAATTTTAAGTACTCTAGATGAGTTAAGTAGCGTTTAAGATAAGCATGTTATAAGCTCCAGGTGACTTGTAGAGACCATACATCCCCCCAGGTGAGAGGAAGGAGAAATCACTGCAGGCAGGGAGTGGGGAGGTCAGGAAAACACAGACCATTTCACTGTCAATGTGCATTTCAGGAGAACCTATTGTGTGCCAGAGCTGTGCTCTGTAATGGGAACGCACAGCTAAATAAGACCTGGTCCCTTCCCTTGAGGAGTTCATAGTCTATTTGCCTGGAAGCCAAGAGACCTGGGTTCAAATCCCATCTCTCCCTGAGTAAACTTATTTTACTTCACCTGTAAAATGAGGCTGAAATACCTACTGTAGAAGGTTACTGAGAGGATTGGCTATACCGCATGACCAAGGGTCTGAACAAACCTTCATTGACTAGGAACCTGTTGGTCCCCCAAGACATCTCGCATGTGCAAACACCATGCACGGTTTCTACCTTTCCTTGAGATGTTCGCGACGTGACAAAGAGATGAAGTCTTACAGACTGCAACCTTCTTCCTTTTTCCCGCTTGCTCCTGTTTTCTTCTCTCTGTTAATGGACCAGCTCTTTGGGGTTAATAGGGCCACTTTTCATCCTGTCGAACCACATCATCTGTGATCTCCCCATTCAATAAATATTAGAATGTATCCATGGGGAATAATCTGCCCGGTATCTTATCAAAACTTTCAAAGCTGTAACTCAGTTCAGATGGGGGGATTTTCAGGCTGCAAAGGGGGAGGGGCAGGAAGAATGTCAGGATCTTGGGACTATCAAGATTTGGATTAGCAAGCAATTTCCTGAGTTCCCCGACTTCATAGATGAGGTCAGAAAGGTCCGTTCTGAATGGAACCCATTAATCTCCCTGTTGTGAGCGAGGAAACGTTGGAAAGCGCAGGTGTTAACAGTCTCGGTGTTATTTTTGGGAGAATGTGAACTGAACACTCGCAGGAAGTGTACTATTCCCTTGCCAGCATCCTGGAGTATTATTTTAGGCAGCAGAACTGAGGCTTGTGAGCAGAAGTCAGGTTTCAACACACCTTTAAGGCAAGAAGGGTACTTCACAAGCAAGAATTTTGCTGCTGTGTTTGGAGGACTTAAAATAATCGATGTGTTCTGCAAGGATGCTCAGAAAGGCCGCCTAGAGAACGCCCTGGTACGGCAACGACCACGCAGCGCCACAGCCACACCTGACTCGGGAATATCTGGACTAACCCTAGTTCTGCGGCCGAGAGGGGCTAACGTACGCACCACCAGCCCCTAGACAAACACAAACGCATGTGAGTTTTAGGTTCCACCGTTGTCACTTCAGCCCAGGGTCAGTAAACATTTTCTGTAAACGGCCAGATGGTAAATATTTTAGAATTTGTGGGCCGTACGGTCTTTGCTGCCATGATTCAACCCTGCCATTGTAGCATAAAAGCCACCTTAGGCAATCCACAAACAAACGGGCATGGCTGTGTCCCCATAAAACTTTACAGGCAGTGAAATTTGAATTTCACATAATTTTCATATGTCATGAAACAGAATTCCTCTTTTGATTTGTTCAACCATTTTAAAATGCAAAAACCCACTTTTGGCTCTCGGACTGTATGAAAACAGCCCCTTTGGCTGTCGGCCTGTCGTTTGCTGACCTCTTCTAGACGATTTAATTTCCACACTGACACTATTGCCTAAGGCCCATTTCCAGATTTTCTTTGGCATTGCCCTTCGAGCAGGCTCTGAGACACGAACATGTGACAGAAAGTGGAAAGGTTATTTTTCTTCCAGCTCCAGCCCGGCCTGTCTCCAAACATGGGAGGAGCCTATTGAAGGAAGATTCCTCACTCCTCTGCACCTCCCTCAAGGTCTGAGCCTGCACATTCTTCAGGGGTTAAGCTGCTTTGGCGGAGGCAGAGAGGGCAGAAGGGGACGATGGTGTGGCAGGAGACCCCTCCCACGAGCATCAAATCTTCCACACAAGGCACTGTGTTCACAAAAAGCCTCTTGTGAGTGGTGTTTTGTGGTGAGCTATTTATTCATTCCTTCTATAAATATTTCTTGGGCACCTACCTGGTGCCAAGCCCTGTCCTAGGCACAAGGATACAACCAGGAGCAAAACAAAGTCCCCGCCCTCTCCAGGCCCACATTCCTGCAATGGGAGCGAAAGGGCCGAGCTTCCTGTCTCAGTGGACAGGATGAACAGCAGCAGGAGGGTGCATTCAGCCCCAGGGTAGAGAAGACCCACGGAGCCCCTGCCTCACGAATGGGATGAAAGTGTGGGTGGCACCCAGGCCTTCCTAACAGTGGGATGGGCAGTTCCACCCGAGGTCACCTGGATTCCTGATAGCCCGGGGAAGCAGCTGCTGACATCTGAGTCACACACTCGAGCACATGCCCATGCCCATAAGTCACCTCGTTAAGTGCTCCTGACCCAGGAAATACAACCTAACTTGACCCACCCCTAGCCCTTCATTCACCCGGTGCAGCTGTAATTGGCACCCACCCATCCCCCGTCATCACATCTCCCCTCAAAGAAGAGGGAAAGCCTGCATTTGCTGGGAGAGGACAGAGGCCAAGAGAGTGTGCCAAGCAGGGAGGCCCAAAGAGGGATTTCTGACCAGGTGGGTGAGAAGGAGAAGGAAGGGCTGGAAGAACCACATGGACAAAGCCAGAGGCAGGGGTGCCCAGGACACCTCCAGGGCAGTGAGCAGGCCAGTCTGCCACAGGACACAGTCATCTGGGAGAATCGTGTATCCTCCCATCCGGGGACCCAGACTCCTGGCTAGAAAAAGCAGATGTTCCTAGCACTTTGGGAGGCCAAGGTGGATGGATCGCCTGAGGTCAGGTGTTCAAGACCAGCCTCGCCAACATAGCAAAACTCCATCTCTACTAAAAGTACAAAAAAAAAAATTGCCAGGTGTACTGGTGCAGGCCTGTAATCCCAGCTACTTGGGAGGTTGATGGGGAAGAATCGCTTGAGCCTGGGAGGAGGAAGTTGTAGTTAGAAGAGATCAAGCCACTGTACTCCAGCCTGGGCAACAGAGAGAGACTCCGTCTAATACAAAAAACAAGAAACAAAAACAAAAACAAGTATTATCACCACTCCCCAAGGACCACATAGAACTCCAAACCTGTCTTCTGCTCTGCTGCCACACGACCTTCCTAAAACGTAATCCCAATTGTGTCTCTTTCCTGCCTAAACCCCACTGGTGTTCCTCCCCAGCTGCCTTGGAAATAAATCTGCACTCCTGGCTAGCACCCAAGGTCCTGGAGATCCAGCCCCACCCACCCTGACACCCTGATACCCCACACTCCCTCCAGCACAATGTCTTCCAGCCGCACTGAGCCACCAGCCTCTGCCTGCTCATGTGTGGCTCAACTCTAACCAGGCCAGGGGAGAGGGACCCTGGGAAGTGTGGCTCTCCCCTGAGTGAGTCAGAGTAGCACCTTCCAGGGCAGCCTCCCCCTGGGATGTGTCCACCTGCCTAACACAGGCCAGGCAGCTGGTGTTGTATTATTATGTAAACTCTGCATAATGGCAAAGGCAATCGCCCCATTTCACAGCTGAGGACTGAAAGCCATTTGCCCGAGGTCACATGGCCAGTGAGTGGTGGAGCCAGGGCTGTCGCCCCATCAGTGTCCGTGATCTTTCCTCCAGGGAGTCTGAAGCCTTCACTTGCATGACATTGCTTGGGACAGACATTAAAACGCAGAGTCGGCCGGGCACGGTGGCTCAGGCCTGTAATCCCAGCACTTTCGGAGGCCCAGGCGGGCGGATCATGAGGTGAAGAGATCAAGACCATGCTGGCCAACATAGTGAAACTTCATCTCTACTAAAAATACAAGAATTTTTATTTGGGAGTGGTGGCACGTGCCTGTAGTCCCAGCTACTTGGGAGGCTGAGGCAGGAGAATCACTTGAACCTGGGAGGCAAAGGTTGCAGTGAGCCGAGATCACGCCACTAAAAACCACAGAGTCCTGGGCCCCAGCCTCACAGATGTGCTGATCTTAAGTGTCTGGGGTGCAGCATGAGACTCTGCATTGTCCCAAGCAGCCCAGGCGATCAGCGTGAGGCCCCTCACCCCTACTCCCCTGTCCTCTCTTCCACGGTCTCTGGTCCTCAGCTACAATTCGGATTTCCCAAAAGGGCAGGCAGGTGGGATTTAGTCTTATGACTAGGCTTTGCAGAGACAGTGATGCCAGACAGAAAGGGAGACGGAAGGGGAGCTGAGGAGGCCGAGGTGGAGCTGCAGGGCTGACTCCACCATTCCTGGTTGCAATCTCACCCCACCCTGCTTCTTTGGGCCTCAGTTTCTCTATCTGTACCATAGATGTGGTGGTGCCTGCATGCGCAGGGAACAGGGTGCTGCAGGTCCCCCCATAATGGTCCTTATTTCTAGGGCCTGCCCTTGCCTTCTTGCTGTCTACAGTAGAGAAGACCTTCCCAAGGTGAGTGTGTGGGGTTGTCAGGCCTGGAATCTCATCAGTCCCACACAAGCCTGTTAGAACAAGCAGTTTTCCCGATGGAAGAGGTTCTAATGACTGCACACAAAGAGGCAAATGGAAGATACAAATACCAGCAACTCAAGTCATAAATACTTACTTTCTCTTTTAACATTTTTACGATACTCCCTCTTTTCAGATGCAATAATTTACACTAATGTGTTCCTCCCACCATGCCTTCTATTCCTCTGACATCTGTTTAAACGTCAGGACAGCAGGACGAGAGTAAATCACATTATACTCATTATATGTATTTAATTCTACCGTGTGCTGCTGAAACCATAGCAGCCTCATGTACAGACCCAACAGCCACAAACACCAATGTTGTTCTTTGCCTTATCTTGATGAATTAGGCATAAATCGTAACTCCAGCAAAGTGGAAAAGTACCAAAATGCCATCGAGTTGGTCTGGCTGTTTTTTAAGGAGTTGGAATGGAACATTCTTGTTGGGAGCCATGAATCAGCGTCTGGAGGACCCGCCACCAAACACTTAACACCAGAACTTTGGGAGGATGCAGGGAGAGAAATGCTACTTGTTTCCTAAGATCACGTGGTTGGGAAAATATCTCAAATGGACTCTCGCTGAGGTCTGAAGTCATTTAAAGAGAGAGAAGACGTCTCCATAGCGATTAGGTTCCACTTCATGGGAAGAAAAAAACCCGAAAAGCAATGAAACGTGGCTTAAACAGACAAGATTTGCTCCTCCAGCATAAAAGAGTGGGCCTTGGAGCTGGGACGGTGCTTCTATGAAGTTGACAGGGGTCTAGTCTCTTCCTGCCTCCCTGCAATGTGGCCCTTCATTTTATGGTCCCAGGTGGCTGCCTGAGCTCCAGCCAACATGTCCAACTTTCTGACAGCAAGATGGAAGAAGAAAGGCCATGTCCTTCCCTTTAAGAAAAAGAAAAAAGACTATTTTTTAGAACAGTTTCAGATTTGCCAAAAAATTGTGAATATAGCACAGAGTTCCCAGAGTGTATACCCCATATGCAATTGCCCCCATTATTAGCATATTTTTTGTTGTTTTGTTTTGTTGAGACAGAGTCTTGCCCTGTCACCCAGGTTGGAGTGGAGTGGTGCCGTGTCAACTCACTGCAACCTCCGCCTTCCAGGGTCAAACAATTCTCCTGCCTCAGCCTCTGAAGTAGCTGGGACTACAGGTGCATGCCACCATGCCCGGCTAATTTTTTTTCTGCATTTTTAGTAGCTACAGGGCTTCACCACTTTGGCCAGGCTGGTCTTGAACTCCTGGCCTCAAGTGATCCTCCTGCCTCAGCCTCCCAAAGTGCTGGGACTACAGGCGTGAGCTACTGTGCCCAGCCCATTATTAACATCTTATGTTAGTATGGTGCATTTGGTATAATTAGTGAACAAATACTGACACATTATCATTAACTAAAGTCTACGCTTTCTCTAGGCTTCCCTAGTTTTTGCCTAATGTGTGTTTCCTGTTCCAGGATCTCAGGTGAATTTAGTTGTCATGCCTCCTTAGGCTCCTCTTGGCTTCATCCCCTTCCCTTTTAATTTAAGGAGACGTCCTGGAGGTATCACATGACACTTCCTCTTACTGCTCATTGGCCAGAACTTAGTCACATGGTTGCACATAGCTGCAAGGAAGGCTGGGAAATGAGTCCTTTCCAGGTAGCCATGTGCCCAGCTGAACCTAAGGAGAGGTGGAGAATGGTTTCTGGGAATAGTGAACAGGCACTGCCACAGCAGGGTCTTAAGAGACCACTTCAGTCGGCTGTCTGCTGCAGGCTGACATGCTCCCAACAGCTGCATTTTGTGGAAGCAACTGCAGCCCAGGACAGTTAAGTGACTACTTCAAGATCACAGAGCCACTCCCTGGGGAGAGGGACAGCACATGTCCCTCCACTCTGCCAGGCTCCCTGGGCTCTCCCCTTCTCTTCATCTCGGAGCTTGTTTCGGAGCAGATGCCAGCTGTCATCCTGTTCCCACGCCAAGCCCCATTTCAGGCCTGGAGTCTGCCAAGAGTCTGCCCTTATCCCTGAGCTGGGTCAGATGGTCCTGCCCTGTCACCCTAGCCTGGATCGAACTGACCGGCTTGCCAGCCAATCTGTTCTTCTGGGAGCTTTTCTGGAGCGTCTGCACTGTGGCAGGCACTGTCGTAAGCCTCTTTACACTTGGAGTCTTGGAGTTCTCGAAGCAAACGCAGAGTTAAGCATTGTTACCGAGGCTCCCGGAGGTGAATCTGCCAAGGTCACAGCCAGTAGAAGGTGGAGCTGGGATCCCAATCAGGCCGTCTCGGGAGCCCACACTTGGGCCCCGTGTGACACAGTTGCAGAGCTCTAAGAGCTCATCTAACTCACGTGGGGACAGCGGGCGTCTGTATGTCTCTCTGGAGACTCTCGTGGTTCTGGAGGCCAAAAGTCCAAAATCAAGGAGTCCGCAAAGCTGGTCCCTTCTTGGGAAGTCAGGAGGAGAATCCGTTCCTTCCTCCCTCCCTGCTTCTGTTGCTGCCAGCGGTTCCTAGTGTTCTCTGGCTCGTAGACGCATCGTTCTGCTCTCTGTCTCCATTGTTTCCCAAGCCTACTCCCTGAGTGTCTGTCCAAACTCATCTTAACTTGATGACAGCTGCTCGATGACACCTTTTCGGAAAGTAAGGTCACATCCCCAGCTACAGAGGGTTACGACTAGGATCTACCCTTCTGGGGGTCACAAGCAGCCCACAACAAAGGGAGGTGCATAGGTACGTGCATAGGGAGGTGCTCGGCAGCCCAGGAGAGCTGCCGTGAGTGTGGTCAACTGTGGCCTTCCTGCTTACCTGTTTATTTTTGCCTGCCCTAACAATCAAGACGCCAGCAAGAAATCGATGTCCCTCTTACATGGTGACTTGGAAAGAGTTTCATATGAGGACAATTTACAGAAGACAGCAACAAGGGTGGTACAGCTCTCCTCCCCCTGCAAAACATAAACAGCAGGGAGCAGAGACCACCACCATGACTGAGGGGTTGGTGGGGGAGTTACTGGAACCCCAGACACAAAGAGGCCCAGTGGAGAGGGGCCTGTCCAACAGGAGCTGTGGCCTTCTTCAGAGGGACACAGCCAGCCTATGTACAAGTCTGTAGCAAGGCCAGTGACTACCCAGCTTCTCTCCCCACCTCCCTCGCATCTCTTGCTGTATCTTGATTTGGCTGAACTCAACAAGATGCCAGGGCAAAGGAGCCTGATTAATACGATGCAGGGGAGTCCACGTTACAATCTCTGAGGGCACAGAGGGAAAAGGAAGGAGAGGCAGACACAGGGAGCAGCTGGAAAGTGTCCAGTGCATCCACCCAGCACCCAAAACACCCTGCCCAAACGTCTGTGGTGCCAAATGCTCAGTGTGCAAGCTCCCCAGCAGTGGGGGCGTAGCAAGTGACAACCACTGGCGTGCACTTGGACATTGGAGTCTGGACTCGTGTGGCCAAGAAGCTGGAAGAGAGGAGAACCACTTCTGGAGATGGTGCTCCTGACAGCTTCACTGCACCCGCTCCCTGGGGTGCCAATGGCCGCAGCGCAGGGGGCTGGGGCTCATGCTGTGGCCTCCGAGCCCAGCTCTGGTGGTGGAAGCTGCACCCCACCAGCCTGATTCTATGCTTTCATTTCCCAGGCTCTCATTTCCACATCTTAAAGCCTTCTGGAAATTCTGTAAGCTTTTCAGTATCCCTTTCCAAATTCCTTTGCTGCTGAGTAAGGCAGAATGAGTGTCTGTTGCTCCAACCAAGAGCCCTCTGTGATACTGAGCAGGGGCAGCAGTCAGGGTCCTGGAAGGAAAGAGGCAGCACCCTTGGCTGGCGATCTGGAGAGCCTTTAATGAAGGGACCAGTTACAGAGGCTCACACAGGTGAAGACAGCCAGAGACAAGCCTTTAATGAAGGGACCAGTTACAGAGGCTCACACAGGTGAAGACAGCCAGAGACAAGCCTTTAATGAAGGGACCAGTTACAGAGGCTCACACAGGTGAAGACAGCCAGAGACAAGCCACGGCGGGATGCCATGGCCAGCCTGAGACTAGAGAGGGCAAGGGGAGCTTGGAAGCATCAGAGATACGGAAGAGAGGAGCTGTGGTGAGAGAAGGACAGGGCCACCGGCAGGAGGAAGAAATGGCCTGACATCTCTCGTCCTGCACACCACTCTGCTGAAGGCACCTCCCGCAGCTGAACCCAACCGGAAGCCAGGGAGAGGATGAGGGGGTTCAGGCTCTGTCGTCTCCAGAGTTCAGAGGTGGACAGAGAAGACTGGCACTGGAGCTGGGGAGCACAGTGAAGGGTAGCCAGCCCCAAGGAAGGCCAGGGGCATGGGCGCAGGGCCCACTGCAGGCCTGGGCACTATCGAGACACGTTCTCCACGCGACCTCATTGAATCTTGACGGTGGCCCTGCTGAACAGCCTTGGAGGTGGGCTGACGGGATGCAGCCCCGGGGCCGGTCTGACTCAGCACCAGAGTGGCAGCTACCTCACTTGAGCCCACAGCAGCCCTGCTGGCTGAGCAGGGCAGACGCACTGTTACTGTTTTCACCATGAAGCAAATGGGCTCAAAGAGGTTAAGTTGGTGTCTTGAGTATGTATATATGCGCAGGGGCTCACTGCTGTAACAAGCAACCCCAGGTTTCAGGAGCTTCACCTGACTCATGCTCCTCTCTCGGCACAGAATGTGGGGCAGTAGGGTGGGTGGTTGGCTCCATGGAGCCATTCGAGAGTCCAGGACCCGTTTTCTAGGTCTTGGAGTTTCTTTCCCTGGAGCTCAGTGTCCGGCCAGTAGACAGAAAAAAGAAATCATAGCAAATGGCAGGAGAAGTTTCAGGGGCAGCTGGCACTCTTTCCCATGTCCGCTGGCCAGAGCTCAGTCTCGGGTCCTGCCTGGCTTCCCGGGGTGGGAGATGAAGTCGGCCTGTTGCCGCGAGGGAGGGAGCTACGTGCATAGGGAGGTGCTCGGGCTGCTCTGCAGGGCACCCCCGAGGCGGGCCCGTGGCAGGCCGCACGGAATACAGAACCCTGTCGCTGGGAAGGGTGAGGGTCAGAGGTGGGAGACGGGGTGGGGAGGGGAGCAGTGCCCACTGTGCACACCTTAGAACCTTGGCCAGGGTTTTGGAAGCCATTGAAGGGAGTGGTGTCAGCTTGCCTGAGGGTCCTCAGCTAGTTAGGCACAACCCGGGGCCCCAAGCCGAGCTGGGAATTTTAGCTCTTGGAGCTCTGCCTCCGCCACACCGTGCACCCTGCACGGAAAGCTCGGAAATCACCCCAGCTTTCCTAGACGGTGTCTGCTACCTCTCACATCTTCCAGGCTTTGGATCTCATTCCCTTCCCCCAAGCCTAATGCATCATGCTTGCCCTTATGAAATTTCCCGGGAGCACTGTGAGACTCTGGGATCCAGAGGGCTCCAAGTTTGGGGTAGGCAGAGCCCTTCGCCTGCCCTGCGTGAGTCCAGCCCACAGTTTCTAGGAGACGCCAGGGAACATACCGCAGGCAAGTCGCCGCAGAGCTGGCTGCAAGACAGGCGGCCTTACAAATTGCTCTGTTAAACCTAAAAGCTCCAGCAATCCCAGGGATTACGAGGCGCCCTGGCGAGGCCTTGTTAGGACCGGCCTCCGGGAGAACACGGAGGGTATTTACATTTGTTGAAGGGCTCATTTTCGTGAAGGATGACAGGGCCTCGGCCCCAGAGGATCATGTGTGCATGGGCTTTTTATTTCCAGCAAACACTCAAACTCTCAAGGGTCAGATACAGTGCAAGGCAGAAATCATGCTCAGCTGCAGGCAGGGATGTGGCCGTGTGCTGACCCAGTGCCCTGGAGCCAAGGGGTTTCTTCAGTTCTGGTTTCCGTGAGCTTGGCAAAGGTGACACCTGTATCAGATACCTCGTCTCTACTACTAGATCACCGCAGTCTCACCTGCGGTCTTTGGCTCCTTACTCTAGGCACCACTATGGCAGCCAGACCTTCATGGTTCCAAACACATTCTGCAAAGCACCTTACTGTGTCCACGCTGGACATAGTCCTCCTCCCACTCTGGGGACTTCCTGTCACCTTGGAGGCCGTGGATGCTGTGGCACCTGCCCAGTGCCCAGCCACGCACCAACAGGAAAGACTTCATGCATCATAGAGTAGATAATTGGCCGATGGGCAGCATGAACCAGTGGGCAAATTGTTCTCTTCTCTCCTCCTTGGATGGTTGTCCTGAGAAGCAGTTGTCTATATGGATTTTTGGAAGAGTCCCCTAAAACTGTGCAATCAATTGCTCCTAATACCAAGTGCTGGCCAGTTCAGTATTGAACCCTCCCTGGGATTCCACCCCCTAATCCAATGGCAGAACATTAGGTTTGCCTTGACTTCGGTTTTCTGGGGAACATGCACTCATATACGCACTCTGTACACACACACTTGCACATGTATGGAAATGGCGATTGATCCTTTCTTGATCCCAATAAGTCATGGGATCTCTCTTTTCTTCCCACACAATGATTAACAACAACAATGTCATGGTCATCACTATCTATCATTTATAGAGCTCTGTGGCAGAGACCAGCAACTCGTTCTCCAAATCATTTTCCTTTTCCTCCGAGGAACACAGCCATCCACATTTCCCAACCTCCCTTGCAGTTAGGGGGAAATGAGTGATTGAGTTGTGGCCAATGACAAGTGACAAAAGTGATATTGACCACTTCCGGGCCTGATCCATCAAAATCTAGCATGCCAGCTCCCATCCTCCATCCTCTCCACCTGCTGAATTAAGAGGTCTCCCGATACCTGGGAGGAGGAGAGCCTCCCATGAGAACCAACCAGCTGGGAAAATCAGTGCTGCACTGTTATGTAATGAAGAAAAAACTTGCTGCGTATGGAGCCTCTGACACGTGGGGATTAGGGTTTGCAATGAGAAAACCATCCTCATAAGTGTGACTTGCCTGGTTTTGCCTCAGTGGACTTCTATGCACTACCTCATTTAATCTTTTTGTTTGTTTGTTTTTTAGACAGAGTCTCACTCTGTTGCCCAAGCTGGAGTGCAATGATGTGATCTCGGCTCACTGCAACCTCTACCTTGTGGGTTCAAGTGGTTCTCCTGCCTCAGCCTCCAGAGTAGCTGGGATTACAGGTGCCTCCCACCACACCCAGCTAATTTTTTGTATTTTTAGTAGAGACAGGGTTTCACCATGTTGGGTAGGCTGGTTTTGAACTCCTGAACTCAGGTGATCCGCCCGCCCCGGCCTCCCAAAATGTTCGGATTACAGGTGTGAGCCACTGCACCTGCCCTAATCTTTTTTAAATTCTGTACTTTATTAGTGAAGTATGTTGCTCTACCTGCCCCACCCCACAATACGAATCTCACCCAGGATCCCCATCCTTTTCCCTCATTCCCCCTTCCCCCTCGACACCCCTGCACAAGTGCACCAGGAGTCCCTGACCACTGGCCATTTGGAGTGTGTCCATTGGGTAGCAATGTGGAAACCCCCAGGGCCGGTGTGAAAACCCTCCGGGCCTTTGTGGGGAACATGGAGGGGGCCGAGGGAGTCCTAGGAGGGGCTTATTTGA
This sequence comes from Homo sapiens, assembly GCF_000001405.40. NCBI lineage: Eukaryota > Metazoa > Chordata > Mammalia > Primates > Hominidae > Homo > Homo sapiens. The sequence continues at coordinate 86,434,849 of NC_000016.10, forward strand.
GGGTCCTGGCCACTTGCTTGCAGACCAGTTTGATCTCCTCATCATGTGGACAGGTAGGGGTGAATTCTTCCCAGGCATAGGCACTGCCCAAGCACCGATGCCATCCCCGGAAGGTCTCAGGGATGGGGAAGCCCTGGTACTTCTCACAGTCCACCTGGACTATGCAGAGCTTTGACAACAGGCTGCACTCAACCAGGGAGAGCTCGTTGCCATCGAGAAACCTCTTCTGAGAGATGCCCTCATCTTCAGCACTGCTGTCATCCACTTCTTCTGGGAAGGGGGATGTTGAGTAACTGTCTAAAACCTTCAGGGCTCTCAGGAGCCCCTTGTCCAGAGTATCGTTGAGTCCTGCATTTGAACTTGATGTAGGCAGAAAAGTCGGCAAATACATCCAGCCCAGCTGTGTTTGACTCAGGATTTAGAGCTCTTAGCTTGGGGTACCTGCAGGGGAACAGCACTGCCTCCAGAAATTCCTCAATCTTTTGGGTGTCTATGTGTGCTTCCATGCCACGCAGCAGGAACAGGAGCTGCCCTTCTGGGCACAGCTTCTGCACTGTCACGGTCTACCTCTTGGTGTCAATGGTGGTGATGTTGAAAGTGACTCCTTTGAGCCAGAGCACCATGAACAGTCTCTAGAAGAAGGGGCAGTTCCTGGCCAAGCGCGGTGGCTCACGCCTATAATCCCAGCACTTTGGGAGGCCGAGGTGGGTGGATCACCTGAGGTCGGGAGTTCGAGACCAGCCTCGCCAACATGGAGAAACCCCGTCTCTACTAAAAATACAAAATTAGCTGGGCGTGGTGGTGCGTGCCTGTAATCCCAGCTACTCGAGACGCTGAGGCAGGAGAATCGTTTGAACCCGGGAGGCAGAGGTTGCAGTGAACCGAGATCGTGCCATTGCACTCCAGCCTGGGCAACAAAAGTGAAATTTTGTCTCAATTAAAAAAAAAAAAAAAAAAAGAAGGGGCAGTTCCCAGTCTTGGCTCCATCACTGCCAGCCTTCAAGAGCAATTTCACCTGTGGTTGTTCTTCAGCCATGGTTGCATCAGGGCCCATTTAATCTTCACAAAGAAAGTACAATTATCATTGCAACTGGCCTGGTGCTGAGATTGAGACTCGAAGAGATCACAGTACTTAGAAGCTCACATAATTAGCAAACGGAGGGGATCTCTCAAAATTTTAAGCTAACTAGAACTCTTGCCATCATGAAACATGTCCACCTCCACTTTATAGATGAAGAGACTAAAGTCCATAGAAGACCAATGACCAGTTGAGGTACCACTCAGTTTGCTAGCATGCCAATGGGCAGTTCTCTAGACCCCCAATCTCCTAAGCCATCATGGACTGACAAGTGTCTTCATAGTCCTTTGCTGTCTTTCCCAGAGAAGGAGGCAAATTATCCATTTAGAGGAAGCAATGATCAAAGAAATAAATCAGTCGTATCCAATAACTTGGTGTTGAGTCTGATAGACACTGGGCAGAGAAGCAATCGTGTTGCAATGCAGGGAATAGACAGGGTTGGAAGTGGCCCCTCTGCTAACCAGCTATGTGACTTGGAACAAGTGACTTAGCCTCTCTCTGTCTCTAGGACCTCATTTGTAAAATGAAGCTAGTAATGTCACCTGCCCAAAACAATTGTTGGATAGTTTCTAACAAAGTTTTTTGCACTACCCCGTGTAGCTAGCACATGTTAAGCCCTCAAACATTAGCTGTTATTTTATTTCACTATGTGGTCAGTCCAAGGCTACCCACATTTGCCAGCTCATCCTATGTCTGCCTAGTCTCTCTCTCTCTTTTTTTTTTTGTCCCTCCAAAGTATTTATCTCACTTTCCTGCCTCACAAATCCATGGCCACACACTGACTCCCCTCCCCCCTCATTAAACCAGGCTTTCAGGAAAAGATCTAATATCAGTCAGATAATGTAAACCATCGAGATACCTCGCCTGGGGAGCTTTGCTAGTTCAGCCTAAGCTTTCAGTGAAGGTGCAAGCAACAGAGCTTCCTGGGACAGGGATTTGGAGTCTGAGCTGGCAGGCGTGGGGCAGATGCAGAGGATGGAGAACCCCTGCGGCAGTGCCCAGGTGGATGTCCTCTCCCACTCCCTGCTCGGATGCCCTGGACTATGTATCATTTAGGCACTTGGATCTGAGTCACCAGATGGCAGGGATGGCTTCAGCCTTCTCTCTGAGCCAAACTGAAAGCTCATAATATCCACCCCAGCTTGGCTTTGTGGTTTTCTGTTTTGCTCATTCCCAAAACAAGGTCCTCCGGAGGATGGAGGTCTGGTCCTCCAGATAGAGGATGATCTGTGTGATTCCTGGGAAGGGTGGGGTGAAAGCAATTATCTTTGAAGCACCAGAGACACTTTTCCAGAGAAGGATGTGGACTGTAAGGAATGGGGGAGTGTGGGAGAAATACAAAACATTCTACCAGAAAGTGCAGAAGGCCTCCGAATAGAGCATGATCTGAGGAGTCTTAGGTTCCTCCCACCTCCTCAACAGCAACTGTTCATCCATTCATCCACCCATCCAATCTTCATTCCATTAATTCTTCCTTTTACTCACACAGCTATCCATCCATCCATCCATCTATCTATCCATTCATCCATCTATCCGTCAATCCATCCATCCATTTATCCATCCTTTCATCCTTTTATTCATCCATCCATTTATCCATCCATCCTTTCTTCTATCACCATCCTTCCATCCATCCGTCCACCATTCCATCCTTCTATTCATCCATCCATCCATTTATCCACCCTTCCATCGTTTTATTCATCCATCCATTTACCCATCTATCCTTTTTTTCTGTCATCATCCATCCATCTGTCCATTTATCCATCCTTCCATCCTTCTATTCATCCATCCTTCCTTTCTTCTATCATCCTCCATCCATTCATCCACCTTTCCTCCCTTCATTCCTTCCACCCACCCAACCATCTACCTATTTATTTGTTGACTACATCATTATCAAGGTGTTAAATGTGGGCCAAGCACTATGCTAAGCACTGAGTCTATGATATTGAGCAGGAAGACACCGACTGCCTCCCCTACCCCAACTCAAGCTCATTGGCCAATGAAGCTTTCACAGAGATAATGATTCAGCTGTTGTCTTGTCCAGGCTCCATTAAAAGGAGACCTTGGCTGGATGCTGTGGCTCACGTCTGTAATCCCAGCACTTTGGGAGGCCAAGGCGGGTGGATCTCCTGAGGTCGGGAGTTTGAGACCTGCCTGACCAACATGGAGAAACTCTGCCTCTACTAAAAATACAAAACTAGCCAGGTGTGGTGGTGCATGCCTGTAATCCCAGCTACTCAGGAGGCTGAGGCAGGAGAATCACTTGTAACAAGGAGGTGGAGGTTGTGGTGAGCTGAGATCGTGCCATTGCACTCCAGCCTGGCAACAGGAGCGAAATTCTATCTCAAAAAATAAAAAAGAAAAGAAAGTAGACCCTGAGGCAAGCAATGCAAGCAGGGTGTTTGGAAAATGATCCCAGGAAATACTTACAGGGGAGTGAAGAAGTGAGGCAAAAAAGGGAAGGCTGTCAATAAAAGGTTCACTATCGAGAGACTGCGTGCCGTGGGTACCTGGAGCTGTATCCTGCTGGAAAACTATAGGAGGCTATGCCTCAGAATCATCCCAGCTGATGGATGGGAGAGGTGGGATAGCTCTTCTCTGACTGTGGTCGCCAGTGGTTGAGGGATGCTTCAGCAGTACCTGAGCATCCCTGGGGCCCAGGGGAGCAGAGCCAGATCCCTATTCAAAGGAGCTGCGCATGGGATGGGGGCAGGGACAACACACAGGGGGAAAGAGTGAGTGAGCATCTTAACATTTTACACGACCTTTAACATCTTTTCATGTCTGTGCAGGCACACAAATGTTTTGAAAGGGTGAGCAAAGACAAGGCAAAGTGCAGTGAGGCTGCTGTGTATGAGCCCAACACACACAGGTGAACAGCCATGCCCAATGCAAGCACAAAGCAACTGGAAGACTCATTAAAGCATGGTACAGAATAACACAGCATTACAGTACTTACAAAGCATCTGGGCATTACTCTCACAAGGAAAGTGCAGAACTTTCATGGAGAAATGGAAAACGTTATTAAGATGTGAAAGAAACCTGAACCAATGAAAAGCAATCCGGTTTGTGGGTGGGATGACTGAAATGCATGGAGCTGCCATTTCCCTTTGAGTTTAACCTTCGCATCCCATGAAGCAGCTGCCAAATCCAAACAGAACCCTTGAAGGATTTGACACGCTGATTTTCTAAAATGCACATGAAAGAATAAACTTCCACAGACAGCTATGATTAATTCGAAAAAATGCAAAATGTGATCTTTACCTTCCAGTCCATTACAGTGTTTGATGCCAACATCCCAGGATACATTTTACATATTTTTATTTACATTTTTTATAGAAACCTTTAAATTTTAATAATAATAGTTGAAAAGTCTCATGATAATTCAAGTTGCTTTAATTTAATTTCCCTAACATGTCCCATTGCCTGACATTTCAATTGTTTCCAGTTTTTTTAATCATAATTTTTAAAACCTCATGGAGAAATTTCTTGATATCAGAAACAGCTGGCATCCTCTGAGTACTGGCTTTGCTTTTATTTTATGGGCACTGTAAATTTCGATATCGTCCTATTTACCTCTGACTTTGGGAGATGAGATAACTCAGAGCCGATCTGTGGCCAGCGCCTGAGACCCCCACGCTGGACATTTCTTGCTGCAACCTCACTGCAGGGGCGTTTGTCACCCCCACCCTCACCTGTCTTGGCTTAATGTTCACCAGATGTAATCACTGTAAGCAGATTTGTGCAAACTGCCAGTGGGCACCGTGCTGAGATCCTTACATCACTTCTGCAATCGCCACTGTAGCCCGGAGGCGGCTGTTACTACCATCCTTGTTCTAATCAGATGACAAGTGGAAGCTCAGTGAGATGAGGTGACCTCCCAAAGCCACACTGTAAGCAAGGGACACCTGGGCTTTAAACCCAGCGTATGTGATTCCAAATGCAGGCCCTTTCTGGTATGTTCTGCTGCTGCAGTGCCCAAATCTTTGCAAACCACTTTATAGCCCTTAGGAAGCTGGAGCCGTGAAGTCCATGCAAACTACAGCACATGCCTAGTCTTATTTATAACGCAGTGAACATCCTAATGTGTAGATTATAGCCTGGCATTTGTCCCTTGGCCAAAAATGTAGCTTTAAGTTTGTGCCAGTCATGATGAAATGAACTTTCCACCAGGTCAACTGATTCCCCAGCCAACACCACCTGCCGGCTGCCCTGGCTGTGATCTCGAGGCAGCATTCTCCAGGGTTCCTTGACAAAGCAGCGGCATTGAGAACAAGTGCAGTGGGAAAGGTCCCCCTCCCCAGGTGAGCAGGGAGAAGGGCTGAGAGTGATGTTGCTGCAGAGGACATGGTAGACAGGACTGGAGACGCCTAGAAAGACGTCTCCTACTGGGGGTGGGGGCTGGGTCCAGTGCAGCCCCCCACTTACTGCCTTGCTGAGAGGAGAAGGCACCTGGCCCAAGGTGGCAGCATCGCCTGACCTAGGGAAGCCACCTGGGAAACTCCCCCGCCCTGCCGTGCACTGCCATGCAACAATACGCCTGTGTCTCTCCTGTGTGGCCAGTGCAGCGGTCATGAAGAAATCATGATGCCCCGACCTAGAAGAAGTCATAATGCCGCACCTAGAAGAAGTCATGATGCCCCATCTAGAAATCCACCTGACCAATGGGACGTGTTAGGGAAATTAAATTAAAGCAACTTGAATTATCTTGAGACTTTTAAACGATTATTATAGTTTATTATAGATCGTAAAGTCTTACACCTTAGGATCCATAACCATGCTCACAGTTGTTCTTATAAACTACCTGTGGGTCAGGTGTGGTGACTTATACCTATAAACTCAACACTGTGGGAGGCCGAGGCAGGACGATCTCTTGAGCTCAGGAGTTGGAGGCCAGCCTGGGAATCATAGCAAGACCCCATTTCTAGAAAAAATAAATACATAAATAAATAAATAAAACGTCATCTGGCTGTGGTGGTGCATACCTGTTGTCCCAGCTACTTGGGAGGCTGAGGCCGTAGGATTACCAAACTCCAGGGGGTCGAGGCTGCAGTGAGCCATGATGACAACACTCCACTCCAGCCTGGGTGACAGAGCCAGACCCTGTCTCTAAAAAGAAAAAAATCCACCTGACCAATCAAAGGGAAAACTGGGCTTGTAAATACCCTCATGTTAGTGGAAGCCTTCTATAGACATGGATGCATTCTCTGTCACAAAAAACAACGAAAGCATCTGAGCTAAGATTTGGGTGCATTTTTTCCAAATTCTCCTTAAGGTTTTTCTAGTTTTTACTTGAAAACAAGAAAAGCGCATGTCCTCACCCCTGTGCGGCAGAAGGCCGGGCTTTGGGTGTTCTCTCCAAACCATTAGGACCCCTCTTCTCCCAAATCACCCTATTTTCTGCAATCACAGAGATTTTCCTCTTCCATTAGAGGAGCGCATATGGGGATGAATTGTTAAGAAATTTGCTCAGAGAAGGTCCGTTCCTGGGCTCAGCTTCCATGGCAGACAGTAAAAGCCAGATCAATCCCCACAAATGACAGATTCAGTCAAAGCCCCTGGAGGCCCCGGGTGCGTCCTGGAATTCTCCTTATAAAGAATCCCGGGGCCAGTGTGGGCCAGCTCGAGCTCAGGAAGGGGAGCCAGGCGGTCTGGGGGCGAGTCGTAGCCCAGCCACCTGCACACTGTGTGACATCAGGATACAGATCTCCCCCTCTGGGCCTCAGTTTATACGTCCACCGGATAAAGAGGTTGAAGCGGGTGAAGGCTCAGTTTCCCTGAACCCATCTGAATGCTGTCAATGCTTTTCTCCACCTCCTCAGGACTGATCTGTCTGGTGGGGTAATTCTTTGTCACGGGGCCTGTCCTGCACCTGGTAGAAAGTTATGCAGCATCCCTGGCTTTTTACCCATCAGATGCCAGTAGCACACCCCACTCTCTCTCTCCAAGTTGTGACAATCAACAATGTTTCCTCACATTGGCAAATCTAGACCTCGGCCCCTGGTGATGCTCACAGATGTTGGCCTGAGCAGAGCCTGGGAGCACTGGGCATTGAAGGAGGTGGTCGCAGCTGCAAGCCGGGGCTGGCTGTGTGGTCCCTGAGGCCCTCGTATCACCAGAAGGCCCACCCAGCCTTGCAGAGCAGGCTGCTGTCCGTGCACATGATGGATGCTCGACCCAAGCACCGGTTATAGGTCCTGCAGGCAGGGGAAGGCGCAGTTCCCTCTATACAGGAGCAATCTGGGCCTTCCTGGAGGCCACTGAGGGCTTTTCATCCTGGACGCAGGAGAACCAAGGCAGGTCTGGCAGGGCAGGGAGGACGGGACAAAGCTATGTCCCTGGAGCAGCCCAGATGGCCAGTTCACTCAGAGCAGCACAGCCTTGCTCCTCCAGGAAGGGGGGTCGTGTTCCCCGCACCCTCCCTTTCATGTTACCGTGAGCTGTTCTACGTGGAACTTTGAGTGTGACTGTCTGAGTATGGTTTTCCTTCCTCTGCAGGAGCTCCTGAAGGCCTGAATCAGGGTTTCACAGCCATCGTCGAGGGCTGCAGGTGAAACTCTAAGACCTAACCTTGTGGTCTGGGGTGATTCAAGGCCAATGACCCCCCCACCCCCCATGCTGCCTCCCTCCTGGCACACCACTCCAGGAGGAGTCAGGTCACAGGGCCTGGGCAAGAAGATGGGTTGAGAGGCTGGGAGGACCAGCCCAGCCACGGCAGAGCCGAGCTCTGGAAACCTGAGGCTTGGCCAAGCTCAAGGAACTAGAAGCCACCATATTCCCTCAACAAACCCTAATCCTGGTCCAGCCAACTCATAATCCTTTGAAAACTGCTGTCCTTTATCTGGGCAGTGTGTTCCTTCTCGGAATGAACATTTCCAGTTGAATGAAAGCTTCCTGGAACCAGTATCCCATGTTTTTGTCCCAAATGATGAGAACACACCGCCAGGAGATCCAAAACCAGCCGAGTTACGGCTGAACCTGTTCTAAATACAGCAACGTTTTGCCAGAAATGAGCCAGACCAGCCATAGCCGAGCCCAGCCAGTGCCCAGAGCAGGTTGGCTCAGGCTACAAAGACGTCCTCCAACCACTGTCATGGGTTGAAAAGTTAGTCCGGAGGTTACTTCAATTCATAACAAATCCCGACTGAGTCAATGCACAGTGGAATTTAAGGTTCAAGGCATAATTAATTGTTTGTGTTTGAGTTAAAACCTACACAAGTCACTCATTCAGTTGTCAGTCTGGGTTTCTTGAGTGCCCACCTGAGGGTCGGGCAGTGCTCCAGAAAGCAGCAGCAAAGCCCCTGACCTGGAGAAGATGTGCAGGGCTCAGGGGGCAAGAGGCCCTGCTGGGGACACAGTGTGTCGGGGGCATGGCGTGTGGGGGACACTGTGGAGGCCAGGGTGACTAGTGACACAGGAACCAGGGAGAGTGAGGCCCTGATGTTGGAGGACCAGCCAGGGAGAGGGGGTATACAGGCCAGATTCTGGGGCGTCTTGTAAGCTGTGGCATGGGCACACTCACACACTCACACATACACCTTGCATACTTGCACACTCACGCCCACAAGCACGTACATATTTGCACACACACTCTCCCTCTCTCACACTCAGACATATACACACTCACTGGCACACTCACATACACTCTTGCACGTTCATGCTCAATCTCACACTCACACACATATTCACACAGTCTCACACATAACGTGCACTCACACTTCCTCATGCATATGTTCACACACTGGCTCGCATTCACCATCACACACATTCTGGCACACTCACTCACAGTCACACACACACATGTACTCGGTGGCACACACATTCACATATACTCACACCTACACACACACTAACACACCTGCACTCACAGCAACACATTACATGCTCACTCACACCCTCACACCCACACGCACACAGGCACACACCCTTTCAGGGAGTATTTCCATCTCATTTCTGACCGTTCTGCTCCAGAGACTCAAGCTTGCCTCAAGCCTGCACTTCCCTGCCCCATAAATCTCCTGGAAGCCAGCGCGACCTCCTCGACTTCCGCATAGTGCTGGAGGGGCAGGCAGGAGGCTGTGAAGCTCAGGGTTGATGTACACAGTAGGCGCTCAGCGGACGTCAGCTTGGTGTCGCGACATCGATGTAACTGGTAAAAAAAACCCCGCACACGTGAACTGGCCGCAACACGAGGAGGGGTTTGTCTTCCCAGACAGGGCAGCCGGGATCCCCTGCCTCGCCCTCTCCTCCTCCCCTGAAAACAGTGGGCCACGTGGGGAGCCTGAGGCAGTGGGCAGGGGGCTCAGGCCTGGAGTGGGAGGCTGAAACAGTGGGCACCGAAAGGAGAGAGCAGGCAGATCCAACACCTGGCCTCGTGCAGGATTGGCCAGAGCTCATTCTGCCCGTGGCTTTACGAGTGAGTGAACATAGATTCTTTGGAGGCAGCCTGGACCGGGCATTCGGTGCTGGGGCCGTGATGCTGAGGAGATGAGATACCATCATTCCACTCAAAGAGCTTCCGATGGCCGGGGGCCCTGGCTGGCTGGCTGGGCACCCAGCCTCAGGGTCCCTGCTCCTCGCAGATGCAGGGGTACCACCCTCTCCGCAGCAGAACCGTGGCTCCTAACGGGAAGGGGAGGTATTTACGAGGGGGCGAAGTCCGGCTGTTGGCCGCCAGCCAGCTCACATCCTTTGCAGAAGGCAAGGTTTTTTTCAGACTTCCATGTCCTATTGAGTATTTCTGACACAGAGAAAAAAAATAAAAATAAAAATAATGATTTTAATAAGTTAGTATGATTTAAATTAGAAGATGTGAACATCACCTCACATGAGCGCCTTACAGAGGCAAAAGAAAAACATATTTTCCCTGGACAGATATGAGTCTGACTCTGCAGACCCGTGGGCCCTTTCTGCCTGTTAAATCAGCCAGGGCTGAAGACAGCAGTGATCTCCAGAGCTGGCAGCTGCCATGGGGAATCTGGGAGCCTGCGACATCACCAGTGGGGGTGTAAATTCTTATGGTCCTTTGGGAAATGATTTAAAGATATGTATTAAGAACGATAAAAAAAGTCATATACCTTGACTTAGTAAAATCTCGCTTTTAGTCAAAGGAAATGAGCAAACAAGAATTTAAAAGTTCTATGCATGAAAATGTTCCTGCCAATGGCTTTAGGTTAGAGAAAAGAGAGACGCCCAGAAGCCAGAAACTGGGGTGTTACATCGTCAACACCAACGTAGTGAGATATTACATGGCCTTTAAAATAGAAAATGAGAGAACCAAGCCATGCTTATATATACATATACATATGTATGTATATGTCGAGACAGGGTCTCACTCTGTCACCCAGAACTAGAATGCAATGGTGCAATCATGGCTCACTGCAGGCTCAAGAGATCCTCCCATCTCAGCCTCCCGAATAGATGAGAATACAGGTGTGTGCCGCCACCATGCCCAGCTAATTGTTTAAATTTTTGTAGAGATGGGGTCTCACTCACTATGTTGCCCAGGTTGGCCTCAAACTCCTGGGCTCAAACAATCCTCCCACCTTAGCCTCCCAAAGTGCCAGGATTACAGGCATGAGCCACCATACCCAGCGCATGCTTATAATTTTCTAAGTGAAGAAGCAGATTGCATTAGAACAATAAAAAAGAATCCCAAGAGCATCTGCAAAGAATATAGGGAAACATAGAGAAGTTCTACAGGAAAGGGTGGCCCACAGAGGTAGCATGGTTATGAGGCAACTATCATTTTCAAATTTCGAGGCCTATGGAAGGAAGGTAAGGTTGTTTCTGTGATTTACAATGCTGAATAAATTAAATAAAACTAGCACTGCCTAGTGGACAGGTAGAGGATGGTTGGAAGAAAGGGCCCCTCAAGCTCCAGGTGCCTCATGGCTTGCCAAGCCCAGCACCTCCAGAGTTTATTCCTTGTGCTCCTACTAAGCGTTCGATGCCAGGTTGACCTGCACATAGTGGCTGCAGCATCTACATGCACAACTCAGCAGTGAGATTGCAGCTCCAAGGTCCAGTGTGCCTGAGCTCAAACGCCACCCAGCACCTCCCAGCTGCATGCTCTTGGGACAGGACCATCTCATCTAGCTTCCATCTCCTCTCTCAGCCCCTCTCTGTCATTGATAACCTCCATCCAGAACACACCAAGTTCCTATAAGTGATAGCTAATTCCATTACTCAAATATGTGCTATGTCTGACTTGAGGCCTTTCCAATAAAAGTGCATTAGCAACTCCCAACCTTAACACTTTACTATACTTTTGGGGAAAAAGTTAAATATAAAAAAAAAATCCTCAGTTTTGGATGGTGAGTATCTACTTGCCTAGAGGTGGCGGCTGGAGGTGGCTGTCAGGACCCCTCAAGTCTCCTGAAAGTCTACAACCCTGCAATCAATCCTTGCTCTTTGCCACGGCTCTGCCCAGAGTAGGAGGCATTCCGGAACTCAAGGTTGAGCTGTCTTTTAGCTTTTCATCAGCGTGAGATGCCTTTGGTCTCCAATCAATTGTATATCTCACTTGAATGTAAAAGCACATGGCTTCCCTCTTCTCTTTTAACAACTCACATGCATTGTTTGGCTTTCAGGCCTCCATCCTCCAAAATCCCATGTTGGGTGCCCATAAAAATGCATAGGCCCTGGCTTTCCTGTTTTCCAGGCACTGGCTCACTCAGGAAATGCATCAGCACGTTGGTTTTCACTCCGGTTCCCAGGCGCATGATGGAAACTCACATCGTTTCTGAGTTTGTAGCTCTGGCTTGCTGCTGCCCAGAACTCTACTCTCTGAAGACGAGTCTTAAACAATGGAGCTGTCCAGGCAATTATCCGAAGCCAATGGCAGCCAATCATCCATTCCTTGGCCCATGTGCTCAAATAGCAAATACCTACTAAGTGTGTGCCATGTACCTTCAAGGAGGGGAGGCTTTGTGAGGGAGTATTTCAGCCAACTAGTGCTGTGTAACAAATCACCCCAAAACGGAGTGCTTAAAACAACAGTCATTTTATTCTCTCCTATACTAGTTTGCTAGAAGTACGGGAGCAAAGTACTGCACAATGAGTGGCTTAAACAACAGAAATTTATTCTCTCAATTTCTGGAGGCCAGAAGTCCAAGAGTAAGGTGACTGCAGGGCTGGTTCCTTCCAGGGCTGCAAGGGAGGCTCCACTCCAGGCCTCTCTCCGGCTTTGGTGGTTGTGGGCAATCTTTGACATTCCATGGCTTACAGATGCATCCCCCCAATCTCAGCCTACATCTGACATTCTCCTCGTGTCTTCCTGTGCCTCTGTGCCCAATTTTCCTCTTTTTATAAGGACACCAGTCATATTGGATTAGGGCCCACCCTAAAGACCTGATTTCAACCTTGTTGCCTCTGTAAAAACCCTATTACTGAATATGGTCACCTTCTGCAGTCCTAGGAGTTAGGGCTCCAACATATCTTTTCTGGGAGGACACAGTTCAACCCGTGGCATGTCCCATGGGTTCTGTGGTCAGGAAGGGCTCAGCTGGGTGGTTCTGGCTCATCATATCTCAGGGTTGCAGACAATGGTGGCTGGAAACAAGACAGGGACAAGGACAAGGGTGCAGCTGCAGCATCTAGAGGTGTGCTGGGCTCCTCTCTTCATGTAGCCCCAAGCCCTTTCCATGAGGTCTCACTGTGTGGGCTGTTCGGGCCTCCTCGCATCATGGTGGTCTCCAAGCATTGAGGCTGCTCACTGCCAGCTGAGAGCTTCGAGAGACAGTCTCACAGGGAGTCACAGGGAAGCTGCCTTGTCCTTTGTGGCCTAGCTTGGGAAGTCACATAGCATCATTTCTGCCATCCTCTGGTGGTCCAAACAGTCACAAACACTTGCTGAATTTCAGGAACAGGGACATCAACCACATCCGTTAATATGAAGACTGTCAGAGTCACATGTGTGATGGGAAATATTGTTGCAGCCATCTTTGGAAGATGAGATTGGCCATAAAGAGACAGAGCAGTAAGCAGACATGTTGCATTGCAGTGCAATGGCTGCAAATGTCCAGGTAAGGATGGCTCCCAGGAAAACAGAAAGACTGGGCCCCTAGACCAGTGAGGAACCTAGGAAGTCTTCCCAGAGGAGGTGAGGCAGGGACCTGAAAGGTGGGCAAGCAGCAGTTGGCTGGACAGGGTGGGACCTGGGGGGCAGTCTCAGCAGAGGGAGCCATCCGTGCCACGCTCAGGAGGCGGGAGAAGGGGTGCACATTCTGCAAAAGGCTGAAATTCCAGGGCAACAGAGTCCAACCAGCCTCCGCCACAGTATCTTAGGTTTCTTAAGCTCCCAGTCCACTGCATTGCAAGCTTTAATAACTACAATCGTTTCTACTTTATGCAATGAACCCAGACTAGTAAGTTGTGTAACTTCCGCCCCTGGGGTCCTCGATTTGTTCATGTAATTCCACGGAACTCATTATCCTGAAATGGACTCTGTGTCTAGATCATGGATCCATAAACTTTTTCTGCAAAAGGCCACATAGTAAATAGTTTAGCCCTTGTGGGGCACACAGTCACTGACACAATTACTCAACTCCTTCTTTGTAGCAGAAAAGCAGCCAGAGACAAGACGTAAATAAATGTACATGGCTATGTTCCAATAAAGCTTTATTTACAGAAACAGGTGGTAGGCTGGATTGGGCCTGTATTTTGCCAGTCCCTGGTCTAGACTGAAGTTTGTTCTGGTGAGAACTTGAGTCCCTGCTTCTGCCACTTACTCTGAACATGCCGTTTAAGCTCTCTGAAGCTGTTTCCTCTTCTGCAAAATATTTTGGGTTTAGTGAGTCACCATACTGTCTCTGTCACAGCTACTCGACTCTGCCATCGTAGAGTTGGACTAAACCCCTTCATCACCCAGGGCGGGAGCAAACGAGATGAAAAGTGTGAACATTGTGCAGCACTAGGATTTCGAGATGCGGACCTGGCTTTAAAGTGCATACACTTTAGGGACAGTGCACACTTTCTAGTTATGACCTCGAGCTACACATCCCTGAGGCTCAGGCTCCTCTAGCATAAAATGGGAATGAGAACATTGACCACATGACGTTGTAGGAGGATTCAATGAGAGTGCACGGCCCCAGATTATTGGGGGATGATTCCCTGAGGCCACTTATGGGGGTCACAGCGGACGCCCTGTTTGGGGGAGTCAACTAGGTGCTGGGAAGTCCATTGGAAGGTGTATGAGCCACCTCCCTAAGTGGGGGTGCAGCGGGTTGAGCTCGGACTCTCTGGGCAACCCCTCTGGGTAGATCTATAATTCTTTGAGGACTTAGTCTCTGTTTATCTAATTTCCTTGGTTCTAAGATGCATATTGAGCACCTTTTAACCTTTTTGAAATCCAAGTGCCTCTACCCATCAATACTTGCATTTGATGCGATCACATTTCTTCACTTTCACCACAATAAAAGCAGTCATCAAACTGATGGAAAAACAGAGATACGGAGGCATACTGACCCCAGATCTAACAGGGACATCATGCTCGAGGTAGCCCCACGTCTGGGCTGTCCGGCTGTGGTTGCTGGCTGAGGATAGAGGCCCCCAGGCCCTGAGGCCCCTCTGTGCTTGTTTCACCCCGTGGTCAGAGTTCAGGATCAGGCTGTGGCCAAGGAGGAGGGACGGATGCTGGGCTGCGAGGAGCCTTCACACCCAGACACCCGCTTCCTCCACGGGGCAGGCGCTTCCTCTCTTTGAGCACGCAGACGTCCCCCTCCTCTGCTAAGGAAGACAGGGTGCCAACCCCCGCGTGGAGAATGGGACATTCCTTTAAGACAAGCCAGCTGTTTTACAGCTCTGCTCTGGAGGCCTTCAAAAACATAAAGGCTCAAGAATCAAAGGCTTCCTGTTATAAATTCACTTCTACACCTCAGGTACTTTGTGGGTTGGGGAGGCAAAAACAAGATTTAGTGAAAATTGGTAGAAAATGCTCTATAAATACCCTTCTTGTGGGAGGAGAACCCGTGGGCTGGTCTCGGAGGGCGGGTGGAGAACGGCTTTGTGTTTGCCTAGGATGTTTGGAAGACATTTTGCACTTTCTGACATTAGTATTTTTGTTGTTCTAAAATCTTCGGTGCCTTCAAACTTTAATTTGGGGAGTTATTGAGAATCATGTGCATGAAAATAAATTTAAAATGTATAATGGATCTTTATAATCGACATCCTCATCTTAAAGATGAGAGAAACAAGACCCAAGATGCTGAAGGGCAGGCTTCGGCCACCAGCTGGGCACAGACAAGACAAGAAGATCTAGAGATTCTCCTCAAAGGCTCCAGAAAATAGAGCCAGGCTCGTGGGCACAGCAGCACAGCGCTGATTACAGAAGTGATGCATGTTGATTGGAGAAAATTCAGAATATTTCTAAGAGCCCAAAGAGGAAAATCAGAACTGCCTGGGACACAGCATCTACAGACAAGCCCTATGGGGTTTGACGTCTGCTCTTTTTTCTGGGCCTGGACTGATCTAGTTGATGATACAGAACTAGACACAGAATGGAGGTTGTCACGATGGCTCGCACACACCTGACTATACTTGCAGCCCAGGTACCCAGTCCCCCACCCAGCTCCGGCCCCAAATGCCTCTGCTCCTCACCTAAGGGTGTCTCCTGACCAGGGGAATCTGATCAGCGCACACACAGGACAGCCCAGCAGAAGCAGGGACTGGATATCCCTGAGGGCAGCTCTCATTCCTGCAGTGAGGAGTCAGTGAGTAAAAACCTGAGGTAGTCACTGTCAGTACTCCCTGTCCCAATTCCTCTCAGCCTTACCTCTTCTGTGAACGGGGAACCAAACTCCAATTCCGACTCCTGCATTTCATGGCCTGTGGGCTCTCTCTGCCTCCAGAGACCCCATTCCCACCTGTGAGCCAGACCAGAAATAGCAAGGAACTAACACCCACCCCAAGGAGGTGACCTCAAACATTGATTCATAGGAGCTGGGGTATCAATACCTCAACTCCCTTCCCCACCAGGTGGGATAATTCTGTTCTGGGAGGCTCCCAGAGTTTCCCTAGCAGGATTAAGCCACAGCCACCCACAGACATAACCTGCTCAATACAAACCCTTTATGGGCTGCTGTCCCTGCTGTTTTGCACACCAATCTCCAAAATGCATTGCTTCTGTCATCAGGGCTGCCCTGCTGTGCCCATGAGCCTGGTGTCTGGACCACCTCCTAAATATTATCTCTGCATCTCAGGGCCAGTTTCTGGGGGACCCCAAACTGAGAGAAAAACCCGTAGTGAGGCAAGGCTGGGGCATGTTTCCCAGGGTCCCCCCAGAGCTTTCCAGTGGGACTAAGCCCATGTGGCCCACTGTGTTCGTCCTCTTGTCAATGCTCCTGACTCAGCTTGTCCCCTCTCCTGCCTCGCTTTCCCCACTGCATCTCTTGGGATCATATCCCAAATAACCCCCTGCACCAAGTCCCTGTGGGATCTGCTCTGAGGGGAATTCAAACTTAGATGGATATTTATATAAATAGAAATAGATGGATATAGATGCTAAGATGGTTATGGATACAGACACAGCTATCAATGGATAAGATATAGACATAGATACAGATATGGATAGATAGATACGGATATAGGTACAGGCATAGATGGATGATGTAGACAGAGATAGAGGTACAGGTATGGATGGATATAGATATAGACACAGATACAGATATGGATAGTTAGAGATGGATATAGGTACTGGCATATATGGATGATGTAGACAGAGATGGAGGCATGTAGGGATATAAATATAGACAGATACAGATATGGGTAGATGGATATGAATCTAGGTACAGGCATAGATGGATGATATAGTCTGAGAGAGATAGAGGTATAGTTGGGTATAGACATAGATAGAGTTATAAGTTCATGGACACAAGTGGATTTGGATATGAACATAGAGCGGTAAATCGTAGTACCAATTGTTTTCAGCTGATGTTCATCCTAATTGGTCTACGCCCACATCTGTTATTAAATATGTTTAATCTCTCCCTTGGGTGTGTCTATAATGAGATACACAGATGAGCTCTCTGGGTTTCTGGAGCCCTGATGTCTGAGCAGGAGCCCAGCCCTGCTACTCCCAATATCCTTAAGTGAGCCACTTCATCTCTTTTCCTTGGCACATCACCTATTAAATGACTGGAGAACTCACCAATCATTTATAATCATATCTATGTCTACATCCTAAGTTTCTTGCATGTAGAAAGTCCTTAAATCCACCAGGCTCCCTTGTGGATTTAAGGACTTTATATGTGCCAGAAACCTTAGGACCTGACCTGTAGGAAGTGCTCAATAAATGTTAACTATTATCATTGTTATTACTACTCCTCTGTAGTTGTGATAAATGTAGCCCTCATTAAATACAGACTAACCACCAACTTAGTGGCCAACCCAGCCAGCTCCAAAAGCACTTGCGAGGAAGAATGAAAATCCATCTGGATTGTGAAAGAAACATCCATTTTACAGATAGTGCTCCTGAGGCTTTGTGAAAGACATTGCACATACAAGATTCGGGGTCAAGTGGGACAAAAACCTCATCTTGGTGTGTGCAGGATTCAGCTCCTGCCTTCATTCTGCCCCTCGCAAGACTTGCATGGCTGTGGGTTCTTTTTCCATCTATAAACCTGGGACTTCATTTCCCATTTGATTGTTGGCTCCTGAAACTCAACACAAGCCAGGATGACATGAACACCTCCTGTGCCAAGGAGACAGCTGGAACACATGCTCTGTGTTGAGTCAGCTGGCCCAGTGACCGCATGGCCCTGTGGTTCTGTGGGAAGAGAACATACTTCAGCAGCCCCCATGCCTAAACTTCTCCCTGTGGTGGTTTTCAATTGTGACTCCAAAATTCTACTGCATCCCTCCCCTGAGACATGGATTCTGCACCCTGCCCATTCAATCTGGGTAGGCTTGTGACTGCTTCATTCCATAGAATGGGACATAGAATAGAAGCCATGGAACTTCCACCTGGTCTTCTTGGGGAATTCAAGTGCCCTGTATGATGTCTGACTCCTCTGAGACCACCAAGCTGGGGAGGGCACTCTGGGTGCTTCCAGTACACAGTCCCAGTTCATCCCCACCTGGCTCCAGCCATGTGAGTGAACTGCTTGGGATCCAGATTAGCCCATACTCCCCCTGAGTGCCTCTGAGTGACTTCAGTGGATGCCACAAAGAGCAAATGAACCACCCAGCTGATCCCTGCCCAAATTCTTGACCCACAGAATCCATAGGCAAAATAAAATTGCTGCTTTATGCCTCTAAGTTTAGGGGTGGTTTGTTACAAAGCACGGGTAATTAGAACATTTTCTTATCTGCCTTTTTAGCAGTTCTGCCACCTACTAAAATGGCCCAAGAAGGGGTGATATGGTTTGGCTCTGTCCCCACCCAAATCTCATCTTGAATTGTAGCTCCCATAATTCTCATGTCTTGTAGGAGGGATCCAGTGGGGACAATTGAATCATGGGGGCAGTTCCCCCATACTGTTCTCATGGTAGCGTATAAGTCTCGTGAGAACTAATGGTTTGATAAGGGGTTTCCCCTTTCAGTTGGTTTTCATTCTCTCTTGCCTGCCGCCATGTAAGGTGAAAGACGTGCCTTTCACCTTCCACCATGATTGTGAGGCCTCCCCAGCCACGTGGAACTATGAGTCTATTAAACCTCTATTTCTTTATAGATTACCCAGTCTTGGGTATGTCTTTATTCACAGCATGAGAACAGACTAATACAAGGAGTAACCTCATTGCTAGGAAAATCTCATTACATCATCTCCCTGCTCACAACCCCCACCCCCACCTCCCCATCACCCTCAGGGGAATATCCAGGCTCCACACCAGGACCTAGAAGGCTCTGAACAGCCTGGGTTCTATCTACTTTCTACCATCACCTTTTGCTATGTGTCTTTCACATGCTTTATGTTATTTATTCATTCATTCATCTACTGTGTATTGAATGCCTACTCTGTGCCAGTCACTATTCTTCACTCCAGGCTACAATTTGAGTGAACCAGGCTCAGCCTTTGCCTCCGTGGAACTCATGATCTAGCAGAGGAGACAGACATTGGCCCAAATAACTCCACAAAATATTGCAGCAGGGAACAGGAGGTGCATTGTGCTACAAGGGTGTGCAATTGGAGGAAATGGCCTCATCTGCCAGACCAGAGAAGGTTTTCTGGAGGAGGTGATGCCTGAAGAAAGAGGAGAGCTTAAATAAGAGGAGGAGGGAGAAAAAGCATGCTATGCAGGAAGGGAAACTGCCCATGCGGAGTTGAAAGCAGAGGAGGAAAAAAACAGCGTGTCTGAAGAGGCTAGGATAGTCAATGTGTCCAAAAGGCAGAGAGCCAGAGAAAAAACTGAATGGATGAGGCTGCAAGGCTTGGAGGGGCCAAATCATCCAGGATATGTTCATATTTGACTCCTGGAAATAGATGGCTGCTGGCATTGGTCCAGGGGCTTGGGGATGTGAGAATCAGCACCTTGAACATTTTCCTGCCTTTTCCTCTTGTTGCAAAATGGCAGCCACAGCTCCAGACAGTACCTCTGCATTCCAGAAGGAGAAAGAGAAAAAGGGCCAGCATTAGCAATCTCTCAATCTCTCTCTCACACACACACACAAAGCTGAAGCTTTTCTAGAGGTTTCCCTAGCATGTGTCTCTTAAGTCTCAGTGGCCAGAACTCAGAACCAAAGTCTGTGGCCTTTCCAGCTAAGAGGAAGGCTGGGAAAGGGCATTCACCTTCCCTGCCTTGATAGCAGAGGCGGGAACAGAAGATGGCACTTAAGCATGAGTGATGCGTTTGGCAGCCAACAGTGCTTGCTGGGCTGTTTTTTGTTTTGTTTTGTTTTGTTTTGAGATGGAGTCTCACTCTGTCACCCAGGCTGGAGTGCAGTGGTGCCATCTTGGCTCACTGAAACCTCCGCCTCCTGGGTCCAAGTGATTCTCCTACTTCAGCCTCCAGAATAGCTGGGATTACAGGCACGTGCCACCACACCCAGCTAATTTTTGTATTTTTAGTAGAGACGGGGTTTCGCCATGCTGGCTAGGATGGTCTTGAACTCCTGACCTTAGGTGATCCACACACCTCGGCCTCCCAAAGTGCTGAGATTACAGGCATGAGCCACTGTGCCCGGCCCTGGACTGTTTTTAAAAGGGACGACACAACGATTGAAACCGGGCATCCAAAAGATCCTGGGCTGTGCTCTAGGGCCATCTATGCCTCTCCCAATCCTGAGTGCCAGCTCCACAATGGCCCTGCTCACCCTGCACTGTAATGGCCTGGTGGCTGTAAGTCCTTCCTGCCCCAGGTCCCCGCCATTACTCGGCACACTTGCTGATCTCTTTTATTACAGCCGTCCTGGTGAGTGTGCAGCGCTATCCCACATGGCTTGAATTTACATTTTCCAACATGAGGTGGGTTTTTTTGTCTTGGCCTACCATGACGTCTGAGTCATGGTGACGTGGGTGCCAGGAAAGCACGGTGATGTGTTTCTGCTCACAGCACGAACATTTAAACAGCTCTCTCCTTTCCCGTACTCTTCTGCTCAGTGACTGAGATTTTGCTCTGATGAGCGTGGTTTGAGTTGAGTACATATGATTTCAAGAAATATCACATCCGTGATAAGTTGAATTTACCTACCAGAGTGTGAGCCTGTGTTTACCTGATGCCAAAATCTAGATTAAACCTGAAGATTTCCATCAACCCTCCCCGTTTCCAAAGGGCCAGATGTTTGGCACTGCATAGCCAAAACATCTGCTTGGTGAGCTGAATATTTTGGTTGTCATGCTCAGATTCCCTACCATGATAACGCGAGCTCAGTGGGCGCCTGTGTCACCTCACACTCGTGCAGGGGAAAGCCACCCTGGGAAGGCCTCACTTCCACTGGATCATCAGCATCAATGAATCTGGGAAACACAGCAGGCAGCACACAGCTTGACGTGCAAGAACTTCCGCAGCCACATCCACGACCTTCCGCACATCTTACGGGGATTTTGAGTGATTACAGTATTAAACTAACAGGCTGACACATGAGCAAAATAAGTAACTTACAAAGCAAGCCTTTCCATGGCCAGACACGCCGGCAGCACGTGCAGCTGGTTTCGGAGCTGCAGCGAATATATGGAATTTCAGAATGATTTGCGTTACAGTTCCCTTAAGTAACATTATCTTGTTAAAGACATTAACCTCGGGCCTTTGCTGTTATAGATTTGCTTTTATTGTTCTCATCCTGGGGAGCAACCTGTAGGAGAGACACTCCTCCACGAAAAAGCGGTCGTGGGTCATGAAAACATTAATTCTTGAGGTGGCTGAATGGCCATCTGGGGAACGCTCGCCAGTTATGGGAAACAGACATCGCTTTGCAGAACATCTTTTTTAATCAAAAATAATTATGAAATTTCAAACGTTAATAAGCATTTCATAGTTTTGCCCAACACGATACGGCCTCAAAGAAATGTGCCCTCTGGTTGCTTTTCTTAAAAGGAACCCCTGCAGTCAGACGCTGTCCTCCAGCAGGGCTCAGGCTGTCCTGGTGCATCTCCAGGGGCTGATCTGCAGAGCTGCTGGCCCCCCACTCTGCCTCCCCACTCATTCCTCCACTCCACAAAATTCAGCTGAAAGTGAATTTTCATTTTCTTTCTTTCTTTCTTTCTTTCTTTCTTTCTTTCTTTCTTTCTTTCTTTCTTTCTTTCTTTCCTTCCTTCCTTCTTTCTTTTTCTTTCTTTCTTTCTTTCTTATTTTTCTTTCTCTCTCTCATTCTTTCTTCCTTCCTTCCTCTTTCTTTCTTCGTTTCTTTCTTTCTTCGTCTCTCTCTTTCTTTCTGTCTTCCTTCCTTCCTTGCTGTCTTCCTTCCCTCATCTTTCCTCCCTCCCTCCCTCCTTTTCCTTCCTTCCTTCCTTCTTTCCTCTCTCTCTCTCCCTCTCCTTCCTTCCTTCCCTCCCTCCTTTCTTTCTTTCTTTCCTTCTCTTTCTTCTTTTTGAGGCAGAGTCTCTCACCCAGGCTGGAGTGCAGTGGCTCAATCTCAGCTCACTGCAACCTCCACCTCCCAGGTTCAAATGATTCTCCTGCCTCAGTCTCCTGCGTAGCTAAAATTACAGGCATCCACCACCACACACAGCTAAATTTTTGTATTTCTAGTAGAGACAGGGTTTCACCATGTTGGCCAGGCTGGTCTCAAACTCTTGGCCTCAAGTGATCCATCCGCCTTAGCCTCCCAAATTGCTGAGATTACAGGCGGGAGCCACTCCTCCCAGCCTCGAATTTTCATTTTGTTACATGGCTTTTTGCAGGGACGGGGTCTCTCCAGACAGAGTATGGGCTTGGGGTTTTAGCAGGTCTGTGTCTGGAGTTGCCTCATCTGTAAAATGGGGAGGTTTTATGAGATTGGGGGGAAGATCCTGGATTACACAGTAAAGGGGCCGTGCAACACTGAAGTTAATATCTTCATCTGTAGCTGATGAAGATCAGTTAGGGAACTTATTTGTTCCTTTCTTGATTTTAGGATAAAAATTAGCATGAGCACCAATGGTGAGCATCCCAGGCATCTTGCAGCCAGCTCCTGCTCATCTTTACAGCCCTGCAAAGTAGGTAACTGACATGTGGGACCTCACCCACAGTCCCTGAGCCAGAAAGACACAGATGGGATTCTGCGTTTCCTCCCAAGCCCGGGTTCTTTCTGTGTACCACATTGTCTTCCACTTGCCTGTTCCAAGGAGCAATTTGGAAACCCTTTTTATTTTGCGCCCACATCGTCGGTGAGCCTCTGGGGCGACATAAGAATGACTCAGGGAGGTGTGCGATGGGGTCCTAGCCAAAGGAGGCAGGCATTTTGATGAATCCCCTCTGCCTGCCCTGCTCTGACTAAGTGGGAACATTGCGTGAGTTCATGTTCCGTCCCTTAGACACTCCTCTATGAAATCATCTT
The DNA here is from genome assembly GCF_000001405.40 of Homo sapiens. Classification (NCBI taxonomy): domain Eukaryota; kingdom Metazoa; phylum Chordata; class Mammalia; order Primates; family Hominidae; genus Homo; species Homo sapiens. Next base: position 86,457,833 of record NC_000016.10, read on the forward strand.
TAAAGCCTTAAGACAGATCTTCTGGTGCTCTCAGATATAATTAATTCCAAACACTGACAGGGTAAATTCTCTCTCTTCCTTATAAATGCTAGACTCATGCAGGAATAATTTGGAAGACCAAACACACAGCAAATGAATCCTAGGGAAGAATCTTTCTCAAGAAGTCTGTGCAGCATTTAACTGCCTCGTCGCCCTCCCCTCCCTTCTCCTTCCTTCCTTTCCAGGCATCCCAGCCTGCTGGCTTGGCTTCCTGGAGAATTGGAATATTCCACTTGGAACATCATCAGGGTCTCAGTGGCCAAAAAAGCCTGTAAGATACCAGAGTCCTAGTTAAGAAAGATTTTTCAAAACCCCATCGATCCTGCTCAAATGTAACCTGTGAAAGTGGAAATTTGTTCAGCTTTTTTGGAAGTTGATTTAGCAATATCTACCAAAACTGCAAGTATGAATAAACAGTGACTTGGCTTCCTCACTGCTAGGGATTTATAGAAAGGAAATAATTAAAGATGTGCGCAAAGAGATTCAACTCTAAGACGTTTTATGCAGTGATGTTTATCTGGATATCCAAAGCTAAGGGACTGAGCAAACACAATCCTAGCTCCTAGTCAGAGACTGGAAATGCAAGTGTCTTCTGCTTTGTGAAATGGAAATACACTTCTGCTCTATTGCTACACAAAAAATTATCGAAGTTGAGCCTAGCTTCACCACTTTTTCAGTGTGCATGCATGCACGTGCATGTGTGTGTGTGAGAAAGAGTGTGGGGTAAGAATACAGATTCTGCAATCAGGCTAGCTAAGTATAAACTACAACCCGATCACTCACTATGTGACTTTGAACAAGTTACTTCACCTCGGTTCAATAAAATGGGGATGTGGCAATGCAAACCTGATAGAACTGTGCAAAGAGAGAATAAGATAATAAACATAAAGCTTTAAGGAGAGTAAAGGCTAAATAAATGCAGCAAAACATGTTTCTAAAGACACAGCAAGGCCGGGCGCAGTGGCTCACACCTGCGATCCCAGCACTTTGGGAGGCCAGGGCAGGAGGATCATTTGAGACCAGGAGTTACAGACCAGCCTGGGCAACAGGACAAAACCCCATCTGTAAAAATAAAATGAAAAAATACAAACTTAGCTGAGCGTGGCGGTACACACCTGTAGCCCCAGCTACTTGAGAGGCTGAGGCAGGAGGATCACTTGAGCCTAGGAGGTCAAGGCTGCAGTGAGCCACTGTACTCCAGCCTGGGCAACAGAGTGAAATCCTGTCTCAAAACAGAAAAACAAAAAGGCACGTCAAAGACACGAATGAAGGACGTTTGAATATTTATAACATGTACCTCTGAATGCTGGGATTACTCAAAATCTCTTTTTCAACTTGCTTATCTGATTTTTCTAGCTATGTATGAACATGAAGAATATGCATCCTTGGATAACCGAGAGGATAAACACTCACATCGCTCAGATGCTTTAGCTCCGTGGGCAGTGTAGTGCTGGGCTCAATCAGCCGGGAAGAGGAAGCGGCTGTCGGGATGAAGTGAAAATGGCAGCTGTAAGGGACGGAGCCCCCGTGCTGGGCACAAGAACACCTGGCTCAGCGCCAGCGTGCTAAGCCTTGGGGTTGGTGCCAGGGTACAGTAGAAAGCAGAGTGGGCAAAGAAGTGAAGGGGGCACGTGGGCAGCCGCTTTCACATGCAGGCATTTCCTGGCACATCACACTCAGAGTCCAGCAGTGCCTTGAATATGATACCAGAGCAGTCTCCTGTGCAGGTCCCTGTGCTGGGAAGCAGCAGCTCAATGGTGTGAGCCTATCCCTCCGTCCTCACCCCTGGGCTCCTCCGCCAGCCGATAAAACAGGGCTCAGAGCATGAGTTGTGGATTCCAACGTGTCTGAGTTTGGGTCAGGCTCTGTCTCCTCCCGGCTATGTGACATTTGACAAGTGTCCTAACCTCTCTGAGCCTCAGTTTCATCATCTGAAAAATAGGAAAAATAGCGACAGTATCCTCATAGAGTCGATGTGAGAATTAAATCAATAATATCAATAGCCCAGCACTTTGGGAGGCCGAGGCAGGAGGATCACAAGGTCAGGAGATCGAGACCATCCTGGCTAACACAGTGAAACACTGTCTCTACTAAAAATCCAAAAAAAAAAAAAAAAAAAAAAATTAGCCGGGTGTGGTGAGCACCTGTAGTCCCAGCTACTCGGGCAGCTGAGGCAGGAGAATGGCATGAACCTGGGAGGCAGAGCTTGCAGTGAGCTAAGATCGCGCCACTGCACTCCAGCCTGGGTGACAGAGTGAGATTCCATCTCAAAAAAAAATGTCGTGTTTATTCTCAGAGGTCATGTGCCAGCTAAATCTACGGCGTTGGGGGCAGGGGGTCCTATTGCAATGAAAGACAGGGAAAATGGATGTGGGAATGGCCAGCAGGTTGCAGGTGACATTACATGGGTGTGGCTTTGCCAATGCTGAGACATGCAGGCCAACACCGGCAAGCAGTACACGGGCTTTGGGACTAGTAGAAGGACCATCAAAGAGCTTTCCAACCACAGGGCTCCTGCTAGAGGCGTAAGTCAGGAGGATGGGAAGTCAGATGAAGCAAAGTAAGGGGACCTTCGGGCAGGTTATAGTCCAGGGTGTTCCCCCAAAGGTAGCTATCTCAGGTCTTCCCCAGTTTCGGAGCTCTGTGGGATGTAACCATTTCCAACACCAGGAGAGGCTTCGAAGACCAGTTGGCCTGTGAAGTGGGCCTCTTTGGACGGGCAGTTTTCCTACAAAGGGAGGCTATTCTGGGCTGGGAACACACCAGAAGCAAGGGTTTGGCGGGGGGCCTGAGTGGGATCTGGCGGGGGCAGTCTCCTGGCCTGTGACTGGATTGTGAGTAATGGTGAACAACTTAGGGGACCTTCTGAAAGGTCCGTGGAAGCCATATTGCAGGGAGAGAGCAGAACTGAAGACTAAGGGAGATTTTAGCCCTCAGGTCACCAACTGATGGCTGAGTAGAGAGAGGAAGCCCACTGGTTTCTGACTTGGACTGCCTGTGCTACAGACCTAGCTCTTCCACTTCCTAGCCATGTGCTCTTGGGCAAGTGGATTAATGTCTCTGAATCTCAGCTTCCTCCTTCTATAAAAGTGGAGAAAAGAGCAGCATCTGCCCCTTTGGGTGTCAGTGAGCATGAATGAGGTCATGCATGCAAAGCTTGTGTCTTTGTGACTGGTAGGTAGGGAGTGCTCTCTGAATGATAGTTAGGGCTGTTATTTTTATGCTTTCATTTGAAATACCTGTATCATGTAACAAATCTTAGTGACCTTAGTGAGCCCCAAACTTAGTGATGTAAAACAGCCATTGCTTATTTAGCTCACAAATCTGTACTGTGGGCAGGGCTCAGCAAGAAGGTTCATCTCTACTCAAATGGGCATGAGCAGAGGTAGAATGCCTGGGGCTGGAGGGTCCACTTCCAAAATGGCACAGCACATGGCTGGCCAGTTGGTGCTGAATGTCAGCTGGGAGCCTTGGCTCCTCTAGGGCTTCCTCACCACAAGAAGGATAGGTTTTCAGAATGAGTGTTTCCAACAGGACCAGGCAGAAGTTGTGTGTCCTTTTGGTACCTGCTCTGGGAAGTCACATAGCTGCACTTTTGCCTGTAGTCATAGGCCCGCTGAGATTCAAGCAGAAGGAAACATACAGCTCCTCCTCCAGATGAGGCATTTTAAGAAGACCTTGGGATGGAAGATCTTGTTGCAGCTATTTTGGAAAATATAATCTGTCAAATACTAACAGAGAATCTGAAAATGAGAGGCAGACATTTGGACAAACCATAACCTCTCTTCTTTCTGGCCTCATACTGTGTAAGCTAGATGTCAAGATAATTCCCAAACAACCAAGCCTGTGTCCCTATTTGGGAAATGGTGAAGAAGAATCAATCCCCCCCAACCCCTGGCAAGTAGGCTTAAGCCACACTTACCAAATCATTAGTGGGTACAGTTGCTAACCAGCCAAGGTCTTCAATAAATAATTCCACAGACTGTATGAACACATGGACTGTTTATCTCACATTTTCAGAAATGGTCTATCTTATAAGCCAAATACACCAAAACCCAAAGATGGAAGATCAACCTCTTTAAGTAAACATTGCTGGGTGCAGAATTGCTCCCTAGAAGTCATCAAGGATGGCATAAAGCAGAAAGACAATAACAAGGGGATGAATTGCTCTCAGATTTTTATTCCTGATTAGACCTGCTTTCCTGCTTGCTATCATCCAAAATATATGCAGGCCCCTGGCTTGAAGCGTTGGGTGCTCATGAGTTTCACAGCCACGGCAAAGGCAGGCTTTTAAAGAGAAGACACCCAGAGTAACTTTGAAATAAAAGCTAGGGTTGGGCAGCCCCTTGGGGGTCCCAGGCTGTGTGCTCCTTTTAATGTGTGCGGATGCAGGGGCCCTGGGGCCCCTCCCTTGCGTGTGGCCTGGTCGATTAAGCCCCAGGAAGTGCTCACGGTCTTTCCCAGCAGCCTTCCAGCTCCATAAAACCGCTGTTATGATGAACTTGATCATGAGTCAACCAAGGGCCTCCATCTCTCCTGCACTCCCTCCGTTTGGCCCCTTGGAGCAGGTGTTTGCTGAGCCTGAGGTCTTTCTGCTTACATAACCTTTGTTCCATTTGGATGGATGAAAAATCTCCCTGAGGTTTATTGTAAACAGTCTTAGGTTCGCCCAAACACAGAAGACGAAAGGTCACCAGATTATTCATGCACGTCTCTCCTCCCCACTTAGCCCTCCCCACCCCCACCGGCTGCTGCCACGTCCCCCACGAGGTCCCATGCCCAACCTCTCCACCAGGCCATCAGTGTGCAGGGCCTGGTGATGGGGGTTCAGGGCCAACTTGGCAGCCATGATGCTGTTCCATGCCCTGCTCAGCAGCCATTTTGGCTGGATCTCCGTGAGGAAGGGCTGGGGGTGGGGAGCAGAGGAAGTTTCTTGACCAGCTGCCATGGATAGAAGCTTGCTCACGGAAAGACTGTCTTTTATGATGCCAGAAACAGGGCTGAGAACTCACGGTGAGGGGCCAGCAAGTTTCAAGGAAAGGAGGGAGGGAGGGCCTGCCTGCCCAACAGGCAGCTGCCGTCCGCATAACACTGTCCATGCTTACCTCCAGAATGTGGTGCATGCAGGGCATTTTACCCACATTTGATATCGTGTTCGCGGGCCCATTTTACAGATGAGAAGCTGAGGCTGGGGCTCAGCGAGGAAGACTAGTCTTTACTCCACTGGGTGTCAGCTGAGGCGGCTTTAATGGAGGCTGGAGGACCCACCTCCAAGATGGCTCAGTACATGCTGGTGGGTTAGGGCCGGCTGTCAGCCAGGAGCTGAGCCCAGGTGGAAGCTGGAAGCCTGGGTTATATTCTCAAAAGAGCTTTCTGTGGCTCCCCATTTAGAAATGTATAAGGGAGGGCTTTGTTTGTTACAGTGACTGGGGGCCCCAGTGAGTTACCTACACACCTATATGCAGGACTCCCTGGGCCAAGATGCCATTAAGAAAGACTGCTGGGTAAGTCACTAGCAGGGTGGCTCTCAGGGTCCAGACCTGCAGCAATGGCGTCACTTGGGAACTTGCTGGGAACTCAGACCCTCAGTTGTCACCCCAGACATCATGAAACCCCAGGGGTGAGGGATGTGGGGGGTGAAGTGGAGGAAGGCCCAGCATCTGTGTTTGCCAGCATCCTCTGGTGCTGCTGACGCAGTCACGTTTGTCATTTGCTGCCTTAGGCTGAGATCGGTCACCCTCAACCCACAGACGCAGGGGCCAGCAGCATCAGTCCATGGAGGATTGGGCTGCCTTTCCCACAGAGTGGCTCCAGGCAGCAGCTGGGAGGGCTGGAAGGGTGAGCTCCCCACCTCCTCTCCTCCTTCGCCCTGTGGGTCTTTGGGATTTAGTTTGGACCCTGCCCAGACCCAGAAAATGGTCAAGACATGTTTTAAGACTTCTCTTGGGCTTTGGTTAAACCAAGAGGGCAATGTGGATGGGGCTCAGGGCCCCCATGTGTGCACCCTGAAGGTACAGGGCTGGCCCAGGGTTAATACTGGGACCGTCGTTCTGGTGGCCTGCATGGCTACAGTGGGAGGGCCAGACTGGACCGCCAAGGATGGCTTAGAGGGGCAGCCCCAGAGAGGGCAGAGGCAGATTCTTAAAGGGATACAGACTCTTTACCCACTGCTGGGCAGCTTGCCCCACAAAGATGACAGTAATGGTGGTGGTGATAATGTTGGTGATGGTGATGATGGTGGTGGTGGTGGTGATGGTGATGATGGTGGTGGTGGTGATGGTGATGATGGTGGTGGTGGTGAAAATGGTGATAGTGATGGTGGTGATGGTGCTGGCGGTGGTGATGGTGATGATGGTGATGGTGCTGGTGCTGGTGATGACGATGATGGTGATAGTGGTGATGGTGATGATGATGATGGTTGTGGTGGTGGTGATAATGATGATGGTGATGGTAATGATGGTGATGGTGGTGGTGATGGTGATGGTGGTGATGGTGATGGTAATGATGGTGATGGTGGTGGTGATGGTAATGATGGTGATGGTGGTGATGGTGATGGTGGTGGTGGTGGTGATGATGATGATGGTGATGGTGGTGGTGATGGTGATGATGGTGATGGTGGTGCTGGTGGTAACAATGATAATGATCGTGGTGATGGTGATGGTGGTGGTGATAATGGTGGTAGTGATGGTGATGATGGTGGTGGTGGTGATAATGGTGATGGTGATGATGATGATGTTGGTAGTGATGGTGATGATGATGTTGATGGTGGCAATGATGATGATGATGATGGTGGTGTTGACAGTGACAGTGATGATGATAGTGGTTGGTCTCACTCTCATTATATAATGTGCAGGCCCTGCAGGAGCTGAACTCCACTTTTGCACTCAGTCCTATCAAGGGTGAGCCTCCTTCCTCACTTCCCTAAAGGAGTAGAGGGCAGCATCATTCTTTACCTGCCTTCCATCATTTTAGATAGTCAAACACAAATGGTCCCAAGGGTGCCTCTGATTTAGCCCCTACCCCAGCACCTTCACGTCGAATCCTCCATTACCACCCCCAAATTACTTCCTGGGATGGCTGGTTGCTTGGAATATGCCCAGACCAGGGTGACCTAGGTCTTTGCTCATCCTACATAACAGCTTTGATAAACACAGGAAATGCGGTTTTGTTTCCAGACATCACTACTCAAGACTGACGGGTGGGACATGCTCCTTCCAGGAAAAGGCCCTGAACCCAGCCTCAAAATTGACCTCCCTGGATCCCAATGCCGGTGGGACCCCTGAGGCCATCCTAAGTCCAAACCCCACCTCCCTAGGAAGGAAACTCCCGGGCTTGTGGCGGGGCTCTCCAACACTCTTCAGGGGGCAATGATATCACACTCTGAGGACACTATCACACAAGTGATGGAGGCATCACCCACTTCTGTTCTCCATTTGGAAATGCCAAGTCATTCTCAAAGGAGGAGGGGAACAGCCACAAGCATTGGTGTGGGGACGTCCATGAGCCTGATAGGTCAAATCCTAGCACTGCCAGTCAGAGTCATATGACACTCAACGAGTTGCTATGCCTCAGCTTCTGCACACATCCAAAGAAAGTAATAATAGTTCTTGGAGAACCGTTGTGGGAATTAAATGAGGGGCATATGGTGACTTCTAATCATGATGCACTGAATGAATGCTGTTTGCACAGATGGATGAATGAATGGGTGGATGGTGGGTGAGTGAATGGATAAATGAGTGGGTGGGTGTGTGGATGGATGAATGGATGGGTGGATGGAATGGTGGATGGGCAGGTGGGTGGGTGGATGAGTGAATGGATAAATGGGTGGGTGGGTGTGTGGATGGATGAATGAAAGGGTAGATGGAATAGTGGGGGGCAGGTGGGTGGGTGGGTGAGTGAATGGATGAATGGGTGGGTGGGTGTGTGAATGGATGAATGAATGGGTAGATGAAACGGTGGATGGGCAGGTGAGTGAGTGCATGGATGGGTAGATAGATGGGTGGGTGAATGTATGGATGGGTGAACAAATGGATTAGTGATTCAGCCTCTGCCCTTAACAAGTTCAGACCTTCAAGAAAGCACCTCTGCCTGTGCAGCTCCCTTTCCCTGGAGTGTCCTCTCATCCCTCCTTCTTTTTATCCACCTAGAAATTGCCAGGTTCTGAGTCTCCCCATCGTGTTGCCAGGAGACAGTTGCATTTCCACAGGGAGCTCCAAATGTGCACTGTTGAAACCTTAAACAGAGGCTTTTGGGTTACATTAGTTGGGCTCCAGAGGTGAAACCTGATGCCTGCAAACAATAACAAATAATCATCATCATCATAATAATGAAATAAAAGATAAAAATAAAACATGGGTTTAGGGGTGGATAGAGGCATGGAAGGATGTACTGGTAGAGTGAATACTTTCTGTTGCAGGACTGCTCTCCATGGCTGACTTCATTTTATACTTAAAAACAAGCCTATGTGGCACTATGGTTATCATTTCCATTTTACAGATGGGGAAACTGAGGCACGGTGAAAGTTTTTTTGTTTGTTTTGTTTTGTTTCCTTTAAGTAATTTATCCAAGGACACTCAGCAGGTCTTTGTGCGAGCTCAGATTTCAGCCAAGGCTGTCTTGCCCCACACTTGAGGAGCCCCATTTTGCCCAGTGGTTGAGGTTAACAGCATTCTCCTTCCTCCTCGTGCTCTGCTGAGCAAAACTCACGACCTGGCCAAATGCCGTGCTCAGGTTCAGCCAGAAGCAGTGCCCCGGGTGACTGCAGACCCTCCAGAACTTGAGGATCCCACCCTCTGACCCAACACCCACCCCTGAAACTGATACTGTGTGCCTCACACAGAAGGCCAAGGCCCCCAGGACGACGAGACTGCCCTCCGAGCGGCCTGAGCCCAGAGACAGCAGCCTCCATCGGACCCAAGGCCTCCGACCGCCCTGACGAACCTCAGCGGCAGCGCAGACGTCAGAGAGGTTTCTTTCGCAGGCAGCGAGGGGAAACTTGCAACGCAGAGGTGAGTCACCCTAAAAACTCAGTGAAGTAGTAACAGCGCCAGGCATGAACTCCGCTTTCGGCCAAGCCAAACAAATAGCCTGGAGGGAAGGGGTGGTGGTGGGGGTGAGGAGCTGTTATTTCAGTTTATAGGTCTCTAAGGCAGTTTACGAGGCTGCGTGGTCTGTATCATAAGTGGGCAGTATGGTCAATTCTATTATATCTGGGCCCATTCCAGGCCTCAGTGGTTTGAAGAGAAAACCAACTCTGCAGAATAACGGTGCCTCGCCCCATGTCCCCAGATATAACTTTCTTCGATGACTCTTTAAATCTGCCCGCCTTTCACATGGCTGTCCGCCCAGCTGCTGTTCACCAGCTATCACCAACTGTCTTCCCTTAGTTTGTCCTTGGGAAGCTCAACCCAGCGTGGTTCATTTTCTCTAAGTGGATCGCTGCTCAGGGAAAAAAAAAAAAAAGAACGCTCTAGCCTAAACTTTCTCAATCCTGGTGATGCGTTAGAATGATCCAGAGCACCCGACAAGCTAGAGATGCCTAAGGTAGCCCCAGGAGCACAGGTTCAAATGGCCCTGGGGTGGGGGCTCAGGAACTGGTATCTTATAGTGGCCCTGCCCTGCTCTTCGTGTTGCTGAGAGGAGCCTGGGTGAGAACTGTGGCCAGTTCGCGATTGTGGGCATTAGCATTACCTGGGAGGGGGTCACAGATGAGTGTTCATGCCCTCATCCCACTTCCATGTCAGCAGATCTGCGAAGGAGCCCGGGAATCAGCCTTTCAAAGCAGCTTCTTGCACAGCAGGCAGGGCCAGCGCCGGGGAAACACTGCTTGGCCAGTTGCCCCTCCCTGGCCTTAGAAGTATCCCTTGCAAAGGAGGGGACACAGTCTGGTAACTGCCTTCCCTGCTCTCACCCTGGGCTTTCTCCCCCTTACTGCCCCTCCCCAATCACCCTTAGAAGAACATTTCCAATGAGAGGTCCCAGGATCATCCAGCCTCACCCGGGAACTTGTTAGGAAAGCAAATTCCTGGGTTCTATTCCAGACTTACCCACCCAGGAAGTTTGGGAGGAGGACCTGACCGTTTGCTCTAGCAAGACCCCTGGCGTATCCCGAGTGAGGCTCCAGTTGGAGAAACACTAACTTAGAAGAAGGAGGAGACCTATGCTGGGATTTCTTGAGGAGTCACCCCCACTCACTAGCTGTATGATCTTGGAGAAGACGCTTAGCATCTTTGACCCCATTTCTGCAAGACAATGTGGATCTTTGATTTGTGTACATCCTTCGGAGCTGGGCACCTTCACCAAGCTGAAACCCAAGGGCATACATAGGCTGGGCAAGTTTTACCACCCACCCAGTTGCAGACAAGGTAATGGAGGCTGGAGGAGCTGTGCTGCAACCTGCCCAGACACAGCAGTGTATGATGGCGGGGCCTTGTTCTGCCGTCCACCAGGTCTAGGACACCCTCCCCATCCTGCAGAGTCAGCCTAGGTCATTGTCAAGACCAATGCTGACTTTCCAGGAATGCCATAGGCTGCAGAGCACGACTCCCAAGGCCTTGGGCTATGGGTCCCCAAAAGCCAGCAGCGATCAGCACCCAGAGTCCTCCACTGGCCTGGGAGAGAAGGGGGCATTGCTTCAACAGTTGCACTCTAGAATGGTCCCCGCAGTGGACACCAAGAAAGCCGCTCAAGCCAGGATCACAAGGGAGCAGATGGCCTCCAGGATGGGCCCAGGTTCTCCTTGAGAGTGTGTGTCCTTTGGTGCACCCTCCGCACCATCCCTGGGAGCGGGATTCTGAGCACAGTCACCGTGAGGGGGGCAGGGAATTCTAGTGGGGCCTGGCCAAGAGGCTGCCGCCCCAGCCCCACACACTGCAAAGCTTATTTTCCTACCTGCAGTGAGAGGGAGGTCCCAGCTCTGTTCAATGCAGCAGAGAGGGAGTTAGGGTCTGTAAGTAACAACGGGTCGAGCTTGAGAACCTGGAGACCTCAGCTGGGGAATGGGGATGGGCATGCATGATGCAAACTGCTCCCTGGCCAAAGCCAGGACTAGGGTGAGACCCAAGAGGCATTTGTCTCTGGCACAAAATTGAATAATGGATGCCCAAAAACCAAATGATCAAGATAATATCTTTTTTTTTTGAGACAGAGTCTTGCTCTGTCACCCAGACTGGAGTGCGGTGGCATGATCTTGGCTCACCACAACCCCTGTCTTCGAGGTTCAACTGATTCTCCTGCCTCAGCCTCCTGAGTAGCTGAGAGTAGCTGCCTGTAAATGCGTGCACCACCATGCCTGTTTTAGTAGAGAAGGGGTTTCGACATGTTGGCCAGGCTGGTCTTGAATGTGACACTTTTTAAAGATAACGTTAATACCAGAGAACGCTAATGAACAAAATATTTAAAAATATTAAAATTGTAAATAAAGACAGAATCTGACCCTGGCCTTGTAGAACCCTGCCTTGCTGGCCATCCTCTAATCCTGGCCCTGGTTTCAATAAAACTTTCTTCCTCATAACAGGCTAGCCAGTGGCAGCAAGCAGCAGTTTGCCGGTTTGGTTTTTTAAAATATTATTCTAAAGTATCATTTCTCAAGATTTTTGGTGCACAGTTAAATTTTGCAGCAAGTCCTCCCTGGTCCCACAATTCAGTGAACCTGCTCTGGCCTGAAATGTCCCACAGTGAGACGCTGGTAAGCCCGGCCGGACTAAATCACAGGTGCTGGGTATCCCAGCAGCCACAGGAGTCCTGCCGCTCAAGGCGGTTCCCGCGGGCTCTCTTCTCACTTGGTGAGACTGTATATTTGCAGAGAACATTCTCGACGCCATGGCTGCTGACTGGGCAGAGCCTTTGCCAGGGTATTTGCATCAAAGTCTTCTCAACTTTAAAGGTGTATGACATTTCTGAGACAAAATACAGCTCAGCTAATCATATTTTAATAGCTCTACCTTTACAAGCGGCCTGACTCGGAGTGTATACGGTAATATTTTAATTTCTCAGCTCTGATGAGCATCATTCCAACCAGGTATTCAGTTTCCCCATTTATAAATTTTGCTCCCAGATGTTGGATGCCAGAGAACTCTACATAACAGCTCTACCAATATAATATTTAATACTGGATGTCAGTTTTGGTGTTCCACTCAATTTCCTGGAAAGAGGTTGAAACTCCTCTGATTTAGGCAAAATATCCAATCAGTTGCATACTCCGAGGCCCGGCCCAGATTGCCATATAATACCACATAACTTGGGGCTCTCATTTCTGAAATGCAAATTTGGAGCAGATGTAGGAAAAGTTTGTCATTTATTTCCAAATGTAACAGTTATCAGGCCGAGTCACCGGGAGGGATAATTAGCAAGAGACCAAGTTCACAAGCCTGTCCCCCTAAACCAGGAGACTTGCTGGGAGACCTACCCCAGCCCCGGTGGGGAGAACAGCATGGGGGGTGTTGGGCTGGGGGTCTCAGATCAGCTACTGATGGAAGAGGCTACATTGGACCTGTAGGTCTGGAGCAGGTTTTGCATTTGACTTAGAATTTTTAAAATAATGGTTTTGGGACACAGGAAGGTGGTCAGCATGTAATCCTGCACTTCATTTTAAATATGAAGATCAGGCCAGGCGTGGTGGCTCGCGCCTGTAATCCCAGCATTTTGGGAGGATGAGGCGGGCGGATCACGTGAGGTTAGGAGTTTGAGACGAGCCTGCCCAAGATGGTGAAACCTCGTCTCTACTAAAAATACAAAAATTGGCGAGGTGTGATGGTGGGCACCTGTAATCCCAGCTATTCCGGAGGCTGAGGCAGGAGAATCGCTTGAGCCTGGGAGGCAGAGGTTGCAGTGAGCCAAGACTGTGCCACTGCAATCCAGCCTGGGTGACAAGAGCGAGACTCGGTCTCAAAAAAAAAAAAAAAAAAAAAAAAAACATGAAGTTTGGAGTATCTGCAGTCACAGTGTCACCCCAGGCTGACTAACTTCCCTCAGTCCAGCTCTCTCTGTATGATTTTGGGGGAGGCAGGTCACTCAGTTCTTTGAGACTCAGAGGAGCTTATTTTCTTGGCGATGCCTTCCTGGTGACCTTAATGCTTGTAGTCAGCTGAAGAAGAGCTGCCTGGGGTGCAAAAGCCACGAAAAACACCATGTTGTAGGTGGCCAGTGCCTCTAGGGAGCCAGACCAGCCTCCAGAGTGGGCCAGGGTGAGATATCCCAGGGTTGGGAGGTATTTTTCCGAGAAGTTACTTATCAACTAATTGGTACTTCCGTTTCCTCATCCCAAGGAGGAATGATTGGTTCCTCGCAGGATTCCCTGTGATGATATAAACAGGGTGGAGGAAACAATAAAGCAAAGTACATGGAGCTCCCGATGGGGTGGATTCCTGACATCCAGTACTGCATGCTGTTCATGGTCCAAACGTCACGGAGGCAAGATGACAAGTCCTTCAAAACAGGCCCTTCTAGGGGGACCGAATAATTTCCATCAGTGACTAGGAAGTTAAGAGGTCGTGCATCTAACCCCACCTCTCCTGGGACCTCACTGTGTGCCTCAGTTTCCCCTTCTGTCAAAAGAGAAGGTTGGGCATGGGAGCTTCAAAGTCCCTTTCAGCTCTCAGGAGACTTCCTTCCCTGCTGCCCTTGCTGGGGATGGAGGATGTAGACAAAGACCCCTTCCCATTTTCTTGTCAGGGGAAGAGGAATGTGAGTCCTTAGCATGTTGAGGCCCCAAGGAGAGCTTAAGGAGCCAGAGCTGCAATGGCATATGGAGGAAGTGTGTGGGTGGCTCCCAACTTTCCTGCCTCTTCCATTCTTGGTCTGGCCAAGTTCAGGAGCATCCCTCCTCTCGCCCTGCAAGGGCATCGAGTCACCCTCCCCTCCCTTCTCCCCTTGTCTCTTTCTTTCCTTCTTTCCAGATACCAAGCCGCTTGACCTCCACTGTAACGGCCTCAAGTCTCCCCATCGTCTGGGGGCTCTGCTGCTAATTGGGTCGTAAAAGATGATCCTACTGCATAGCTGTCTGCAAAGCGGGGCCCCCGTGACACAGGATCAATGAAATGCATAGCTGTCTGCAAAGCGGGGCCCCCGTGACACAGGATCAATGAAATGCAGACCACAGGGTGGGCTTACCTGCTGACACTCTGGGCAGAGCCAGGACTGCAGAAGTCAGAGGGTGACTGGATGCTCAGGATGGGAGAGGCAAAGACTGGGGGATGAATCATCCCTCCCTGGAGGCCTCCTCATGCCTCTGACCCCCCAGGCTTCTGTTAAAGCGGCCAAAGCCCTCCTCACGCACTCCAGTCAGAACATGGCCCCCTGGGGCTGCTTCGCAAAGGCCCACAGTCCCGCGAGACCCCGTCCAGAAAGAAGCCCCACGTCTGAGTGGCTCCACCTGGCAGTTCATTCATTCATTCACTCATTCGAGCATCACTCGTTTACCGAGTACCTCTGACAATTCTGGCACTGAGCTGCACCCTAGGAGTGCATGAATGGTGTGGCCAGGACCGTGGCTTTCCGTCTTGTCTGCTGTCACCTCCACATTAATAAAGCCCCGTGTTTAGTCGGGGGTGTGGCCACCCAGGCATGAAACTGCACTTCCTGCCTCCCTTGCAGCTAGCTGTGGCCATGTGATTGCACCCTGGTTAACAAAACTATGCAGGGTGTGGGGGGCCCTTCCTTCAAAAACAAACAAAAGAAACACAGTGGGCCCAAGCCCCTGGGTCCTTTCCTCTCAGTGGTCCTCTCTCCTGCTGGCTGGAATGCAGATGGGAGGGCTGAAGCTGAAGTGGCCAGTCTTGAGAAGGTGCCTGGGGACAGAGGACCCACATGGTAGAGCAACAGACAAAGAAGCCACTTCTCTGGACGGCTGGAGGGAAACGCATCTCTCCACCCTGGCCTGCCTTCCTCTAGACTTTAGTGTGAAAGAGAAAAACACAAAATCTACCTTCTTTAAGCTACTGTGACTTAGGGTTTTCCAGCTGAGGATAATTGAAACCTACACAGCAGGTCATGGTGCCACATCCTGGTGCAGGGCTGTTGGCAGCACAGAAAGCCCACTGGCCTGGTCTCAGGGGATTGGAGAGGCGTCCCGAGGGGTCTGTGTCTTGGCTGTGCCCTGTCAGGTGTGTTGGCCAAGGGAAGACGGGTAGGGAGGCATTTCAGGGCTGGAGGTGGGAAGAAGTTCAGTGTGTTTGGAGAAGCTCTGGACTCTTCAGGGTGGTGGGGACCCCTGCTTTGCATCTATAAAATACACCAGGCCTTAAAATATGTGACCTGTGATTCAAAGGGAGAGGCTACTGGCTGGAGTGCAGTGGCGCCATCTCTGCTCACTGCAACCTCTGCCTCCCAGGTTCAAGTGATTCTCCTGCCTCAGCCTGCCCAGTAGCTGGGATTGCAGGCACCTGCCACCACACCTGGCTAATTTTTGTATTTTTAGTAGAAATGGGGTTTCACCATGTTGGCCAGGCTGGTCTCGAACCCCCGACCTCAAGTATCCACCAGCCTCGGCCTCCCAAAGTGCTGGGATTATAGACGTGAGCCACCATGCCTGGCCTAGACTTCTGACTTTAAAGACTAGTAAAAACCTGATTCTATGCTCTTTGAAAATCTGCACCTGCAGAAATTCATCACTGTCATTTTGGCCTCGGAGAGACGCTTCTCAGCTGGGTTCAGGGCTGGATGACTTGTCCTGTCTTCCTGCCCCGGTGGTTGACATCCTCAGCCAGATGTTAAGCCCCCTCCTCTCCTTAGGTTCAGACTCTCCCCTTTCAAAATGCCAGCAAGTCCCAAAAGAACAGATGAAGGCGAGGGGCCAGGACAAGACCATCCCATGGCGGGCTGGGTGTTGGGCTGGATGGCTGCCCCCATCCAGTGACATAGGGCAAGGAAGTCCTGGCCAGATGCCAAAGGAGCACCAGCAACTCCAAATTCTTATCCTGTGCGTGGCTCTGGGGAATCATTTTATCAGATCAGCCTTCATACAAATAAATGAATCCATTGCCTCAGAGGGTCCCATTGTTGTCAAACGGAATCAGCATGCCTCTGTTTTTATTTCTGTGTAAATAACATCTGCTTCCAGAATTACTAGAATTTGTAGTAATAAGTGCACACATAAAGAGCTTAAATTTCTACATTGTTATTCTTCATTCATTTCTTCATTCGTTTGTTCTGTGAGATTGTCTGTCTTTTGACTTCTCTCTCTCTCTATTTTTCTGAGGCAAATTTCCTAAGACAAGCCTGAATTATTGGAAGTGGATCTAGGTCCTGAGGGGGGCACAGGGCACCGTTAGTGTCAGTTTCTTGGCCTGGGTGCTGGATACAGAACTGTATCCAGTGGGTGATGGTTGAAAAAGCTGTTCGTTTGTATCTCTGAAATTTTCTGCTTGTGTGTTATTCTTCAATAAGATGTTTATTAGATTAAAACAATGAGCTACCTCTACACACCTATGAAATGGCTAAAATCCAAAACAATGACAACACCAAATGCTGGTGAGGATGTGGAACAACCGGAGCTCTCATTCATTGACGGTGGGAATGCAAAATGGTGCAGCCACTTTGGAAGACAGTTTGGCAGTTTCTCATAAAACTAAACACACACGTATCATATGATCCAGCAATAGTGCTCTATAGTCCAAATGAGTTAAAAACTGACATCTAGAAAAAAAAACCTGCACACAATGTTTATAGCAGTTTTATTTATAATTGCCCAAACTTGGAAGCAACCAAGATGTCCTTTAGTAGGTGAATGGATAAACAAAATGTGGTACATTCAGACAATGGAATATTATTTAGCAATAAAAAGGAATGAGCTATCAACCCTTGAAAAGTCATAGAGGCACCTTCAATGCACATTGCTCGGTGAAAGAAGCCCATTTGCAAAGGCTACATAGCGTATGATTCCAACAATATGACATTCTGGGAAAGGCAAAACCATGGAGATGGTAAAAGGATCAGTGGTTGCTGGGGTTGAAGAGAGGGATGAATAGGAAGAGCACAGGGTATTTTAGGGCAGTGGAAGCACTCTGTATGATACTGTGATGGGGACACATGTCTTCTTTTTTGTGTTGAGACAGAATCTCACTCTGTTGCCCAGGCTGGAGTGCAGTGGCGCGATCTTGGCTCACTGCAACCTCCGCCTCCCAGGTTCAAGTAACTCTCCTGCCTCAGCCTCTGGACTCTGCAGTAGGCTGTATCATATGGTAATTCTATGACTAAAGCTTCTAGCATTTTTAAAACTGCTTACATGATGGTAAAGTCAGCATGAAACAGAGCCATAGCTCACTGAGCGCATGCAGCCTATGCAGGGAGCAGGCTAAGGGTTTCATGATCGGAATTCTGTTTAACGATCCCACCAACACCATGAGGTAGGTGATACTCTTGTCTCCATTTTACAGATGGAAAAACAGTCCCACAGCTGCTGTCAGAGGTGGAATCTAGCCCACTCTGAGGCCAAAACCTCTACTTGGACCTGTGGTGTTAGAATTCTATGAAGCTCTGTGGATGTAAAACTGAGAATGATCATGGCAGTAGATATTGGACACTGATCCTTGCAACCAATGAGGATGTGTGGCTGTGGATTCTCCACCAGGGACACTTGCTTGTCTACAAAGTGCATCATGGGACATGGGGTTGGATAACGCAGAGAGGATAATGCTCTCTGACTCAAATCATGCCTCTCCACATGGGATAGGAAGGAGAGTTGATTTTGCTATTCTTGCCACCAGGATATAATCAAACACGAGAATAGACCAGATATAGAAAGGACCCAACAGATATTCGCAGTCCGGGCAGGTGGTTAGTGCCCAGCATTAGGGCGCCAATGCCTCCTGCCAGCTTTATCTGCTCACTGCATGAGTTTTGCCACTCACAGAATAAGAACAACCTTGCATTTAGAACTTCACTCGTATATTCTATTGTGCCATCATGTGCTCTGATTATTAGCAGGTAATAAAGTTCCGTACTTGTAAGACCATTATAAGACAGTCAATCGCTTCCCTGAAGATGCTTAAATACTCATAAGAGTCTGGTCAGTGTGGTGTGACAGGAGCTGTCTGCAGGATGCCCTCTGGCCACAGTTGATCACATGACGAGTCTCTCTAGTCAAGGCAGGATTCAGTGCTGTCGATAAGCAAAAACTCCTGGCTGTGTTCAGTCCACCTCAAATGCATTTTCCATCTGTGGATTATTAAATTACATGCATATTTAACTGAAAATGATTATCTCCTCACTGGTTTCAGTGGACCTAGTTAGGGGAGGTATTTCAGTTCTGTCGTCGTTTTAAAATTAAAAATCAAAACATCAATTTCCATGTGCATGTTGATTCTTCCTCAGAAATACACACCGGGGTGTGTTACAATCATTTCTCAACCATTTGAGCTTTCGATGTACTTGTAGGTATGTTTATTTGGCCTCTGGCTGCGTTTTTCACTTAAAAATCAGGATCACATGTCTAATCTCAAAGGGTAGGATAATCCCGGCTCGCATGTGCGTTTGGCAAACGTTCGCATTGGTTTAGCATCAAGAAATGGCTTCCACGGGAGGATCTGCAATTTTATACTTTGCAAAAGACAGCTTTCTGTTGCATCCCCCATATTGTTAGGAACAAACTCTTTTCTTATTTGAAGAAAAGAACCTGCCCTTTTATGGGAAAACTAGTTCAGCTCTGTGTATATTATGCCACATGAAAGCAGTTTTGCCTTCATTTGTGGCTGCCTGATTACAAAGACAAGATCTTTAATTAAAATTGGTTTGGTTCTGTGTATTTCTTTCAAAGAAAACCATCGAAATAGCATTTGTGACTCATTACCTTCTTAACAGTGATGTTCTCCTTCTTGCCTCAGCATTGGGTCCATTTTGATGGAGATGCTGACCTCGAATGATCAGGGGACTGTGCCAACAAAGAGCTTTGTCTTCATCCTCAGGTTGGCTTTCTGGTGCTGTGACTTTGACCTGGGCAGTGAGTTTTTGTCTGAACAATTGTTTTGAGGGCATGGAAACCTCAGTCTTACCTGAGTCCAGGAGGGCATGGTTGAGGCCTCTGCAGGCCAGCTAGCATCCTCTGGGTGGGCCCCGGGCTGAAGCACCAGGGGATGCCCCCATTCACTTGGCTGGAAGGCCAGGGAAGGCCGGAGCTGATTTTCTCATTATCCCCATATGTCCAGGGTGGATTTGGAATCACATGGCTGGCAGGAACTCTTTCCAGCTGAGGAACAAGATTGCCTAGATCCGAAGGCTGTCTAACATGTTAGCAAAATTAGTGCTTAGCAATATTTTTGAGGATCTGTGGTTGGGTATTTTGTGTTTTTTCTTCTGCCAAAACAAGCTTGCTAACTTCTTTGCTTCTCTGTTTCCTGCAAAGAAAAGCAAGGGAGGGGGGACGCCAAATCATTTGCACATTTCACGTTGACGGAGCCCTGTGCTAGCACGATCGGAGGTCAGACGGGAAGCCAGGCTTCTCGGGCGGGGCTTGTAATAACAGAGTGACCCGGGCTCACTCACCCCACCCAGCACTTCCCACCTGATCCCAGCAGGAGCTGCTCTTAGCTGCTCTCCCTCCTCCTCTTCCATGAATCCAGAGCTTTCAAAAATTTGGCAGAGTAAATTGGAATCTTAGACTTTTCTAAGTGTGGGTTGTATTTTTCAGTTCTCCTTCCTCCCCACCTAAGCAAGACCAGCCATATCCCAATTCCTTAGGCAAGTCATGATGACAAGAGCTAAGCTTCAATGAGCACCTGCTGTGTACTGGGTCCAAGTGCGTTCTGCTCACTGATACCTTTAACCCTCATAATAACCTAGATCTGGATTGCTAAGATTGAGTCTTAGTTCTGCTGAGCAGTGTGACCTTGCACAAGTTACTTAACCTCTCTGTGACTCAGAAAGACACAGTGGAGAAAGTATGTGACTGACCTCAAAATGTTGTTTTAAGCAAATAAGGCTAAATATGCAATGCTCTTAAGAGTAGTTCTGGGTACATGATAAGCACCTCCGTCCCAGTGTTAGCTGTTACTGTCCCATTGTCCTGAAGCCAGGCGATTACCTAAGAGCACACAGTGCACTGCTGGCAGAGCTGGGCTTCGGGCTTTTGACGAGTAGGCTGCAGTGCCTTGGACAGAAGCAGCAGCTGCAAGATACCATCACTGTGTCGGGGTATGTGCAGAGAAGAGCTCCTTATGCAAGCATTCTTCAGTGGCTGCAGGCCATAGCTGCATGCAGGCAAACGCAATGCCAAGGCATGTGTGTGTGAAAGAAGGAAAATGTTCACCACCATCCTCTTGCCCCACCTTCTAAAAGAGAAAGGGTACTCCCTTTACTTGGCTGGTTCCTGGGCTGGAGTGTGGTGTGAGGACAAGGGAAGCAGGGTGGAGGCGATCTAGAAGATGGGACAGAGAGAGGCCACAGGATGTAACAGCCAGGGTGTGTGACCAGCCAAATGTCCATCAATGGAGCTTGGTTAAATAAATGGTAGTAGACTAAATATCACACAGCTGCCACCAAGATGGAGGAAGCTCTGTGGGGGCTGACAGGGAAGGAGCACCAAGGTATATTGTTAGGGGGAGAGCCAAACTGCAAAATGGTGTGTATGACGCACTAACTTTTGTGTAGGAGGAATAAGATATACACACTCTTTCCTTGCTATACTCGCAGACTTGGTTCCAGGACCCCTCAATATATCAAATCTGTGCATATTCTAGTCCTGCAGCCAGCCCTGTGGAACCCACGATACCAACAGTCAGCCCTCTGTGTGTGCAGGTTTCACATCCACGAACATCGTATTTCCATCCTTGTTTGGTTGAAAAAAATTCACATATAAATGGATACGTGGACTCAAACCCGTGTTGAACCAGTTCATACCTACGTTGTTCAGGGTCCACTGTAGTTGCGTTTTCTTTTATGTGCATGAAGTAATCCTAGAAGAATAAAACTGGTTATCCAGGAAGGGTGCAGAGAGGAGGAGATGCTAGAAACTGAGCAAATGGGGCACAGAGATGGGAGCAAGCTCTCTCTACATGTGTGTCTGTGTACTGTATGTACATATATTGTATATTGTATATATATGCTGTATACATAATTTCATCCACATATACATTATTAATTAATATTAATAAAACATTAATATTTATTAATGTCATAATCAATATAGTATTATATATTTCTATTTATATTATATACTTGTATAATTATATATTATTATAATGTTATAATTAATACATTAAAATTGCACATTAATTAATAAAACATTAATATTTGTTAATGTTATAATTAATAAATATACATGTGTATGTATATTAACCCATGTGAATAGTTAAATGTGTATATACTTAATAACAGAGCTTGAAAATATCATAAAGCAAAATTTTATAGTAAAAAAGGAGAAACCAAGAAATCAACCATCATAATTGGAGATGTTAAAATCCTCTCAGTAGTTGATCGAAGTAGGCAAAAGAAATCAGTAAAAATATAAAAGATTGGAACAACACTAGCGACCACTTGACCTAATAGAACATATAGAATACTCACTCAGCAAGTGTAGAAAACTCACTCTTTGTGACTGTATGTGAAACATTCGTCAAGACAGACCATATGCTGGAACATAAAACAGTTGTAATACATTGCAAAAGACTAAATGTCCAGAATATGTTCCCCGACCACAATGGAATTAAGTTAGAAATCAACAAGAAAATATCTGGAAAAAATCCCGAGAGACTTGGAAATTAAGGAACACTCTTCCAAATAACCCATGGGTCACAGAAGAAACCGCAGAGGAGCGGTGGATCAAAGAGCACGGACACTCACGCCTCCAGCAATAAAAGACTGGCTCAGCTGAGCCTGTGTGTCCTTGGATGACGCAGAACACAGTGGCCCCATCAGTCCAGAGAACCCGGAGCTGCCATGCTGTCTCTTGCCGAGGCAGTGGCAGAGGTTCCTGGAGTTTTGAACTCCCCTCCCAGCACCCACTAGAAGCCCACCCTTCTGGGATTGCCAGCTGGAGGGAGCCTCATGCTGAGGTGGGCAGGGAAGGTGATCCTTCATCCTGGTCTGGGAATGATTTTGTGTGGTGAAAATAGAAGCAGCACTTTTATCCAAGGAGAGAGGCATAATCACCAAATGCACATGAAATTGCTTAAACTCTGGGAGCCGACAGCCCCCTTGGTTTAATTACACAGCGGGGCCGTATTCTGCTGAAACCATTACATTTTAGATCTTCTCTCTCACACACATCCAGGCGCGCACACACACACACACACACACACCCTGCCCAGCCTCCGGGGGCAGCCAGCAGGACTTCCCATCCCCACCCTCCCTCCCTCTCTGAGATGGGAGTATATATTTAGCCTTTTGCAAGGTGAGGATATTTTTGAATTAGATATTTGTTCACATAGTCCAATATGCCTAAGTCCACAGGGATAGAGTGTAAGTTTCTTCCCCTCCTGTCCCTTCTGCATACTACCCAGCTACCCAGATACAACCAGCGCCATCAATCTCTTGCAAATCTTTCTGAAAATCATTCCCACCACAAGCCCATCTATCCCTCCACAGCCCTTATTCCGGAAGGGATATGTGAATTTTTGTATCATCTGTTTGCAGTAAGTAGCCAACCACTTCTCTTCCCAGCAAACAAGCTGGCCTCCTTCAGGATAGCTCCCTGTTAGAAGTCAAATAAAGGGTTCGTCTCCAAGGAGGGCCCGTTCCAGGTAGCGGTAGCTCGAGCCACAGCCACTGTGCCCAGAGCTGGTTAACGAGCCGGCCTTGAGGTCCCCACCCTCCCCAGTTGCAGCCGTGAAAGGCCCCCTTTGTGACAGGGGAGGGCTCCAATGGGACACAATGCTCTCTTGTCGGAAAGGCCTCCTGGAGCTGTCCAGGAGCAGCTGAGAAGGAAGGGAGCAATTTTTTAGCCGTTCCCGCAGGCTGGTGGAATCTGTGGAGACTCACGTTTCCAGGCCCGAGCTGGCACGTGGGCTCCTTCCCCCGGCAGACCTGACCTCTGCCTCGAGAAGGCCAGGGTGCAGGGTACAGAGCCTCAATGTCACCCTTCTCCAAGACAGGCTAGCCCTGGGGTGGGGGCCATAGGGGAGCGGCACCGGGCTTCGGCCACCCCTCTTGGCCACCAGAGGAGCAAGGCTCCTGGGAGGGTATGATGGCCAGAATGAAACTCAAATCTGTAGTTCCAGGTGATTCCATTCTTCCTGTTATTCTAAAACTAAGTGCTTCACACGTTTGGGAAGTATTATTAAATACGGGTCTGTTGGATGGTCTGTGGTCAGAGCTAATTTCTTCCAGTTTGCAGAGTCTAGTTACCAGACCCCTCCAGAGGAGCTGTCAGAATTGTTTTGGCTGCAAATGCCACTTGCAAAGTTTCTGCTGGCTCTGAGGCCTGGGCCCTGTGGAAGAGACCTGTGCCTTCGCAGCATTTCTTTAGAATTCGCTCCAAGATCGCAGTTCCCTCCTGGTTGGAATTTGAATGTAAAATCCAAGGCAATTGCGTGATCGCTGAAAACCTAACGGAGTAATTATTTTCCTTCACTCCAGTGGGATGAAAGTTTGAGATTTTGTGTTGTCTTAGGGTTACCCCAAAGGCAAACCTATAATTGATTTTTTTGAAAAAATGATCTGGCATTTTAAACATTCTTTTCACATTTCTCCAAAGCATTTGACAGACACAAATTCTCCCAACGTTCCAGAGAAAAGAGATGGGGATTATGTTCTGCTCTGGATTAGAAGATGCATCGGCAAGAGTGGAATGAGGTTTCCATTTGTCAAAAGAGGAATTCAGGGTTGAGGCTAAGACTCCTGGGTGTGCGTCCTGCTCCCAGCTGTCAGCCCCAAGGTTGCCATGGGGACAGACAGTGACATCTGATCAAGAGAACAGAGTGTAGATAGAGCCAGAGGGCCTGTGTTCAAATCCTGACCCTCCCTGTTCTAGCCATGAAAACCTGAGCAAGTTGCCTGACCTTTGGAGGCCTTAGTTTCCTCATCTGTAAAATGGGTGTAACAATATCATAGTATCTAACTGTATAATTAAAGAAGTTAATACTCAGAAGCGGGTTATAGGCCCTTGGTGCATAAAAAATGCTCAGTGTTGCTGTGCTCATCCTCTCTTCCTGCCCTTCCTTCACCCATGGCAAGGTGCCGCTCTCTGGAGGGAGCTGTCCAACTGTGGGCTTGCCAGGTGGCTGAAAGGCCAGCAAAGGGCCGAGGCGCTGACTTTTTGTCCCATTGATAAGCTCAGAAGTGGAGAATGACAAAAACCTTAAAGTGTCAGTCAGCACCTCAGAATAATCCTAAGTGGTGGTGCTACAAGGCTGGGCCCAACGTCAGATACAGGCAGAGCCTGGGCCTGCAGGGAAGAGGGACCCAGTCAGGGACAGTGTGATCTGACCTTGGCCCCTGCCATGGGCAGGTTTATGCATCAGTGTGGCCAGGCTGTAGTGCCCAGAGATTCAAACACTCATCTAAATGTTGCTGCAAAGGTATGCGGTGGATGTGTTTAACCTCTACCATCAGCCGGCTTTAAGAGAAGCAGATTACCTGTGACAGCGAGGGTGGGCCTCATCCAATCAGGTGAAGGCCTTATGAACCAAATATGAGGTTTTCCTGGGATGGAGGAATTCTGCTTGAAGAACACAGCATCAGCTCCTGCCTGGGATTCCAGCCTGCTGGCCTGCCCTGTGGATTTCAGACTTACCAACCTCCACAGCCATGTAAACCTCTGTGTGTGTGTGTGTGTGTGTGTGTGTGTGTGTGTGTGTGTGTGTCTGTGTGCGCGTGGTGGGGGGTGTTCTGTTTGTGTGTGTATGCGTGTGTGTGTATGCGTGTGTGTGTATGCGTGTGTTCTTTTTCTCTGGAAACCCTGATTGCTAATACCGCTCGTATGACTAAGCTGGTTGGGAGGTGTGAGGGGAGGGATGTCTTCTCATCAGTGCTGGAATGATAAGTTTCTATGCCACTTCTTGAGTGCTAGCTGGTTGCTGGGCAGAGTGCTAAGGGGTTCCACTGTCTCACTTAAGCCAACCTGTCACCTCCTTTCATTTCTCAAAACTTCCAAATGAGACACTGCTGTATCACAGGATTCATGCATTTAAAATTATAAGGTTATTTCTAAATTACTTAACCGAAGAGTTCAGCTGCTGATACTCCCACCAATAACAGATTTAATCCAGTGGGTGAAAAATGTTACTTCATTTTGTTTCTCCATTCATCTGTCAGTGGATATTTGGGTTGCCACCACCTCTTGGCTGTTGTGAACAGTGCTGCTGTGAATATGAGTGTGCAAATATCTCTTTGAGATCCAGTTGCTGTTTTTTTTTTTTTTGCTTCTTGTTTTTTTAAGCGATGGGTTAGCTCTATCGCCCAGGCTGGAATGAAGTGGTGTGATCATAGCTCACTACAGCAATGAACTCCTGGGCTCAAAAGATCCTCACTCCTCCACCTCCTGAGTGGGTGAGACTACAGGTGCAAGCCACCAAGCTCAGCCCCATTTTCAGTTCCTTTAGATATATACCCAGAAGTAGGTATCTAGGGGATTAGTATTCACATTTCCTGAACAGTTCTAGTGAGACTGGACCTATTTCCATATCCTTATTGGCCAATTCACATTACTTTAGCATAACAGTTTAGCATGATATCATCGTGTCTGTGTCTGTCTATCCATAATATCACACACTGCTTAGCTGCAGAGATGATGCCTGGTGCATTTAGCACATGGTCTGGCCCTTAGAATGTACTCTTATTTGCTGAATAAATGAATGACTGCTGAAAAAGTAAATGAATGAGTAGGTTAGAGCAGGTCCACTCCCTATTGCCACTGAGCCACAAAGAGAACAGGACAGGGGGCGTGCTTGGTTTGGGATCTGGCAGGAGGCTTTGAAACACACAATGCAAGTAGGATATTGCCAAGGAAAGGCGGTGGTTTTGCCTTCCTATGGCTGGTAACCTCACACAGCCTGCTGGGCAACATACCACCCCAGAGCCAAGTCATGCTGGGGGCTGCCCCCAGGTCCCCAAAGGCCTTGAGCAGGCTACTCTGGGGGATTGTTTACATCCTATTTTGCAGAGGGCAGTTTGCCAGAGAGTTCCTGCAGCTTCTCAAACAGCAATAATTCATGGAGAAATGCTTGCTACAGTACCTAGCACCAAAGTGTATAGTCAATGCATTTCTCTTCGCCTATACGGGCAGAGAGTGGGCTATCATCTCAAAGGACAGAAAGCTGAACCCTTGTCATGCTGGGGCAGTGGGCATCAGCTGGTGTAAAAACAAGCAGTGAAGCCAGCAATGTCCCATAACTGCTATCCTCAAGGAACCAGGCCACCATAAGATCTAGGGCTTTTCCAGGCAAAGACCCATCAGCCTTTCTCCAGCAATCTCCCGGTCAGTGGAAGAGCCAGGAGATGCTGAGCGTGGTCCCAGAAAGCCAGACCCCTCCTTTGCAGAGAATGTTAGCTATCACCCAGTTATCCATTTCCCCAATATCCATTATTAGAATTTTCTGCCAGGCAAATGGCCATCTCCAATAAAGAATACATTTCCCAGACTCCCTTGCAGCTAGCTGTGGTCATAGGACCAAATACTGGCCAATAGGGTGTGAGTGGAAGAGGAAAAGACGGGTATAACTTCTGGGTCATGCCTTCAAGGGGAGGGATATACCAGGGGTGGCAGCCCAAACATTGAACAACCAATAGAGTACAGGCAGTTAGGATACACAGCACCAGGAGGAGGCTCTCAGCCATGACAACGTGCACCAACCTCACCATTAGTCGTGGACAGCCCTCCCCTCGGCCAGAAAGAGGACTTGGAGGTGAGCCATGCAGACGGGTACAGCAGCCTATGGTTGGCAGAGGAACCAGCAAGAGATTCCGGATCTCTGGCACAGGGGACTACCACTCAGCCCTGCACACGACACACCTGGAGTGCAGTGAATGAGCAAGACTTAATTTCCCTCTCATTCAGACCTGTGCTATTCTGGATCTGCACTGCAGCAGCCAAACCCATACTCCACACACATCTCCTACTCTCCCCTCCCGTCTTCCTGCATTAGTTTTGCTTTCCAGGAAGAGAAAATGGAAGAATTTCCTACAACAACTTCTGTCATCTCAGTGCAGCTGCAGGGCATGGAATGGCTACTGCTGGGTGTAGTGGGCTGAATGGTAGCCCTCACTACTCTTCACCAAGAAGAGATGGTCACATCCTAACCCCTGAGCCTGTGAATGAGGTCTTCTTTGCAAAAGGGGTCTTTGTAGATATTATCAGTTAGGCATCTCAACATGAGATCATCCTGTTTGGAGAGGTTCCTGAGTCCTATGACAGTGCCCTTATAAGAGACAGAAGAGGAAGACACAGAGACAGAGATTGGAGTGAAGTTGCCCAAGCCCAGGAGTGCCTGGAGCCACCAGGAGCTGGCAGAGGCAGGAAGGAGCTGCCCCTGGAGCCTCCAGGGAAAACAGAGCCCTGCTGACAGCTTGATTTCAGGCTCTGGCCCCCAGGATTATGAGAAAATAACTTTCTGATGTTTTAAGTCACCAAGTTTGTGGTGGTGATTTTCTCTGGCAGCCTCAGGGCACTCCCACACCAGGGTGACTATTTTTCTCTGCCATCTCGGAAATTTTTGTCTCCTTCCTGCAGAAGAGAGTGTGGCTCTATCTGAAAATCATGGACGAGTAGTCCAGGGTAGTTGCTTGGAGGTCCCACAGTCCTCAGACCTCCTGGGTTCTGATTGCATCTACCCCATGAGGTTCAACCCTGAGAACACCAGCCTCACCCCACCCAGCCACACCCACCCAGCCTCACCTCGCTCCTCTCAGCCTTTCCTTCTGAAGGATTCCCATTGCAGATGCAGGCAGGGATTCCTCTACTTGTGGGTCCTGTGAAACTCCACAACCTGTTTCAGAGATCTTGACTCCTGCTATAGAAAGGGCAGGTGGTCATCATGCAGGACTTTCTCATCAAGACATCAGGGCTATTGGGATGACACAGACTCAAACAGCCTGTTTTGGAAATCAAAAGCTTTCTCTCTGCATTCCAACCATAACATCATAATCCTTCCTGGGGTGAACTCCTGTCTCTCAAAGAAATGCAAAAGGAGTCAGACATTCAAGCGTATGTTAGTTACCAAGCACGTACAGCTGCTGTAGGAGAGACTTGACCACAGTGGCTTAAAAAAATAGGGCCCTAGTGTCCCATGCACACATGCTCACCAGAGGCCCTAGAGAGATGGTTCAGGGATGCTGTGGAAGCTCCGTGGAGGCCCTTGAATGGGGCTCTTCATTCCTCTGCCCTGCTGCTGTCCTGTTCTTGCAGGCTGAGGCCGGGGCAGAACCCACTTCCCTCTCATGGGGTGTCCTGCTTGGATGGCCTTGCCTTTGTGGGGTGACTTCATGCCTGTTGCCTCATTTCTGGAGCCTCTGTCTAAACCTCCAGATGGCGAGACCCTGGGCATCCAGCATCCTGGTCTCACGGCTATTGACTCCTAACAAAAAGAGTAACTGTTCCCTTGGAATTTCCTTAAGTCTTCCCAGCCCTCAGACCAGGCTGCAGCCTGGGACTCAGGAGTCAGGGGTGCCTGGCTCTCAATTCACCTGTTGCTGCGTGACCTGGGCCAGGTGACTTGGCCTCTTCTTACATCAAAATGGGGCAACTGTCTTGTTCCCATCGAGGGTTAAACATGATGTGCCGGGCACTCCACACGTGGATATAAATGTCAGAGGCTGAGGTCAGGGCCCAAGCCCCCCGTGTCTCCAACAGCACTGTGTGCTCGGTCCACGAGGATGCAGACCCAGGAGTTGGGAACCAGCACTCCGCTAAGTGCTGGGGAGGCAACGACCTCCAGGAACAAGAGAGAATATTCCCTGCCCGCGGGACCCTGACAAAAGCAGGATAACTTCAGACAGTGACAAGTAAGGTAGCACGCACAGAGCAAACTGGGGAGGAGTGAGTTGGGGGAGGGTGCCCTGGTGTGGGGATGGCCCCTCTGAGGAGGTGGCCCTTGAACTGAGACCCAGGAAGATAGAAAGGGGAAACGGAGCCGGCCAAGGACAGGTGAAGGTGAAGCCAAGGGTGAGTTCCGTGGGGCGCCCCCTTTCCACGCAGCTAAGCCCCCTTCCTCCTTCAGCTGGATGGTGGAGCTCTGCGGTTCTAGTCCTGTTGTCCTACAGTGGGAAAGTGACTTTAACCTCTCTGTGCCTCAGTTTCCCCTGTCGAATGGGGATGATGATAATAGTCTGGCATCCAAGTAGATGAGCACAGAGAATACTGAGAACAATGTTCCCAAATGCTGCAGGTGTGCTGGGAACACTGGGGAATTTCAAAGGCATGAGTGCTGTTTGCTTGACACAGAAGGGTTGCAGTTTCTGGCTGGCGTGTCCTGAGACTCAGAGACAGATGGGCTCTCAGGAGTGGAATCCTTTTCCGAAGGGTCGAGGCTCCTGCCTGTAGCAAAGCTGCCCCCAAACCCAGATTGCACCATGAGCCAGTAAGCAGGGAGCCAGCACTGTGGCCCAGGAACTCGCTCCTGGGTGTGCATTTCTCGGAAAGGCTTCTATTCCCATCCCTCAAAGTAAGCAAAACCCCAAACCCCACAGATGCACACCACACACATCACTGTCTGCAAGCCCAGCCCTGTTTCCACGCTGGTGGGGATGGTTGATCATTTAAGTGCATTGAACCCTTTCTGTTTGTTTCATGAAAAAATAATTTCTGTTTGCTTTAGTCACATTGTTTGTTGTTTAAAAGAATAAAATAATTAAAATAAGAGGAACCCTATGTAGTCTTAGATTTTTTTCTGTTTGCCAGCACATAAAAATGTGTGGGTGATATCTATCATTTTTTTTAACCAACACAATTTAATGAGTTGTAACGTTGTCCATCGAGTTGTCATGCTTTATCTTTTATTTAACAAATACACATGCATATCTATATATGCAAATTAGATGTCTAAATCTATATTCGTTTTCTGTGGCAACCATAACAAATGACCACCAGCTGGATGGCCTCCAACAGCAGAAACATTTTCTTGCCCAGTTCTGGAGGCCAGAAGTCCGAAAGGTGATGAAGGGCCAGTTCCTTCTGGAGACTCTGACGGAGGGTGTGTTCCAGGTTCTTCCCACTCCCAGGGTTGCCAGCATCCTTGGCATTCCCCGGCTTGTAAAGGCATTTCTCCAATGTCTGCCTCCACCATCACTTGGCCTTCTGTTTGTGCCTCCCTCCGTGCCCTTTCTCTGTGCCCATCTCTACCATTTTCTAAATTATTTTCTTTGCCCATCTTTGTCTAAGCTGGATAAAAAGCCAGGACAACAGGCATGTTTTCTTTCCTAGAATGTATGGTCACCCAAGCTCTGCTGTCCCCCTGGGTTTCAGTTATTTATCACTAGCCAGCAGCTCTGGCATATTCATGGCAGCTGGTACTCGGCCTTCTAATTGGACCCTTCCCTCTTCCACCTGTTTTTGGGGACTACACTTTGCAAAGGAGAGTGGCAACCATCCATGTGGCAAGCCCCAAGCCCCCTTTCCTGACTACTTAACTTTGAGGATGTAAACACAGAGGTCAGGTGACTCGGGGGAGTCATGGTCACTTGGCGAGGGGGCTTGGATTTGAACCTGGGCATTTACCTTCAGAATCTGAGTTTGTATCTATGGTGCTCTAGTGCCTCTACCCTAGTTCTAAATGCCCTGTGTTTAGAATGTGTTCAGGCTGCTCTGATCAGATTAAGAGCACTGCTGAACACACTTTTCCTTCAATGCTTTTCACTGCTGTAGGGCTCTTACCTACTCCCCTGGAGAGGACCACCTAGGTTGTCTCCACTGCTAGGCTTCCCAAACCCCATGCTGATGAGTATCCTCATACACAGGACCTCCAGGGAAACACCCCAGGTGCACAGGCTCAGAGCAGCAGGTTGCAGGATATTCCTATAATTAACTTCTCCAAGCACAAAGTGTGCTCCTTCTGTGAATTCCTGAAGCCGTGCAGGCTCCTACTTCTAAGCTACACAACTGCAAACCAAAAGGTGCTTCGAGGAGCTGTCATCGTGAAGTGACCGGCTGACGGGACTGTGTACTGGAAAGGAATCTGCAAACGGTTTCATGCTGGACAAATGTGTGGGCCACTCACATTGTTGCTGAACAGCAGGATCTGTCTTTAGGGTGAAGTGTGGGCAATTTCCATTGAGGGGATGTACCTGCCACCGTCTGGTTTGTGGAGGAGAGAGTGCCCCTGGAATCCAACCCACAGGCAGGAGCCTAGGACCAAAATCAAGCAAGCTCTTCTGGCCTGTTAGTATGCAGGTCGAGGGAGGGGCCTTGATTCACAATGGCTCAGTGCTCTCACCACCGGGCCCTAATGCACAGGCTGAGGCAAGGGCAGCAGGGCTCGGATTCTTAAATCCTTGTGGACTCTGAGCACACAATCCACTCTCCACAAGCAAGCATAGTGGACTTCCTCAGGTAGAAAGCAGCCCAGCAATTTACTCCTTGGCACACAGCTCCAAAGATGATCCCCAACAATGCTACCCCTACCCCCAGCATATGCCACCCATTCCTGCCCAAGATGGAAAAATTACTAGGCTGGCCTGTAAATGCTCCGGTCAATACAGTGACAGTCTGGGACATCTGAATCCTGGTCTTAAGAAGGCTGAACGCTTCTAATTCCCTCCTCTTGGAATCCAGCCTCTGTATTGTTAGAAGCCTGAGCCACAGGGCAAGGATACAGAGAGGTGAGCTGAGGAGCTCTGGACAGAAGTCCAGTGGAGCTCCCAACAGCAGCCAGCACCACTGATGGCCACGTGAGCAAGAAACCTTGCACGTTCAGCCCAGTTGAGCCTCTGAATGACTGCAGCCCCAGTACCATCACATGGAACAGAAGAACTGCCCAACTGAGCCCATCCCATGCACCAAATCCTGAGAAAGAAGAAAATGGTAATTGTTTCAAGGACTCAATTTGAGGGTGGTCTGTTATACGTTAAGAGATACCTGAAACAACCTCCAACAGAAATGCATGCAGAAGGTAGCCAAGAGACATATACCAGTCTCCAGCTGGAAATAACTATGCGTCCCTCAACAGTAGAAGGAATAAATAGCCTATGTCCCATCAACAGTAGAATACTCTATGGTGGTGAAAATGAACAAACGATGGCTTCCATGCAGCAATCTGGGTGATGCTCATAAACACAGCCCAGAGTGAAAGAAGCCAAGCCCATTCTGTATGATTCCGTTTGTACCACGTTCAGAATTAGGCAGGACTATCTCTGTGGCTGCAAGTCAGGAGACGGGTGACCTGTGAGTGGCGATAACAGGAGGGGGCTTCTGGAGGATGGAGATGATGTGTCTGGATGTGCACACTGCTCAGAGAATGTGTTTCCTTTGAGAAAGCTCATCGAGCCAATTGGTGGACGTCTCTGTGTGTATGTGATGTTTCAATAAAAAGTTTACCTTAAAATGTAAATCCGATGTTTTCTGGTTATCTACGACTGCATAACAAATCATGCCAAAATGCAGTGGCTTTAAACAGCAGTCTTTCATTACTTCTTGCAGTTCCTGTAGGTCAGAAATTCGAGAGGAGCAGGGCTGGGCGGCTGTGGCTCAGGATCTCTCATGCGCTCAGTCCTCATGGAGGGCTAGGTTGGGGTCAGTTGTGCCAAACTGAGTAAACCACTCACCCTCTCTGGTCTTCAGTTTCTCACTGTCAATTGAGAGAAGGAGACAAGACCATATCAAGTTTCTTTGTGGCTTTAAATGCCAGGATTCCCTTCTCTTCTTCTCGGTGTTCATGGAGTTCTTTTGTAATTAATCCTTTTGACCAAGGAACTCTGCAGAGCTTCCTGCCTCACGCCACAACCCACACTGGCCCCTGTGAGGTCACGACAGGTGATTTTAATTTGTTTTATTACAGAAAAAATAAAATATATGAAAGTAAAGACAATAGGATAACCAACCCCTATCTGCCCAGTACTCAGCAACAACCATTTATCAGCTTCTGTCCAGTCCTGTTCCACCTCCGTCCCTTCCCATGGCCTCTTGCCTTGGTTTTTCAGATGTAAATCCCATCTACATGTATTTCACTTGGTATCTTCGGAAGACACGGGCAGAGCTGGTTTTGACAGTGATGCAGTTGCTGGCAAATCCGTTTGCATCCAACATTGTCTTGAAATTTGGGTCACCTCTTCACAAATCCTGTTTGGAAAAGTGCTCTTATGAGGAACAGATGCTCCAGATGAGTCACAAGCCCTAAAACACACATACAAACAGACACGCCCGTCCTTTCTTTTGTTTGGAAAGCAATTGTTAGAACTTCAAGAGTGATTCTAGGGTGCTTTGCAGTCAACTGGTTACCACAAATGGGATGTGTATAACTTTAATGATTTCATTTAACACTGCCCAGTCCAGGCCTCAATCCCCTGCACTACTGTCAATGCTCCTTCATCCTGCACACGTGCTCTGCATCTCATGTTCTACGTCAGTGGTGGCAATGAGCACATGCCAGGTGTCCTGCAAACTTGGGCTCTGGAACCAAATGCCTGTGTGAGACCTGGCTCCACCACTCACTAATGTGTGCCCTTGGGTGAGTCAGAACCTCTCCTTCCCTCCATGTCCACATCTGAAGCATCCTTCATTATACTGCTCCGGGGATTGAGTGAGATCATAGACTCAGCACTCTGCGTGGTGCCTGGCACGCAGGGAGTGCCTCATAAACATCGGGCACTGCCTTCCAAACTGAGCAAGGGTTCCCCATGGCCAGCTGCTGGCTGGCCGTGCCCAGTGTCTGTCTCTCTATAGGTCAGCTATAAGCGTCTGTGTTAAATCCAAAGAACAAGCCCAAGTATGATCCCCAAAGGGAAAAGATTGCCTGAGCGAGCCTAATCCTCCTGCATCTTCCGTTATTGCCTCCACTGCTTGATTAAGCCTGACACAAGGAAAGCATTCAATCTCACTTTTGGAGGCGAAGAAGCACAGAGAAAACCTTTCTCACAGCAAGAACTGAGTTTGTGTAAGAACTGCAATTTTGAGGTCCTGAAGGACACAATCGGGGTATTGTACTTGTGGCTTCTCGTCACAGCAGCCAGCTCGCCGGACAGTAAACAAGCTTCCAATGAAATAAAGGCTTTGCATGGCAGATTCTCTTGCTGTGACTAATAGATCATGTACTTCCAAGAGTATATGTCACATTTGTCATCTCAGATGGGGGACCCTCCCAGCCACAAAACAACCTGAACAGTAGCAAGGAAGCCAGTTCCAGGCAGTGATGCCTGTTTCGGACATGGCCCCCTCTTGGTCTGAGCTGGAGCTTTTAGACACACCTGAGGGTAAGGAAGATGAGAGGAGCCACCCAGCAGTCTGTCCAGCCCTTGGCTGCCTGTAGCCTATCTTCCCTCCTTGGAGTTCCCGGGGAATAAAGGATGCAACCCAATGAAACGTTACATCTTGCAGCATTGTTTAATAGAAACTCTAAGTTAAATGGTGGATCTACATAATTAAACTTGTTGCATTTCCCCTGAACCGCTGCCTTAGCCATGGGTGCCAGGGTCACTAGAACAAATCCCACACAGATCCCTAATCACCTATCAATGAGCACAAATGATGCAGAGAGGTAATACGTGTGGTATCACTCACTAGCTGTGTGTCCCTGGGTAGTTACTCAACCTCTCTGAACCTCAATTCCCTCACTTGGAAAATGGGGATAATACCACCTGCCTTGGAGAGGTGTGATGATTAAATGCTTGTGAAGCAACTGATGTGTGCTTCATGAAGGTGACAGTGGTGGTGATGAAGATGACAGTGGTGGTGATGAAGATAACACTGCAGAGACAAAATGATTAAACTAAAAAGGATGGCACCATCAAATGCTACAGGCAGAAGACCTGGTCTCCAGAGGGTTAACAAAGAATCCCCATTTCCCAGAAGAAGAAACAGAGGGCCAGAGATGGAGCAGGACGTGGCCACGGTCACACAGCACTGCCACCCAGTGCCTCCCTCTCAGAGTGGCAGGAAACTCCAGGAAGGGCCATGAGCATCCCTCTCCTTGCCAGGATGAAATTCAGAAAGCTGCCCAGGACTTGCTGCTGACTCTGTATTCCAATGGATATGAGGAGGCTGCCCTAAGAAGATAGTGTCAGGGGACTTGCTGGGTGTGTGTGTGTCTGTGTGTTTGTGTGTGTCCACAGGATGTGTCTGCAGACTCTGTTCTTGTCCCAGCACAGCCTGCATCTATCTGGCAGGAGCTCCCAGAATCTCTAAGCAGGACATACATAGGGAAGGGATGGAAGGTCTGGTGTCTTGCTCAGCTTGGAAGCCAAGAAAGTTGGGCCTTGGCCAGTGGGGGTGGGGGACATGGCCACTTTCCTCTAGGACACAACTGCCCTGCCTGGGGGGCCCATTAACCTTATAATTAATCTGCCCCCTTGGAGGCCTTGGGCAAACATTTAGATTGGGGACGACCTCATCTGGTTTGCCCAAATATTTGTAGCTTGTGGGTCACCCGGCCACTTCCTGAGAGGCTAAATCTGGGGATGTCCCTGTCCACACAATTTCCATCTCCCCGGCACTGCCAGGATGAAGCTGAGCATTGTTGGTGTGTCTGGAGGCTTCTGGTTCCAACTGGGGCCACCTGGACATCCAGGATGTTGGCGGGGGTTGGGAGGACGGGCAGCAGGGAACAGGATCATGTGTGAGCAACTCCTCTTATGGCGAGCACTGCTGATCACCGGAGAACATGATCTCAGCAAATCACGGCAACTCTGAACAGGCTGCCAGGGCAGGTACTGCCCGGGGTGATGGTCTGCCCCCCCCCCCACCCACCAAAGCTGCGACTGTCCAACCCTGCAGGCAGGTGGGGATCCTGCGCAAGGGAAAAAAGTTACCCTAGCTGGTGGGCACGGCTGGTGATGGTCTGGGCCCCACCGAAACCTAAGGCTGTCCAATCCTGGACTCCAAATCACTCACAGCCCCTTGCATGAGTGGTTTCATTCATGCATTCATATCAGCAGCCCAAAGACTTATTTTTATGCACTTCCTCGTGATTTGTCCTTTGGTCACCATGAACTAAACTTCTCTGCACCCGGCACTGGGCTATACAGGCTTCACATTAACGTCGGATTAAATTCTCCTAAGCTTTCCGGGAGAAGGCATGGCCTTTCCCCCACTTTACACATGAGGTCACTGAAGTCAAGAGAGGTTAACTAACCTACCCATGGCAGCCAGAAGTAGAGCCTCCCTAGAAGCCAGATATACAGACTCTACCAAGCTCCAGATAGTTCCACAGCAAGCCACGGCTAGCACACCACCGTCTTACGATCCTGCCAAAGGCTTTCCCACTACAGACCAGGCGAGTGGGCTGCAGGGAGCTCTGAATTTGGGAACTGAGACAGAACATCATCCATAAGCGCCCTAATCCACAAGGATGTTTCTCCCCCGCGACCAGAGCGGCTCCTTCTGGGATGCAGCAAGCGGCGGGGAGGCAGCGCGCCGGTGCCAGGCCTGTGGCGGGGGCGCAGGCACAGCCGGAAAGGGCCTGGAGGAGCAGCTGATCCTGCTGGGGTCGCTTAGAAGACTGAGCCTGTACTTAGCTCTCCGTGGTAAATAACAGCTCTGGTTTCTGCTAAAAGGATTCATTCCCAGAACACAATAATTTTCATCTCCTCCTCACTACAACCCATATTTTATGGCTAAATATACGCCATAATGAGCCACTGGCCTGATAGCGTCGTTAAGGAGATATTTGACCTCGGGTTTAATTGCAGGATGGAATAAATGGCTGGGAAGCGCAGAAGGGGCCCTACCAGCTCGCAGGCGAGTTCAGGGCTCAGCATCTGGCATTTGCCAGCCCCAGAGAAAGTGGCGCGGGTGGAGAAAGCGGCTCCCGCAGCGTCCGGGGCGCTGAGACGCTCGAGGGCGCAGGCGCCCTAGAGCAGCCGGGTGCAGTCTTTGGCCAGGGCTGCCCCTGGAACACCCCGGTGTGGCCGCATTAGGGAGCCCCCTACCCCTGGGGAGCGGCCCTTTCTATCTCGCTCCCTCTTTAGCTTGCCGCCCTTCCTTTCAAAGCACCGGGAGAAAAGGCCAACCCCACCCCTGTGAGCCAGCGCGAGGCCGGCTACCTGGGCGCATGCCTGGCCACCCATCACGACAGATTAAACATCGGTGTGAAGGGTTCCTGTGTCTATCCCTCCGCCGAGGGCGCGGAGGGAGCGGGGATGAGGACCAGTCCCGGCACCTGCTGAAGGTTATGCAGAGAATGGAACCCGCGCTGGCGGACAAATTGCAGCGCACAGCTGAGCAGGGCGGCTGGCCCAGCAGGAGGGGCTCCGCGGGGCAATTGCACCCGGCCTCCCACCCCTGGGTGTGCAACTCCAGAGCTTCTGTTCGGAAAACACAGGCCAGCCGGAGCCTGTGACCTCCACGGCCCGAAGAAGAGGGGCGGATTCAGGCCTGTGGCAGCGCGGGCCTTTCGCGCTCCCGCCCCTGTCTGTTCTCAGATTTTTCCCTCGGCTGCTCAACGTCAAGGCTACACAACCCGTCAAGGGAGTGTCAGCGGTGCGCACGGGTTTGACAAATCATAGTTCGCTGAAAGAACGAGGTGCCCGATAACTGTGACTTAGGCGCACTTTATTCTGTCTTGGTCGTTTTTATTTGGGAGGGAGATGTGTTAGGGACTTGCTGTATCCGGTGGAAACTATGATGCTGCTATTCTCAAAAATGCACCTACACACCTAGTTTGCACCTTCCACTTCAATATCCTTTGATCTGGAGATAAAAACACAGCCTTTCGCCTTCCCCATGCTTGACCCACTCTGTTACCCAAGGCCCTGGAAGCAGCCCCCAGGCTGACCCTTGATGGGGGGCAGCAACCTCCCGGCCCCCAATCAAGGGGTCTGCTGCTCTCCTCTGAGGTGGCAGAGGAGAGAAAGTGGGACAAAGTCCTCAAAGAAATGCCTCATCCCCAAGTAACTCAC
This sequence comes from Homo sapiens, assembly GCF_000001405.40. Classification (NCBI taxonomy): domain Eukaryota; kingdom Metazoa; phylum Chordata; class Mammalia; order Primates; family Hominidae; genus Homo; species Homo sapiens. The sequence goes on from NC_000016.10 coordinate 86,495,777, forward strand.
TCCCTAGGCTGTGAGCATTATCGCTACGTCAACTTTGGAGGAGTTGGAAGGAACCACCCTCAGAACAACTCTCCTTCCATGGGGGAGAAAGTTTACAAGCAAAACTTTAATTTGGTCCAGTAATTATCTATCTCTCGATGTCCCCTCTTCCTTGTGAAGTGTTGTTTCCTGGGATCGACTGACTTCTTTACCGCCGGGGTGCTAATCTGATTACCAGGCTGGTGAGCTCGGCCTTCAAAGCGTGTGTGAAGCAGTGTCGGTCTTCTTTGTAGTAACGGGGAAAGCAGAGATTCACAACAGGGCTTGGGGGATGGCGCCCCAGCGGTGCCAGGAGGTCCATCTCTCCAGGTGGAAAACCCAGGCCGGGTGTTCTCTGGGCCCTGCCTTCCACCTGCAGGCGGGCGGGGGTCCAATGAACCCACACCCAGGCTGAACTGGCCAGAAAGGGAGGGAACAGCATCTACACAAGCAGACTATGGCGACCACCAGAGAAAATAGGGCGGACAACCCAAATCTCCCCAGTCAAAGTTCCTCTAGGAAAAGATTAGACACGGCTCCGAAAGTTCCACTGGGCTAGACGCCCGCCGAGTCTCCGTTTCACCTTGTCTGTGGAGACGCAGCTATGCGGTGTCTGATAAGTGGACCGGACCTGGAAGCGCCGGGCTGTGGTCGCCCAAAGGCGTGGTGCCCGCATCAGCCTGGCTGCCCTGACCCAGGAAACACCGACCCTGTCCCAGGGCCACAGACACGGCCCAGGTCACCAGCCTCGTGGGTCAGTCTCTCTCCCGCTGCTGCAAGTCGGGCTGTCTCTCCTGCTGGCCGTTCTCCTCTAACCAAAGCAAAGGAGGGCAGCACCGCCAGGGTCCTTGCCTATCCACGGAGGAAAAGACGGCAGTGGGATCCGGAAAAGGGGGAGAGAAAAAAAAGTTCTCTCGGGATGGAAGGACTTGATAGGGCCTTTAGAAAATCTAATTGCTTAGCCCCAGAAAAAAAAAAAAGGCAGCCGGCCAGGAAATAATGTCAAAATCCGGGCTAATTATATTATTAAAAACAAAGAAAAAAACGAAAATGAAAAGGAGCAGAGCGGTGAAGGGGATAAGGGAGACTGAGTTCTAGCCGCATCCGAGTGTCCCGGAAGCGTTATCTGAGTGCTCCTTAAAAAAAAAGGAGCTGCGGGACTTAAATTAGGGTTTTTCTTATCCACAAACCTGATTGCGCTACCGAGGGTTGGTGGGGGGAACGAGGTGAGGGGGCTGATTGCAAACAGAGGGTTCTCGATTTGGAGAAAGTTAGAGAGGCGGGCAGGGCAATTTCACCCAGTTAGAGGAGGTGGGGGGGAGAAGGTTTCTGCTGGAGGTCCCAGAGCGGCCCAGAGCGCGCTCCCTTTGATTGGGCCTGGGACCAGAGCGCGGCGAGTCTCCGGCGGCCGCGGCGCGATCGGCTGGCTGTTTGTAATTCCATCCTTTTTTCATTAACATAAACACCACTTGAACAAAAATATACACGGCCACCTACTTCGTCGGGAAAGACAGTCCAGCGCCCACCGGCCCGTGCTCGCCCGCCTGCCGAGCCCCGAGTCCCGGCAACGCGCCCCGGGTGCTCCGGTCCACTCGGCACACGCCGCGCGCGGGGCTCGGCCGAGGTGGCTTCGGGTGGCTCTGAAGCCTCGGTCTTCCCGGCTCCCAGGACGCCCCCCCCGCCCCCGCCCCTCCATTCAGCCTGTCATCTCGGCCCTCCGCCGCCTCCGGAGCCCCGACGGAGGTGCTGAGTTGTCAACGCAAATTCCTAGTTAAGCCACTTGTTGATAAACCCTCTAGGCAAATTGGTTCCGTCTTTACCTGCCCGCCCCGCCCCCGCCCCCGGCCCCAGCCGGCGCGCCCCTAATTGCTGGAGGAGCTCGACGCCGGCGGCGGCCTCTGCAGCGAGCTAATTGAGTTGGAACCCGAGCGGTCTTCGTTAAGCCGGACGCAAGGCGGGGACGGGGGAAGGGGGCGGGAGGTGAGACGCAGCCTGGGACCTCCGGCCTGGGGTTGGAGGCCCACGCTTGCTGGGGTGGGCTTTTGGTGGAGGAAGAGCAATCATGCGGAGGGCTCTGCCGCCGGGTTAAGTGGACGCAGCGACTATCTGGCGGTTCTCGGGGGTCTGCGTTCCCTGGTTCACAACCACCCCACCCCCACGCGCCTGTGCACATGTCCCTCCCGCCGCGCAGGGTCTCCGCGGGCGCGCCCCGCCCCAAATAGAGCTTACTACAGTAACCCGGGAGTCTCACATCTGCGCGTCCCCCACCCGCCCACCCCCGCACCGCCTGTACCCCAATTTCGGCCCGCACCCGACCAAATTTTAAAAATTGGGAGGGTTTTGGGGACTGCAATGGAAAATCAGCTGGCCCCGGCCCCAGACTCCGTCTACACTGGCACAGACAGGTGGAGTACAAAGCCGGCTTCCTGGATGATTCAGGCCCCAAATCGTAGGTAGAAATGTGCAAGTAATGGACCTTCGATCTGCTTTCCCTCCCTTAGCACATAATCCGTAGTATTCGCTGTTTCCCGTTGCCCCTATAGACACGCCCCAACCAATCTCGCACTGTAAGTGCATTTCTTGGGTTTTCCGGGGAAAAGCACGGTTCCAGCACCCCAGATTCGTCTACCTTGGATTCCGACCCAGGCGTCACCCTCTAGCGGCAATCTCAGTTGCATCCAGAGAACAGCGCCGAGGCCTCCCACTCCCAACCGTCTCCCCTCCTGGCTGGGGCGGGCAGGGGTTGGGGTTTGAGTATGATCCTGATACCCGGGGCCTGGGCAGTTTTACCACCGCCCAAGGGGCAGTCCCGGCGGGAGACGCGCGGGGCCTGGGTTTCCAGAAGGTGCCTCCCCAAGGGGGCGGGCCCCGGGTGCACCCCGGTGCCCCGAGGCCCCCCAGCCTGAAGGCAGGCCGAATCCGCCCTTGACCAAGTCGAGGCCAAGCGAGTGCGAAAAAGGCGTGTATGAGGGGCCCCAAGACCTTTTCCCAGCCTGAAAAGTTTTCGGCGTTGCAGCTCTGGCGTTCCTGGACCCCGGGCGCTCAGGCGCGCACCCCTCCCCTGGGCTGGTGAAGGTATAATAAACACGGCGTTCACGCCGGCAGGACCCATCATTAGCCCAAACCGCGGTGGAAAGGAGCGCTCGGTTGCAGAGCTAGAACAGCAGTTACCAGCCGGGGCTGCCTGGCACCCTCCCGCCGCCGCCGGCGCCTTCCTGGCCGCCGAGCTGCCTCGCAGCCAGGTCCCAATGCCGACCCCAAGGCGTGCCGCCCCTGGAACCCGCGGGGGTCCCAGGTCCACGCCAAAAGAAACGCGCTCTGCTTCTCCCGGGCGTCAGATGCACCGCCTCGGCCGGACGCCAGCCCTGGACAAATTTTTCCGGGAAGGCGACGTAAAGAATGTCAGACTTGCAAAACCAGAGTGCGCCTCGGTTGCTTAAAATGGAGAGAGAGAGAGAGAGAGAGAAGTCAGGGGCAGGTGGGCAGCGGTGGAGGGGCGGCTGCCCTGGAGTCACGGACTTCAGCAGAGGCGGCTTAGCAAAAAACGCAGAAAAACGTGGGGGCGGCAGCGGAGGGAGTGTTGGACGCTTACCGCTGGTCTCACAAAAGAATGAATTTGATTCCTAATTAAGTTAGTTTTCATGGTGCATTAAATGGATCTCAGCTCAATTTTGGGAAAAAAAACAATGACCCCACTGAGAGAAAGCTTCGCCTGCAGCTGCCAGTGGGAACGAAGTGGTTTTCAAACCCTAAGGGAGGTGGGAGGAGAGGCCAGATAAAAGGATCAATGCTGACCTTGGGTATATAACAAAATATTTAAAATATGTTGCGGTTTATGCTTTTTTAAATAGCGGGTCTTATACATCTACCCATGTCAGGGATAGAATTTTTGCAGGTAATTAATTGCTAACTATTAGGAAAAAATCCCCAGGATGAGAATTAATTGGCACTGGGGTAGAGAAATGCAGAGCACATATGAAAACCAAGTGAACCACAGAAATTCCTTTTAAAAAGGAATAGGCGCTAGGATCTCTGTGTGATCAAATTGGTTAAAGATTTGGTGTATTGCAAACATTGAGAAAATACGTTTCAAAATAAAAGGACTATGAACTTTGAGTGGTTACTTTATGTTTTCGCCTCCATTTGATTTTTAAATTCTAGAGGGTAGAAAGCTTGCTGGCTGGTAACAAGGTGAGCACTGAGTGGCAAGGTGAGAGGCAAAAATAATCATCGCTAAGACGGGGATAACGCGCTTGTTATTTACATTGCTAGGAGCGCTCCAACCCTTAGGCTGAGGAGCAGAGGAGCAGTCTCTATGACACCCCAGGTAGAGACAGTGCCTGGGCCAGTCAGGGCCCCCTACTCCAAGGAATTCTCCTGGGAGGTCTGCTTTGCAGAATGGGGGACAGGGGCCCCTCTGACCTCCAAGGAGCTAAGTCCAAGCGGCTCTAAGGGCCCCGCTTTGCTCGAAGTCCTCCTGCTCCAATTCCTTGACTTGAAAAGAGCCTTCAATAAGGATTCTCCCTGAACACCCAGGGAGGGGCAAAGGGCGAATGAGCGCCTCCCCCAACCCCGCAGCAAAACAGCAACAGACAGTGCTGACGTTGAGGGGATGTTCAGGACAAAACCCCCACCCCTCACCCTCCCTGTCATTTCTCAGAAACTGGACTGTAGGGGGCTGAAGGCTGGGAAGTGGGGGTGGGAGCTGGTGGGGCCTCCCCAGGAGGCCTCAGATTTCCCCTGCTTTCCCCGGGGAGGTGGTCCCAGGCAGGACCCCAGGCTAGAAGCTGTTGTTTTGTTATTAGGTGTTGTGGGAAGCTGGGGAAGGGGGATGCAAGGGCTTTCAAACCTGCCTTAACGTTGCCAGAGCCTCCAAGTAGATGAGGACATTTCCCCTCCCCGCTTCCAGCCTCCCCGCCAACCCCGTGCTTTTCCTGGGCTTGCCAATGGCAGCCCAGAGTCCAGATGCCACAGGGGTCTGCACTGTCGACTTTGGGAGAAGGGAGGGAAGTGCCTTAAAATCGATCCAGCGTTTATTGGGCCCTTACTGTTTGCCTCTGTGCTGCACCTTGCTTTCCTGTCTGTGAAATGGGCTTCAGAACAGCAACTGCACAAATAACAGCAATGCCTCAGCACAGTGCTTGCACACTGCGGGTGCTCAGCCGTTCTCTAATTGTAACAGCATTATCTTTCCATTTAGTCTTCATGGCTGCCCTAGAGCACAGGGACTGTTATTCTTGCCATCCTGCAAAAGAGAAAGGGGGCTCAGAGAGGTCAAGAAGCTGCCCAGGGGCCACAGAGCAGATGGGGCAGCGAGGTGGGATTCTGACCCAGTTCTGGGGCAGCCACTACAATGCGGTGGGGACCCCTTAATGAGGGGCTCTGTCGACTGCAGAGGGTGACTGGGGACCAAGCCCAGCCATGAGAGGATGGGGGCTACATCTGAGACTGTGTCACCGTCTGGATGTTGAGAAGTCATTCTGAGTTCTCCAAGGGCTCAAGGAGGCCGCTGGTTGACCCCCAGGCTCCTCCCAGAGCCCAGAGGGGAAGGTGCTCATTCACCAGCACGCAAGAGCTTAGACTCCCCACTTCTGCTCATGCCTGGCCCTGACCCTAAACTGCCAGGCTTGAAGGGGCTCTGCACCCCCAACAATAACAACCACAGCTAACAATTGCTAACTAATTTAATCAGCTCAGCCACCCAGAAAGGAGGTGCTGTCATTGTTCTTGTTTTGCAGATGAGGAAAACGAAGCACAGAGAGACAAAGCCACCAGCCCATGTCCCCATGTCACACAGCAGTGGAGCGGAGTCTTAGCCAGGTGGGACCCACACTCCCAATCACTAATAGCTATATTTGTTTGTTTAACAATTCGGCCATGGTTTGAGTTTACGGTGCCCATCCCCCCACCCCCACCCCTGCCAGACCCTGCAGGACGCACTTCAGGTGTTCCTTCCCTGGTCCTCATGTCAGCTCTGTGGATGGGGACTGAGGCACCGAGAGATTTAAATCATTTGCTCAAGGCCAGAGCTAATGCCAGGGTCAGGACGGAACCCTTCTCCACCTCTGGGACCCTTCCTGCATTAGCGGGGTTTTAAACTCAGAGCTGAGAATGGGGGCCTCTGGAGTGGGGCTCTGGCCACCCCAAACCCCACTTCTTCCTCAGGGTACTTCCCTGCAGCCAACCAAGGAAATCCATCCATGTGAATGGAATCTGTGTATGCGTGTGCTTGTATTGTGCGCTCTCTGTGTGTGCATTTGTGTGTTCTCTGTGTGTGCGTGTGTGTGCATTTGTGTGTCCTGTGTGTGTTCTGTGTGTGCCTGTGTGTGTATTTGTTTTCTGTGTGTATTTGTGTGCTCTGTCTGTGTGAGGTGTGTGTGTGCACGTGTTGTGTGTATGTGCCTGTGCATGTGTGTGTGTTGCTGCCTCCCTGCACGTCTTTGCCTTCCATCCACACCTCCCTCACTGTGCTGAGTCCCCGATTCTCCCACAATCTTTGTATATGTCTCTTGGGGCCTCGCCCCTGTCCCTGAGCCTCTAGATTCTCTGAATTCTGATGAGGGAATATCCTCGGTCTCTCTCTGGGGTGGGCCGGGGTTCCTCTGTCTCCCTGTGCCTCTGTTCTGCGTGCACCCCACCTGGCTCCCACCCTGAACTTTTCTTCTTTACTGACTTGCCAGGGGCTGTGTTACCTTTGCCCACGCCAGGCACGCAGGATCTGGCTCTCCAATCGATTTTGCAAAACAAACAAACAAAACAGGCCGGTGGGTCTGTGCATGTCTGCACACGTCCAAGTGTAAATCCTTCAAGGGGTTCCTGGAGTGGCTGAACTACAACCCGGCTGGGACAAAAAGGACCCAAACTAGCCTTGGAGGAGGGTGTGAGACGAGGGAGGCGCGTTCATTTTCTCAGGGAACCCTGGATTGTGGGCAACATCTTTGAGCCAGTAAAGCCCCTTCCTCCCTTCCCAAGCCTGGCATCACTTGGTTGAGTGGATTTTGTTTTCTCCCTTAAAACAAAATAAAACAAAACAAAAACTTGTTTGCATCATTTTCAACATCCTCTAAGCGGGAATAAACAGGGCATTACAAGTCATAAATGGAGACCAATGGGCACATGTTGAGTGTCCACATTAGCAGGTTTCTGGGAGCAAATTGCTACCTTTGATTAAGAAACAAACCTGAACGCGTTCCCCTTTCACCTCTGTTTCCATGCTCCCCATCTCCAGGGGTCTCCCTGGCTTCTGATTCCCTCTTCCCTGTGGGGTGAACATGCACGCCTATCGCACCTCTCTCTTTCAAATCGGAAACTACACAACACCTGCCCACTGAAATTTAATTTGTTTTCCTTTTGGTTGGTCTTTTAGAAACCTATTCACATTCCCATCTCTTTTCTCTTTGTTGCCTTGCTCCCTCCCGGTCTCAGAAGGACTTATAATTCCACAGAGAGCAACTGAGTCACAGGCCCGCTCCCTGTCTTTCTCTGCTGCCCCTTTTTGGCATCAATTTCCTTTAATGTGGACACTTTGCTCAGAAACAAATTCTGGGAGCCCCTTCAACACCCCCCCCACAACTTACATGCCCCATACGCACACATTCATGCTGTAAGGGAAATAGTATCACCATCTTTCCGGGCAGAACTGTCCATGCAGCAGAGATTAAAAATCTATCGGGATGCTTCAGGCACTGCCCCTGTGGGAAGACAGAGCTGCAGATGGGCCGGGCGTCCAGCAAGGGAGCGCCGGGAAGCTCACTGTCTCAGGCGCTTTCTGTTTCTGAGAGCCACGTGTACTGCAGATGCAAGAAATCTTCTGAAAATCTCACCGGGAAGAGGGCTGGAGATTCCTGGGCTGCAATGTTGTCAAATACTTCCTTGAAGAACATCATGGAAAATGCGTACATTTGGGTAAAAGGGCCGGTGGAAGGGGTGAGCTCGGGCTGCGGCAGCACATGCACCAGACTTTTTTCTTTTACATTTTTCCTTTTATTTTCTTTTTTCCTTTTATTTTCTTTTCCTTTCTTTTTATCCTTTTTCTTTTTTTTTTCTTTTATTTTTTCCTTTTTTTTTTTTCATGACCAAACTAATGAACGTCTCTATATTGTTCAGCTAAGAGGAGATTCACTGCCAGGGTCTGGGACCAGGGATCGCCCTCGTCACAGCTGCTCCCCGAAGTTGGCCTTGATGGTCCCCACAGGTGGGCTCCCAGTCCCATCTGTGCTAAGTGGGTGTGACAGGGCTGGGTAGACCAGCGCGTGCCACCTTTCTCTCCTCCTCACCTTGTGGTACCTTCATGAAGAGTCTGGGGAGGAGCCCAGAGCCTGGCTTGCTACTTGCTCCTGACTGAGTACCTTGGTTTGAGATTGATCAGGCAGCAGCAGGCACAAGTGAAGACAGCACCCCTAATATGTGTGGCTTGGGTCAGGAGCTCTCCTGATAGTGCCATTGCCCCCAGACACTGGGGGACCCCGGGATTTGGGGCCTCTTCTGCTGCAGGTTCCGCAGGTGTCGCCTGAGCCGGCGTCTTCCCTCTGCCCACTGCAGATAGGTGGCTCCGTGCCCTGGGCACACAGCCTCTCACAGGCCCACTGGGAACCCAACACACCTGTCCCCGCATCTCCACACCACACCAAGAGCTGCCACCACACCCCTCACAGAGCCACAAAGCCGGTAAATGTCACTCGATGGCTACAAAAATAAAGTCAGAGCGTCATTTCGCTTCCCTGGCACCTGAGATCAAAAGAGAATCAGCATTACAGTGGGATTTTGTGAGCTGGTGATGACCTTGAGGCGCCTAGCCAGGGCACAGGCAGGGTTCCGAAACCGATTTCTGTGTGGTCACTGCATTATTGCCTTCTTACTATGACTGCGTGTCAAGCGGCGTGGAAACCTTGGGACAGTCTTCCCTTCGCATAGCCGTGCGCTACTGTACACACATGGCCTGACGCTTGGGCGGAGAGAGTACTGGTCACCACGTGGACCCTGTCCTTGCAACGTGCTGTAGCCAGAATTCATTTTGCATCCACCGGTCTCCCACGGAGTTCTGTTTCCTCAGGCACTGCACTGTATACAACTCTAAATGCACCCTGCATGGAACCCATTGCAGGGCACACGCAGTCTACATGTATCCCAGGTTTTATGCTCACAGAGCCTGCAATACTCCGTGTCTGGAATACGTTATTTGCTGCACACCTCCCAGAGGAACATGTAACGTCTGTGTAACATGCTATCCTGCACACATCTGAAAGAATCTGTGTACACAACACTATTATGCTGTGCACACATTTCCTCATATTCTGTGTAGAGAGCACCTCATTTTGTACTCAAATATTCGGCTTCCATAACAAGTTACATTGCTCACATCTTAAAATATTCATTACACGTGAAACCACCGCATGGTACCGACATCCTTCTGGAATGTCCCGCACAGAGGCTGATATATGTGCACAGTTCTCACTGTTCTGCGTGCCCAGCCCCTCACACTGGACGCCCACCTCACACTCTTCTGCCAAGGGAGACTTTGGTTCTCCCCTTCCCTGTGCTGGCTGTGCGGGCCACAGTCCTCTGCACGCCAGCAGCATGACGCGTGCACACTTAGAGCGTGCGAGAAGTATCTCAGGTATCCGTACACAGATCTTCTTATAATCCACCCGCTGGGCTTGATATTTCCCCACAGTCCCCTAGTCCCCAGGGCTGCACTTTCACCCACAAATATCCCTCCCGCGCTCCTCCGGCAGCCGTGAAGTTTCGTTTCCCCCGGCCGGGTCCTCCTTCCCTCCCTTCCGAAGCCCCGAGGACAGGCCGCTTCCCTCCCGCCCAGCTCCCGCGTCGGGTCCTGGCTGGCCGCCCTACCTTGAGGCGTCGTTTGAACCTCGCCTCGCGGGGGGTTGGAGGGAGCGGGGGCGGGCGAGGAGGGCGCGGGCCCGGCGTTAATGCGGAGCGGGGGCGGCGGCGGCCGGCGGGGCGGCTGCCCTCGCGGTGGGTGGTCGGCGGCCCCCTGCCCCGCCCGCGCGGCCGGCCTGGGCTCCCTCGGAGCGGGATCTGGTTCCCCGCTCGGGTTACGGCGCGCTCTCGGCCCGGGCGGCTTCGCTTAAGCAATTAGCTAGTAAAAATACCTTGGGCCTGGGGAGTGGGAGACGTTGCAGTCGTGTCCGTTTTTACACACCCACCCCCGCCCTGCTCGGCCAGTTTCAGGATTCCTGGGGCCAGAGATGGGGCGCAGATTTGTTTTGGGGTGGGAGGGGGCCGGTCTTCATGGATTTTAATCCAAGAGCAAAAGGCTGCCCGCGATCTCTGTCCCTGTCTGCATTTTCTCCTCCATCCCTGGAGCTGAGCCCCTGGGGTTTTTGTTTCTGTTTGTACAACCTAAGCCTTCCCTGCATGGTCTTGTCCAACCCTCTGTACGACCCCAAGAAATAGGAACCATGATGAGTTCCATTTTTCAGATAAAGAAACTAAGGTGCAAAGAGCTTATGCATCATCCTTACATGGTGGGGCGAGTTCAAATCCCCCTGCCTTTGGGGTTCGCGGCAGCGGGGCCCCTCTGCCCTGAGCACCGCTGAGCCTCACCCCGTGGTCAGGACACTTAACGCCCTGGTTCTGCAATCAGGCCAGGTTTGGATACTGGCTTTGCAGGGTGACCCAGGACCTGGAGTGACCTCGCAGAGCTCCAACTGTGAATGAGGAGGGAAATTATACTGACTTGGTAGGGGCATCGGTGAATATTACACAAGTCTCTTAGGGACACTTAACCAGTGTCCTGAGTTCATGGTTGGTGCCTCACAGGTTCACAGATGGGCTCCAGACATTTGGCGAAACCTTCAAAATCATTCTACGAATGTCACAAATATGCACCTTCTGGGGGCGGGGGCAGGTCGGACTAATTTTCAAAGGATTGACAGCCAAGAGGAAGGTTAGGAGCAGACAAGGGCAGTTCATCGAGTGAGGAGCAGCGCCTGGTGCCTGGGCAGCAGTGGATGAGCCTGTTATTATCTAGTATTCGTAGTTGTCATTGCTATTTTATCACCATCAGTTCCCCAACGGGGGCTCTCTGTCCCCTTGGCCCTGGGAAGCCAGGGCTGTGTAATGATGGCAGAGGCATTTCTAAGCCCCATTCTCTCCACTCCCCGCCTACACAGAGGCACATGGGAGAGTGAAACGCCAGGAAATTTTGTCCTTGGACGTAGAGAGGGGAGATGGAGAGTGTTCACCTCTCAGTGCTGGCTGATAAGAGATTCAAGTCCATGCTGAGCCTCAGTTTCTCCACCCTAAAAATGTAGGATCAAGGGAGACCTCTCAGGGACATTGTAAGAGCTGAGAATGAAGTCTCTGAGCATGAAGGAAAGCCCTTCTTGCTACGGCTGTGGTTTTCCCCAGAATTCAGGGGGTCCCCTCCAAATTACAGAGCTGGGAGCTCATTCGCCTCCTCTCTCACGCCCCCACTTCTACACACACCCAGCAGTAGAGATGAGCAGTTGGGGAGAGCCTCCATCTTTGGCCTTCCTGAGACTCCCAGGCCTACTGGGCCGGCTCTTTCGCTGGGCTCCGTGACTGGCTGTTCTGTAAGGTCTGGTTTGCTATCAGAGCCGGTGAAAGGGCAGAAAGAAGGGTGGAAAGGAGGGAAAAATGGATCTCCGGGTTAGCCAACGATGGGACCTGCGGCTTCCCTTCCCCAACTGAAGAGGGCCCAGGAGTGAAGGAGTCTGCTGGGAAAGGGCTCCCCAACTTCATGCTCTAGGGACCCGCTCACTTTGAAGGCGCCCCATGAGTGGGGGAGGGGCGAGGGGAAGGGAGATGCTATTTCCACTTTCAGCGAGCCGCAGCGTGCGCCCTGCACCCCTAGCTGGCTTAAGAGCTGTGCAGCCTTCTCTGCTCACCTCTGCTAAGGGCCAGATGTGCTCTGGCAGTCGGCAGTAGCGACCCCTTCCTGGGAACAGAACTTTCCTCCGGAGGCCAGGGTCTCCTCATCTGCAACTGCCATTTGCCACACACACACACACAAAAGTTGGGAGAGAATGTGAGAATGCTTGTGTTCGTGGACGCGTGCGCACGTATGGAGCGGCGGTACCTATGATTATTTGCGCGTGGCGCCTGGCTATGCGTGGGCGAACGCGCAGTGGAGAACATGTGGGCGTGCATGAAGTGTGCACTTAAACCAAAGTGTGCCCTCCCCGTTGGGCAGGCCTGTGTGTTGGTCCAAGGGTTGGGAGCGCCTGAGCTGTGTGAGGGTCGCTGGGAAGGGTGTTTGAGGCCGTGGGCGGTGCGGAGCGTGTCTGTGTGCGCGGAGGCTGAGCTGGTTGTGTGAAGTGGTAGCGGGTCTGCCAGAGAGCGTTTACCTGCGTGAATGCACAACCACACACTACGGGTCACGTCCCACACTCATTCTTTCCCTAGGCGGGCCAGGCTGTCTGCACGCGGAGACCCAGAGAGGCCAGCGGAAGGGCAGCGCGGGAAGGCGGCTCTCTTCTCCCGCGAGCGCAGATCTGGCGGAGGAGGCGGCGACTGCCCGGCAGGCTGCGCCGGCGAGCCCCCCAGCTCCTCTCACCGACGTGCCAGGCGCCCCGAAGGCGACAGGCGTCTCCCGCCGAAAATGAAGGCGTCCGAGCCAGGAAGGTGGGGGCGGGTAGTTAGCGGGAGACAAGGAGTCCGGAGAAAACCGAGAGGCGGGTAGGCTTTGAACGCGCCGCGCCGCGGGCCGTGCTGCGAGCCCGGCACACGCCTCTCGCCCCAGCTCGCGCTGGGGCTTGGCCTCTAGGCTCTTCGCGATGACCCGCGAAAACACCCCTCGCCCCCCTCTTCTCAACTCGGAACCCTGGAGGGAGAGGCCGCGCCCGGCCAGCAGTCGCTGCGAGAGCAGCACTCACCTGGGTCTGTGCGCGCCGCGATGCGCCGGGGCTCCTGCGCTGTCCTGCGCTCCGCTCTCGGCACCACCTTTCGTGGCTCCACCGCCCCCAGCCCGCACCCGAGCGCTGAGGTGGCAAGGGCAGGTCTGCGTGCGAGCCCCCTGCGGGCTGGCAGCCAGGTGCGCGAGGGCCGCCCTTGCCGGCGCTCCCAGCCCGCGCTGTCTGCTCTCAGGAACCTGGCCTGGCGCGCAGTGTCAGAGGCCCCGCGGCGGCGGCAGGCCGAGCCCACAGGGGCATTAGGCCAACTCCCCCCTCCCGCCCTGCGCACGCGGAATTCTCTATTATTATTATTAAAGAATCCCCCAGAACTTGTTTACGTTAAACCCTGTAAACTTCCTGCCAGGGCCTTTGCCATCTCTCGGGAAATCGGAACCTGCGCTTTGAAAACGGGGCCGCGGGGCCAAATAGGCGGGTTTTCAGTGTGTGTTGGGGGTGGGGGAGGGCAACTGAACTACGTGTGAGTTCAGATCCGAGCGTGGCGTGTGTACGCGTGAGTGGGAGTGAGTGCGAACTTAAGCTCCTGTGGGCCTTAAGCTTCCGTGTCAACGAGTGCATTAGTGGGTGCGCACATGCCTGAGCGCCCTCTGCATATGAGTGTGCACACACGCATGGGTGTGTTTACACGTCTGTTTGCGTAATTTACCGGGTTTGCATGTGCATCAAGACATGTATGTGTGTGCTAATGTGTGGACAAGAGCGCGAGGGTGTGCGCGCACGGGTGAGTGACTGAGCACGCCGCTTATTCAGGGGCCTGTGCGGTCTGGGTCGCCTCTGGGCCAGCGGGTTCTCACTCGCCCCCGTCAGGCCCGCGGCGCCCGAGACAAAGCGGCCGCGACTCGTGCTGCGCTTTCGTTTTCCGCCTGCGCTCTGCCCCGGCGGCTGCCCGCCCGCTCGCAAGCTGCTGGGCGAGTCCGAAAAATCCCGGGAGCGGCGCAGTTCTTCCCGGGGCGGGGAGAGTGGGTAGGCGGTCCCTCGCGGGAACTTAGCCGGCCGGCCGCGAGGACCGGAGTCGAGCCGGCTGTGCCTGCGATGGTCACGACCGGGAGGCCGCCGCACTTGCGATTTGCTACAGGGCTGTGCGCGTCGGGGAAGGCCCCGGCCCAGGGAGCGTTTCCCGCCGCGCCGCCCGGGCGGGGAAGGCGGGGTCCAGCGCGCACCGGGGCTGAACCGCGGGCGGAGGGCGCATTAACACTTGCTCGCCAGGTTGGTGGAGGCGGGGCGGATTCTGCTGGCGGCCGCGGGGCGGCGAGAGTGGGGGCTCTTTAAGCGCCCACCAACGCGGGGGCCCGAGGGGGGCAGGGACGGAGGGAGGGAACTCCGGGAGGGTCTTAGGCCGACCCGCGAGACGCAGCCGAGCGGAGATGGAGTGAAGGCTGCCTCGCCCGGAATCTCGGAGCCGAGCGCCGCGGGCGGCGGGGACTCAGGGCTGCTCCCGGCTGGGGCGCACGGCCGTAAGACCTGGAGGTGGTGCCTCCCCCCAAAAAATACCGGCGGGGGTAGCTTCCTCACGGCCTTCGCCCGGGCTGCCCTCGGCCTCAGCTCGGCTCCTTTCCTTGTGGGAGGGCGAGAAAGAAAGAGGGAGGAGAGAGGTGGGGGAGGCGGGAGTTGGAGAGAGAGGGGCTCTGAGCCAACCGCCGGCGGATCCAGCAGCTCCTCGGGGAGGGCGGGCGGGAGCGCGGGGGCGGGCGCGCCGCGGCTCGCTCGGGAGAAGTGGCCGCCGATGACGGCAGAGGTGCAGCCAGCCCCGCGCGCGCAGCCCCCTCCCCTTCGCCCTCCTCCCCCCCGTCGTCCTCTTCCTCCTCCTCCTCCTCCTCCTCCCGGCCCGTCCGCGGCGCAGAGCAGCGGCGGCAGCGGCGGCGGCGGCAGCAGCCACCCGATGTCTTCGGCGCCCGAGAAGCAGCAGCCACCGCACGGCGGCGGCGGCGGCGGCGGCGGGGGAGGCGGCGCGGCCATGGACCCCGCGTCGTCCGGCCCGTCCAAGGCCAAGAAGACCAACGCCGGCATCCGGCGCCCGGAGAAGCCGCCCTATTCCTACATCGCGCTCATCGTCATGGCCATCCAGAGTTCACCCACCAAGCGCCTGACGCTGAGCGAGATCTACCAGTTCCTGCAGAGCCGCTTCCCCTTCTTCCGGGGCTCCTACCAGGGCTGGAAGAACTCCGTGCGCCACAACCTCTCGCTCAACGAGTGCTTCATCAAGCTACCCAAGGGCCTTGGGCGGCCCGGCAAGGGCCACTACTGGACCATCGACCCGGCCAGCGAGTTCATGTTCGAGGAGGGCTCCTTTCGGCGGCGGCCGCGCGGCTTCCGAAGGAAATGCCAGGCGCTCAAGCCCATGTACAGCATGATGAACGGGCTCGGCTTCAACCACCTCCCGGACACCTACGGCTTCCAGGGCTCGGCCGGCGGCCTCTCGTGCCCGCCCAACAGCCTGGCGCTGGAGGGCGGCCTGGGCATGATGAACGGCCACTTGCCGGGCAACGTGGACGGCATGGCCCTGCCCAGCCACTCGGTGCCCCACCTGCCTTCCAACGGCGGCCACTCGTACATGGGCGGCTGCGGCGGCGCGGCGGCCGGCGAGTACCCGCACCACGACAGCTCGGTGCCCGCCTCCCCGCTGCTGCCCACCGGCGCCGGTGGGGTCATGGAGCCGCACGCCGTCTACTCGGGCTCGGCGGCGGCCTGGCCGCCCTCGGCGTCCGCGGCGCTCAACAGCGGCGCCTCTTATATCAAGCAGCAGCCCCTGTCCCCCTGTAACCCCGCGGCCAACCCCCTGTCCGGCAGCCTCTCCACGCACTCCCTGGAGCAGCCGTATCTGCACCAGAACAGCCACAACGCCCCAGCCGAGCTGCAAGGTGAGTGGGGAGGCCGAGGGCGCCCTGGTCCCCGGGAAGTCGAGTCTGAGTGGCAGCGGGACCCAGCTGGGGCGAGCCCCTCCACTTCTGTGGTCGGAACCCCAAGGCTGAGGGGAGGCACCAGCTCCCCAAGGTGTCTCTTGGCCCCACCTCTCCCCCTTCGAAGAGTGACTACCGCTCTTGACCCTAGTTTGGGCCAATCTGTTTCTCTTTCTGTTCGAACTCCAGCTGCCAGCTGCTCCAGGCCTGACCAGGTAGGCTGGTCCTGAGCCAGATGTCCCAGACCCCAGTGCCCTAAGTCCTTTTGTGTCCCTTAAGTCCCCTCACAGCTTGGAAAGATCCTGGGATGGACCCAAGGCTCCCAGCGCTGGCCAGATGGCTGTCCCTCCCTGGTGGTGGCCCTCAGGCTGCCTGGAGGGCTGCCTCTGCCTGGGGCTGGGCGGAACGGAAGGTGTTAGGCCCAAAGCCGCTGGGCCAGCGCTCAGAGGCTCAGCCCCGGCCTTTCAGGGGACCAGACCTGGCAGACCCACAGCTGAGTCCAGGGGCATTTTGTGGTGACTGAGGCAGGAGGGTGCCGTGGCCAGGCCCCGGAGGGTCAGAGCTGCAGACCGGGCCATGGGGGCTCCTTGTTTTTTAGGATCCAAGTTTTCAGGTCCCCACACCCCCAACACCCCTGATACCCCAATACCCCGAACATGCAGAAGCATCTGCCAAGGGAGATGCAGCAGCCTCGCCTCCTGATTCTGCCCCAGGCCCCCCGCAGCCTGCAGGCCCAGCTCTGGAAAAAGCTGGAGTGAGCTTGCCAGGGCCAGTCCAGGGTCAGCTGTCAGCAGCCCCAGGAGGCAGGAGCCAGGCCTGGAGGCCTTAGGCAGCCTCTCTGCGGGGGACTCCCCGGCTCCGGGGCCTGTTCTCTGGAGAAGCTTCTTCTCACCCCTGCTGCTGGCCCGGCGCTGGCCCTGCACTGGCCTCTCCTTCAACCCCGCCGGCAGTCGTAGCCTCTGAGGTTGGGGGTGGTGGTGGCTGCCCTGGCGGTGACGGCCATGGGCGTTAGGGGCCCTCCACTTGGTCTCCCTCACCACTTCCCCTATGGCTCTGGAAGCCCTGGGCCCCTGCACGGTGTCCGAGGCTGGACAGGCACGCAGCAGGCAGGCAGGCAGGCAGGCAGGCAGGCCGTGGCAAGTGTTCTGGAGTCTTTTCCTTGGGTGCGCAGCTGGAAGGCCGGGACTCGGGGAGGAGAGCGGGGAGGCGGCCGTGCTCTGGAGCCAGGCTGACAGGCCCTGTGCGCCCCACGGGAGCACTGCTCCTCTGCCTGAACTCTGAGCCACCGTGGCTAACTCTTCTGCTCCCCCAACCCCTCCTGTCGCCTCGCCTTGCAGGCATCCCGCGGTATCACTCGCAGTCGCCCAGCATGTGTGACCGAAAGGAGTTTGTCTTCTCTTTCAACGCCATGGCGTCCTCTTCCATGCACTCGGCCGGCGGGGGCTCCTACTACCACCAGCAGGTCACCTACCAAGACATCAAGCCTTGCGTGATGTGAGGCTGCCGCCGCAGGCCCTCCTGGTGCAGGCAGGCGGGTCACAGGGACCCTGGACCGGCACAAGAAACTGCTTTCTTCTCGAGGTATAACCGTCGGCAGAAGAAAAGGGTTCCACCTCTCCCCAACCGGAGTTTTTGGCAAGGAGTCCCCAATGCAAAGACACAGCGCTGCGGTTGGCACCTCCTTCCTCACTCCTTCAAAATTGTTAAGAAATGTTAGTGGTGGGTCTGATCTGACTGCAGCCATCGGTAAATAAAAGTTTTTGATCCTGTTGAACCCGCCTGAGACGGTGCTGTGCAGGGGAAAGCCCCCGCACCCACACAGGAATTCTGCTGAGGTCCCCCCTCCTTCCGGCCAATGGCAGAAGTGGGGGAAAATTTTTAGAAGAAAAGCAAACATGTGAGACCAATCATTATCAAATACTTTTATTTTTTGGTTGAGTATTTATCTTTTTATTTTTTATTTTTTTTTTGAAAGAATGTCTTGGAATGCGCAAGTCTCCCTTTAGAGCCGTCTTTTGCAGGGAGCGGGAAGTGACAAGAGCTCAGATCTCCCTCCCGATCTCCCTCCCCACCTCCGAAGTCTCCTCCGTGGACCACAGGTGGATCTTTGTGCGAACAACTTGCATTTCGGAAGCCACTGTCCGTCTTTAAACAGAAAGTCAAAGGAGCCACGAAGCAAGCGGCCGTCCGGGCGTCCGCCTCCGTCCCCTTCCATGTTCCTCCTCTTCCTTCGCTTCAGCCTCTTCTGTTATGTTTTGTCTTGAATTTTATTTAGACTTTTTCAGTGGGTATTTTTCTGTCTCCCAACCTCTACTGTAAACTTTCTGGTCCGAGAACGAGCCGAACACAGCGCGACGCAGGGACTAGGACGGCCCGGTGACCGCGCGGATTCAGGATTGCGGGGACGCAGAAAGGTTAAGGCACTTTTAAAAACTATAGCAAGGCTCCTGTTTATTTATTCTACTTTCTTTCCCTAATAATCAAAACACCGCGTAGGCTCCTCCGTTTATCAGTATTAATGGTGTAACTTTGTTGGCAATATTTGCCGTGTAGAATTTTTTTTAGATATCCATTGTAAATTTGAAACAAAGACCGATCTGTGTAAAAACAAATTTCCATATGTTTTATATAAATATATATATAATATGAAGGACTACCCTCCTTTTTTTTTTTTGTATTTTGGCTGCTAGAGTGCAGCATTTGTGACACGTATTTGAAATTTGAAATTTCCTTCTGCACTGTATAAAAGGACCATTTGAGGATGTTTTGCCTTTTGTGTATTTTTTCCTAAAAAAAGAACAAAAATAAAAATGTATAACATTTGTACATGGCCTTTAAAATTGTATCAACTAGAAATAAAATTGCATGAGTATTTTATTGGGACTGAGATTGTAGAATACCTTCCAGACTCCCAAAGATAGAGGGGGGAAAAAAGAAAAAA
Source organism: Homo sapiens (assembly GCF_000001405.40). NCBI lineage: Eukaryota > Metazoa > Chordata > Mammalia > Primates > Hominidae > Homo > Homo sapiens. Next base: position 86,514,529 of record NC_000016.10, read on the forward strand.
CAGGCTTTGGATCTCTAGACGCTTAAAAATTTACAATCTGGGTGATTCTGAGTACTTTTTTCTTTTTTGGCAAATCCTCCTCTTTTCACTCTTCATTCCACTTTGAAGTAAACGCTGGACAAGAGGAACTATTTTTCTTGGCTTCTGTTTTTTAAGAAGAGCCCTTTGCCCCTCTAAATGTCATTGATCGTTTTAAAGAAATAAACTTTTAAAGAACACTATAGACCTCCTTCCCCTAGGGAACACCAATTAAACCATATATGTGCACATACATATGGATATACATATATATGTATATACATATATGTACATATATGTATACGTGTCCATGTACATAATATATATTTTTTTGCCACTACAAGACCAATGAGAGTTTTACTTTGGGTTTCCGACTTTCTTGTTCTCTTGCTGTAGCTGTTATAAATCGTGAATCAACTTTAAGGTTTTTTTGTAGTTGTTGGTTTGTCTTGTTTTGTTTTGGCTTTTTGGTGCCTTGTTCTTGGTTTTCCCCGATAGAAAATCAAGCAAAATCTAAATGAGGCAAAAGGGCGCTTGGTGGGCCAGGTGACAGGCACCTTTCCAATCCTGTAACATTTATCTCCTAAGTCACAGTTCGTCCTCTCTGGGGGAAAAATATTTTTTAACACTTGTACCTTCCACTGACCACCCTCTTTCTATTCCAGTTCCCGGCTACCGAGAAAAACAAACACAGTAAGTCACATTGTTGGTGCGGTCCTTCCAGACCCACCGCAGTGTCTTGCGTCGTGGGGTCGTGAGTCTCTGAACCTGGTTCTTCTCAGAGTTGACATTTTGGACGTGGGGGTAATTTCTCCGGTGCTCTGTTACATCAAAATTATCAATAAACTCGCCTGGGCAATTAGTGTCCCCAACTAACAGCTGTCTATAAAATCGAGATAAAGGGGACAGGAAAAGGCCGGCGACTCCATCCCTTGGGGTCTCCGGGGGGCCGAAGCGTCAGGCCAGGCTCTGCCGGGCGCACGCGCCTGGCCCTGCGCTCCGAGAGCAGGTTCGCAGCAGGCGGAGAAGGCGGTCCTCCTGGGGCGAAGGGTCTTCTCTGCACTCTCCGCCTCCCACCAGAGCCCGGAAAACCAGTCCTGAGAAGAGCCCCCAGGCCTCCTAGCGCGGGAACGCTGCGCTCGCGTCCGGTCAGCCTCTGCAGGCCAGAGGAGCCGGGAGCCCCTCCTCTCTCCCGCAGAGGCTGCGGCCCAGTTAGGGCAGAGGCTCCGGGGAAGAGGGGCTGATTAGGAGAAACCCAACTGCGCGCTCCCAGGTTTTCTTCTGCGGAGTCTCCAGCCCCTGCACCCACTCACTTGGCGCCCTGGCTGGCCAGAGGCCCCCGTGCGCCGTGGTTGCGCGTGGCTTTGGCGCCGCTGGACTAGCGTCCAGGGCGGCGGCAAAGCCCGGTTTCCTGTTCATCTCCTTGCCTTCGCTTCAGCGGGATCTCCCAGCGCACCCATGTCCAGGTCTAGCGGGGCGGGAGGCACCCAGGGGGGCTTGTGCAGGAAAACCGGTCCGGATTGCCCGAGGACGGTGACCGGCCTCGGTCTTCCGGCCTGACTTGCGGCCTGGGAATGAGAGGGAAAGTCCAGCCTTCCCGCAAGGAGATCCTGGCTCCAGGCAAGCCCGGAAGGGCCAGATAACGCAGCGAAACGGCCTCTGCGCCCGCGTCCGAGATTTCGCGCTGCCGCTGCTGCAGCGCCGAGACTGCGCTCGGCTGGGCTGTGTCTTCCTCGGGGTCCATTGCGTCCTGGGCTCGCACAGGGGTCGCGAGTGAAGCTCCCACGGCTGCGGGACGCCGCAAAAGCGCGCCCAGCATGTGCAAGTCACAAGCTTAAAACGCAAAGGGCTCCTGAGTCTGGTGCGAAATTATGCGCCCTGCGTGCATGAAGGACCCCTAGGATCAGCTAACACAGAGGCGTCCTAGGTAGAATTAATTCATAATCGCTCCGATTATCTTAGGGGTTTTTGTCCTGGAATAACGTAGAATTAATTCACAATGTCTTCATCTATTTTAAGGATTTTGCGCTGGAACAGGGAAGTCAAGATGCCCCTTGACATGAAATCCTCCCTGTAATAAAGCCCCGGAGCAGGGGCAGGAGCTGCTTGGAGCAGGAGCTGCTTGGAGCAGGGCTTCTGCGTGTGGATTACACATCAGCGGACGCCGCGGTTCTCCGCGCGGGGCCGACGCCTTGGACGCACCCGAGCCTCAGCGGGTTTCTAGTTGCAGCCCCGGGCAGCAGAAGCGCCTGGGCGCGGCCTCCGAGCTCCTCAGCCCCAGGCAAGGGGGACTTCGCCGCCTGGAGCTCACCCCCAGGGCCCGTCCAGGCCAGCAGCGCCAGTCGCCCGGCCGGAAGGCGCCTGGGGTGTGGGCTTCTGATGGGAAGGCGCCTGGGCCACAGAGGTGTGCTCTTTCTGTTCTCTTTTCTCTTTGGGGCTCGAGGGGGTTGGTGGCCACAAAGGCATGGCTCCAGACCTTCCAGCCACCCACCAGCAGGCAGCTTTCGCTCAAAGGAGCTCAAAAGGAGCTGGGGTTCCTCCTCTGCGGCCACCCCAGCCCGAGCAAGACAAGTCACCTCTGAGCCTTGGTTTCCTCATCTCTAATAGTACAGTCCTGGTGGAGCTTTTGGGGGCCGTGGTTAATGAGGCAGATGCTTCTAAGGAGTAAAGGGGTGGCCTGGTTCCTTGGTACCCAGACAGGAGTGGCCAAGTCAGACCTGGCTTTTCTCGCCGCGACATTTAGTGGGGCCAGTGTGGAGTGGTGGTGGTGTGTGTGTCTCGTGGGGGGTGTGGGAACCATAAGAGGTACAAATATCCATATTTTACGAGGCCCTCTGCTCAGGGACTTCTGATCCCAGTGTGGGGACAGCTAAATTCCCATCTTCACAGACTTTCCCTCCCTTCCCAGGGATAAGGAAGATGGCTCACATAGCTGGAGAGAGACTTTTCACAGTGGGTTAGGGCTTGGGATGCCAACATACACCAGCCACCAGAATCTCCCCCAACCTCACTGACCCCTCCTAGGCATCCGAGTCCTGCGGATGACCCCATGGGGAAGTGGGAGATCAGAAGCCCCCTGAGCCCAGTGGCTTCACCTCTGATGGTAACTATCAGAGTCCAGCCTCATCAGAAATATTTGGGGTGTCAGTTTAAACAGCAGATTCGAGGGGTCCCTGACAGCTATTGGTTAGAATCTCTGGAGGGGAGACCCAGCAGTCCACGGTGTTCAAGGATAAGCTGGGTGGTCCTGGGTGAGCGCTAGTTTGGGTCTGTTCTCCCACGCTGGTCAAGGCTGCTCTGAGCGGCCTCTGCTGCCCCCTCCTGCCCGCCTGCTGGATCAGGCCCACGTGTCTGTAGCAGCAGCTGGTTGAGAGAACTTGGAGGCCAGGCAAACAAGCACCACGGCCACATTTGCAGGCATACCATGTGAACGCCGGGCCGGGGCAGGCCTTCTTCCCACATGGGCATCCCAGTCCACCCCAGCTCACCCTCGCTTGCTCCTGCCCCAGCTCTGTCCTTGTTACTCTGCTTGTTTCGGGGGCAGAACCTGAGCTCAGGGAGGGTCACTGACTGCTCCCGACATGATCGGTAAGATGTGGAATTTGGACTCAGACCCAGTACTTTCTGACCCTGAATCCTGTGTCACTTGCCACTACACCGCAAGGCTCCTGGACACCCGTTTGCCTCCATCCACAGGGCCTAGTGGTAAAAGGAAAGTTGACGTGGGATCCATGATCTAGCCTCTGCTGGCTTCCGGCCTCCAGAGGAGAGCTGGCAATGGGCAGGACCACAGAGAGTCGGGGTCTCCAAACACATGCTCTCAGACCCCCTCTTACCTTCCAGCTGAGCTAGGAGGGCGCTTGCAGGTGGGGCGGGAGCTGGCCTAGCAGCCAGCGCAGCTCAGACCCTGACCTTTACCCCCTCTCAGGGTTCCAAGTGTGATTCACGGGTTCCACCATGGCCTGCCATGGAAGCTTCCTTTGCTTCCTGGGGTCCCCTTAGACCAGCTGAGAAAAACTTCAGATGAAAGTGGGTGCTCAGACGCGGCTGCCTGCACAGCACTGTGGCCACCTCCACACTCTATGGAAACTTCTGGGCACCAGTACGTCAGAGTTCTGGGCTCTGTGTTAAGGAGGAAGGCCCTTTTCCGGCGTCTTCTGCAGCTGAGCCCAGGGGCAGTGTCCTGGGCCATGTGGCCAGCAGGGTGGGACAACAAGGGACGGGGTCGCATCCATCCATGAAGGGACGCTGACTTGTTGTGGGGCCGAGAGGAATCCCAGGCCTTTGACAATTCTGTCTTCGTGTGCTTTGGGGGTGCGCAGGGGCAGAGGAACGCCTGCTGTCTGCAAGCATAAAACATCGTGGGAGTTGGGGGTCTCTGAGCTGATTCTGGCTGGAAGGCTGTCCAATTTGCAAACTGTTCATTGCTCAATTAAACTCTTAAAATAAAACATTGTCAGCATGAAATGACAGATGGACAGAGGGGAACCGTCGTGGAACTATCCGCTCCACACGGGGCCCTGGCTACGTGTCCACCACTGCACTAGACTAGATTTGCGACGGACATGTTGATGCACACCTGTTGTCACAGACGGACCGCCCAGTGCCGTGTTGTCCCAGCCCAGTGGCAAGGGAGCAAGGGTGTGGTGGTCGCACAGCAACTGGCATTGAGGTGGGAAGGTGTGCGGTCCCCATTGGAGTAGATGCCCAGGCCATGCACTACCCAGCAGCTGAATACACAGGGCCATGTCCTGCAGTACCATCCAGCTGCTTCCAGCATCAGGACACCTGGGGTCATGTGGACACTCTGAAGCAACAACGACAGCAAGGGCAGGATGACCACAAATGTCCTTAGCAGAGGGAGAAAGCTGCCCAGATGCAGTGTCTACATGGTCCCTATGGTGGTCTTTCTCCCATCCCACAGTGCAGGATGTTTGCTGGGGACACAACCAAGAGGAAGCCTGGCAGAGCAGGGGCGGAGGGTCGCTGGGACCAGGTGCAGGCATCCTCTCTGACTTATTTTGGACAATGTTCTATGCCTGTGGGGTGGCAGCCTAGGGAGGAGCAGTGCCACACGCAGGGCCCTTGAGAGTGCTGTAGTGCTGTGACCAGCCGCCGCAGGCATTTTATGGAAACTGCCGCCAGCACTCCAGGGAGCAGGCACGGACGCCGGGTTCCCCCCACCCCGTGTTCCCCGGCAGGTCTGGGGTCTGGGCCACGGGGAAGCGTGCTGAGTCTGCAAATGTCCCTGGAAGAGGAGAGCAACATTTCCGTTCCGGACACTTCCCCCCAAACAGGCTGTGATCTATTAGTGCATGGCGTTTCTGTGAGGCAGGAAGCACTGGCCAACCCTGGCTTTCTGCTGTGACTCCTCGGCAGGGTCGCCAGCCTGACTGAGCAGAGAGGACTGCGCCGCCTCTGTCCAGGTGCGGGAGGTGGGCCAGCAAAGTGGGCAGGGCAAGGGGAGGCAGCCAGGGGAGGCTGGGCGAGGCCACAGCAAATGTAGGTCATGAGGACAGGAGGGACAGGAGGGCAGCTGTCCCGGCTCACTTCCCAGGGGCCTTCGCTGCGATGCCCGCCCCAGGGAGAGAGCTCAGGGTCAGGAAACCTCTTGGGAAACAAGAGGACCCAGGACACCAGGGTCCTTCCTGCGGGGCAGCCTCTGACCCACCCTGGGGATTTCCCGCTCGGCTGTTTCTCTACACGGCGGCAGCGCCACCTGCTGTCCACTTCGTGCAGATGCTATTGGGCCCTTAAAATCCGTCCCATCAGGAAAATTGATCTTCCCCAGGATGGGCAGCCGCGGATGCGAGGAATGAACCTGATTGCTCTATTTCAGACCCTTTGACCTTTGTCAAGGCGTAGCTGGCTTTTTATTTTATTTTATTTGGTCGGGGGTCAGTTAATGCAGTGTTTTTCTAATTACACAAATGACGTGGCTTATTCCAAATAAAAAAAAAAAAACTTTAGAAAAGTGAAACGAAGAAAGTAAAAATGACTTCCAACCCCATTCCTGAGTGAGGCAGCTGTGCTCCGTTGGCCACAGGAGACATCTCCCTGCACCCTCAGGGACCCCGCCGTTCTAGGAGGAGCAGATAAGGGATGTAGCGGGTCAGAGCACGGGAGTCACAGGGCCTGGGTTCGAGTCCCGACTCCCTCTCTTCTCAACTTCGTGAGCCTGCACAGGTGTCTCTCTTCTGCTCACCTCGGCTTCCCCATCGTTACAGTGGGGATGATGGTAAGAGTAGGGCTCCCATAGCATTGCTGTGAGGCTTAAATAAATAATAACCTGTGAAAGGCTTACAGTGAATAAACCAGGCACAGAGAGGGCAAGCACTTAGAGGCCACACAGCCAGGACACGGTGCAAACCCTGGTGTGCCTGGCTCCAGCACGGCACTCTTCGACCATTAAATGGTCTCTCTGTTCCGACAAGCTGCGGTGGCTTCGTGACCCCTGAGGCCCTGCTTGTGGTCAAGAGATGAGCACGTGGTGTTTCTCCGGGGGACAGCCTTCTCCCGCCCAGCAGGGAGGGGCTTGACGCTGTGGCCGACTCTGCTATGAGACCGCAGGGAGTCACAGAGCCCTTCTGAGCCACATCTGTCTTATCTGGAAAAGGGAAACAGTAGTACACGCTTCCTGGGACTCTTCTAAGGCTTAAGTGAGCTAATTCACCCTGCAAGGTGGGTAGGGATGTTTAATTTGCTCACAATTCAGTACTCAGGGCCTGAGCTCATTGCTTCCAAACCATCCAGAGTGCAAAACGCGCAAACCGCATGGTCACACGTCAGCTCCATTCCGACCTCTGCGATTTATGGACATCAAAAAGAAAAGGTTCCATTCACATGAAGAAGTGCTGCCGTGTTCGCGGGAATGGGAGTGTGGGTTCCCTAAGCGTCTCTGCTTGCTTGAATAAGTGCCCAGATGGTCTCTGGTAAAAACACGGGATGATCACTGACATTGGCAAAGTCATGGGGACTTGCTGGGGCGGTGGGTGGCCGGGAGAGGGGGACAGAAGAGGGGCGCCCAGATCCCCCCAACCTGCGGCTCTGCAATGCACCAGGAAACAAGCCGCCAATACTCTATGCCCCAGTTTCTCCATCTACAAATGCAATCAAATATGGGGCTATTTCCAGCAACAGGACCAGGGTTGTGTGGGGCTGTCGCATGATGGGCTGGCCGCAGGTCACGGGGTGGTGATGTGCGGATCAGAGTTGAAGGGTTCAGTACGTGCAAGATAGGGACTCCTGCTGGCTTCTGTCGGAACAGCCCTGGGCCCCAACGCGCCTCTGCACTGTGCGCCGTGTGATCGGGTAGAAGCCCCCCACCGTTCCACAGGGCACTGCTTTTCTCTTCCAGGAAACACCTCTGGCTTTGTCTGCCTCTTCCTACCTCAGGTGGCAAGTAGGGGACAATCCCCAGCGAAGGAAGGTACAGTGGGATTGATGGCTCAACCTGTGGTCAGCTGTCGCTGCAATCGCGGCTTCACTCCCTGCCCACAGGGGCACGGTGGGCAAACTGACTCCTCTGCATTTCAGTAACCTCGGCTGTGAAATAGGAGGCCTCTCAAAAGTGACTGCAAGGACTACGGGAAATGATATAAATGTGTGCATCTATGTATATAGTTAATATTTCCTCTTTAATATATTTTATACATATACAGCATGTATTTTATAAATCTATAAAGGGAACGGGATGGAGGGAAGTGGGCTTAGCAAGCCTCGATTGGTTATTTTTGCTGGGGGGGAGGGGATGTGACAATTAAAATTTTGGAAACTGAGTCGGCTGCAAGCCAGGTGCTTCCTGGGGGCCTGCGGGACAGGGAGAGGATACTGCCCAGCCCTTCCCAGGAGGACAGGAAGAGGGGAGGGGAGGGAATCCTCATTTTTGCTCCTTTGGTAAAAAGGCAGAAAGCTTCACATCTCCTGTCCATATCAGCAGGTCTTGGGGCTGAACATGCTGCGGAAGGTACTTCGGATCAGCCAGCAAGAGCACAGGGATCATTACTGATGTCTGTGGTGGGTGCCAGAGGGGGGCCCATATGTTTACCCTAAATTTACCACCATTCCTACACCTGGTTACTGATTCCTGTTCTAAATGCTGTTCTCATCTGACATTTCATCCTCTCCACCATCACTTTGCTAAAATGTAACTCTTTGTGGTGGTCTCTGCACTGGCCCTTTCTTCGTAATTCTGTTCCACCGCTGTTCTCGGCCTTTCTGATTTCTCGGTGATTCTGTTCCGCCGCTGTTCTCGGCCTTTCTGATTTCTCGGTGATTCTGTTCCACCGCTGTTCTCGGCCTTTCTGATTTCTCGGTGATTCTGTTCCACAGCTGTTCTCGGCCTTTCTGATTTCTCAGTGATTCTGTTCCGCTGCTGTTCTCAGCCTTTCTGATTTCTCGGTGATGCTGTTCCACCGCTGTTCTCGGCCTTTCTGATTTGCTGTCTTGTGTCTCCATCCATTTCCTTCTCTACATGGGTATCTGGGGTGAGGTATGTCGGGATCACTGGCTGAGAGCTGGGCCGGGGGCAAAAATGCCCAGAGGACACTTCCTCTGAGTGCAGGGGGCAGCTTCTGCCAGAGCTGAGGGGCTGCAGTGGGTTGGGAGGACAGGCGCCAGTCTTGCCCATCTGGCTGGTTGAGAAAGAAGTAATGAAAGAGGCAGGCACAGCTCTGGGGGCAGAGAGACTGGGGCCCAAGTCTTGGCTTTACCCTGGCCTAGGTCTGGGACCCTGGCCCTAAGTCCCTTAGGCCTTCTGAGCGAAGCCTTTTCCTTTTGCCACAGTCACGGAATCCTTCTCCCAAGGCTGGGCAGGCCATGCCTGGGATGTGTGGCCCTGTGAGCAATAAGAATGGCAGAGGCAGCTGGGCACTGGCTTGGGGAGGTTACCTTTACTGGCTTAGCTCTGCCAAAACTGGCTGTGGGACCAGGCAGGGGGAAAGTCACTTCCTCCTTTGGGACCTCAGTCTTTTCACTGGCAAAACTGGGGAGAGGATTTTTCCTCCTTACAGAGTTGGGAGTGTGTGCCGGGGGCCGGCCCCCGGGGCAACCTGGGTGCTGATCCAACCTGTGCAGCCAGACTCAAGAACAGACACATTTGCCTGTGTAAGTGGAACACCAAGCCTTTGCCCTGTGCATTCTAGAAATTGCTTTTAGGAGTAGACAAATGTTATACAAGGTTTTTATCCTATTGTTCCAAAAATGATTTAATACTAAAAAAAAAAATTAAATTAAAAAAAATCACCTGTGCACAATGACAAGCCGGAGAAAAGAGCCCGTGGAAATCCCAGCGGTGCTTTAGTTAAGGGGGCGTGACGATTCTTCTGCTGCTGTCTTCTGGCCAGCCCACACTGCTGGCTTTTGGAGTCCCACTGCACCTTTGCCTGCCTGCGGTCATCCTGCAGCATGGAGGGAACCCTGTGCAAACATCAGTTTCAACAAACTGCAGAACTAGACTTGTCAAACACTTTGAATGAAGAGCAGAAGGTTTCCCAGGTGCTTCTTCCCGCACCCATCACTGCTCTTCTCTGTTATCTTACTGAAAAATAATTAGGAACTATTTACATCACTCAGACGTGACTTCACATAGAAACCATATGTGAAAAAACCCTGTGAATGTCAATACAGACTCCGGGAACGCCGGCACCTGTGTCACAGCCCTGCCGCTCAGCTGAGGGTGCAGAGCCATGGTAAGAACATGCCAGGGGCCAGCAGCCAGGTGAGTCCCATCTGTTTTCCTGAGCAGTGTGGTGGGATTGCAGGGAGGAGCTGAGAAAGGTGGGAGAGGAAAAGAGCCAGGGGTTGGGGCTTCATCTTGAAGCTGAGAATGCTTTTCCAGAAGTTAGAACTGGGCTCTCCTATGGACTTCTTCCTCCTTTTTAGTATTAATAGAAACAAGATGTGAATTGGGAGAGACACACGCTTTCATACCTTCTCAACTCACACTTGGGGAGCGCTGGGTTCACTGGCCGTATTTTTAAATGGCTGACGCTTAAAGGTGCTTTATCTGTTGTACCTGGCAGCATCAGAAAGGCTGACATGGGGCTGGCCGCATTGGTTTATGCCTGTAATCCCCGCACTTTGGGAGGCTGAGGCAGGTTTATCACTTGAGGTCAGGAGTTCGAGACCAGCCTGGCTAACATGGTGAAACCTCGTCTCTAATAAAAATACAAAAATGAGCCAGGCATGGTGGCATGCACCTGTAATCCCAACTACTCGGGAGGCTGAGGCAGGGGAATCACTTGAACCCGGGAGGCGGAGGTTGCAGTGAGCAGAGATTGTGCCACTGCACTCCAGCTTGAGTGACAGAGCGAGACTCCGTCTCAAAAACCAAAAAAAGGCTGACATGGAATAACTATATAACCTGGCCTGGTTAATTCTGCGGCTTGGAGAAGTCTTCTTCAGATAATTCATCTTGGTGGGTTCATTTGGTTTCTGCACCAGTCAAAATCTGATTTTCTAAGGGGGACAAAGGAATAGATTCCTCTTGAAATTCAAGGTCTTGCTTATGAAGCCCTTTCCTATCCCAACATTATAAAGCCTTCTCTCCTACTTCTCTCCAAAGCAATGGTGTGGTCTCCACTCACTGCAACCTCCCCCTCCCGGGTTCAAGCGATTCTCCTGCCTTAGCCTCCGAGTAGCTGGGATTACAGGTGCCCGCCACCATGCCTGGCTAATTTTTGTATTTTTAGTAGAGATGGGTTTCACCATGTTGGCCAGGCTGGTCCTGAACTCCTGACCTCGTGATCCGCCTGCCTTGGCCTCCCAAAGTGCTGAGATTACAGGCATGAGCCACTGTGCCCGGCTGCCTCTTATATTTTCTGTTTGAATATTGAATTGGCCTGGGATTTATTTTTATGTGTGGCACAATTTAGAAATCCAAGTTGCACTCTCTCCTCCCACTGCCCAAGATGCTGAAAGGAAAGAAGGCTAAGGGGAAGAAGGTGGCTCCAGCCCCTGCTGTCGTGAAGAAGCAGGAGGCCAAGAAAGTGGTGAATCCCGTTTGAGAAAAGGCCTAAGGATTTTGGTATTGGACAGGACATCCAGCCCAAAAGGGACCTCACCTGCTTTGTGAAATGGCCCCGTTATATCAGGTTGCAGTGGCAGAGAGCCATCCTCTATAAGCAGCTGAAAGTGCCTCCTGCCATTAACCAGTTCACCCAGGCCCCGGACCACCAAATAGCTCCTCAGCTGCTTAGGCTGGCCCACAAGTACAGACCAGAGACAAAGCAAGAGAAGAAGCAGAGGCTGTTGGCCCGGGCCGAGAAGAAAGCTACCAGCAAAGGGGACGTCCCCACTAAGAGACCACCTGTCCTTTGAGCAGGAGTTAACAGTGTCACCACCTCGGTGGAGAACAAGAAAGCTCAGCTGGTGCTGATTGCACACGACGTGGAGCCCATTGAGCCAGTTGTCTTCCTGCCTGCCTTGTGTCGTAAAATGGGAGTCCCTTACTGCATTATCAAGGGGAAGGCAAGACTGGGCCGTCTAGTCCACAGGGAGATCTGTACGACTGTCGCCTTCACACAGGTGAACTCGGAAGACAAAGGTGCTTTGGCTAAGCTGGTAGCAGCTATCAGGACCGATTATAATGACAGATATGATGAGATCCGCCGTCACCGGGGCAGCAATGTCCTGGGTCCCAAGTCTGTGGCTCACATTGCCAAACGCAAAAAGGCAAAGGCTAAAGAACTTGCCACTAAACTGGGTTATATGTACACTGTTGAGTTTTCCGTACATAAAAATAATTAAAATAATACAAATTTTCCTTCAAAAAAAAATACAAGTTGCTTTTTTCATCCTTCAAAACAACAGCCAGTAGCTCTGAGTCTATCTCTGAAGAGGCAAATCCTTCCCCCATTTGAAATCACTGTCATGTCCCAGGTTCCCACCTGCTTGGAGACCCTGTCTTCCGTTCTCCTGATCTGCAGACACTCTGCTGCTTGCAGGCGGGAAGCTCCATCATCAGACCTGCATCCAGAGGCCAATCCCTTTTCCTTACCTGGGACTGTTCTTGAGTATTTCCTGTCCACCTTGTCAATTTCCATGAGCAATGCCTGGTGAGATTTTGCTGTTCGGTATGGAATGCCTTCGCGTAGGGAGAAGTAGCATCTTTCCAGTACCAAACCCTTCCCTCTGGAACACAACGTGTTTCTTGATTCAGATCTTTCCTTTCTCTCAGGAAAGTGTGACCATTTTATGCATATGAGACCATTTTATCCATATGAGTTTTTGTTGTTATTGGCTTAAACGTCTGCTAGTGAGTCGTGGAACTGCGTGTGACTTGCTCTGGCCCTCCACACCTTTTCACTGTGAAGTCACATCTTTCTTTAGCTGGTGCAAAGTTTTACTGTTGACTGTTTCCATTTCATGCTTTTTCCACCCCTATCCCATTTTGCACGGCTGTGGGGAAGAATCACGTGGCTCCATCTCTGCACTCTGTGTCTGTGTCATTGTGCCTTCAGCCCACTACTAAGTCTCTGTATTTTGTGATTTCAACTTTTTTTTTTTTTTCTGAGTCTCACTCTATTGCCCAGGCTGGAGTGCAGTGGTGTGATCTTGGCTCACTGCAACCTCTGCCTCCCGGGTTCAAGCAATTCTTGGGCCTCAGCCTCCCGAGTAGCTGGGATTACAGGCATGCGCCAACATGCCTGGCTAATTTTTGTATTTTTAGTAGAGACAGGGTTCCACCATGTTGGCCAGTCTGGTCTTGAACTCCTGACCTCAAGTGATCCATCCACCTCGGCCTCCCAAAGTGCTGGGATTACAGGTGTGAGTCACCACGCCTGGCCTGTGCTTTCAATTTCTAAGGAGTTTTTTCTTACCAGTCTATTCCCTTTTTAATGGAAACGATGGCCTCCGAGTCCCTTTGTGACTCCTGTATGAACATGTCCACCACGGCTAGCACGTGTCTCAAGATGCTGATGTTCGGCAGCTCCTTGTTGCCTGCTCGTATCTGTAGACGAGGCCCAGACTCCTGCCACAGGTGTGTGGAGAAGCCCTGGCTCAGATGCTGCCTCCGCAGCCCAGGGACGTCCTCCTGTCGTGTTTCTGAATGCTGGTGCGGTCTTGCCTTCCACACCGGGCTTGGCTGTGGCTTGCCACCGCCTGGTCTCCAGAACTCTCGTCTTACTGCTCACAGATTTTCTTTCTCCCTACACATCACGTCTTCTAATACAAATGTTGATGTTGTGAGTATGCATTTGTATTTTTAAAAACATCACCACCCCTCCTGCTGAGCTTTTTATTTCTGCTGTCTGCAGGCTCTGTTTAGGATCCTCACCCACCTCACAGGACTTCTATTTTTAGAGCTCATGTTTTCCTGTGTATTTTAAGATCAGAGCAGACACGAGCAAAAAATGACACATTTTCCTTTTTAAAAAACCTTTTTTTAAATAAAGTTTCGAGGACACTTCATCAACACAACTTTTTTTCATGGAAAACCGTCTCACATGTCTCAGGAGTAAGGAGCGGATGATGCCTGAGATTTTCTCGATTCCTGCAGTGAAGCTTTTTCACGATGTAGTTCCTTCACTTTGAGTCTCTCAAAGGCCCCATGTTGATCTGTTTTCTATTTATTCAATTGTATCGATTTCATATTTGCCCAGGAACGAGGCCCACGGGTGCTTCCTAGGTCTCGCGTTCCGACTTGCGTGTGGTGCAGGCTTTCAGAGCTCAACCCGGAGGGGCCCGTTTCCAGTTCAGTGACCGGCCATCTGAGGGCTGGGGAGGGGTGTGGCCAGGCTCACCCAGATGGGGAACTCAGGTCACACACGCCTCCACCTGTTTGGGTGAAGCCAGTGAGCTGGGGCCAGATGACACCTGACCTCCCTCCTGGAGCAGGAACGGAGGCTCCTTCCTGCGTTTCCCACCTGCTGTGCCCAAAGGAGCCTCCTAGAGCTCGCCCAGTGCTCCAGCTTCTCAGCCCACGTTCCCCAGGGCTCGGCTCCCGTGTCAGCCCTGTCACCTGGGAAATGGCTCCAGGGCCATCACCACCACTTCTGCCCCAGGGTCCACTCTTGACACAAGGGCACCAGGCAGGACCTCTGGCTGAGTCCTCAGTCTCACCCCTTTGGAGAGTGAAGTCCTCCGTCTGGGGGGCAATCAGTGGGTCTGGGGCGGCCAGGCCGACTGGCCTCAGCAGCGGGCGCACCGCTGAGCTGTGACCGTGCACCTCAGGCACATCGTTTCGGCTAACGTTCACACAACCCGCAGTGTGTGCTCCTACCGCACCCCCTTACAGATGAGCAATGGGAGGCTCAGAGGGATGAAGCAGCTGCCACCGCACACCCACCGCACCACACGGCGGCAGCACTGACGCTGAAAGCCACGTCTGCTGGCTTCCGAAGCTCCTGTTGTTAATCGTGGCTATGTTTCAAAACTGCAGAGAAGAAAGCCTGGAAATAAATAAGGGGCAATGTCAAGGTTGCCCAAGTGGTGCTCCTTCTTTATCCTTCTCATATTCTAAAATTTCTAGAAGGAATTAGACAACCAAAAAACCTAAGGGATGGGGACTAGTTAGTCTCAAAATAAACTCAGAATATTAGAACTGGTAAGAACTTTAGAAACCAAGGAGTTCAACCCCTTAAGCCAAAACCTGCACAGGTAGGTGACCTGCCCACAGCACCCACCTAGGACCACACCCCGCAGTGAGAGCTGGGCTACTGGGCTCCAGAGTCCAGCGCTCACTGTTGCAGAGCCAAAGGTATGTGTTCTGGAAACTGCAGCTGCAGATTCTGCACAAGTCTTTCTCATCCACTGGCAAAACCACGCCACCATTTAGGAAGATACCAAGATAGGACCCATGAATCACGACGGCTTCATTTAAAAGGGTACAGGCCGGGTACAGTGACTCATGCCTGTAATTCCAGCACTTTGGGAGGCCAGGGCAGGCAGATCACTTGAGGTCAGGAGTTGGAGAGCAGCCTGGCCAACATGATGAAACTCCATCTCTACTTAAAAAAAAAAAATTGGCCAGGCGTGGTGGTGCGCACCTGTAGTCCCAGCTACTCAGGAGGCTGAGACAAGAGAATAGCTTGAATCCAGGAGGTGGAGGTTGCAGTGAGCTGAGTTTGCACCCCTGCGCTCCACCCTGGGCAAGAGTGAGATTGTCTCAGAAAGAAGGGTACAGGCCAGGTACAGTGACTCATGCCTGTAATCCCGGCACTTTCGGAGGCCAAGGTGGGAGGATTGCTTGAGGCCAGACGTTTGAGACCAGCCTGGGCAACATAGGGAGACCCTATCTCTACTAAAAAATATTAGCTGGGCATGGTGGTGCACACCTGTCGTCCTAGCTACGTGGAGGCTGAGGAGGGAGGATGGCTCGAGCCTGGGGGTTCAAGGCTGCAGTGAGCTGTGATCACACCACTGCACTCCAGCCTGGGTGACAGAGTAAGACCCTGTCTCAAAAAATAATAATAACAGATATAAAAATAAGAGGGATGGTCTCAGCAGTTGTCAAGTGGTTGTCTTCCATTCTCCCCTTATCACGTGTGAGTGACACAATCCCGATGCTGAGCCGTGGGAACAAGAAGTTGGGTTGTTGAGCACCTGCCTCACTGCTGCCTGCTCACCACGCTCCTTGGGAACTGTCCCCACAGGCCTCCCTGGGAAGGACAGGGCAGTGAAAGGTGTGCAGGCTGATACATGTGGGGGATTTTATTTCAGGCACTTGCTCTTCAGTTTTTCTTACACGATGTTCCACAAATATAAAAATGAGAAACTCTTTCAGATTATCTGTATATCCATATACCTGGATTATTCTGGCTAAAGCGACAGGAAATCCCAGCAGTCTGGCTTCCCCGAGTAACCCTGTACTGCCTGGTTTAATCCCGCCGTCTGAGGGTGGGGTGGGCGTCAGGCATGGCTGGACACAGGAGTGCCAGTGGTGGGGTCAGAATCCAGCTTCTCCCTCTCCCGGCCCCAGTGGGTCTATTCCCCGAAGTCCTTGCTCCTGTCTGCAGGGCTGTGCCCACTGCCGGTGGGGCAGGGAGTGGAGAAGGGGGGCTGACTCACTTGCTCTTCTCCTGGAGTTGCTATTCTAACGGCAGCAAATCCACAGGAAAAAGGTAAACAAAAAAAAAAAAATAAGAATCTTTCAGAAAAAGAAGTATTTTTTAAAAAAAGAGAGAAAAGAAGGTGAGGAGTTCAGTGTAACCAGGTGACTACTCTGAACTGGGGACTGAGTCAGCCTCTGACGCTGAGCTGAATGCCCAATGACAAACGTGACCAGCCGTGCGGGCGGGGGCAAGGCCAAGGACACAGAGGGCCGAGGGCCCAGGGCCAGGTGTGGCGCTTCCAGACGTTTCTACTCTCTCATTTTATTCATGGCGACTTGGGAAGGAAATCTGTCTTTAATGAGCAAATGTAAGGCTGCGTTTTCTTTGCGAAGTCTCCACAGGATTTTCACGGCAAAACCAATGAGAAAATGTCCTTTCAAAGAGAAGACCGAGTGTCCCGAGAACATTTTCTTGAAAGCGCGTGCACGGGCCGCCCTCTCGAGGCATCGTAATGTGCTTCAAAGAACACTTGGTAAAACCCTCTGGCTAAAAAATCAAAATTTCCAAAGCATATACATTTGAAAAAAACAAAATCTCCACTTAAAAGCTTATTTTGACTTGTTGCCCGGGATCAATTGCAAAAGCGCTTCTGTTGAGAAAGGACAGTTCAGCCAAACTCAAGCTGGTTTTTAGAAACAGAACTGGAGGAAAAAAACCCAGAAAACATAAGGCACTGGGCAAATGTGACGTAGGCTGGGATGAAACCCATTCTCCCAGAGCCGGTCTCTCCCACAGCACAAAGCTGCTCCTCATGCAGCCAGCTGGCTGAGGGCCCGGAGTGTGTCCACAGAGGGAGGAGCGGGGCTGGGGAGGGGAAGAGGGGAGGCTGGCTCCCCGAAATGTGACCTGAGGACTGATCTGAGCTGCAGTGAGCACTTTTTACCCAGGGGCTGAGCTTCCTGGGCTCCTGCGACATGGATGGAGCTCTCCCTGCCGTGCTGCCAGCTCAGGAGCCTGAAGCCCAAGGGCGCGCTTCTGTACCCAGCATCCAGTCCCTGCCAGGGCCTTTTGAGAGCCGGATCCTTTGTTCATCTTCTCCTGTTCAGCCCACCCCTGGCAAACTCGAGATCACCTTCACATCACCCTCCCCTGCTTAGCCACTCACTCAGTCCCTGGCCCCTCTGCTCTGTCCCTCCAGAGAAACAGAAACCGACTCAAGGCCCGAGCCTGCACGATTGGGAGGCTGCAGTCTCTGCGCGCTGTGAGATGAACCGCAGGGCGGCTTCCCCACTCACAGGAGGGCCTGGGCGTTCACTGAGCGGTGACTTCTGAGAAGAATTGAGACCCGAGCAGCTCAGGCGGTGGCTCCGACACGTCTTGCCACGCAGGCCTCTCGAGTGCCATCGGAACCGGAGCGGCAGGGGACGGGGATGGCGAGTCTGCAGTGAGCTCCGTGGCTGTCCACGAGGTCACTTGTCCCTCTGCTGCCTGGCCAGCGCCACCCTCAGGGTGTCGGTGCCCAGGCGCAGGCCCTGCAAGCAGGAGACGGCCTGCTGGGCTGCGGCAGAGTCCGGGTAATGGAGGAAGGCTCTGCGCCGCGGGCCCTGCCAGGTGAGCCGCAGGGGCACGGAGCCGAGTTCCCGCAGGGCTCTCTTCAGGTCACTCACACGGGCGTCCCCGGGGAGGTTCCCAACGTAAACATCGGCTGCAAGCGGGGCACCCTCCCCTGGTGGGGAGCCAGGGGCTGCCTCCATGGAATTGGTTTCTGGTCCGGGTGTGTCCGGGGGCCTCCTGCCAACACTCAGGGGCACTGTCTGCTGGCAGCCTGGTTCCGGAAGGTGCTGGTGCTCACCCTGGAGGGTGACATCCTTCCCAGCCTGCTGCTCTCGGGCGCGGAGGCTCCTCAGTATGGGGATTTTCTCCATCATCTCCAGGCTGATCTGAAAAGCAAAGCAGTTGCAGCTCTTTCAGGGACAGAATCGCAGGGGCACCTGCCACACACGCATCCACACCTCTGACTACTGGCTGTGCTGCACACGTGGACTGGATGCCAAGTGGTCTGAGCCCCAGGGACATGGGACTCCCACTGTCCCACCCACTATCTCACACAGACGATGTCACCAGTCTGTAGCTCTGCCCCTCGCCCCTGGCTTAAGGGAAGTCAGCACTCACGGGGGCTCTGGAGCGTTTGCCACGAGCTGTGGAGGCTGCAGGGTTGGGCCTCCATTTTCCTCCAGGCCCAGAAGCAGGAAAGTAAAGCTGGGGCTCTCTGCTCAGGCCTCCTACCCAGAAGAGGCACCTAAGATTGCTACTATTGGGATTATAGGGTCACAAAAGGCAGCTCCCCTAATGACCCCCCCAGAATAATGGGGAGCTGCCTCCGCATCTGCCCCCTACCTGTACCTTTGGGTGGGATGAGGACTTTAATAAGACCACAGGGGTCTCCTCTCCCCTGAAGGAACGTCTCTCAGGGGTCACCCCCTTCAATGCACAGCCAAAAATGCAGAAGCAAGGCAAGTCTGAAACACAGCTTTGAAAACACTTCCTAGCGATGGGTCATCAAACTATGAAATCAGTAACGCTATGCGAAACTTAAGTCTCAATTGTATGCGACTTGCAGACAAAGGACATCTTTGGCTTTATCTGGATTTTTCTAATCAATTAGCTACGGCAGCGGGCCCCTTGGAACAGACTGGAACTGGCTTGATGCAGCCTAAATGGTGAAGGCCTGATGGCTCTGTCCTGTGGGGCAGTTTGCACTGGGGGCTGCCTATGGGTCAGGACAAGTCAGGTGACGCCTGGACCACCGTGCCCTGTGCAAAAAAGAAACAGACAGACACTGTGTAGTCCTTTTTGACAATTCTCATTCTTTAGAGATGCTTTTTATTTTTCTTTTGGGCACCAAGCTTTCACATGAGCATGGTCATCAAGAGGCAAGCCATGGTCACCTGCAGGCCTCCAACAGAAGTGAATATGTCGCAGTACAGGGCAGCACATGAGCTAGACAACTGTAAATTGTTCTACAAGATGAAATAGTTCAACTAGTATCAATGCTCTCATTACATTCAGAATAATATGTAATTTAGAGCAATGGTCCTTATCCTTGGCAGGGTGAGAGAGGAGCCTTTGTGAGGAGCTGGGGTTCCCTCCCAAGAATGACTCACCCACAATTTTCTGTACAATTTCCCAGGGTCGATAAAGACTATTCATGGGCCTCCAAACTACAAGAAGTACACAGGCCCCAAGTTAAGCATCAATAAATTAGAGTAACAGTTAAAGATACACAAAAACCTAAGAACAGCCAAGTGCATTCCTGCAAACCTAGAGGCTCTCAGTCTTCTCTCATCTAATACCTGGCTCTGTCTCCCAGTGCTGGGTGGAAAGTAACCTCCCCTCCCGGCGAAGCTTTTGCTTTGGTCAGAGTCCTCTGTGGTGGGATGCCACTCTGCTCCCTGGCACTGCCACGTCAGAAGCCTTGGCAGGTAGCAGGCACATGGCCTCATTTTGGTCTTGAATGGCAAACAGACTCTTGGCTGTCATAGAAAGACTCTGCAAAGAAAGACTTGCGCCAACATTTCCCATTGTTCAGATACAAAGGAAAACAACTCATGTCTATGCCATGAACATATCCACGATGCGCTCTTTTCTAATCACAAGGCATTTCTCTTCCACTGGGCCCTCGGCCATCCTTCTCAACTGATTCACTGTGAGGAGACTAAACTCACAGAGCAGTATCATACCAGCTCTGAGGCCCAAGGAATCTTCAGCCGATTGTATATTTGCTGGCTCAGAATAAAGGAGCTCCCTGTGATGTGCACGGAAGGATATATTTGTCTTTCCCACGGCATGTTTCAAAACAGATTTCTGCCGCAAAACCCCAAGTGTGAAGCCTCGCCTGAGAATGCTTGCTTCTGCCATAGGGAAGCTTGAGGTGCTACTGGACACAGATGGGAGGGGAAGAATGAGAACGACCTAAGCCCAACCACCCCAACCTCTTTCTACACCTCTATTCCACCTTCTCAGAAAGTTCAGGCTTTTGTGTTTTTTTTGAAACATGTAAAAACAGATATAAACTGGTCATCATTTGATTTTGAAGGATCTTTTAAATTACCAGATTTAGTATTGAAACAGATGATACAATTTAAAAATGCAATTGCAATGACAGAAAAAGTGTGGCTATGCATTTATCTGGAAGAACTGAAAGTTACTTGGCTCTGAGTACAGCACCAGAAGCCTTGAGGTGAGAGCATCCCGTGGGGTGGGGTGGGGGCAAGGTAAGGGGTGCAGTAAGGGGTAGGGGTTTGGGGGCAGGATGCACCCTCCGGGTAAGCACTGCTCTTCTGATGGGGTCCATCGGGAGCTGCGCCAGCCCAGTCTCCTGCCTCCTGAGTTATTTCCCCTCCCATCTGTGTCCAGTAGCACCTCAAGGTTCCCTATGGCAGAAGCGAGCATTCTCAGGCGAGGCTTCACACTTGGGGTTCTGCGGCAGAAATCTGTTTTGAAACATGCCGTGGGAAAGACAAATATATCCTTCCGTGCACATCACAGGGAGCTCCTTTATTCTGAGCCAGCAAATATACAATCGGCTGAAGAATAATGAAAACATCTTAACCACACATTATGAGCTAACTGGCGGCCAGGGCACTGGCACACTGGCATCCGCAGGGGCCGTTAGAATGGAAATGTGGAAGTGTGTTCCACTGCAGGAAAATCGCTCTTTTCATGAGCAGTGTTTGTGGGTAAAGGATGACAAGGCTTCACATCAGCTCCCTCCTCCTCAAGCTCTAATGGCTGTGGGGCGGCTTTGCCACTCTGCCAGCAGCTGGATGACCACGCCGATCCCTGCCACAGCTGACAAGAAAGCCTCCTGTGTGCCAGCCAGCAGGGTGTCTGGACGTCATGGTTGGGATGAGTGCATGGCAGTGCTACTGTTTCCTGGCTGGCAATGAGGAATAGTTGTTACATTCTGTCAATCTGGCATGTGAAGTGAAAAATTATGCTTGTTACTCAAACATGAGAAAACATTTTTGCCTTTTTATAACTAATTCTATTCTAAAAAAAAAAAATAGAATAAACTTTAAGTTTAAAAACCTGTCCCCTAGACATGCTAAGTCAAATACGAATCCGAAATCTGACTTTCAAGATTTCCGATTGAGAGTCAGAAACTGCTCAAAAAAGCAGACACCTGGGCTCCAATCTTAAGGCAGCTACATGCTGCTCTTACCATTTTGGATAAACTGCTTTTCTTTCTCACTCTTGCATTACCTGACCTGAAGATAAGGAAACTGGGAGGATGATCTTTGAATCCCCCTCATTTTTTTTTTAAGAGACAGGGTCTCACTGTGTCACCCAGGCTGGAGTACAGTGGCACAACTCATAGCTCACTGCAGCCTTGAATACCCAGCTCCAAGTAATCCTTCTGGCTTAGCCTCCCAAGTAGCTGGCACTACATGTGGGCACTCACCACCACACCCAGCTAAGTTCTGTATTTTCAGTAAAGACGGGATCTTGCTATGTTTCTCAGGCTGGTCTTGAACTCCTGGGCTCAAGTGATCCTCTTGCCATGGCCCCCCAAACTGCTGGGATGATAGGCGTGAGCCGTGCTGGTGAAGATGAGCAGACATCAGAAGTATTTCTAATACTAAGTTCAACCTCCATAAATAATGAGTTCTCTTGCCTGAGACTAAATTTGGTTGTTCACTGAGGAAAATGCTTTAAGACACTTCCAAATAGCCACAGTGAAATAACCATAGGGAGTAGGTATGCTCAGAGGAGAGCACAGGGAAGGCCAAGGGACCGTGCTGCCTTCCGTAAACATAAACGCCAGGCAGGCCTCGAAGCCTCTGCTGGCTCTCTAAGGGCAGAATCTCTTCAACGTGGCTCATGGAAAACCCTTTTGTTCATAGTTGATCAAAGGTGTCAGTTGGTAGAAAAAGGCTCAATAGGGCCACCCCTTTACAATCACGCTTCGACTGGGAGTGCTGACGGACAGCAGGGGCAAGGCCTGCATCTCCCAACAGGGGGCCTGACCACAGGCAGCGCTGCGTTCGACTGTACCCCAACATCAGGAAGGGATGGCTCAACCTGGGAGGGGTCTGGAAGTCACTAAGAACTATTTAGTAAAAAACATTTCTGTTTCCTGGTATACATGATCACCTTAAAACTGACGCTGCGAAATGCCAGCTTCCATCTGCACGCCTTGGCTCCTGCCTGGCCCTCATTGCGAGGCCCGCGGGAGTGGCTGCCTCCCTCCCCCTGCTCCGCACAGAGTCCTGCATGGGACCAGCAGCTCCTGTCTCACTTCCGCACTTGGGGTTTCAGCCCTCGGAGAAGAGCAGCCGCGTGGTTCCCCTCACGCAGACATGCTTGAGCTTTCCGTGTTGGCTGTTCCGGTGTCACCCTACACACGTCTGTGCGTGAGTTTTAAGAACTGGCGCATATTTAACTATTTTCATTTCTGAATTCTCATTTCTACTAACTGGGTACCCTGGGAACAGAGATAGCTACCTTGCTGCTGTGTGACTGGGTTCAAATGCACCCGGGCGCAATGTCTACCTTGGAAAATATTGAACAAATTTACTATTTTTTTCCTAAATATTGTTGATTATAAAATTAGTATATGCTTGTTGTGGGAAATTTGGGAAGAAGGTAGAAACGTTTGAAATCCTATCTCCCAGAGACAACTACTGTTAATATTCTGCTGTATTTCCTCGCCGTCTTTTCTCTCTGCCCTTTAACATGAGCAGAATATGAAATTCCATATCAAGCATGTATAATATCATATCGTGCCTTTTCTACTTTATACCACATGCACTTTCTCCTGCCACAAAATATTCTTTAAAAAGCTGTATGCACTTAAATGGACTCCCCCCACCCCCATTTTAAGGCACTGCATGTCTTCTATAGAGATTCAGATAAGTCCTTATCTGAATTTCTACATATTTCTCTAGGACTGATTCCTAGAAGGTAAATTATCAGGTCAAATACAGTAATTCTTTTTCAATGAAAGCCTCTCTCAGCTCTCTAAACATACTGGCCCAGTTGTGGGTAGGGGTTGGTTCACAGTTAGCTGCATTATTTGCAGAGAACAATTGTGTTTTATGCGGGATCTGAAATTGGGCTTTGCTGTCCCAGGACTGCTGCTCACAGAGGAGCCCTGTTCTCAAATCCTTTTTCTTGAGGTATCTGTAGATCATGCAGCATACTGTGGCCATCTGAGAACCACACTCCCCAGCAGGCTGTGTGGGGAAGAGCGGGCCATGCTTTGAAAGCTACAGAATTGTTTCCTTGAGTATAAGCACGAGCGTGGCTCTGGAAGAATCCAGTTTCCCTCATTAAGGAGCAAATGAGTTGACCCAGGAAAGTCAGATGCACGGGCCTTGGTCTATGGTGTCCTCGCCAACCCCGTGGTAATCAGGAGCCATGTGCTGATGGTGAGGAGCACAGGACGGGTGAGAAGATGTGTGTGACTGACAGTCCTTCCACTGGGCAAAGGCCAAAAGGCCCTCTGGTTTGTGGGTCTGGTGACGGGGACCACAGGCTTGTGGGTGCCCGAGTGGCTTCTCCTGAGCCCTCAGTCTCCCACTCAGGCTGGCCTTGCCTTCGGCACAGTTGAGGTTCTGGAGTCTGTAGCCATGTCCTACCATTCCTCTCTGTCTCCAAGGTATTCTTAACATATATCATTCCTGCCCCCAGCTCAGGCCAGCTCTAGGGAAACACTACAATGGTGTGGTGGGTCTCCACGGTCCAGGTGCAGCTTGGGCAGAACAGAGCTTCCAGGGTGGCGGCGGCAGTGGCAGACCCGGGTCTCCCCACAGAGGCTTCACCTGCTGCTGCTGTCCAGGTGCTCACTCGGGTCCAGCAGGTGACCACGGGTCTCAACAGGAAGTTCCGTTCTTCTGTTGTCAGTGACTCATAGGACACCACTCAGCCCTGGGAGCTGGCTGGGACTCTGCATTTCACTCCCGACAAGGGCAGGCACTGGTCAGTGGCCAGGGCTGCTCGACACTAGCGGGTCCAGGGCTTCAGCCATTTTCGGTTTGCTACGGCACAGAGCTGAGGCAGCCAAATGGCTCTCAGCCCACTACAGACTACCTGACACACGGCTGTCACAGGGAGAGACATCGCACGACTGTCTCCAAGGATCAGAAGATCAATGGAGCTGGACGAACTGCCCAGAGGTTCAGGACCACGTTCCAGCTTCAGGCCCAGGTCTCTGGTACCATCTCCAGCCTGGCAGAGATCCTTGGTGTAGCTAGGGGTTCAGGGAGTCCTGGGTTTTCAGGGTACGGTGACTGGGAGATGGGGCAGCAGCGGCTATGCATCTTGTGGTTTGGATGTGGCCAAGTCACCCTGAGTTTCACGGGTCTGTGGGTGAGGCGATCGCCCCCAGAGACAGAAGAGCACACGAGGACAGAGCAGACAATGTGCCTTCTAGAAAGGAGGAGCAAAAGCAGAGCCTTCTGGGGAATGTCTCTGTACCTCTCTCTCTTCCTGCCAGAAAGTTTCTGATGAGGGTGCAGAGTGCTGGAATGCATTTTAAGCCCCTTACCCAACCCTACCAGGCTTCCTTTGCTGAAGATGATATGGAGGAGGAAGAACAACGGCTACTTGTGGGGGGTCTCTGCAAAGCACCTGCATGGTCACAGGCGGTATGGAGCAGCCAAAGGGCTGGAGAGCCGGGGTCAGTGCCTTTCTCTCCTTGTCCTCCACTGAGAGGTACAACCCGTGGCCATAGGGAGACACGTGCAGGACCCCATCTTGGCTCAGTGAGCTACCCAGAAGGACCATCCTAAGAATTCTGCCAGCAGCACAGAGAAAGAAGAAACATGCATGGCGTCCAGGAAGATTTCTCAACTTTATTAACAGCCTACCTCGCATTTGCGACAGTGATGTTGACTGCGGCCATGCTCCCAAGCATCGTCCTGGGCATTCTACATGCACTGCCTTTATTTCTAAGACAAACGAGAGGGCTTGGAGAGTGTGTTGGAAGTTACAGATAGAGCTATGAAGTGGGAAACTCTTGACTGCTAAACTCAGCAATACACTCACTGGCCACCTGGTTTCCTTTCTTTAAAATCATGAGACACAAGCTGAGAAGAGCCCACCGGATGTTGATGGTCAATCAAGGAGATGCGCTGTTTACAGTAACTGCACTCAAACAGAGCGTGTATTAGACTGGTCTGTAAGACAGGGCAGGACGTCAACTACTGGAAAGGTGGAACAAAGGCCAGGGAATTAGATGCTGAACTGTCTTTGCGTATTGAAAATGGGTGAAGAAAAGGCAGTTTGTACTTCCTTCACATCCTTCATCAAGAGATCTATAATGCATCCCAGATATTCCAGTAAGATAGCCAAGAGGTAAATTCTTAGATTCTAAAACCTATAAACCTATAAACCTATCACTATAATATCATGGAGAGGTATGCCAAATATTTGCCAAAGTCAATTTGAAACAATATTATAACCTAGCACTGAACTGTCCGCCTTCCACATTCAAACTCTTTAATGGAATTTAGAGATTTTTTTTTTCTCCCAACAAATGTTGATGAAACTCACTTTGGCTGCATGGCTAGCGAGACTAAAACAGAAACACTGGGAGCTGTAGAAAGTGACTGATTTCCTCTGACCATGCAAAGGGATTATCAGGTGGTGAAACTGAGAACACAGGACCCAAAATGAGAGATGGCCTTTGAAAAGTCTGAGATTCTTGCTGAGGCCTCATAAACAGTGACTTTCCTGGAAGAGGGTCTCGACAAACAGCGAAGCCCCCGATGCCCTCCCTCCCCCACAGTGCTGACCCTCAGGAACCCTGGCTGAGTTTGGTTTGCTTTTCTGTAGGAGGATATATTCACCTAACGTGTCCGATGACTTCATTTGTTGCTACTTTTCTAGTTAAAATCTTCAGAATGTAACCAGGCTGTTCCTAGCTCTCTGCCAGAGGAGGCTGTCCAGGCTCCCCCTAATACGGCTGCAATGGGCCCCTTCTATGACGCGCAGGCCTAGAGGGACTGCCAGCAGCTTCGCTGTGGCTAATGCCCTTGTGCAACCTTCCCACCATCCCTGTTCTCGGCTCTGAGGAGCCGCCAGCCTTATGCTCTGTCTCGTGCATTGGCTTCCACTTACAAGGAAGCTGTGGACCAGAGTTCCCAAGTGAAAGACTCTTAAGAAAGACATCAAGGGATATTTTCATTTCCTGGAAGAGCAGTGACCACCTTCTTTCCCAGTGCTCCTGGTGCGCTTAGAGGGCCGCCCATACACTCTGGGTTACAAAGGCTGTTCCCTCTGCGTTCATCAGCGGCCAACCGAGGAGTGCACACCTGGGAGTCCCCAGCAGTGCCTGCCCAGGACACCTGCAGGGAAAGTCCCGGCTGGGCTGTGGCAAAAGCAGCAGGTATTCTGTGTTCATCCTTAGAGGTGATGTTGTTAATTTTCCATGCCCAAAGGAGGGATTCAAACGGTGAATGATTTGGGATTAAAGAATGGGAGACGTGGACACGTATGCTTATTTGACCAGTAGTTTTGTCCACACGAAGCACAAATGTCTTCTCAGTAATTCTGGCTGTTTGCCAGCAGAGACAGCATCATAACCTACAGGCTGATTTGCAGGGTCAAACTCCTACTGCAGACTAATTTGCAACCTGTGCCATTACCTAATCTGGAGATAAAAACCACAAATGCATAAAATGTACAAAGGCTTGGTACTGCCTCCTACTCAGGCTAGATCTGCTTGAAGATCCAGATCGTCAGTAAAAAAAAAAAAAAAATCTGGATTTAAAAAGGGAAGACCAATGAGATAACACCAGGCAGAGCTTGCTGCGCCTGGGATGGCAGAAAACAACTCTTAAAAATGAAAAACAGGGGGCAAGTAAAGCTTCAAGGCATTCACCCTCCCAGCCCATGTGGCCATTTCTGCCATCTACAGAGGCAGATTTTAAACCTAGCTGCTTTTTCGAATCCCAGAGATCCATACGCAGATTCTTAGGCCTGGGCCTGGACATGGTCATTCAGGAGCCAAATTGCTCAAAAGCTCCTTGGGTGATTCTAACATACAGCCATGCTGGGATTGCCAACAGCTCCCATGCCAGACAGAAAACACTTAAAAGAGGAGGAGCCGCTAAGCTACAGGCCAGAGCTGGCCACTGCCGTGACCCACCTTGAACCAGGTGATTCCCATTGGCTTTGGGCGCTTGCAGCCTGTGGCGATGACTCTGGTTGGAGTGAGGATGTAGTCCACAGTGATGTCGTGCTCCTCAACAAGCTCTTCAGGGATGTCCACGACCTGGGGGAAGAGAGGAGGGATAAAGGGGCTGCTGGGAATGCCACTGCAGTCGTGCACACTGCCCCGCTCGGTGGGAACGTGAGGCTGGCTAGAGAAGCACCCCCAAATCCACTCTGGGGCTAAGGCTTAGCCGCTGTACCACTAGCAAGTCCAGCCCTGGCTGATCCACACCACTCGCCACACAGCATGGTTCAGAAGCAGATGAGTCTCCTTCCCCACCCCCTGCTCCCTCAGAAGAGAATGGCAGTGGCTCTGCTCAGCCCATTCATAAGGAGCACCTGGCAGTCGTGGACGATGGTGACCACCGGCGTCTCCTTGCTGACGGCGCCCATGGATACCATCATGGCATATTCCAGATCGGCGTAGCCTTCTCCCTTCCCGATTCTCCAGCCTAAGAGACAACCGAGAATCAGTATCGCTGTGCGGTCCGGGGCATCGCTGAGAAGTGGATTTTCCATCAGGTCCAGTGGAAGAAGAAACTTGAACCCAATATCCCGAGCTAATCTATAGAAATTTTCACAGAAATGCCCACCAAATGCCCACAAGCAGCCCACACTGACGATGGACTTTTGGGCATTCAACAGGAATAACAACACGGCCAATGTCAGGTGGTGAAACTACAATGACGTGAACACTGGACCGTTCAAGCATGTCACAAAGGGAAACAGATCACACTCATGTCAGCTTTATGTTAGCAAGACTCATACTTAAAAAGAATGAAAAGAGCAGTTCTCAAAAAGACTAAAAACAAATTCCCACTGAAAGCAAAACATGTTTAATCAACTTACCTCGGAGGGAAAATCGCTGCTCTGAAGTCAGGAGTGTGTGAGGGCATGGCCTTGTTTCTTCAAAAGCACTGAATACTCACCACTAGATACCAGGTCCTGAGGGACGGTTTAAGCAGTACTAAAGCGTTTTGCAAATTTGTAATTAGTGGCACAACAAAAGGATTATCTGAGCCTAAAAGAGTAGCTAAGATGAAATCGAGGTTTAACAGCCTCTCTAGCCAAATCAGCTATTCAGAGACAAAAATGCAGGAAGACAGGATACATCAAATGCCTTCTGGCCCCCATGGAGAAGCTACAATTCCGCTTATGAGAAGCCTGAGGCACTTCAGAAACTGAGGCCAGCGAGTGCCACCAGCAGCATCACCCGCAGAGCACCCGCATCACTGCTGCCGTGTCTAAGACTCACATCTGATCAAGCTACTTTGACAATTCAAAACCTTCAACTGTGCATGCAGAGAAACAAGAGAAAGAAAATTCAACAGAAAAATAGCAAAGGATATGAACAGTTCACAGAAAATGACAGGCAGATAAGCCGCAAACATGAAAAATGCTTGACTGCCTCCTAATTAGGTGCAAATCAAAGGCAAAGGAGATGCTAGTCACTGCTCACTAGCGGACTGCTCAAAGTCAAAGCTGGCTCACTCCAGCTAGGAACAAGGAAGCGGGAAAAGAGGCCAGGCACCACTGTTGAGGGCCGAAAGTGAGCGGCCCTTCTGGTGGCAACATCAAGGCTGACAATCCACCCTTCAGTTCAGCAACTCCCCTCCGAGGCATTGGCCCCCATGGATAGCCCCAAAGGTGCACCTAGACTATCCCACAGAACATACTTCACTCCAACATGGTCTGTAAGAGAAAAGACCAAAGCCAAATCTGGAAATAACTCATAACGTATGCATCCATCGGCGGGGGTGGGCTTCAGTTACTGAGGTGCAGTCACGTGAGAACACCGTGCAGTTCCTCAACACGGGCCCAGGAGGCCAGCCCGCAGTGCTGACAGGAAGGGGCTCTAAGACACAGTCTCCAGCAAGGCACGGAGCTCTGTGTGTGCCACCGTCCCTTCTGTGAATGCAGAAAAGGGATATCTATACATCTATACCTAAAAACTATAAGACAGGGGTTCCCAACTCCTGGGCCACAGACCAGTACTAGTCCATGGCCTGTGAGGAACCGGGCCACACAGCACGAGGTGGGCAGTGAGAGAGTGAAGCTTCATCTGTATTTACAGCCGCTCCCCATCACTCTCATTACTGTCTGAGCTCCGCCTCCTGTCCGATCAGCTGCGGCATTAGATTCTCACAGGCGTGCAAACCCTCGTATGAATGGTGCATGCCAGGGATCTAGGTTGCGTGCTCCTGATGAGAATCTAATGCCTGCTGATCTGTCACTGTCTCTTATCACCCTGAGATGGGACCGTCTAGTTGCAGGAAAACAAGCTGAGGGCTCCCACTGATTCTTTATTATGAGTTGTATAATTACTCTGTGATTTATTATGATGTAGGAATAACAGAACTAAAGTACACAATAAATGTAATGTGCTTAAATTATCCTGAAACCGTCCCCTCCCTGGTCCATGGAAAAATTGTCTTCCATGAAACCGGTCCCTGGTGCCAAAAAGTTGGGGACCACTGCTATAACATATCTGTGTCTCGGCAAAAGAAACTATCATCAGAGTGAACAGAGAACCTACAAAATAGGAGACAATTTTGCAAACTATCTGTCTGACAAAGGTCTAATATCCAGAGTCTGTAAGAAACTGAAACAAATTTACAAGAAAAAAACCCAAACAACCCCAATAAAAAGTGGGCAAAGGGCATGAACAGACACTCCTCGAAAGAAGACATTTATACAGCCAACAAACATGGAAAAAAGCTCAACATCACTGATCATTAGAGGAATGCAAATCAAAACCACAATGAGACACCACCTCATGCCAGTCAGAATGGCCACAGATGCTGGCAAGGCTGTGGAGAGATAGGAACACTTTTACACTGTTGGTGGGAAGGTAAATTAATTCAACCATTATGGAAGACAGTGTGCTGATTTCTAGAGGACCTAGAACCAGAAATACCATTTGACCTAGCAATCCCATTACTGGGTATATACCCAAAGGATTATAAATCATTCTACTCTAAAGACACGTGCACATGTAGGTTCACTGTAGCACTATTCACAATAACAATGACATGGAATCAACCCAAATGCTCATCAACGATAGGCTGGATAAAGAAAATGTGGTACATATACACTATGGAATACTATGCAGCCATAAAAAGGAATGAGAGCATGTCCTTTGCAGGGACATGGATGGAGCTGGAAAACATTATCCTCAGCAAACGAACGCAGGAACAGAAAACCTAGCACTGCATGTTCTCACTCGTAAGTGGGAGCTGAACAATGAGAACATATGGACACAGGGAGGGGAACAACACATACTGGGGCCTGTCAGGGCAGGGGCAGTGGGAGGGAGAACATCAGGTAAAATAGCTAATGCATGCTGGGCTTAATACTTAGGTGATGGGTTGGTAGGTGCAGCAAATCACCATGGAACACGTTTACCTATGTAACAAACCTGCACATCCTACACATGTATCCCGGAACTTAAAAAAAAAAGATATCTGTGTCTCACACGCATGCTACTATGTACAACGTCTACACTAGGAACTCCTAATGGGGCAGCTGGGAAGGAACAGGGAAGACTTATGGTGCAGCTTTCTGTGCTGTTCAATTTTCTAAGCAGACACATGGTTACTTTACTACTTTACACAGGGGGTTAGCTAAACGATGAAACTTACGAAGTGTTACTTTCTTCTTTATACATCCCTGAACCTGATGATATTTTCCAAGAGGGGACCTTTGCTGATTTCCCACCACCAAGAGCCCAAGTCCCATCATCTGGCCTCAAGGCTGCTGAGAAGGGGCCGCAACCTAGTAAAGGGCCTGCTGCCTGAGGACCCTTCAGTCCCCTCTGCCTGGACTGTGGCCGGCATGCAGGAGCCAGCCCTGAGGCCGCTACTGAGGAGATGCCCCCTCCAGGCTGGCACGTCCCTCCTCAGACTCCCCTTCCCCCTCCCGTCGGTCCTGACTTGTGTCCAGCACTGAGCACGTCACGTCCTGTCCTGGTCCAGCTCTCGTGTCTGGCCCACCCACACACCATGCACTTAAAGACCACCCAGTGCCTGCCTGGCACACAGCAGGTGTAGCAGGTATACCAGAACAGTGCGCTCCTGAGTCCCCAGCCCCGATGACACAGACGAAGCACCAGAAACTGGGAATGCACTGAAAGCAAAGAATAAAGAACAATGTCCCCACATCAGCTCCAGTGGTGGCTGGGAAAAGAGGGCACCCTGAAGCTGGAGACAGCAAGAGGTGGTGTGGTGACCCTGCCCTCTTAGCAAGGGCCCCCTGGCCTTGTGGACCGAGAGCAGCCTGCCTCACATGCAGCGTGGCAAAGCACCAGGCCTGAGAAGAAGTCTCGGACACACCACGTTGTTCAGGAGTCTCGGACACACCACGTTGTTCAGGAGTCTCGGACACACCGTGTTGTTCAAGAGTCTGCTGCTTCATAATAAAAACAAAGCTTGGAACCTACTGTTTTTCCATTTGCTGGAGTCCCTCCAAAACCAACTATTTACTGACATACTGAAAAGAAATTAAGCTCCAGCTCACTCAAGAACAGAGAGAAAACCTTTCACCACCTGAACAGAGAGTTATCTCACTTTGTTTTTCCTGCTAAGAAAAGTGAAAATGCTGTACACATGTTGGGCTGGGGCCAGAAGCGGGTGGGCTGAGCCAATTCTTCACCTCTGAAAAATGCAGCGGCTTCGGAGACCAGGTAAGCGCATCCAGAAAGCAGACACCACTGGCGACTTTTGAAAGACAAACAGCCTGGCACGCAGCCGCCTTCAGGCAGAGCTGTCACACTCAAGGGTTCCCATCTGCTAGTCTTACCTTTTTCAGAAACGGCGACGGATCCCACCACAACTAAATCCACGAGGACTCTGGAGTCCAAGCCTATGGGGACACTGTAGTTCCTCACACCCTGCACACAGAGATACGGATTGGAAAACTTCAACTCCAGCTGCTTCCTCATTTTATAATTCATGATCAAAGTGCACTCAGGGTTTGAATCAACCTCTTGGACAAAACAGATGCAGGCACACGCAACACCGGAGATGTGGCGTTTCAGGAGAAGCCGCATTCCAGAAACCGCTTTAGGGCACAGTTTCCCCAGTCTCTTTCCCAGAAAGGCGGCCAAGAGGAACTCACAGCACAAATTCATAGGCTGCCAACTTCATAACATTTAACAAATCGTTTTTCCCCATAAGGCAGAAGAGCACAGTGGTGAAAACACAGGGGCAGAGTCCCAGGGAACTGGGTTCAGAGCCTCTGAGCCACAGGTCCCCAGCAGGCTGGAGCTCTCTGAGCCTCAGTTTCTTCAGCTGTAAGACAGGGACACCACCCTCTGCCTCGTCGGACCAGTGTTGGAATTAAATAACAAAACGTATGCATTTAGCACATAAGACATGGTCAGTAAACACTGTATGACATATTTATTCAATATAAAATCCTGAAGGCCACTATCTTTATGTACAATATACTCGCTTCTAAAAAATTATCCCTTCAACCAAAATGTCCCAAAAGTGTACCGCTTTATACTAATGCAGGCATGCATATAAAGAATAGGGAAGCTGAATATGTTCATGGTTCTCATAACACGGTTTATGTAAGACTCAGGAAAAAGCCATTTTCAGTCCCGTATCCAGCAGTAACTGATCATTCGATGTGGCGGTGGGATCTGCCTGCAGTGCTATGACAAGTTCCGTATGGATCAGTGCATACGGGTGGCTTGGGGGTCTCCCGACAGTCACAGAAGGGGGCTTAGTCCAGGAAACCCTGCACTGCAGGAAACCCTGTGTTCTCATCATCTCGCAGGGTCCACGGGGGCAGGCACTGACCAACTGCAAAGGAAGAGACGGCTTGCATTTGTGAATGCTGACCATCACCATGCTTTCGTCTCAGTTTTCTATCTTTCTTTTTCCTTTGCTCCTTTCTCTCTCTATATATATATTTTTTACTTTATTGTATGTATTTTTAGAAACCATATCAAATTCTATTTTTGGAATAAGCAGGGTGCTAATAAGTAAACAATGAAACGTTCCAGTTTTATACATTAGGCTTAAGTGGCAAATCCCATAAAAAAGCGTATCTTCAATTGTCTTATTTTTTCTTCTCAGTAGATTAAAAATTAAATGACTTGGAGTTTACCTTAAGATTCTTAAAAAAGTCACCAAATTCGACTTAACTGTAAAATACATGACCAATTTTATTATAATGCACCCTAAAGTCATATTTGTACACTTGGTTTTACTAAATTGTGAGGCATTCAAGAAAATCTTAAATATGTAATTATCAGCAATTACTCACTTAGAACTGGTGAGGCAATTTCCAATGGAGCATGTTTTGGAAATTCTATCCTGTCTCCCCAGTCGCTCTGGTGGCACCTGATGAACAGGCCGGGAATAAGAAAAAGCTCCACAATACTGAACATCGCAGGTTAACACCGGGCAGTGCCAGAGAACCAGATCACCCGTCTTCCCTTTTCTTACAATAAGGAATTTATAATTTGCCAATTTCGTGCAAAATAGAAACTGAGTTACAGAAATAGAATCTGTTTACTCAGTTTTCCCACGTGGCTCCATTAAGGACAGAATTCTTGAATACTTTAATATCTCTGTTCTTTTGGCTCTGTTAAAAATGAATTCCAACTGTGTGCTGCTATCTTATGCTAAGTCGTCAGAAGCCTTCACAGGGTACAGTTCTTTCCTAGGTGGGGACATTGCTTCTGGTACTTACCTGAGAGGTGGCACATTTTCTCAAGATGTCTTTAGTTGCCCCAGGGGGTGGTGTGATCTTATTAAACAATCCCGTTCTCAGTCGTGGTGTTGGAACCAACAATGTTTTTTTGCTCTTTTAAAGAAAAGACAATCAATAAATTACAAAATCAAATTATTCCATAGGACTTTCTTATATGTATTTTTACCATTTCAGGAGAAGAGGCAAATTACTATTATCCGCATGGTTTTTTTTGGTGTGTGCCAAGGAAATTACTTATTTGAAAACCTAATTAAATAATGTGTGGGGTCGATTTTTCTTAGAATCACCACTCGGCACCTCCTTACCCTGAAGAGCCAGAGGGTTTACTAAACTTGCTAATTTGATTTCACTTGCCATTCAAAATTGTTACAGGTAAAAACTGACAACAGAAATCCAAACTAAGGTCAGTTCTGACAAAATCCCAACCTCAACTTTCCTGTGCCCCCTCTGCTCTCAGCACCAAGTGCGACACAGTTACAATAATGCTGTCATTAGAAACTGGCATGGCATAGCTACCTTAGTTACTCAAACATTTCTATCTAGTTTGACTGTTCAGCAAATCACAGTCAAAGAGATCAGTAATCATGATAATCAATACACTGATACGTGCCAATAGCCCTTGACTTCTACTTAGTTCTCAAATGCCTATTGTGAGAACCTCTAGAACAGGGCTTCTCAAAGTGAGGGCCCTGGGCCAGCGCATCAGCGCTCCTGGCACCTGTTAGAAATGAATCAGCCCCTCTGGGGGTGGGGAGCTTCGATGAGCCTTCCAGTGACTCTGATGCACACGAAAGTTTGAAAACCACTGGCTGAGATGTCTCTGTAGATTATGCAAGGGTAAGCCACAAGGCAATCATAAGATCTGTGAAATCTTTCATGTAAATAATAGTATATTTTAGTTTTTGAGCAGGAGATGACAACCCAAGACCAATAAAAGACCCATGACATCTGTTTGGCCTATTTCAACAAAGGCTTGTCAACCACAAGAGTGAAGTACTTCAACACAGGCAGCTGTGACTGCGGCCTGCTGCTTTTCTGGGAGTGGTGGAGTGTGGCTCCCTCATGGGCAGTGTTGGAGTCCTGTGCCCCACATATGGGGATCACTCTCTCTTTTCTAGAAGCTGCTCATCCTCTGGCTCAGTGGATCTCAGCCTTTAGTGTGCATTAGAATCACCAGCAAGCTTTAAGAATTACCGAGGTCTAGACCTCACTCCAGAGACTGGAACCTGGCATGGCCAACAGTCTTCAAACCTCCTTGAGTGATACCACCATGTGGCCAGAGCTGGCAAGTGGCACCTAAGCCAGTGGGGCTTAAGCCTGTGTACTTGGAGCACCCTCGGAGTACTGATTGAACAGAATCTGATGCCACTTTAGAGACTCACAGGTCTGGGGTTGGGCCTGGGAAGCTGTGCATGCCCCCGGCACTGCGGACTGTCCGGTCAGACACTGGCCACTGTGCCTGTAGCTGTGGCTTGAGGTTGTGCATGCCCCCAGCACTGCGGACTGTCCGGTCAGACACTGGCCACTGTGCCTGTAGCTGTGGCTTGAGGTTGTGCGTGCCCCCAGCACTGCGGACTGTCCAGTCAGACACTGGCTGCTGTGCCTGTAGGTGTGGCCTGAGGCTGTGCATGTCACCATTGCCTGCCCACATGCAGCTGGGGCTCAGGAACTTGCATCTTTACCTGCATCCCAGCTGATCCTTAAGTCCCTTAAAGTTTCCAAAAACCACTGAGGACCCTGAAAGCACCAGAACTCAGGGACCACATGTGTGTAGTCTTGCACCACTACATCCTATGCCCAGCACGCAGCCTGGGAGATAGCTCAGTTACTTATGCAGTTGTTTCTTCAGCCTGAATAAATGATGGCATGAAGCAACAGGGATTTGCTCAGGGCTGCACCCCTCTTCCAGGCCATCTTGGCTAAGGCTGACCACACGGTCAAGGTTTCTGATTTTTGCTCTGAGGGGCTGACAGCTGAGAACACCCTGAACTTCACACTTGCAAGGACTGGCTCTGGAGTCAGGTGGCTGAGTCAGAATCCTGGCTGTACTGAGACTGATGTGCGGTAACCTGAGGTGGAGCCTCTCTGTCTCTGGTTTCAAGTGTCACAGAGGAGCAGAGATGGCTCCCATAGTAGTAGAGAACCAAACCACATAATACAGGGAAAACATTTAGACAGAACTGCGCCTCGAATGCAGTGACTGCCGACTGCCGTCCTTCCTTGCTACTGCTGCTATTACTACTTCTAGCTTATTAAAATGATTCATTAACTGGGAAAATAAGGCTGACAGGAAGCTATGCTTCTGGAAGAGCCTACATGGAAGTCTCTCTTGGGGCTGAACCACCATCAGCAGACAAAATGATCTCCCACACGAGCCTGGACCCCTCCTCTCAGCTCCGGCAAGAGGTGTGGAAAGTGCCCCTCTCACCAGGGCTTCTCAGGAGTCTGACTTGGCAACTTGGGTGGGAGAATGGAGTCAGCACACAACGCATGGCAGCGTTAAGGCAGAATGACAACGATTCTGCCCTGAGATGGCCAGTACTATACTCATGTTATCAGCTGCGATTTGCTCCAGCAAAACCATATCAACCATTACGTTAAATTAATGGGGCCATTTGAATGTTACTGATTTTATAGTTTTGTTTGTATTTAACTTATATGCTTATTTTGGTTTTATAGTTACATAAAAGCTATCTGCATTAAAATTTATACCAAGTTTTATGTTTATCATATTGAATTAGTTTATAATAAACTAATTTAAATCAACCCTGGGGGAGTTTTCTGGTTTTCCTTGAAAAGGGGCCTGTATGTTTTCAGTTGAGGAACAAGTGCTCTAACCGATACCTTTTGAGGGTACATCAGACTTCTTACTCGTGATTTATCATGTTTCAAAGCATCATAATACCACAACTGTGGCAAAAAGAACTAAATCTTCCTTGTAATCTTCCTCCTCTGATGAAGCACATCAAAACTGAGAATGCTTCAACGCCATAGTTTTTGTGTTTGTTTGGTTAGGAAGTTAAAAAATAAAAATTACAAAAGCATGCCTGAATTTAAAAAGTTCAGCAGTGTTGAGAAGAAACCTTTCCAGTTCTTAACCGTGGTCTTTATAGTATCAGAACATGACAAGTGACCGTCTGTCATCCAGAAGCAAATGATTCTGTGTTCAGCAAGCTTGTTAGCATGCTCATTTCAAATGGCAAAGTGGTGTCATCTATTTCAGCTCCAGCTCCTCAATTCTGGAACACCACAGGTTCTGCCTGGGTTCCCTCTCCTGTGCCAACTGGGCCTGGAAGCCATTGTTTTGAACATCCTTTATCTCTGAATTTAGAAGCATTCGGGACTCCTGATTGACTGAATTGCTAAACAGCTGAAGGGCTTCTGAACTATTCTTGGAAAAATCACCACCAAGGGCACTTTCTGTATTGGAGGGAATCGGAAGCACCGACTTTCTAAATGCAAGACAGACGTGTGCACTGACCAGCTACCTGGAAAAGGTGTCCCCCTTGGCGGCCAGGTCTCGGCTCGGCTCAGGGAAGTGGAATTACCTGCAGCACCAGCAGCCGAACGCCTTCCAGTGGTTTATCAGGGTCCACTTTAACTTCCTGTGTTCTGGCAAAAACGTCTAGGTCTTTGATGTTTTGGCAAGCCAGATAAGACCCCTAGTTAGGCAAATAGACAGAGTTGCACTTACTTCAAGGACGAAGAAGCGAG
This sequence comes from Homo sapiens, assembly GCF_000001405.40. Lineage (NCBI taxonomy): Eukaryota > Metazoa > Chordata > Mammalia > Primates > Hominidae > Homo > Homo sapiens. The sequence goes on from NC_000016.10 coordinate 86,552,199, forward strand.
CACTTTTCTGGGGGGCATCAGGATTTACTTTAATGGTCCTGGCCGTTTTGAACGCCTGCAAGCGTGGGAGTTGCTCGGCAGCATGAGAAGCGCCCTGTTTCCAATGCAATCGCACGTTACTGAAAGGACAGCACGCTCTCAGGCCAACTGCAGCCCAAGCAGCTCGGCCCAGAATCTCACCCAGACAGGCACTAACAGTCACCCAAAGAAACATCTAAGGAAGCAGTCTAAGTAAGGAAAGGGATTTGAGAAAAGTAGCCTAATCCCACTTGAGCTTTAACTGAAATGAAACATGCATTCCAAAAAGAATACAAATCCCAAGGGCAAAATTTGATGATTTTTCACAAAATGAAGGCTGCTGTGTAACCACCACCAAAATCAAGCAGTAGCATGACCTGGAAGCCCCCACCTCTCTCCTGTTTGATTCGTTTTTTAAAGATTTCTACATGATTCTCTACATCCTTCATCTTTACCTCTGTTAAGATACATTTCTCTCTCTGGGGTCAGAAGCATTAAAACAAAACACAGTAACAACAAAAAACCATCAAAAGATCAGTTTTTCAAAGGGACAGGACAGTCTTGGAACCACCTCAGCTGAGGACCAGGGAAGGTGGAGCTTGTTGTGGAGAAGCCAGGCTTGGGGAGAGGCAGTCCTGACAAAATGGGGTGAAGCAAGCCAACAGCTAAGTCCTTCAGGGCAGAGAGCATTTTTGAAAAGCGCTTTCTTTTGCTCTTGGAAAATAGGCATGTCAAAGATGATGAACTGCTGCATTGCCTCTTCCGAGTAACCTTTTTTTTTTCTGTCAACACTGTTAGGAACAGCCATCTTTGATTGTCTTACATTTTGATCAGCTGGGAAACTGAGGCCCAGCATCCTTAGGCTGGCAAGGCATTCATTTCTTTCCAAAGGCCTAGAGCCTGAACTTCCAGTTCAGTACCCCTTCATTCCCTAACGCTCTTAGCAGGGTCAATTTTGTGAAAAGCCATTACGACAATAACATGCTTCCGGCCAGGATAAATATTTTACTTTGTATCAAACAGAAAACAGCAACTAGCACCACCTTGAAAGGTGACAGCGTGCTGGCAGCCCTCGGTCCCTCTCGGCGCCTCCTCGGCCTTGGCGCCTACTCTGGCCGTGCTTGAGGAGCCCTTCATCCCGCAGCTGCACTGTGGGAGCCCCTTTCTGGACTGGCCCAGGCCGGCTCCCTCAGCTTGCTGGGCGGTGTGGAGGGAGAGGCGCGGGCGGGAACTGCTGCTGTGCATGGTGCTTGTGGGCCAGCGCGAGTTCCATGTAGGCGTGGGGAGCCCCGCACTCACAGCGGCTGGCCCTGGGCAGTGAGGGGCTTAGCACCTGGGCCACCAGCTGCTGTGCTCTATTTCTCGCCGGGCCTTAGCTGCCTCCCCAAGACCTGCAGCCTGCCATGCCTGAGCCTCCCCACCCCCACCGGCGGGCTCCTGTGCAGCTAGAGCCTCCCCGAGGAGCGACGCTCCTGCTCCACGGTGCCTGGTGCCATCCACTGCCCAACGGCTGAGGAGTGCGGGTGCACTGCACGGGACTGGCAGGCAGCTCCACCTGCAGCCCCAGTGCGGGATCTGCTGGGTGAAGTCAGCTGGGCTCCTGAGGCTGGTGGGGACTTGGAGAATCTTTATGTCTAGCTAAGGGATTGTAAACACACCAATCAGCACCCTGTGTCTAGCTCAGAGTTTGTGAATGCACCAATGGGCACTCTGTATGTAGCTAATCTAGTGGGGAGGTGGAGAACTTTTGTGTCTAGCTCAGGGATTGTAAACGCACCAATCAGCATCCTGTCAAAACGGACCAATCGGCTCTCTGTAAAATGGACCAATCAGCAGGATGTGGGTGGGGCCAGATAAGAGATTAAAAGCAGGCTGCCTGAACCAGCAGCAACAACCCTCTCCAATCCCCTTCCACATTGTGGAAGGTTTGTTCTTTGCAATAAATCTTGCTGCTGCTCATTCTTTGAGTCCACCCTGCCTTTGTGAGCTGCAACACTCTCTGCTAAGGTCTGCAGCTTCACTCCTGAAGCCAGCAAAGACCGTGAACCCACCAGAAGGAAGAAACTCTGAACACATCCAAACATCAGAAGGAACAAACTCCAGACACGCTGCCTTTAAAAACTGTAACACTCACTGCGAGGCTTCATTCTTGAAGTCAGTGAGACCAAGAACCCACCAATTCTGGACACAACCTCACCTAGAGACAACCAAACCACCCTGCACAGAGACGCAAGAGGCCCCAGGTGAAGAGTAAATGACGTCTCTAAATGCTAAGGACGCCCTGGCCAAATGGCTTTGATTTCACACCACTGCTCACTGCTCGCCACATTCTCATCCACCATGACGCAGTAAGAGAATTTTATTACTAGTGTTATTCATTTAAGAATATTTTGTTTTCCTTTTCTGGACTCCAGAAATATGTCAGTACCTTAAAGTTGGGTATCCTGTGATGAACAGGTCGGGGAAAGTCAGCTAAATTTTGTGATTCCATGTAGCCCCAAATTTGTTCACGTATGTCCTGTTTGGAGACACCTACTGCAACAAAAGATTCCCACTTAATAACATACAAAGGAATTCCAGAGCCCATGCTGAAACCGCTTAACAGTAGTTAAGCGACCCCCGCGTGTAGGTCAAACCGGCTTCCGATCCTGTTCCTGAGCCTCAGTTTCCCCGACCTCAAGGGGCCCACGGGCTCCCCCACGTGCACGGCAGGTGTCCCTCCCGCCTCGTCTTCTCGTTATCTTTATTTTTCCTGACATCTTTCTCGGGATTCCGGGCGAGAGAGCCGCTGGTTCGACCCGAACCCAGCACAGACCCCCTCTGACCTCCTCGGCCGCTTCCGGTGATTCTGCCCCATCCTCTGCCAGCCCCGGTGGCCCCGCCTCGACCCTCACCGGTCCCGGCTGTCCCTCCCCATTCCCAGCCGCCCCGGAGCCCCGCCAGGCCCCCCACCTGCCCTCGGCTCCATGGTGATGCAGTCGCTGTGCGACGCTTCCCGGCGCAGGTTCTGGCGCGTAGTGACGTCACCCGCTCCGCGCCTGCGCGATGGTAGGAGGGGCGGAGGCTGAGCGGGCGAGGCCCAGGCGCGCATGCTCGGGCGGGTAAAATCCGCGCCGGGGACAGTCAGGGATGCTCCCAGGCCCTTCGCTCTTGCTTTCAGCTAGTCATTGTCGAGCGCCGCCCGTGACAGGCGTTTTGCCAAGCCCTGGAGTTACTGAAGTGAACAAGTCCCTGGTCTCTCGGGACCCATTGCCGGTTGAAACACATCCCGCCTCCTCTTCCAGTCCTAGAGGCCGCCTCCTCCGGAAAGCCGGCCTTGATTGCTCCTCATGTAGGACGCGGTTCCCTCCTCTGAGATCCTGCAGACTCTCAGGTGCTCACACGTGGGTGTGCAGCGGATTCAGCCGGCAGCTCTTTAAAGCGGCAGGCAGATGGAAATTCGAGGCCAGCCCAGCCCCGGCGACTGCGCTGCGGACGGCCAGAGGCCATCCTTTGAGAAACACCCGTGGATTCTTACCCTGACCTCTGCATACCCTGAGAAAGAACGAACGTGGCAGCCTGCGTCTGCTTGTCTATGTCTTTCATGTTTGCTAACCTAAGGGTCGAGAAGCGGCTCGAGGAGACCAGGCTGCACAGACCGTCACGTCCATTCCCTCTCTGGCCCCAGCCCCGCGGGAAGAAAACGAGGGCGTTCAGCCTGGCAGTTCATTCACTTATTAGGAAGAAGACATCCCACACCCCCACCCAGCACACACACAGATGTCAGGGACCAGCCACTAGGAACCACTCCCTGAGCGAATGAAGGCATCCCCGTAGCCACGTGCCTGGTACATCACAAGCACTCAAAACGTGGCTGCCACCTTTCGAAATTGCATGCCCAAAACTTTATGAGATCCTCACAACACACTTGGGAAACAGACAAAAGAGTTTGAATGCCCGCCTACTTAACAGATACAGAAAATGGTGTTCCGTGTACAAGCGACTTACTCATGTCTGCTGGTAACTCATAATGTGCCGTTTGACCTCCTTAGGACATAATTAATAATGGTAATTAACAGTGCTACGATATGCCAGGCATTGAGCTTAGCGCCTTAAAAGTCATAGCTAACTATGTTTCACAGCAAACCCTCAGAGGCAAATGTGACCCGCCTCCTACGCAGGAGGCAACAGAGGCTCAGACATGTTAAAGAAGCTTGGCCTGAGTCTCCCAGCAGAGAAAGGGCAGAGCGTGTAGCCCTGACAACGTGCTTAATTGCAACTCCTGTGGGTCCCATCACAACTCTCTCTTCCTATGTGGTGTCCGCAACATTAATACATAGAGACACCGAGGAGCCTCAGTTCTGCTTGTGGGCGGGCCTGTCTTTCACCAGGCTGGCAAAAGCAGTGCAAACATCATTTTGGAGGTGATAAAATAAAATCTCTCACAGAGGTTGGATGTCCTTTCCGCCTTTCATGGAAGCACAGTAGATCTGCAGAGTGTTTTATGCAAGTAGACTTGGTGCCAGTAGTGGAAGTGTGTGCAGGATTCTGTTACCCAGCTGTGCTCAAAACAGAGCCCAAGTCTCTCCGATGGTCAGCCTGGCACGGCCCCCAGATGGTAACGAGACGCCAGGGACAATCTGCCAGTGGCAATTTTAGAAAGCAGGTGGTGCTAGGAAGGGCATTCTCTTCAGTTCCATGTTTTCAAGTTAGAAGTGCCTCAGAGCATTTACCCCCAGCTCCTTGAGGGGGTGAGGCAGAGGATCACTTGAGCCCAGGAGTTTGAGGCTGCAGTGAACTATAATGGCACCACTGTACTCCACTTGGGCGACACAGCCAGAACTCCTCTTTGAAAAACATAATAATAAATAAAAATAATAAATAGTAGTAATAAGAGACCCCTTAGAAAAAATCAACTGGCTCTTTTATGAAAGGAAGATGCTTTCAGAATGAATAGCTAATGCATGTGGGGTTTAATACCTAGGTGATGGGTTGACAGGAGCAGCAAACCACCATGGCACACATTTACTACCTATGTAACAAACCTGCACATCCTGCACATGTATCCTGGAACTTAAAATAAAATTTTAAAAAAAGAAGATGCTATTGAACCTTAACTCAAATACTTAAAACTCAATCATATGTGTAAATTTGCATTTGGGCACTTCAGGATTTTTTTTTGTTTTGGTAGATTTTATCATTTAGAAAAGTTTTGGTTTGGCCAAGAGTGGTGGTTCACACCTGTAATCCCAGCACTTTGGGAGGCTGAGGTGGGCAGATCAATTGAGGTCAGGAGTTTGTGACCAGCCTGGACAACATGGTGAAATCCCATCTCTACTAAAAATACAAAAAATTAGCTGGGGGTGGTGGCTCGCGCCTGTAATCCCAGCTACTCAGGAGGCTGAGGCAGGAGAATCACTTGAACCCAAGAGGCAGAGGTTACAGTGAGCCAAGATTACGCCACTGCACTCCAACCTGAGCGACAGAGCGAGACTGTTTCAAAGTAAAGAAAAAAGAAAAGTTTTACTTCACAGCAAAATTGAGCAGAAAGTACAGAGAGTTCCCATATACAACCCCTGCGGCTGCATTTATACACAGCCTCCCCCACTATCAACATCCTGCTGTGGAATGGTACATTTGTTACAATGAACTTACACTGATACATTGTTATCATCCAACAGCCATGGTTTACATTAGAGCTCAGGCTTTCTGTATGTTCTGGGGTTTTGACAAATGCATAATGGCATGTGCCCATCCCTGGAGTATCAGGCAGAATATTTTTACTGCCCTACAGATCCTGTGTGCTCTGCCTCTTCCTCCCTCCCTGCCTGCCTGCTAACCCCTGGCAGTTACTGGTCTCTTTTCTTTCTCCATGGCTTTTTCTTTTCCAGAAAGTCAATAATTGGAATCATACACTATGTAGCCTTTTCAAACAGGCTTCTCGCGCTTAGTAATATGCATTTAAGGTTCTTCCATGTCTTTCCATGGCCGGAGGGTCCTCTCTTTTTAGTGCTGAGTAATATTCCATCGTGTTGGTGTCCCACGGTTTATCCATTCACGCACTGCAGGACCCCTCAGTTGCCCCTACGTTTTAGCAAATACACAGAAACCTGCTATAACTATTCCTGTGCGGGTTCACGGAGGATTGCAAAGCTTGTCACAGGCATCTTTTAGAACCTGGCTGGAAGGAATAGCGTAGAAATGGTGAGTCTGCCTAGGCATGAAGAGCGTGGCTCTGAATCTCCAAGCTGTGTTCCCTTTTACGGTGAACTTTAAACATCATAGTTCTCCGAAACTACATCCAGTAGCTTCAGTTATACTTTCAATCTACATTCAAAGTAATGGCAAAAACCGCAATTACTTTTGCACCAACCAACTTAACAAAATGTAAGATTGTTTAATAAGCTAATAACTGAAAAGGTATTTGAAGAATTCTTTCCCTCACATTAGAGGTTGCCAGATTAAATACAGGTTTCCCAGTTAAACTTGAACTTCAGATAAAGCGATTTTTTTTTTCATTTTTAGTATAAGCACGTTCCATGCAGTCTGTGGGCATTGTTATTTTCATTTGTTCAAGCTGGCAAGCCGAAAGGGCCCCCAGTCTGTTGCCAACTTCTCCAAGAAACTCACACGGCCTCGTCCCCCCTTACTCATTCTTCTGAGCTTGCTCAGCCTGGCCCCTCCCTCCCTGCACCATCCTGCGGCAGGGACGGCACCGCGGTGGAGGTTTGAGCCTGCTCCCTGGCTGGTTCAAATCCCAGGTCTGCAGCTCTCTAGCTGCGTGAGGCCGGGGGCGTCACTGAACGTCTCTGTGCCTTGCTTTTCATTTGCGGAGTGGAGATAGGAGCACCGTTGGCATCCGCCTCTCCACGCTGGTGACGGTGAAGTGCCGGATCCATGCGGCCCGGAGAACAGCACCTAGAATGCAGGGAGAGCTCTCTACGAGCATTGACCTAAAATAAAGTTTCAGCCTGTCATCATCCATGCGCCTGCCACAGCTTGGGAGCCAGGGAGCACTTGACGATGAGTCCCCATTTCTTATGCAGTGTCTGCCTAAAATAAGTGCTAGTAAATGTTTGAAACAAATCCTGGGCTTGAGCCACAAATGGGAGGCAAGGCCTGTGAGTTACGGTTGGGCAGGCAGTGAAGTGGGGGAGGGCTGCGTATCTCTGAAGCCCCATTTGTTCAATGTATAGTTAAGAACATGGAGTCTGTGGCCGGGCACGGTGGCTCATGCCTGTAATCCCAGCACTTTGGGAGGCCGAGGCGGGAGGATCACCTGAGGTCGGGAGTTCGAGACCAGCCTGACCAACATGGAGAGACCCCGTCTCTACTAAAAATACAAAATTAGCTGGGCGTGGTGGCACATGCCTGTAATCCTAGCTACTCAGGAGGCTGAGGCAGGAGAATCACTTGAACCTGGGAGGCATAGGTTGCGGTGAGCCGAGATTGCACCGTTGCACTGCAGCCTGGGCAACAAGAGCGAAACTCTGTCTCAAAAAAAAAAAAAAGAACATGGAGTCTCATGGAGTCTGTGTCAAGCAGAGCTGTGCACAGGGCGGACCAGGCCCCTGCCTGTCTTCCCTGTATGGGGGTGGTGAGGCAAACAACAGATAGAAGACTGAATGAGACCACACCAGGCAGGGGAGCCTGTGCCACTGAGAACATGAGTGAGGAGAAAGGGGGAGGTGGGGGGGGCAAGGTAAGCGGATGGCTGGGGGAGGCCTCGGAGGAGGGGGCAAGGGGGCAAAGAATTGAGATGAGGGACCAGGCCCGGGGCACAGCAGGCCCAAAGGCCATGCGGTGGGTCCAGGCTGGGCTGGCCATGCAAGCCCCATGTCGGGATGCACACAGGCAGAGGTGGGGGCCAGGGCCAGGGAGTGTTCTTGGCTTTTACGGACTCCTAGAGGTGGACAGCACCCAGTGACAGTGGTGGTCGGACTCCCCTGGGAGAGCGCTCTGCACTCTTGGTCTTATTCAGTGAGACCCACTGGGGTCCCACTCAGTTATGCCACTGTGGGCGCCAGCCCTAGTCCCAGTGGTTACTGGAAGCACTGGCTGAAGCTGCTCCCAGACTGTGGCTTTTGAGCCTGGCTTATTCCTTGGGGCTCAGAACACCCATCCTACAGGCTGCGCATTTGATGAAAATTAAATCGTCCCCCTCGCCTCTTTCTCAACCTGTCATTGTCCAAACACTGAAGTCCTCTCTGACCTCCCCAGGGGCAGCCTGCTTTCCACAGGCCATTACGGTGAGTCCATGTACCCCACAGGGTTAATCACAGGGGTTCAAGTTAGTGATATAAAAAACTCAAATCTCATACACATTAAGTTGTGTGTGGTCAGAAGTCATGGCTTCATGGATACACCATTATGGATGTTTTTCATTTAACTTTTTAAATCTCCTCTAATTTCCAAGTCCCTAATTCTTTTTTTTTGGGGGGGGCGGTAGGGGGGATGGAGTTTTGCTCTTGTTGCCCAGGCTGGAGTGCAATGGAGCGATCTCAGCTCAGCGCAACCTCCACCTCCCGGGTTCAAGCGATTCTCTTGCCTCAGCCTCCCGAGTAGCTGGGACTACAGGCGTGCACCACCATGCCCAGCTAATTTTGTATTTTTAGTAGAGACGGGGTTTCTCCATGTTGGTCAGTCTGGTCTTGAACTCCCGACCTCAGGTGATCCGCCCGCCTTGGCCTCCCAAAGTGCTGGGATTACAGGCGTGAGCCACCATGCCCAGCCCCAAGTCCGTAACTCTTAATCTCAAAGAGGCAGCAAAGGAGTGGGTTAAGAGATCCCAATTTCATCACTTGGCAGCAGCAACACTTAGTTTAGTTATTTAAGATCTCAGTTTCCTCACCTGCAAAATGGTGGTATTAATAGTACCTACCCTAAAAGAGGAGTAAGTGAGAGGTCGTGGCCAAAACGCTTAGCACGGTGCATGGCACAGGGTATGTACACATCACTTTTCCCCTTATCTACTAAGGAGAGAAATCTCGGAAACAGTCGTACACTCACTCAAGCACTACTTGCACACACATCTTGTGCTGAGGTACTGGGCAGTGCACTGGGGCTGCAGAGAACAGAGGACAGTCATTACTTACCTGGAAAGACAGTATGAGGCTGCCGAGCAGATGCCTGGGCCCAGGGAAGACTGATCTTCCTGTCCCCTGGGCGCGTTGGGGACTTATGACCAGCTCTGGCCTATGAGCTGTGAATAGAGGTGATACATGTCACTTCCAGGCTGGAAGACTTAATTCCCAGGGCCGGATCACCTCTCTCCCCTGCCTAGATGACAGGAACAGATATGATGAGAGGTGGTCTTTGAAAACTCAGGCTCCTGAGTGACTTTGATGAACAGAGCCCTCTGCTAAGCTGGGGTTGGCTCAGGGTGGTCACTGAGACTAAGTTTCTTTAAAAAGAAACATACATGTATCTTTAATATTATGATTGCTTGAGGCTAAGAGTTCCAGGCTACTGTGAGCCATGAGCCATGAGCCATTACACTCCAGCGTAGGTGACAGAGTGAGGCTCTGTCTAAAAAAAAATAAAATCCCACAACATCTATAATATGGAATGTCTGGCATCTTTGGTTAATTGTGGCAATGCCTGAATTATAAAACAGATAAGCTCCTCAGAGAATGTGCCTTTTTTTTTTTTTTTACCATGAATTATTGTGATGAACTCCATAGCTATTGATGGTAGTTTTCCAGAAACTTCCAGTAAAGGAGGAGAGCAGACGCTGGACTAAGTTAGGCCCTCGCTAAACATTTTGCAAATTCCTTCCATGGAAATACCTTCCTTTACTGTCACATTTCTTTTCAAATTTTCACAGTAACAAAAGTGTTTTACTCCCATTTTTTATTTTGAAAAATTTCAAATTTACAGAATTGCAAGAACAATACAATCAATACCCAGGCACCACGGGTTCAACAACTGTTCTCATCTTACTACCTTTGCACGACCTTCTGCCCTCCTTCTCCCCTCTGACCCCACCTTGGTTGAATCTTTTGAATCTTCTCCTTCTTCTTCTTCTTTTTGAGACAGGGTCTTGCTCTGTCACCCAGGCAGGAATGTAGTGGTGCAATCATGGCTTACTGCAGCCTCAACCTCCCAGGCCCAAGTAATTCTCTGCCTCTGCCTCCCACATAGCTGGCACTACAGGTGCTCAGCACCACACCCGGCTTTTTTTTTTTTTTTTTTTTTTTTGTATTTTTTATAGAGATAGGGTCTCACTGTGTTGCCCAGGCTGGTCTTGAAACCCTGAGCTCAAGCGATCCTCCCACCTCAGCCTCCCAAACTGCTGGGATTACAGGCATGAGCCACCATGCCCGGCAGGGTGAATTTTTTAAAGGTTGCAGAGATGATGAATATCAGCCCCAAACATTTTGACACGTACCTTCTAAAAGCAAGGACATGCTCTTACTTGACCATGTATAATTATCGCACGCAAGAATCTTACCCTTGATTCAAGGTTATTATCTCATACACATCCCAGATGCAAATCTTCCCAAGTCTCCTCAAACCTGTCCTTGGTTGCTGTTTAAAATATCCCAGCACTTTGGGAGGCCGAGGCGGGCGAATCACGAGGTCAGGAGATCCAGACCATCCTGGCTAACACGGTGAAACCCCGTCTCTACTAAAAATACAAAAAATTAGCCGGGTGTGGTGGCGCACGCCTGTAGTCCCAGCTACTCGGGAGGCTGAGGCAGGAGAATGGCGTGAACCCGGGAGGCGGAGCCTGCAGTGAGCGGAGATCGTGCCACTGCACTCCAGCGTGGGCGACAGAGCAAGACTCCGTCTCAACAACAACAGGAAAAAAAGAAAAAAGAAAAAAAAATTTCTTCCGCCTAGGATTGAGGGTTGCGTTTACTTGTTGAGTTTCTTTAATCCTTGTGACCAACAGCAGTTCTCACTACCCACCCGCTTCTGTAGTCCTTTCTGGCCCTGCCCTTTGTCGATGGCGCAGCATGGCTTTCACTCACCGGAAAACTCACACACAGTAAAATGAGCTTGAACTGAGTTTTAGAAAAGACACTTTTTTTGTCCCACAAAAGTTTAGAAGCCGGATTACAATGGATTTTTAGGAGGTGGCGCCGACTTTGTGTAACCCAAGGGCTCCTCGGTTCTCAGGCAGCTTCTGGAAGCCTGGGACTCCTCTGCCACCCGATCCCTTTCCTCAAAACCAAGGCACCTCGTGACCCCAGAAAAGAAATGTTTGAAGGATATTGAAATGAATGAATGGGAAATAGTGAGACAAGAAACAAAACTCCTTTCACTTGTCCCCTCTTTGAGTTCTCTGTTGTACCTCAAAAGTAGAAGTGGCTGCTGCCCAGTTTCAAAGTCTGCCTCTTGTTCAAGCCAACCCTCTAAACACACGACCAGCACAAACAGCTTTCTGATGAATTCCCTGAAGCTCACGCCACACCTCGGGCAGAAAGACAGCTGCAGCGGGAAAACATGGACGAGGCAATTTGTTCAACAACTCCGGGGGAAGAAAATGCAGACTTCTAGCCACCTAAGAGGCATAGATTTTATTTGGGGAAAACCCCAGCAAGTTTCCCTAGAGAAAATTTCTTGCTCCCCGAGCAGTTTCAAAGACATTTTTGTTTCCCAACAGATCATGTTCTTGACACGTTGCGAAGTTACGGGAAATGTTTTTTAATCGACGCGATGCAGTTTATCTCCTTTCTCTGCTTTTACAGATTTCTGAAGGCTCCATTCCAGCCGTGCAATGCCCAGGAGTATCCACAAGGTGTCAGCACCTTCATGATAAGCAGGGCGGGCCGGGCGGTCTTTTTCTTTTTCCTTTTCTCGTAGTAGTTCCCTGGTTGGCCTCAAGATGACGCCAACACCCACGGAGTCCGCCCAGCCGCTCCAGGTGCAGCGGCCACGGGCCGGGAGGAGCGCAGCGCGGTGGGGGCGGAAGGCGAATTAAATACCTTTAGGCTTTATCGCCGCTTATTATTCCAGGAACACGCGAGGCCCTCTGGGACCCGATTCCGCGTTCGGCTCACTGACTTACAAGGTCAAGAAGGGGGAAAATCAGCCAGAAAGTAGCAGCCCCCCATCCGAAATACCCTGGCAGGTTAAAGAAAAGCTGGGAAATACGGTTTTTGCAAAGTCCAGGTGTATGGAAGGCGTTGTTTTAATAACCTGAACAAACATCTTTCCCGGAGTCCCACTGAGCAAACAAGAAACCTAATTCCAGGGGTAAAGGGAAGTGTCTCTCTCACCTTTTCTGTCTTGATGAGACGAATTTCTTTCCCCTCCCCTTTTCCTTTCTTTGGGGCGGGGGAGGGTGGATAATATATTGGGCGACTCGATTTAGGTGTTTGTTTGTTTGTTTGTTTGTTTCCCCAGATGACATTGGTTTAAACCGGGACACCCTTGTGAATACAAACGTAGGCAGCAACTGCCATTTTGGAATTTATTTTTTCATAGTCCTTAGCTATTTTAGGTTTTGCTGTGATAAAGCTGTTTCTCTCTCTCTCTCTCTCTCACACACACACACACACCCCTCGTAAAAGCAGAGTAAATAATATTCCTCCAGGAAGCCTACAGGCTGAGGAGTGTTTCTTGATCAATAGTTTGCATTTCCAGTAAAATCGTGACACGAACTCAGTGTGCCTGTCATGCGCTGCAGGAGAAGGGCACTTTTTGCTAGTCCTTTTTTTTTTTTAAGCTAGATGCGGAAATACTAGCTTATTAAAAATAATAAAGTCATGGTGGGAGTTTAGGGTTGGGGCAGAAAGCTCAAATCATTTGCCTGTGAGCTGAGAACTGGGCAGCTTTATTTTACTTTGTTTCAAAGAAAGAAGAAAAAGGATCAGGTTAGAAAAAGAGCCCAGAATACTCATAAAAACAATGTTTCAGAAGTGGAATATTCAAGGTAAAGGAACCTGATTTGTAGCTTCCCTTTGGCTTTGAATTGATCAGGAGACAAAGATAATGCATCTACATTTTCGTCTTCTGTTCTTTTATTGGAAATAAGTGGCACGCCCCATTGCCTTCTAGTCGCCTCCCCGAAGCGAAGAGGCCGAAGCGAAGAGGCCTGGTGGGTTGTCTCAACATCCTTTTGCTGAGAATCGAATACGCAGCCGATGAACAGCCAGGAAGGGTGCAAGGAAACCTGAAATACAAATGTTCTCCCTGAAGCCCTCTTCCCTGCCCAACCAGACCAGCAACTTCCAAAATTCTGCCCGTGTTTAGCCTTGTTAAAGGGGTGTCTCACTCCTTCAGGGAAAGTGGGAAAAGGGGATCTGATTATTGAGGTGTGGAAGGAATAAATAATCAGTCCACAAATAAACAAACTGTCCGGGATTCCTAGAGGGAAGGAGAAATCCTTGAAGGAGATCCAAGTCGCTCCAGGTCTGCCTGCCGAATAATATCATCCCGAAGGGATCTTGAACCGTTTGCAATCAACCGCTCACCCAGTCTTCCCACGGAGCGCGCTCCCTAACTCACCCTACCCACCCAACAAAACAAAAAAAAGGCTGAAATATAGAAAAGCAACTTGGAGGCTCCCAGGGGGACGTTGCCAGGAGCAGGAGGCAGGGACAGCGCCCTAGGGTCGGTGTTAGCGGCCGGCGCCGGCCTGGGCCACGGGAAACGTCCACGCTTGGTGCCCGCGGTGCGCGGCGCTCATTGCGCGCGCCTTCGAGCCAAGCCCCCGCGGAAAACAGGCTCGGGTTTCTCCTCGCAGGGCCCAGGAACTCGGCTCTGCCTGGCCCGGGTGGGTCGCTGCATTGTCCCGGTCTTCTGGGAGTGCGGGGTCAGCTTGTTAGAGGGAATTTCTACCTGGGAAAAGGGAGACGAGTTTCGAAGCTGAAGTTGGTAGGCTGCGAGTGTCCACGCGGGAGACGAAAGGGGGAAATAGCAGAGTCACTTCACCCTTTTCCCCAAACCCCACAAAACTGCTCGCAGCGACGCGGATGATCTACCGAATTCCCCGCGAATTCGGAGGATTAAGTTGTCAGTCAGCACGTTGCTACCTTCCCCTCTATGCACTCCGCTGCCTGGCTCCTCGGCGGGGAGCGAGGGAAACTCAGTTTGTAGGGTTTACCTCTAAAACCTCGATAGGTTATCCTTGACGACCCCGAGCCTGGAAACTCCCTGTTGATGATTAATTATTTGATTAAATAAGTATAACATCCAGGAGAGGCCCTGCCATTCCAATCCAGCGCGTTTGCTTTGAATCCATTACACCTGGGCCCCCATAATTAGGAAATCTAATTATTCGCTTCATCACTCATTAATAAGAAAAATGTCCCAGGATCATTGCTACTTACAAGGTCTTTGGGAGAGATATTTTACTCTATTAATCCATTCTATTTTATATTTCAAATTGATTTTTTTTAACAGAGGAAAGTGGCTATCTTTTTGTTTTGGGCATGTGGGCCCATTCACCAAAATGTGATCATAAAATAAATTTTAATAAGATATAACTTTTTAAAAAGTTTTCAAGTGAAGACGGAGTCGCCGCGGAGGCCGGGGCGGCGGGGTCTTAGAGCCGACGGATTCCTGCGCTCCTCGCCCCGATTGGCGCCGACTCCTCTCAGCTGCCGGGTGATTGGCTCAAAGTTCCGGGAGGGGGCGTGGCCCGAGGAAAGTAAAAACTCGCTTTCAGCAAGAAGACTTTTGAAACTTTTCCCAATCCCTAAAAGGGACTTGGCCTCTTTTTCTGGGCTCAGCGGGGCAGCCGCTCGGACCCCGGCGCGCTGACCCTCGGGGCTGCCGATTCGCTGGGGGCTTGGAGAGCCTCCTGCGCCCCTCCTCGCGCGGGCCGAGGGTCCACCTGGGTCCCCAGGCCGCGGCGTCTCCGCTGGGTCCGCGGCCGCCCGCCTGCCCGCGCTGCCGCCGCCGGGTCCTGGAGCCAGCGAGGAGCGGGGCCGGCGCTGCGCTTGCCCGGGGCGCGCCCTCCAGGATGCCGATCCGCCCGGTCCGCTGAAAGCGCGCGCCCCTGCTCGGCCCGAGCGCCGCCGCCCGCGCACCCTCGCCCCGGAGGCTGCCAGGAGCCCGGGGCCGCCCCTCCCGCTCCCCTCCTCTCCCCCTCTGGCTCTCTCGCGCTCTCTCGCTCTCAGGGCCCCCCTCGCTCCCCCGGCCGCAGTCCGTGCGCGAGGGCGCCGGCGAGCCGTCTCGGAAGCAGCATGCAGGCGCGCTACTCCGTGTCCGACCCCAACGCCCTGGGAGTGGTGCCCTACCTGAGCGAGCAGAATTACTACCGGGCTGCGGGCAGCTACGGCGGCATGGCCAGCCCCATGGGCGTCTATTCCGGCCACCCGGAGCAGTACAGCGCGGGGATGGGCCGCTCCTACGCGCCCTACCACCACCACCAGCCCGCGGCGCCTAAGGACCTGGTGAAGCCGCCCTACAGCTACATCGCGCTCATCACCATGGCCATCCAGAACGCGCCCGAGAAGAAGATCACCTTGAACGGCATCTACCAGTTCATCATGGACCGCTTCCCCTTCTACCGGGAGAACAAGCAGGGCTGGCAGAACAGCATCCGCCACAACCTCTCGCTCAACGAGTGCTTCGTCAAGGTGCCCCGCGACGACAAGAAGCCCGGCAAGGGCAGTTACTGGACCCTGGACCCGGACTCCTACAACATGTTCGAGAACGGCAGCTTCCTGCGGCGCCGGCGGCGCTTCAAAAAGAAGGACGTGTCCAAGGAGAAGGAGGAGCGGGCCCACCTCAAGGAGCCGCCCCCGGCGGCGTCCAAGGGCGCCCCGGCCACCCCCCACCTAGCGGACGCCCCCAAGGAGGCCGAGAAGAAGGTGGTGATCAAGAGCGAGGCGGCGTCCCCGGCGCTGCCGGTCATCACCAAGGTGGAGACGCTGAGCCCCGAGAGCGCGCTGCAGGGCAGCCCGCGCAGCGCGGCCTCCACGCCCGCCGGCTCCCCCGACGGCTCGCTGCCGGAGCACCACGCCGCGGCGCCCAACGGGCTGCCTGGCTTCAGCGTGGAGAACATCATGACCCTGCGAACGTCGCCGCCGGGCGGAGAGCTGAGCCCGGGGGCCGGACGCGCGGGCCTGGTGGTGCCGCCGCTGGCGCTGCCCTACGCCGCCGCGCCGCCCGCCGCCTACGGCCAGCCGTGCGCTCAGGGCCTGGAGGCCGGGGCCGCCGGGGGCTACCAGTGCAGCATGCGAGCGATGAGCCTGTACACCGGGGCCGAGCGGCCGGCGCACATGTGCGTCCCGCCCGCCCTGGACGAGGCCCTCTCGGACCACCCGAGCGGCCCCACGTCGCCCCTGAGCGCTCTCAACCTCGCCGCCGGCCAGGAGGGCGCGCTCGCCGCCACGGGCCACCACCACCAGCACCACGGCCACCACCACCCGCAGGCGCCGCCGCCCCCGCCGGCTCCCCAGCCCCAGCCGACGCCGCAGCCCGGGGCCGCCGCGGCGCAGGCGGCCTCCTGGTATCTCAACCACAGCGGGGACCTGAACCACCTCCCCGGCCACACGTTCGCGGCCCAGCAGCAAACTTTCCCCAACGTGCGGGAGATGTTCAACTCCCACCGGCTGGGGATTGAGAACTCGACCCTCGGGGAGTCCCAGGTGAGTGGCAATGCCAGCTGCCAGCTGCCCTACAGATCCACGCCGCCTCTCTATCGCCACGCAGCCCCCTACTCCTACGACTGCACGAAATACTGACGTGTCCCGGGACCTCCCCTCCCCGGCCCGCTCCGGCTTCGCTTCCCAGCCCCGACCCAACCAGACAATTAAGGGGCTGCAGAGACGCAAAAAAGAAACAAAACATGTCCACCAACCTTTTCTCAGACCCGGGAGCAGAGAGCGGGCACGCTAGCCCCCAGCCGTCTGTGAAGAGCGCAGGTAACTTTAATTCGCCGCCCCGTTTCTGGGATCCCAGGAAACCCCTCCAAAGGGACGCAGCCCAACAAAATGAGTATTGATCTTAAAATCCCCCTCCCCTACCAGGACGGCTGTGCTGTGCTCGACCTGAGCTTTCAAAAGTTAAGTTATGGACCAAATCCCATAGCGAGCCCCTAGTGACTTTCTGTAGGGGTCCCCATAGGTGTATGGGGGTCTCTATAGATAATATATGTGCTGTGTGTAATTTTAAATTTCTCCAACCGTGCTGTACAAATGTGTGGATTTGTAATCAGGCTATTTTGTTGTTGTTGTTGTTGTTCAGAGCCATTAATATAATATTTAAAGTTGAGTTCACTGGATAAGTTTTTCATCTTGCCCAACCATTTCTAACTGCCAAATTGAATTCAAGAAACCGATGTGGGTTTTGTTTCCTGTACAATTATGAGATATAATTCTTTTTCCCATTGTAGGTCTTTTACAAAACAAGAAAATAATTTATTTTTTTGTTGGTGGATAAAGAAGTCAAGTATCTGATACTTTTTATTTACAAAGTGTGATGGTTTTGTATAGTAGGTTCCACCCTGAGTATTCCTAAAAGAAAAAAAAAAAAAAAGCTTAAAAACTCTAACTTCATCTGTGTTTGTCTTACGTGGTCTTAATCGTTGTACTTACCTTAAAATAAACCCATGTTGTTTTTTCTGCCCAAAGTTTGGACAGTGTGTTTGTGTTGTTGCATTTTTTACAAACGAGGTGTGTTTGCAAACCCACCTGCTTTGATTATTTTTGTTACACAGGTGGGTATATGTGTAGACACATAAAAACGACCAGAGAATAGGAGCACACACCTGCTGTCTTGTTTAGTGACAGAAAAAGGCTTTTGATTAATTTTAAAATCCCACTCTAGGATTTTTTCTTTTCGAGAAACCGCCCAGTTGGAGGGGGCTGCCTGAAGGACCGGACCATGAGTTTGCCGTGATGCATTTTCTTAAATGCACAAAAACATGCTAATTGTCAAAACAAACAGTGCCACTCCATCTCAGTGTCCAGCCGTCCCCAGTTTAGGAGGTGAAGGAAGGGAAGAATAAACATTTCCCGTTTGCTAACTGCAACCCAGGGTGAGTCCTGCTTTCCCCCGATTTTATAAAATTTGAGCCTCTTTGCCTGCTTTAATAGTTTTCCAGAGAATTTGAACTGGGCCAATGAAGGTCTGAAGGGGACGGATTTTCTAGCGTTTGATATCCATCCCCCTTAGCGGCCAGATCAGAGGGGAATTTCAGACTTTATTACTTCTCAATGTCATGTCTAAATCTACACCCTCATCGCAGTGAAAAATTTTAAAACCTCATTACCCTTCAAAAATAATTTATGATATTTTTAGAGTTCTAAATTCAAGTTTTTCAATATGTTAAATAATAGAGATTATTTTTTGTTTTCAATGTTAATATCTCGTCTTTTACATTTTTAATAGTAACATAGTTTTTGTGAAATGTAGCTGACGAAATGGCTTTATTATCTATTTCAATGGCTGAAGTCCACCACTCCCCTGCTGGCCTCTATGTGTGAATTTGGGGACCAAAGCTTCATCAATTCCCACCCCAGCAGGTGAGCTGTACCTTGCTAATGCTGAAGTTCTTTGTGAGCTTAACGTTTCAAGACCAGATGATTTTGCTAAAGGTGATTTTGCTTGATGCAGTGGCGCTGAACGTAACCCGGGTGTTTTTCTTGTTGTTTTCAACATGGCACTTTATCTCCACGCTATGTTGAAATAGAATTAGGGGAAGCTTAAAGCATAATAATTTTCCCCACATGTGCAACACAGACTCTTTCAATCTGTGGCCCCAGAGGTGGCACACAGTTAAGACTTGGCGGCTGTCTCATTCTTTTTCATAATGTGCGGGTTCCCGGGTGTCCGGGTGCTAGACTTTCAGCAGGCCCCAGGCCAGACGGGCTTTGGTTGAGTGAACAGGAGGAGGAAGTTAAGGAGGTAGGGGTGGGGAGAGACCCTCTCCAAGCTGCAGAAGAAGGTGGCCCAAGCTCCTTGCCTGCGTCTGCCGTGATGGTTTCATTTTACTTCTGCTCGCTTCATGCTATTTGCCCCAGGAGAAGAGGAGAGTATTCCAGACGGTAAGCGAGCTGGCTTTTTCCCTTCCCTAGACGTTTTAAAGAAATCTTTCTGAAAGCTTGCCCTCATCGTAAGCTTTGAAACCGTTGGTGTCCTGTTAGTGGCGAGGCCTGAGAGACACACGGAAAATAAAGGAGAGCGACGGTGTGGCTGAGAGCCCCCAGCTCTGCTGTTGAAACTAAGCTGGGCTTTTGCACCTTTAGGAAGCCTTTTTAAAGAAGTCCTGCTGTGTGGGGGCCGGAAGCCCAAGTGAGTGGCCCTTGTGGAGGTTATCGGGAGGGGTTTTTTCCACTCCTTGGGGAACGTGGGCAACGGGGGGATTGTATCTGAAGCTTTATTCAGGTCTTCGGCGGCAGCAGAGTGGAGAACCAGGCCCTTAGTGTGTAGCGGCCTGGGGATTTTGGGACTCATCTGAGGGCCCTGTCACTCAAGGTTTCCTCGTTTCAGTGGGGACAGGGATAGGTGCGGTAAGTGCTAGAAGGCCGGTGGCCCCTTGTGCTGTGAGCTGGCTCAGAGCTCTGTGCAGCCCCTGTCTTCTGCAACCCCTGCGTCCTGCAGTGCCTGTGTGGACCTCAGGCCTGGGGGCTTAATGGCCTCTGGGGCATCTGTTGCTCTCCCAGCAGAGTGGGAAGATTCCACAGCACGTGCTGTGAATAGCCAACGTTCTCACCAACAGTTTTGCATCTTGGCAGCCACCCTGCTCGTCTGCTGCCCAGTGTACAAAAAGTACGTGCCCGGGGCATTGGCTATTCTTGATTCACTCATCTACCACCTTTTCCTGTTGCCTTCTGGTCCTCAGGAGGTTCTGGGCCTTTCAAGGAAAGGTGGAAGGAGGTTGAGGATGGTAGGGTCAGAGTGTCTGCCACAGGCTGCAGGGACTCTGGGCTGGGGCGGCTCTGCAGACCACGCAAATGCAGTTTGCACGAAGTCTGTCTGATAACCCTGTGCCTTCCTGACCCAGTAAGAAGATATCGCAGGGCTAATCACAAAGGTGTGGCAAATAAAATGAAAGTGCCCGAACACCATGGCAGAGACCTTCCCATTGATTTAACGCTGCGTCCCTGGCGGGTTTTGGCTGGGTGGCTTCTGACTCTAAGCACAGTCCGGTTATGACAGATATGGGCCACCCGGAGAGACCCCCATGGCCTCTGAGCATCCCGTACATTCTCAGCCCCAGAGAGGCTATAGCCAGAGTAGCCTCCTCGAATGGGCCATCTTGTGTAACCTCTGAGGCTCCACCCCAAGTTCACAGCTTTCAGGAAGAGGGACTGCCTGCATCCTGCTGGCCGTGCCCAGGCCTCTGGAAGGCTGGGCTTGGGTCTGTGGTCAAAAGGCCATCACTGCTCTGGAATAGGTGACCTATCCCTGAAGATGCAAATCTTGCTGTGACTTTTGTCCGGGAATTGCTGGAGCACTGGGCTAGGAATGAGAAGACCACATCTTTCTGTGTGAACAAACCACTTCCCCTGCCTGGCCTTGGTCTCTTTATCTGTAAAATGACCAGGTGGCCAGGGCTGCGCTGCGCTCCCCTTCTGGGCATAGCCAGGGCTGCTGCCATGGGGCCTCACTTATGCTGCTGACCCTCCTGCCACCAAGACATGAAGATCAGAAACCAGACGCAGAAGAAAACACAGGGTCCTGGGAACTTCTGCGCTTGGCTCATAAATCTTTCGGGGGTCCGTCCCCTTCTCTTTACCCAGTGACTGCATGGGGGTTGCTGCTGGCGCAGGGAGAGGCTTGTGAACAGAGCTCCCAGCTCACCGGTGAAAATGAACCCTGTGTGCTTGTGAAGGTCTCCTCACTCCTCCTCCCCACCCCCATCCAAAAAAGGGGGTGGGGGTGTTGGGCAAGGTTGGTTGATGGGAACTTATTGTTAACTGAAAACATGAGCTGGGTGGAGCTGGAGACACCAAGATAAGACACTCATTGAAGGGTGGGCAGAGCCACGTGTCTGGAGAAAGTGCTGGGGTCTCCGAGCCTGTGGTTGGCACCTTGGGAACGTGTGTTTGCCTGGGTCCCTGGCTGACTCTCTCAGTGGGATGAAGGTGGGTAAGTAGAGACCTGAGGTTTTATGCCTTAGGTGCCAGTAGGCTGAGGCTGGTTGGGGGTCTGGAGTCCAGTGCCTTTGTTCCAGGTGAGTGGGACAGGCCGGGTCAGAGCTACCCAGAGAGCCCGCCCCTTGCCTCCCAGTGAGCACTTCCTTGCAGCACATATTTGAAATGCTTTCCCAAACTTTGAGAAGCGTTCCCTGCCTGCCTCTTGCATGGCCTCAGCTCACGAAGACGTTTGAAATGTTTGCTTTTTGACATAGGCATGTAAGGAAGGGGGCGGACGGTTTCAGGGGAGATTGGAAGGCTGGCAGCCGCTCTTCAGGGACAGCCACTGGGTCTGGGAAGACACCACCCACCTGTAATTTGTGCCAGGCTTTCTCTTCCCTTTTCAACCTTCCTGCTGTAGAGCAAAAGCAGAGGGCTAGGTTTGTCTGAGTGTCAGCCTTGTGGGGACTTCATCCTGGGTGGTGGGTGTGTGAAGAGGGAAGGGGGCATGGTTGGTAAAGCTGCTGGCATCCCAGACCCATTTAGGGGATGGAGCTGGGAGGCTTCCACCCCCTTTGTGTCCTGAGGTGCAGCTTCATGCTCTGGAACCTCAGTCTATGCCCACCCAGGCTGCGAGGTCGTGGAGACCCTGGGCCTCACCTGTCTCAGCGGCCCTCTGGCCCTGGGTCTCCATCTGTCTTGTGTTATTTTCACAGGTGGCCTTCCTAGTGGAGTCCCTCTCTCTAAGGCTGAATCCATGTGCACCAACTCAGGCCCTTACTAAGATTCAGGTGACATCAGACAGATCACCTTAAGCACTCTGGGACAGTCTCTCGGCTGAAAACAGTCATAGCATTGAGAGGGTTATCTCCGGGATTCATGAACGTCACACAGGTTGGCAAGGTGCTTCCATAGTGTCGTGTTCATAGTAAACTGTCATGACCAGCCATTAAGGTTTACGTGGAACACAGAAGAGAAAAAGAGGAAGAGAAAGGAATCTTTGGTCTGAGTGACCTGCATTTATCATACCGTGCCATGCAGCCCCGGCAGGGAATGCCACTGTGTCTGGGAAGATGCCACTCACCTTTAATTCTGCCAGGCTTTTCCTTCCTTTTTCAACCTTCCTGCTCTACAGGGAAAGCAGAGGGTTGGGCTTTTCAAAAACGCAGTGAGAGCATGTGCACCAACTGCCTCTGTTTAGAGCCTTTCGATCATTTCTGGGAACAAGGTGTGCTATAAATAAGTGCATCATTTGGGAAGTCCCGCCCAGCTTTTGGGTCTCCTTCTGCATTTGCTGATTCAGTGGGACCACCATTACCTTCATGTCCTGCTCACTGCCTCCCAAGAGAAGGGAGGCCCTGGGCCCTGCTACTCCAGCTCTGGAAATCTTCCACTCTTTTCAAAGTGGGCGGGGAGGGAAGGAGGAAGAGGTCTTCTGGGTTTTGGTGGAACATAAGCAAGGACTCTGGGATTTTCTTATAATGTCCTGAATCTCCCAGCTCCAGGGGTGCTGCACACCCTCTCCTCTCTGGAGGGCCCCTCTCCCACTGTCTACTCCAGACAATCTCTGCCTCTGAGTCCTTCCAGATACCTGAGCATGTCAGACCCCAGAGCACCCACTTTTGGAGGACACTCACGTGGGCTGTGGTCCCTGTGCGGCCATTTCCTACTTTCAGGGTCTTGGGGTGTTATGTGCCGAGCCTCAGTTTCATCATCTGTCAAATGGGTGAATCTGCCACGCCTGCCTTTCACAGATTTAGTAAGAGTTGGCAAGAGAACTTCCATGGAGCCCTGAGTGTCCACACCTGGTGCTATTGTAAGATTATTTTCTGTCTTTGGAGCACTTCCTCATGGGACACCTGAGGCAGGTTAACTTACAGGGCGTTGTTCAGTTTCCTGGTTTGCAAAATGGGAGCGACAAAGGTTTCTATTAGGGCTGCTGTGAGGATGAAATGGCTCAGTACATTCTAGTTATTCATATTATTATCATCTGTCTCCAATGTTTTTAGGTTGTCAGTAAGGTGAGGGGCTAAACCCTTCATCTTTCCACCGCAGCTCTTCTCAAACATGCTACACGCGGTTGAATCATGCATACGTATGTAACACACACACAAGTCGTACATGCGGTAACTGTCTTTACGTTTGGAAAAGTGATGCAGATGTTTGGAAAGCGACACAGATTACTGTTAACTCAGGTTTCTGCTTTTTGCTTTCCAGTGAGGAAGGTTGAGTGGATGGCTTGGGGCGCAGTGGGAGGAGCTCTTGTCTCTCACCCGTCAGCCTTTTTATCTGAGGCCGTTTTCATCACCAATGCCTGGTCTCTGATCTGCCTCCCTGAGGAACGCACATGCGCTTTGTCCCAGGACTGGGAAGGAGGCTGACTACCCTCATCCCACGCTGAACCCCGTTTCTGCTCAAGCCTCAGAGTTGGAAACTCCAGTCCTTCTGGAGCATCCGGGCAGGCCAGAGATCTCAGGCTTTTCTTGCAGGCTGGGAGGTGAGCCCTCACCAAGTGACTTCTCAGATGACGCGCTTTTCTGGGATCCGAGGCTTATGAATCTACAGGGAACATTCAGTGTCCCCATCTGGCTCTCTAGGACACTCGTTCTAGAGGCCCGCCCGGCCGTCTCCCAGCTCGGCTGCCCCCCGCAGGCCCTTCGCTCTGGCCTCAGCCAACAGAGCCTCCGCACGAGGGCGCATCCGCTCTCGGACTCCTAGGGCTTGAGCCTGCACTCCCCGGAAATATGGAAATTGCCCCAGCGCGGGGTTCCTTCTAACAGAGGCCCCTCCTAGGCTCAGGTTACAAACTCATCAATCACCCGGGAGCCCGGGATTCAAACCCGCTCTGGAGCGGGGCTGGGGCGCAAAGCCGGAGTTCTACAGCTGAAACCTCCCGGAGACTTTGCACACTTCTGCAAACGCGCGGGGCTGGGTGTGCGTCTCCAAACCGCGACTAGAGCGTGGGCATTTGTTTTTTGTTTTTTGGTTTTTCTCTCTCTCTCCTAATCTCTCTCTGTCTCTTTCTCGCTCTCTTTTTTTTTTTTTTTTTTTTGCTTTACTATCGGTGCCCCGCCCACCAGCCTCCCGTGTCTCCGCCCACGTCCCGCCCATTACCAAATCGGGCAGTATTTATCACCGTACAAATTCAAGCTCGGATTTGCCTTAGAGTTTAGAAGACGCGCCGGGACGGCGGGAGTTTCGGTAGAGGCAGGGATGTGCGTGCTGGACTTCGGGTGCCGCGTGGGGAGCTCCAGGAGGGGCTGTGGGATAGGAAGGTGGGGAAAGGGTTGCATAGTGACACCGGTTTATCTCTCGGTCTGGGTGTGTTGGAGCGAGCGCCGAGGCTGGAGAAGGAACTGGATCCAAACTTGAGCTTGCTGGGGGCGCGCGGCCCCGGAGAGGTTGGGTGACCCCAGAGACTGTGGGGCCTGCGGGTTGCAAAGGCGCTGGCATTGAGGTTTCTTCACCCCAAGTTTGAAAGGGGTACGCGGGTGAGAGCGAGTGGTAACGAAAAGACAAAGCCTCGCCCCTCCTGGCCAGAGGTTCACCCCCAGGACCTAGGCGGGCGCGGCCGGGCTGCTCGCTGGACCCACGTTAGAGGAGCAGGGCCGCGGAGGGAGGCCCGAGGTGTCCCAGGGACTGGCCTGTCGCTCCCGCAGGCAGTGCCGGTACCCAGGCCGGTTTTTCCACCCTTCCTGCGACTTCCTTTTTGGTATTTTAAATTTACCCGCTCCCCTGCGGTCTACTTATTCCATGGGCTGGATACCCAGGAACCCCAAACACACGGGTTATTTCTGATTTTCTCATTTTGAAAAAGGATGCCCGCCACGTTTCCGTGTTCAGAGGCTACCTGGGCACTCACATCCTCAGCCGGGTGTGGCAGCGGCAGACACTCCCCCTACCCCTGTAAGTGCCCTCGGTGCCTCTCCCTCCTTCCTGGCCCACTGGCAGTGGGCCATTTCTACACCCACCTGCCATCCTCCCCCTTCCCTCATCTCTTTGACATGCTCACACGATTTGCTCAATGAGACGCCAGTTATCCGAATGTGTGTGTGTGTGTGTGGGTGTGTGTGTGACAGTGTGTGTGTGTTTTAATATTCAGGGGGTGGTCATAAACAGGAAGTAGTCACACTAGGTGCCTCTACCCTTACCCTAACCGGTGGAGTGGGGAGGAGAGGCCCCCTTCGAAATCAGCATGATTCAGGATTTTTTATTCAAACAGTGATGTGGGAAAATGTAAAATGAGATGGGGGTGGAGGGCCGCGTACACCCCAGGGTGGGTGGATACAGGGAGAGCAAGCAGGCTTCCCAAATGCCTAATGTAATCACGGGCCAGCTGCATGCACTTGTAAAGTTGTTATAACCCCCTCCTTGTTATAAACAGGAAAGCCCAGAATATAAAGCTGGAGACCCACATTCACAAATACCAGGCCTCCCGCGCCAGCTGCCACGGCCTCCTTTTATGGTGTTCCTCTCTTGCAACCTTGGCCCCATCAGGAGGACCTTACTTTTGCCCCCGGTTCTCTAAATGGGTTTATTTTGAAACCTTCCTCAATGGAGCTGTGGACCATGAGCTCTTCCCCAGGCCCCCAGTGCCTTAGGCCTTCCCTTCCAGAGAGACTGGGCTCCCAGAGTCCACTTTCCCTCCGATTTCCGGAGAGCCCTGGAAGGGAGGGTGTGGGAGAGCAGGTCCCTAGAGAGTGCCACCTCCTACTGGGTCTGCCACCTGTTTTTCCAGGGAGGGCCGCATCCCCTTCTCAGCAGACACTCAGGCTTCTTAGATACTCTCCCTGCCCCAATCTAAAAGGTTCCTAGGACCTCAGAAAGTGTTTTACTAGACTGTGGCATCTCGATATCTCCGGTTAAGCCTGGGAGAAGAAAAGACCTTTTGTGGGAGGCCCTGGCGTTATGGGGCTCCCCCAGGCCAGCGTAAAACTCATCCCTGCACACCCACCCCCATCTCCACCTCTCCTTCCTGGCTCAGCAGACCCTGCTCTGAGCCACCGCAGTCTACATCCTGCCTCACTGACTGTGTGTGCTTACAGCGTCAAGGGGTGGACGTGATATTTCAAACATCAGATCAGTGCGTTTATATATTGGGTGCCCGGAAATTTTTCCAAATAAACACAGCTTGATTCAACTTGGGTGGGCGGACTTATCAACAGACTAATTCTATAAACAAATGAAGGAATAGCCCCAAAACCGATTGGCTGGTATCAAAAAGACACGTGGAGGGAAAAGCTTGGAGTTTTTCAGCAATGAAATTTTAATTAATGTGGGTGGGCTGAGAACACAAGGACTGTTTATCATAGACAATTTATTTTCCAGGGCTAAGTCAACATATAACAGCAAACTTACAACAATTATTTAACATTTTTAAAGCCATGAAGAAGGGACAGAGCACGGAGCGGCCGGGGAGAGCGGCAGAGCCAGAGGCAGAGGCACGGCTGGCTCCCCGGGAGGGCCCTTGCGGCGCGGGGCGCAGTGCCTAGGCCGCCCGGGTCTCCTGCGTTGCGGGGAGCGCAGCGCAGGCTCTCGCTTGCCATGAGTCACCTCTTCGATCCCCGGCTGCCTGCCCTGGCCGCCTCGCCCATGCTGTATCTGTACGGTCCCGAGAGACCCGGCCTCCCTCTGGCCTTCGCCCCCGCGGCTGCTCTAGCTGCCTCGGGCCGGGCCGAGACCCCGCAGAAGCCTCCCTACAGCTACATCGCGCTCATCGCCATGGCGATCCAGGACGCGCCCGAGCAGAGGGTCACGCTCAACGGCATCTACCAGTTCATCATGGACCGCTTCCCCTTCTACCACGACAACCGGCAGGGCTGGCAGAACAGCATCCGCCACAACCTCTCGCTCAACGACTGCTTCGTCAAGGTGCCCCGCGAGAAAGGGCGGCCGGGCAAGGGCAGCTACTGGACGCTGGACCCCCGCTGCCTGGACATGTTTGAGAACGGCAACTACCGGCGCCGGAAGAGGAAGCCCAAGCCGGGCCCCGGGGCCCCGGAGGCCAAGAGGCCCCGCGCCGAGACGCACCAGCGCAGCGCGGAGGCGCAGCCGGAGGCGGGGAGCGGGGCAGGGGGCTCGGGCCCCGCAATCTCCCGCCTGCAGGCAGCGCCCGCGGGCCCCTCGCCCCTCCTGGACGGCCCCTCTCCGCCGGCGCCCCTCCACTGGCCGGGGACCGCGTCCCCGAACGAGGACGCTGGTGACGCTGCCCAGGGCGCAGCGGCCGTGGCGGTCGGCCAGGCAGCGCGCACAGGGGACGGCCCGGGGTCCCCTCTGCGCCCCGCCTCCCGCAGCTCTCCGAAGAGCTCCGACAAGTCCAAGAGCTTCAGCATAGACAGCATCCTGGCGGGAAAGCAGGGCCAGAAGCCGCCTTCAGGGGACGAACTCCTAGGGGGTGCCAAGCCTGGGCCCGGCGGCCGTCTGGGTGCCTCGCTCCTGGCCGCCTCCTCCAGCCTCCGTCCGCCTTTCAACGCTTCCCTGATGCTCGACCCGCATGTCCAGGGCGGCTTTTACCAGCTCGGGATCCCCTTCCTCTCTTATTTCCCCCTGCAGGTTCCCGACACGGTACTCCACTTCCAGTAAAGCAAACAATGGCACGGTTCTTCTCCCGGCCCAGCCTGAGCCTCCGCTGAGCGAAAGGCCACAGCTCCCACCGGCGGAGGATTTTAAAATGATCTTTGCCTGGGTCGGCCTGTGGGTTCAGGGAAGTGTTACCAACCATTGCGCGCAGGTGGGCGCGCTCGCCTGCCTTCTCCGAAGCAAACTTTTCCCAGCAACTGGGAGCAGCTACGGAGACTTAAAAGATCCCCGCGGGGTCGTGGGCACCGCACGTGGGCCCTGCAGGGACCTCCACCGCGGGAGATTCCTTGACGTTTGACCTGTCTAATGGAGTGTGGTCTTCAGCCGCCCACCGCAGGTCCTGCGAGTCCCGGGCATGCAAGGGCCCGCAGACCACCCAAGGCAGGCCTTACAGGTGCAGTTGAGGTCCTTTCGACCGGGGACCCCCGTATGACCGTCGCCTGCTTCGCTGTTGCCGTGTGGCTCAGGCCTTGGTTTTGAGCCCATCTGGGTGGTGGGTGGTCACAGCTGGGTTTGTTCCTGACTTGAAGTTGTGGAGGTGCCGGGGGTGACCCCGGGTTTTCAGGTTTTCTGAGAGATGTAGGGCCCGATGAGGATTTATGACCAATGTTCAGCTATAGAAGCTGATAACCACCCAGAGCAATAACACTTTTATTTTAAACAGAGACTTTTTCTCTTAATTTCTTTCTGGGTAGTAAAAAGAACATGTTTCATTCTTTGCATAAATACTTGACTCTAAGCATTGACCTTTGAAAACGCTTGTATTAACAATTTTTATTAAGAAAGTGCACTCTATATAACATCTTCTTGCATTACGATAGCTCATTAGCCAATACACATGCAGCTATGTAAGCCACAACAGCAGACGTCCTATCCTTTTGCTTTTGTTTTTAAGGGATCAAAATATTTCAAGGGATACCATGAGGAAGGGTGTGAGGGGAAGGGGATATGCCTTGGACAATGTCAGAGTTTTGATTTCCATGTTTTTTCAAGATCCAGGCTTGGTGGTCGCTATATTTTTCAGAAACAGATAATGAAAGACTACATTTAATTTAAAAAGTTGGGTGAAACAACCAAAAGCAGATGCAGAGAGAGAGAGGGATGAATGCGGGGGAAGAATAAGGGGACGTGCTGGTGTCCGCTGGAAGGGGCCTCTCTGGGCCCCAGAGGACCTGAGGTTTGATGGCAGGAATCTCCCAGACACTCCTGGCCCCCGCACCCCCTGCAGCCGCCCGCTCTTCCCTCCCAGCCCTGCCAGGCAGGCCTGGAGGCTGATACTAAATCAAAACCTTAAAGAGGTGACTGGCAGTCTGGGGAGGGGAGAAGAGGTCTGCAACGAAAATCTAATTAAGAACATTGAGATGTTCACAACCAAGTTCAGCTTGCAGCTTCCGGGGAAATGCAACCGACCTCTATGCCATCTCTAGCTGGGTAATCTTCGAGGCCCTGAAATGCAATTTTCTGAACCTCTAAGTCACTTTTATTTTATGTCATGTGATAAAGACACAAGTAGTCACGCACTATTGGAAATAGGTTGGGAGGGAGGTCTTTAAGATCGCTTTTAAAATAGTTTCCAGGACTTGTCTAAAAATGATGACAAACTTTGAATCCAGAGGGCCTGTTGGTCAATGTGTTGGAAAGGACATTTCAGGCCGGCAGAGTAATTGGATAATTCACAGGCATAGAGGTGACTTTTGGAAAATTCATTCTCCTATCCATGCTGAACCAGGCTTCCACGACTGGGTTCTACCCAGGCCAGTGGGAAGACTCTGGGAAACTTCAGGCCAGCCTTGATTGGAAGAACTTCCAGGAGGAGCCATTGCTGAGATCCAGGCTCACTGTGATTCACTGAAAATGTAGCGAAAGGGCTGTCACTGGATATTTTGCTATCCCAAACTCTCAGCCTCTGTGAATAAAGTTGTTTTTTCATTAACCTCTCAGTGACTGGTTCAGTGGATTACTGGAGGGAAATAAACAAACAGTGTAATAAGAAAGAGGAGACTGGGATTATATCTGGGAGTCGTGTTAGCATCTCAGGAGGCTCTGGCTTCTGAGGGGTAAACACACAGATGGAGGGGAAGGAGTGGAGAGGATGCCGGGCCCAGGAAGCTGCCTCCATATCAGAAAGCACGATGAGTTAATTCTGCCGTATTGAATCGGTTTTTAATCTTTCCTTTTTCTTTTTTGTGTTTGTATGTTATCTTGGGAGGTTTTGTTAATTTGTGATGGCTATGTTTTGAAGAAGCAAATAATTTGATACTGCAGTTTTAAAAGGGTCGTATTTTAAAGTTACTATTCCAAAAAGTATTGTACGAATGTTACTTTTATGACACAGAAAAAATGCAGATGTATCCACTTTGTGTGTTTATACATGCATAAAGAGAAATTCTATTTAATCCCAACTTTTGTCTGGTTTAGAAAAGCTAAGACAAGTGGATACTGAGGTCGTTTTTATGTAATCTATATAATTGCATGTGTATTCCTTCCTCCTGA
This sequence comes from Homo sapiens, assembly GCF_000001405.40. Taxonomy (NCBI): domain Eukaryota; kingdom Metazoa; phylum Chordata; class Mammalia; order Primates; family Hominidae; genus Homo; species Homo sapiens. The sequence continues at coordinate 86,582,252 of NC_000016.10, forward strand.
ACCAAAAAGAGGAGGTTTGGGTCTTACCAATCCGAATAGCTGTTCTATTGATCCATATTTAATCGTTGGCTCAAAATTATGGCTCAATAAGGTCAATAGTTTCTGCTCTTAATTAAAACAAAATCTCAGCTATAATTAGGGTGAGCCAGAAGCAAGCTTATCATTGTACTCTTAGGCAATCTGAAGGAATACCTCTCTGCTCTCATCTAAACAAAGGGAACAGATCTGTCTTCTGTAAATGATCTTTGGTTCAAGCCCTGATTACACACACACACAAACAAATACCCACACACATATGAGTGCACTGATCATAATGAGGATATGGCAGGCACATGTTTGATAACAAAGTGTGTATACATATGTACACGTTTATATATATGTATATACATATATATACATGAATGTGTAGGGGTGTGTGTGTGTATTTGTTCTGTGTACATGAATGCTCATAAATGTATCTTTTTTGAATATACCTGAGACTCAGATCAAGTACTGAGTCCTTTCACTTTAACCCAAGTATTGATACTATTTGAAAGATTTTGTTTTTCTATATAGTTTTTAAAAATAGATAATAATTTCTATATAGCTTTAATAGTTTTGTTTCTCTATGTAGTATGAACCAGGGATAACTTTATTGTTCTGTGTTAGTATAGTGAAACTGACAGATTTTATTTAAACATCGCGGAAGACACCCGCTTTGAGAACTTTTCCCTCCGTTCACAAGGACAGAGAACTTTACAAAGGACTCTTGCTCTGCCTGGCCTCATCTAGTTGCTGGCTTTTCTAGAAACAAACGGCCTCCTGGGCCTCCAGTGAACCATAAGAGTTTTGAGAACCTGAATAGGACCTTCTTAGCCATTTTCAGATTTAATTGTGCCCGTTTGAATGGTGGTCTTCACCATTTCACTCAAAGTGGTGAGTGTATGCCCGTGTGTATGTTAAAGAATTAGCCACATATAATTATTGTTACAGCTGAAAGCCAGAGCCAGCCTGCCCAGACCCTGGCAGGTTAATGTTAACATCACAAAGGTAGGTGACGTTTCCAGTAACCAGCTGCACCCAGGAGTGAGAAAATAAGGGGAGAGCCATGATTTTGTGCACTTCCTGGCTTCATGGTGGATGGAGTCTTGTTTCCATGAAATAAAGGTTGTTTCATAGAATGAAAAACATAAATGATAAAAAGCAAAGTTTGTCCATTAAAAATAAAAAGCGTGAGTTTGTGGAAAAGTAAGATTCTTTTGACTCACATTTAAAGCAGTTTTTTAAATACACCTGAATAGCCACATGACAAGCTCTCTCCTCTGCTGGTCCTTATCCAGAGGCCCCAGTGCTGAGTTCTTCAGGGCTAGGCAGGGGCCACAGGTGTTTACAGTGACCTGGAGTGGGGCCTGATCACTGGAGCGGGCAGTGGTGGGGCTTGGGCTGAATTGGGGTGAGGGAAGTTCTGTCCCTTCAGATGGCATCCAAATGCCAATTGCACTAGGCAAATCAAATGTGTGGCTTATAGGCCAGATGTAGAGTCAAGCTCAGGCTCTCCACCTTGGGGTGCAAATGAAATCTGGGGGGGTCACAGTCAACTCAGGTATCTTTACAGTAGCAGTGGGGGTGGAGGGAAGCAATGGAACAAAGATTTGGTCCCAACCTGTTTTTTCCATTAGGTACAAGAATCAGCGTCCTGGCAGGAAATAGAAACCCACTTAGATGGCTCCATGGAAAGGATCAGGGTGGAAGGACTATTTATGGAGGAGTGGGCTGGATGAACGAAACCGCCAGTGATTAGCAAGGGTGAGAACAGCTCCATCCTGCCTCTGCCCCCTCAGCCTGCAGCAGGTACCACCTTCAGAGCTGGAGTGGAAAGGAGCCACAGTGCTGGAGCAGACAGGAGGGAAGGGAAATATCCCACCTCTCCTCTTCCGCCTTCCAGCCTCATCTGATGCTTCCGATGGGCTGAAACCTGCAAGAAACCCAGCCTGCAAGGTAGCCCAGGTAATGCTGTCCATAGGGGTCAACCTGCAGAGGAGGTGAAGAGGGGCTGCGAGTGGACCAGGGAAGGGCTGGGCAAGCTGACTGTGACCAGCACACTGGGGGTCCTTCTGCGGGGACCAGGAAGTTGCCGCTGCCCTGACCACACCTTGATGTACAAAAGCCAAGGCTGGGATGTCCCAGACAATGCCTATGGCTGCATCTGGAATTCCAGAAGATTGGAATCTCCCATCTGGCAAGCTTCCAAGAGAAGCAGGCTGTAGATACTAATCTGGGTCCCTCTTAGGTGGGCAGGGCCTCGGCTTCAACTGAGTTCCAGAGAGGGCCTGCCCTGGCCATGCATCTCTGCCTGGATGTCTTGGAGTCTGAGAAGTTGCTGGACTGCCTTTGACTGTGCACAGTAGTAATGGTTTTTCTTTTTCTTTTCTTTTCTTTTTTCTTTTTTCTTTTTTTTTTTTTTTTTTGAGGCTGAGTCTTACTCTGTTGCCCAGGCTGGATTGCCATGCAGTGTTGTAGTCATAGCTCACTAGCCTCAAACTCCTGGGCTCAAGCCAGCCTCCTGCCTCAGCCTCCTGAGTAGCTGGGACCATACGTGCACACTATTACACTTGGCTTATTTCACAAATTTTTATGTTTGCAGAGAGGGGTCTGGCATGTTGCCCAGGCTGGTCTCGAACTCTTGACCTCAAGTGACTCTCCCACCTCAGCCTCCCAAAGCACTGGGATTACAGGGGTGAGCCACAGGGCTCAGCCTTCACTGGGTTGTGTGGCTGACGCTGTCCTGCCCTTTTAGAATGTGTGGACCACATGTTGGTGAGGGCATCCTCAAGCCCAATCCAGAAGAAGTTGGGACGATAAAAGGGTCTCCACCCCAGGGCAGTGTCCGTGTTAAGCCCACTTGGAAGGGTGAGGAACAACACCCTGGAGTTTGCGAGGTCACATGGACTTCGACAGCATGAACTTTAAGGAACAGCTCATGCCTTTGCAATGTGCAGCGGAAAGTATTATGAACCTCACGCCACCCAGAGCTCTTGGCTTCTCATCTCTCGGCTTCTCATCTCTCCCAGGTAGCTGGTCACCATCTCCTATCCACCTCTTCCAGGTCCACTCCAACACACCCAACAATGGGAACAATTGCTGTAATTGCATCTTATTGATTCCTTACCCCTCAGTAATTGATCTAGTCAGGGTGAGGTGGCCCCGGAAGAGGGTTCCTTAACCTGGATAAGAGTGTGGCCTCGGAGCCCATGAGACAGAGGCTAATAATGCAGCTGAGCCTTCACTTGCTGTTGACATTGGCAGTGACCTAACTCTTTTGTCCCTTAACTCCTGGCATGGGTACAAATAACATTAGTAACTACTTCATAGAGCTGTAATGGGCATAAATTAAATGATGGTTATACATTCATGACCACAGCCTGCCCTGGTTCTCATCTGTAAAGCAGGAAGCATAATCTCTCCTCCTGCATGAGACCTCATCAGAGTTAAATGAGTTGATGTTTGTAAAATGTCTGGCATACAGAAAACACTCAATACATGCTAAGTCTTATGGCTGTATACAGACATAACCTCTAGTCTCCACTCATGACTTCTCTGTGCAGCAACAAAAACACGAACAAACAGTGCTGCTCATGTTAGAGAATTCTGTCGAGAACAGAAGGCTCCTGGGGCTGATTTCTGCAGTCCTCCTGCCCGGGCAGGCTGGGATCCATTTCATCTTTTTGTTGCCGTGTTTCCTCTCTTGAGATGATCCAACCGTTTGAACACGAAACCAAAAGCAAAATAAGCTGCTACACACGGCAGGGGATCTTAGGAAAACCATAGGAGAGATGATTTTCACAGGCTGGAGGAGAGCAACATTCCTTTGGTGCTTCTTTGCTTTGCCCAGGTGGTACAAGGAGCCTAGAGGAGACTTCCCAGGGCTGACTGTCTAGCCATTGTGAACTCAAGGGCCTTGGGAATGAATACAACTCTTTATTTCTGCCCCCCAGCACTGAGACCATTCCTATAAGCCAAAACCGAGGCTCCACCCCTCTCCTGGGGAGAAAGGGCCTAGCCTGGAGGAGCAGTTTTCCCTAAACTCATGCATTTCATAGCCCGCCTTATAAAGTGTAAAGAGTATTTCTTTTCAATGCTGTAGCTAAATATAGCAGGGCTTGGTCAGCTAGAACATTTTTAGTAAGCACATTACAAATCAGGAATGTTTTGGAGAAATAAATAAACTTTCCCACATTTTTGGACTTTGAGTCGGTCCTGCAGCCTCCATCTTGAGAGCATGACTGGTGGGGAAATGATGAATAATTCATCACTGGCACTGCCCAGGGCTCTTTCTGGAACCATGAGTGTACTGGACATTCTGCATTTACTGAAGTTGTGGGACAAGGATGGACATGCAGGGAGACACTCTCAGGGGAAGGGCAGCCCCCTGTCTCCATAAGGGCCACTCAGTGGCATAAGGAAGAGAAACGAATGTATCTCCAGTGTGTTGCATTTCTGACTCAGCCATTTTGGGAGGTGTTCACTGCGGCATCCGAATGTGATGAGAAGAAACCCATGAGGCTGTGGTTCCCACCTGCTCTGCACCAAGGATGACCTGGGAATTTTGGATTCGCCCAGCATCTGTGTCCTAACCTCAGACCCTGGTTCACTTGGCCTCTGGTGAAACCAGACAGGTGTATTTTTATAAGATCCTCAGGCAATTCTATTGATTCTGCAACCAGAGCTGAGAGCCCCTGCAGTGAGGTATATATGCCACTGGGTGCATTTGTAGGGGTAGAGAGAAGACGTACTCAGCATTAGCTATCATTTCTCTCTTTTCACCTATGCATATTTATATACAAGTTTTGTTTGTTCAGAGTAGACTCTCAGCATCTTTCTATGACCTCAACTACCCTTTTTCTTTATTCTGTGTAGATTTGTCTTTCAATAAAATACCACTGTAGAAGTTATATGTGTTCATACAGGAAATGTGTAATATTCAGAAAGGTGGTAAAAAGGGAACAAACCTGTAGCCCCACAATTACTTGTAATAATCCTGCCTCCAAGAGTGTATGCTTGGTATTTCCAATGTATTTTGGTGTTACTTTTGGTATATCATCTTTCTCTAAGTTGTTTGTATTTCATTAATGCTACCACAATTACCTCCACCACGACAATTACCTCCACCACCACAATCATCACCATCATCATCATCATCACTATCGCCACCACCACCATCATTATCATCACCATCATCACCATTATCACCACCATCACCATTATCATCACCATCATCACCATTATCACCACCATCACCATTATCATCACCACCACCATTATCACCACCATCACCATTATCATCACCACCACCATCACCACCACCACCATCACCACCCTCACCGTCATCACTATCATCATCACCACCACCACCATCATTATCACCATCATCATCGCCACCATCATCATCATAACCATCACCATCATGACCACCACCATCACTATTAACATCACTATCATCACCACCACCACCATCACCACCACCACCATCATCACCACCATCATTATCACCGTCATTATCATCACCACCACCACCACCATCATCACCCTCACCATCACTATCACCATCATCATCATCACCATCATCATCATCACCATCACCTCCACCATCAACACCACCATCATCATCACCATCACTATCACCATCATCATCACCATCACCATCATCACCATCACCACCACCATCACTATTAACATCATTATCATCATTACCACCACCACCATCATCATCATCATCATCATCACCATCATCACCCTCACCACCATCACCATCATCATCACCATCATCATCACCCTCACCACCATCATCACCACCATCCTCACCACCATCATCATCATAATCATCACCATCACGATCATTATCATCACCATCATCATCACCCTCACCACCATCACCATCATCACCACCATCCTCACCACCATCATCATCATAATCATCACCATCACGATCATTATCACCACCATCATCATCACCATCATCATCATCACCATCATCACCCTCACCACCATCACCATCATCATCACCACCATCATCATCATCTTCACCATTATCATTACCATCACTATCATCATCATCACCACCGCCACCATTATTATAACAATCATCACCACCACCACCATCATCACCATTACCATCATTATTATCTTCATCATCATCACCACCGCCCTTGCCACCATTGTCATCATTACTGTCACTAAGTTGCATTTCAACATTGCCTGTGCAGTGCACATGCAGATTACTGGGGACAGAGAACTCTGCAAGTCATGCTTCTTTTACTTTAATTGCTGACAGCTTGGTAATGGAGGCAGGTGAGTGAAAAATATTTATTTATTAAAAGTTTTAATTTTGATATAATTGAAGATTCACAGGAAGGTGCAAAGAAATGTACGGGGAGGTGAAAGAGACTTATTTTGTACAAGAATTTTCATATCCACTTTCTCATTCTTTTTTAACCACCTTCATGTGAGGTAGGCATTACCATTTTCTCCACTTACATACACACTAACACAGGGACACTCAGAGAGGGTTAGGTGGCTTTTCTTAAGGCACATGGCTAGTCAGTTTCAGAATTAGTCCTGCAATTGAGAGTCCAGCACTCCCAGCCCTCTGGTTCATTCTGACCTCCTGCTGTAGCATCTGGCACCAGGGATTGGGAACAAAGACTTCTGCCAAGTGACCCCTGGTTGGCAGGTCCAGTCAGTGACTTTGCTGTCCTCTCCATCATTCTCATGGGGGAACCATGCTGGCTTCTCTCTCTAAGCCTTGTCAGGATCTATTTCTTTTTTCAGGTTGATTTTTATCCTTCCTGAAATTACAGGAATAACTGTTGGTTAGAACTGTGACTTCTGTTGTCTGTGTAAACCAGTGAATCTCAATCTGGGCTAAGCACTGAAATCACTCTGTGTGTGTGTGTGTGTGTGTGTGTGTGTGTGTGTGTGGCAGGGGGAGCAGCTTTAAAGGTGCTGGCAGCAGTGTGGCAACCCCAAATGGTATTTCAGAAACCTTCCCAAATGATTCTAGTGTAACAGATTTTGGGAACCAGTGGTTTTGACATCATTAAGGGAAGGCTTGACATCAAGTGCCCAGATTATTCAGAAAAACCACTTGGCATGAAGGAACAAAAAAGTGGGTTCAGGGCTGAAAGAAACAGCCCAACTGTTTGGTATTACACAAGCCCTGTACCCTCATCTCTTTGTCCACGCTCTTGGGAGAAAGATTGAGCACACAATCTTTGCCCTATATCATATCATTTAATCATTTCAACAACTCCAGGAGGTTGGCTAGAGTCTCTCCATTAGACAGATAAGAAACTGAGGCTGGGGTGTGGGACTTCATGAGTAGCACACAGGAAGAGGCTGAGTCAAAAATTGAGGTCAATTTCTTCTAGAACCCTTGCTGTCCTTCACACCATCTTCTACGCTGCCCATACTAGAGTTTCACAAATGTTAAAACACATTTCAGTGCCGTGTAAAGGAAGTGCATGCCTTTAGGAATATCCATAGAGGAAGAGGGTGGCTTACATTTTTCCATGATGAAGAACATGCCTTGTACCTAGTGGTCTTTGTAATCAGCATAGTTTATCATTTCTCATCTAACAAATAGTGATTGCCATTAACTGCCAGGCTGTGATATGCCTTAGGAATATGTCAATGAACCAGACCCAGGTCCTGACCTTCAAGGGCTCATATTCTGGTGGGAAAAACTAGAGAAGCAAATTGACATGCGCCAGCCATCTAAGGCAATTTGGACATTTATGGTTACTCAAAATCTTTTAAACACTCTTCAGTTTCTGATAGGTTCACGTACTTCAAATCCTACCTTCCCAACATAAAACAGGAAGAAAGCCCTGCTTGTCTCTGTGTGCTAGCCATCTGGAGTCAACCACCGAGACATGCAGGGGCGAACCCTGGATTTCTCAGGGAGGCAGGTGAGCAAAGGAGAGGGCATGGTGTGCTGGCTTTGCTGCTGTGGACCATGGAGGTGGTTCTGGAGCCAACAGCTGTGGCAGCCCCTTTCTGTGTGATTTGAAGGCTTCTGATCCTAGAAGAGGCAGCAGTTTCCTTGGTGCTCATTTCTGCAGTATAGTGCAGGGAGTCGCCCCTGGAAGCTCAGCCTCAAATCTGTTTTGTAAGTTTTGCAAATATTCTATAAGTGTGCATCCCTTAATATAAACACTTTCTGTGTAAATGAAGGAGAGTTTGAAGTAAAACTAAGGCCGATAAGAATGATAAGATATATGAGGGGCTAATAGTAATTTTAATATTTTCTGATTACTTGGCCTCCACTTGGATTGTCGTAAGCACTTCACATGTACACAGTATTAACTCATTTACTTTTCCCTTTCAGTTAAGAACTATTGTTTTCCCTTATTTACAGATGGATGAGGTAACAGAGGTTTAAAGAGCTTAGTCATTTGCCCAAGTTCACGTAGCTAGTAAGTGGCAGGCTGGAGTCTGGATTCAGACTCACTGGCTTTGGAGCAATGCCTTTAACCACTGTACTCCGCACCTCCCATTGTTTGAAGCAGCCTTCTATGGCATGAGGGCTCCTTGCCCCTAAGCTTAGGAGCCAAAGAAGTAGAGCAACAAACTCATCCCAGTTTGCCGGGGACTTTCCCAAGTTATTATTGAAAGCCTGGGTCCCAGGAAACCCTTTTGTCCTGGGTAAGCTGGGATGGTTACTCACCCTATGGAGAATTACTCCATAGTCACACTATGGAGAAGGGTTTCTAACCCAATCCTAAAGGATTAGTAGAAGCCACTTGTACATTTATTTCCTCCAGGAGGAGCTGAGCAGGGACTGGAGCTTCTTCCTCTTTTTATCCCCAGCACATGACCAGGGCATGTTCTCTGCCAGGTGCTCAATGTATAGTTGTTGAGTGAGGAGATGAAGCAAAACTTGTATTGAACATCGCTACACCCAAGATGTGAAAAACAATGTAGTTTATTCTTACTGAATGATGACCAGATGCCAGGAACCCAAATGAGTATGGAGGATACATCTGTGAATGACACACAGGCCTTTGCCCACATAGGGCTTTCAGTAGGGAAGACAGTCAATAATGGGATGATGATGGTGATGATGAGGATGCTGATGCCGAAGATGATGATGATGATGATGGTGATGAGGATAGGGATGATAATGACGGTGATGAGATGATGGTAATGGTGATGCTGCCGAAGGTGATGATGGTGATGATAATGATAATAGTGATGATGATGATAGGTGATGATGAAGCTGATGATGATGATAGAGGATGATAATGGTGGTGATAATAATGGTGATGGTGGTGATGATAATGATGATGATGGTGGTGGTGATGATAATGATGGTGATGAGAGGGTGGTGATGGTGATGGTGGTGATGACGATGGTCATGTGTCAAGCTCTGTGCTGAGGTCTTTATATGCATGTTCTCTTTAATTTTCAAGCAAACCTAGAGGGTGAGTACTATTGTGTCTACTTTACTAGTGGTGTTCTACTGATAGTTTCTCCAGGTGGAAAAGCCAGTCCTTGGCAAAGTATCATACCGGGTAGGTGCACCTATCTTTAAAGTTCTTAGCCACTTTTCGGTATCATCTAACCGGGCATGAAAGTATTAGGAATACACGGCCAGTGCTTGCGGGCTCACCTCATAAAGTGAAAGAGACAGGCAAGGAAACACCCTCTTAGCAAACAGCATCCTACACAGAAGTCCTTGGTCTGCATGGCACATCACAACCATCTAGGGAACTTAGCAAAATGTGATACGTGGACCCGGCCCGCAGAGATTCTGATGTATTTGGCTTGAGGTTGGTGCACACTTACCTGGTGATCTTTGTGCACATTTATGGGTGGGAGCCATTAATCTTATAGAATCCAGCAGAGGTCTAGTACAGTGGTCCTCAATTGAGGGCAGTTGGCAATGTCTAAAGACAGTTTTGGTTGTCATGACTGACAGAGGGATGACACTGTCACCCTACAAAGCACAGGACACTCCTCACAGCAGAAACTTATCTGATTCAAAATGTTAACAGTGCTGAGGTTTGAGAAACCTTGTATGATCCCTCTTTGTGAGGTCTTGACTCTGAAGAATGGAGTAATGGTATAAGTCATGTTTCTATTATGTTCTCATCTCCCTGTGAGAAGTTCACAGAGCTCTGGGATTTTGAAGCTAAAGGGCATAGAATACCTCTTAAGCAGGGCTGCCTTTTATGACCTTCTAGACTAGTGAACCAAAAAAAGAGTAACTTAACAATGTTTAGTTGCCACATTAAAAAAAGTAATAAGAAACAAGTGAACAAATTTTAGTAATATGTTTTATTTAACCCTACATATCCAAAATACTATTGGCCGGGCATGGTGGCTCACGCCTGTAATCCCAGCACTTTGGGAGGCCACGGTGGGTGGATCACCTAAGGTCAGGCGTTCGAGACAAGCCTGACCAATATGGTGAAACCCCGTCTCTACTAAAAATACAAAAATTAGCCCGGCGTGGTGGCGGTTGCCTGGAGTCCCAGCTACTCAGGAGGCTGAGAGAGGAGAATTGCTTGAATCCAGGAGGTGGAGGTTGCAGTGAGCCAAGATTGCGCCACTGCACTCCAGCCTGGATGACAGAGTGAGACTCCATCTCAAACAAACAAACAACAAAATTCTACCATTTCATCGTAATTTAATTGAATAAATAATGGCTACTTTACTTTTTTTGGTTTAAGTCTTCAAAATCCTGTTCATTGTTTGTGCTCAGCACATCTTGGCTTAGACTGGCCGCAGGTCATGTGCCCAAGATGCACGTCCAGTGGTCCCTGCATGGGACAGTGAGGCTTCTGTCTCCCTTGGATTGCCTTTCATGCGCTGTTATAGAATTCTGCAGCTCTTTATGGACTTGTCACAGTGGCAATAAGGTAATTATTTGCTCATGAATATGTTTTGCATCTGTCTCTCCCCGCTACTCATAAGCTCTGTGGAGGCAGAGGTTTATTCTATTTGCTGCTCCCATTTTTTTCTACAGCGTCTAGCCTAGTGTCTGTCACACAGTGGGTGCCCCAAAACTACTTGCTAAAGGATGAATTTTTCCCTTACTGCTGACTCTCTTGCTGGAGTGAAAGTCCCCAGCTCATTACAACCAAGTGCTTGGAGCATAATAGACAATAAAAGCTTGTGGAACGGACGTGAAATCTTGTGAAGGTGCCCTCTTCCTCTCCACGTTTCCTTCCTGCTTCTGAAGGCTCCTTCCGTGCAGGGGCGCCCCCACCCCTTTACTCACTCAGCTCTGGAGAGGAGTGGGTGGGAGGGCTGATCTGATTCATAAACAACAGTAGAATTAATGGGATATTGCGACCCAGCCTGGCTCTTCTTCCCCCTGGCAGTGGTGAAATTTTATGTTGTTCCTTTGTGCACTGGCTTTCAGAAGGGGCTGCCCACATCCACCCTAATGAAGTGTGGGGGCTTCAGTGGCCCCAGGCTGCTGTAGCTGCACGGGTGAGTCTGTTGCTCACTGTCAATCTAAGCCACCGGCTCCCAGCTGAGCTTTCATAGCAAAAGTTTTGGCTTCTCTTTGCCCAAGTCTGTCATTCCTCAAGCGGTTTAGAATTCAGGCAACCTCCTGGTTTTACTGGAGAGAACCTCACTGAAGGGCAGCGGGGGGAAATGAACTTCCCCAAGATACAAAATCTTACAGTCAGGGCCGACGGGGGGTTCCCAGTGCCCAGTCTGGGGTGCAGCGGGTTTCAGCTTACCTCATATGAAAATGCTAATTGGATGGGAATTCTCAACTCTGGAGGACCACCCTGAAGAATAAAAGAGCAGGGCAGTATTTACACCACCATGGACAAGACCCAGGGGCTTGGTTTTTTATCTCCACAACTTCTCGGAGGGACAGGGAAAACTTTCAAACTGCAGATTCAAACTCCGGATTTATAGGATTTCCAGAGAGTTGTGTCCCCTTCCCCTTTGGTGAGAAGGATGCCCTCGGGGAGCTGGAGTTGTGATGAAGGGGGTTGGGGAATGGGATAGGAACAAGGAGGGGAGGTGGCCACCGCGGACTGGGAGAAACAGCAAAAGTCCTTCGAGCTCCATTAAGAGCAAGTGGCTGTCTTTCCCGGCAACAGAAATTCTCCATGGGGCTCCTCATTTATGTCACAGAGCTGAGCTTGAAGTCAGGCCAGAGATGCTGTGCTCTGCATGGGTACATGATTATGATGCGGTGTGTCTGTGTGTGTGTGTGTGTGTGTCTGTGTCTGCGTGTCTGTGTGTGGCAAAACTAGGGGGCAGAAAGAGGCTTTTGGGGGGATTTAGAACCTCTACCTTTGACTCAGTCTATCCTCAAATGGAGGGAGATCCCTGCCAGCCTCCCGGCACCCTCCCCTCCTCTCCATTTTAAAGCTATCCTCTGAGTTCTTGAATCAGTGTCTCTGAGTGCTTCCCAAGCCTTTGTTTTCATTAGCAAAGCAATATGTAATAATAGTTGTTAAAATAATTGTATTTCTGTTTTTACATCTGTAAAGATTAAGTTAAACAGTATGAAGCCCATTAAACTATTTCATGACACGCTGCTGTAAATTGCCCTGCATTCCCACTGCTACTATTATTCCAGAGTAAACTTCAGAGATCGGGCGGCTGCCATGAAGGGTTATTTATAGCGGCTCATTCATCAATAAAAAACTTCAAAAGGAATCTGTTATTCTTCTACTGAGAAGCCAAAGAAAACTCACATAAAGAGAACCCCGTTAAGAAACAAAGTGGAGGCAACCGCAAGACATTTAGTTAAGTAAAATCCTGATTTCTAACAAATACCATGTTGCAAAAAGAGATTGCCAGCAAACGTGAATCCATTTAAACAACTCGGTTCCCATTGGAGAGTTAAAAGAAGCTGTTAAGCAGTTGTATTTACCTTGGCTTCAAAGGGCCCGGGACCCCTCTTTGGGTTTAAACATGTAATAGGTTTGTGATCTTGATGTAGCAAAGCGATTCTTTTCATCTTCGGCGAGCCCAGGGGATGGACTCATCCTAGTGCTCATGGTCTGAACCTGCCGTGTTCTTGGCTTTTCGTGGGAGGCTGCATTGCGGATTGAGGGAGAGTGTCCAACCGTGGCAATGGAAGGGACTGGGTACTTGCTGGATTTTTTGGTGCCACCCTTTAGAAGCAGGTATTATTGGCTCTGCTTTGCAGATGAAAAAAACTGAGGTTGAGGTGGGCTAAGTGTATCCATCAGGCCGGACAGAAAACATGACCCATCAATGTGGCCCCAACCTTGGTGACACCTTAGAATAGCAGTGATTCATTTGGTCTCAGATCTTGATGTGTGACTAGCTGCAGCCACCCGCACCTTCACAGACATAAAAACCGCCAGACCCCTGACACGCCCATGAAGACACACCCAAAGATGTCTTTGGAGATCCCCGGGCAACAGGGACACTGGCATTTCTTTGCATCTCCGTGCCCCAATCCTGGACCTGTTCTGGTGCACAGGAAGCTGGTTACGAAGGGATGCAGTGGAGATGGTTTGCAGAAAGAACACCAAGTTTGCCGGACTCCGTGTTATGGAGATATTTTGTACTTCTGGGGATGGAGGCTGGAGCATGCCCAGGAGACCACATAGTCATGAGCATTCACAATTACCCAGCAATTAACATGTGCTGGGAACCCTGCCCAGTGAGAGCTGACAGATCTTCTGTCATTTATTTTTCCCAAGCCTGTGAGGTAAGCGCTAACAGTAGGCCCATTCTACAGATGAGGGAACTGAGGCTCAGTGAAGTCAACGGCTCAAGGGTGCATGGCTGGGAGGACACAGAAACAGGGCTCTTGCCTGTGTGCCAGGTGGGGACTCGCCCCTCCTCTCGTCCCTGTGCCTGTGGTCAGCTAAGAGGAGCCCAAGGCTCTGGAGTGGGACAGGGGATAGCGTTTGGCTGTGTTGTTTGCTCACTGCTCTGAGAACCAGCAGAAGGGCTGAGCTGAAAACTTCACTCCTCCTTGCCAAGCTGTGTGCCTTGAAGAAGATATGCCTTTGGGGTTCGAAGTGGCCCTGGAGCCAGCCCTATCTGGCAGTCCTGCTTTGCTACTTGCTAGTAAGTTATTCAGTCTCTTGGAGTCTCAGATTTCTCATCCCTTAAATGAGCTAATAACACCGAGGTGGTGGTGAGGGTTAAATGGGATGAGGTCATGTATCTGCAGTGCCTGGCACATCACTGGAAAAACAGCAAGCACCGATTGAGCCCTCAGAGCCTGACACGTACAAACTCCTGCAATTCTTCCTGCAAGCCTCTGGCGGGAACTGCTACCAACCTAATTTTACAGGTGGGGCATCTGGGCCACAGAGAGGTGGAGTAGTTTGCCCAACCTCACGCAGCTCTAAGTGGTAGAGCTGGCAGGCAGACCCAGGCAGTTTGGCACCAGAGTCCATTTTCAAGGCACCATTCTCATCTTTCTCAGTGGCAGGTCCTCAGCAATAGGGTTAGAAGGCTGCTGCCATTCAGATAGCACAGACAAGACAGAGGTGAGAGTTGGCATTGGATTCTGTAAAAGCGTTGGCCACTGGTGCATTTTTTTGTACAACCCCAGGGGTACCATCCACAGCGATTCTCGGAGTCATGCTCTAGAATGTCGCACTGGAGTTGTGTAGCATGTGCTCTTGAGATCCAGCCTATGTGTGGCCTGGGAAATGGGAGTCATGAATCCAGTCACTGGCATGGCTGTCATTCATCTGGCTGGGTGACTCCCAGCAGGTCCCCATGTTCTCTGGGCTTTATTTCCTCACTTACTCAATGGGAGTTGGCTTCAGTGATGGCCAAAAGCCGTTTGGTCACTACATGCTGTGGATCTCTGCCATTTGGACTTAGAGACAGTACCACTGAAACATGCCTGACCACACACCTCTTCAAGAGTCCAAACTTTGATTCTAAAAGGGCACATGCTTTGCTTTCTTCAGAGGCTGAGTCGGGGCCTCATCTCCGGTGCGCAGAGCATGAAGATGTTACTTTCTTTTGGTGGAAGCCATTTTGGTTTCCCATACCCGGCGACCGGAAGAATTCTGGAGGGAGTCTCTAATTGCAGGTGGAGGCCAGAGCTACGTGGAAATGCTGCCTTTTGGGATTTCCTGTAATGCAGTTACGTGCCTCCAAGAAGAACAACGGTGGCTGCAAAGACCAGAACGACTTCACGGCACCGTGTGTAGTTTTCAGTTCCTGGCTTTTGGCATGTTGGAGAGAGACCTGTGCTTATTGGATGGAGTGAGAAACTAATACCCATCCAGGCCTGCTGTTCCAAACTTTTTCAGTTGGGTCTTTTCCTTAGCCCTGCGATTAGCACGGGATGAATTCATCTGCTTTTTGGACTCACTGACCATCTCAGACTGTTTTTAACATGCTTGGGGTTTGATAAAACTGGAAAGATATTTGCCAAGCCCCTTTCTCCTTCATTTTTAAACCCATGTGGATTTTAGGGGGAATTTAATCCATATGTTTCTGATCCATGTGCTCTTAACTCATCAGAACCTTATTTCAAAAGCTATTTGGTGTCCAACGAGTTTTTGGAGTTGGGTTTTAAATCTTTTAAAGTCTTCCCTTCCCGGCTTTGAAACGAGATGTTGCCTTTTGCCAAGCATAAATGAGCTCCCAAGTCGAAAAGAGGTTCATGTTTGGTTCACAATTAGAGAAATGTGAATTCTCAGTGGGCTGTGATATGGGCGAGACCTGCTCTGTTTTGAAGACCTGTCAGGGCACGCCCCCAAATCAGGACCACAGCCTTTGGGGCAAGGAGCCATCTCACTGGCTGGGTGAACAGCATTTGGGGCCAGGAGCCATCTCATTGGCTGGGTGAAAAGCCTTCCAGCCAGGAGCCATCTCATTGGCTGGGTGAGACAGGACTTAGGGAGTTCCTTTACATGGAACCAATTTGACTCTGTCCAGAGAATTGGAGCCTGGAAAAAGTTTTTGAGGACTAGACTCCCCACTCCCAAACCTGAAGAACTTGGAGTCTGATGTTCGAGGGCAGGAAGCATCCAGCACAGGAGAAAGATGGAGGCTGGGAGGAGGTTGCTTTTAATCCGTGGTTCCTCTCCTCTCCTTCCCTCCTCTTCCTTCCCATCCCTCTCCTTCCTCTGTTTTCTTTTCTTCTTCTCCACACGGCTCCCCAACCTCGCTCTCTCTCTCATTGCAATTTATTTATTAAGGAAACAAGCCATTTATCATGTGGCGTAGCCCATACTTTGAATTTTTCTGACTGCATTCTTGCATTTAACAAGTTCTTGCCCTACAAAATATGAATTCTTAAGGCTTATGTAGGAAAAATATTTCATACAATCAAGTCTATTAGAACAATTTATTTTAAATTTTGATAGGCTTAATATCTCCCTTTTTCCTACCTTAGAATACATCCTCTCAGCCCTGAACATAACTCCATTCTCTGTGCATACCTGATACCCACATGCATTTTCTGTCTGGATCCACGGTTACAAGGAACAGATGTTGCAGGGCGGGGAGCCGGTTTCATCGTGACCAAGCCACGGCAGGAAGGAGGGGCAAGAACAGCCAGGGAGGGAGATGCTTTTCCAGGGACGCCCTCGCCCCTGGTCAGAGGGGAGCCCCAATCATCTTTCCTTCTTATCCAGCTCCCTCCTGTGAGTCAGAAGCCAAAAACTCTTTTCTTCACTCACGCGATGCACTGGTTACTAGGGTATGAACCAGGGGAGCCCATTTACAGGTGAGAGGAAAGCTGCCTTGCTGCTCCCTGCCTCCACCTGCTTTTGAGAAATGTAAGCTGTGGCCAGACTGACTTTCATTCTGCCCCTCACACTTCTGGCCCTGCCCTAACCTCGAACATTTTGCACAGCTCGCCCCTTTGCCCAGAACACCCGCTGCCATCACTGCCACCCATCTGTTCTCACACATTCGTCACTCATGTAGGACTTTTCCCAAACTTTCCCATGTGGTCATTGATACGGCGTAGCTCTGTGTCCCCACCCAAATCTCATCTCAAGTTGTAATCCCCACGTGTCGAGGGGGCATCTCGTAGGAGGTGATGAATCATGGGGACGGTTTCCCCATGCTGTTCTTGGGATAGTGCGTGAGTTCTCACCAGATCCAGTGGTTTAAAAGTGTTTGGCAGTTCCCCTCTTACTTTTTCTCTCTCTCCTATCGCCCCATGAAGAAGGTTCTTGCTTCCTGATTGCCTTCTCCTGTGATTGATGTTTCCTGAGGCCTCCCCAGCCATGTGGAACTGTGAGTCAGTTAAACGTTTTTTTTCTTCAAAAATTACCCAGTCTTAAGTAGTTCTTTATAGCAGTGTGAAAATGGACTAATATAGTCATGTTACTTGTACTCTTATTTACTTATTATTTTTCATTAAATCTACATTTTTCCCTAAAGAAAATTTTAATATCTTTAAGAAAAGATATTTTCACTTTTTTATTTTTATTTTTTTTGGAGATGGAGTGTCACTCTGTTGCCCAGGCTGGAGTGCTGTGGCATGATCTTGGCTCATTGCAACCTCCTTCTCCCAGGTTCAAGCGATTCTCTTGCCTCAGCCTCCTGAGTAGCTGGGATTACAGATGCCCACCACCATGTCTGGCTAATTTTTGTATTTTTAGTAGAGACAGGATTTCACTATGTTGGCCGGGCTGGTCTCAAACTCATGACTTCAAGTGATCTGCCCACCTTAGCCTCCCAAAGTGCTGGGATTACAGGCGTGAGCCACTGTGCCCAGCCTATTTTACTTTTAAAAAGTAAAAATCAAAATTACACATGTTAAATAGTATTAACATTTTGGTTTATAAAAATAGTTTTTAAAAAAGAAAAGTAAAAAAGGAAGAAAGAAAGAAAAAAGGAATAAAAGAACTAGGTACAACTAACTATTAGGTCCAGAAAAAGAAAAAGAAATTATACAAAAAGGAAATAAATGATAGTACACTACTTGTCTCAGATTGAATAGTATTTTTATGGTCATAAGAAGGAAAATACTGAATGCCAATTTTATGGAAAATTACAATATAATTCTATTAGGAGAGTGTGGGGAAGAGAGGTGGATACATGAACTAAAATCCTCATTTCCTTTAATAAAAGTCAGTAGTTAAGTCCTGAAACTGATGAATCAAGAAACAGTAATACACACATATTAGAAGAGAGAGCTAAGAGAATTAAAGTGGTTGTCTTGAGAGCAATGTATGATGGAAGTAGGGGATGTAGCAACAGGGATCCTCTTTTTTTTTTTTTTTTTTTTTTTTGTTAATGTTTGACTTGTTTGCTGTGGTGTTTTCTCCTGTGCTGGGACACGAGTACCCCTTTCATTCTGGAGATGCATGTTCTTGGATTATAGGAACTTTTCTTGTCTTCTTTGACTATTTTTTTATAGTTCTCTTGTTCTGTCTTTCTGGAATGCCTAGTAGTAGAATATTGGACCTCAAGGACTGATTCTCTAAATTTTGAATTTTCTCTCCCATTATCCTTCTGATTACTATCCCCAAATCCCTCCACTTACTTTCTGGGAGCATTTTCTCTCCTTTATTTTTCAACACTTATTGAATTTTTAATTTATGCTGTCATACTTGTTTCTAAAAATCTATTTTCATTCTAAGTGAGCCTTAAAAGTAGCATTCTATTCTTGCTGTCTTTGTTTGATAGATACTATAGCTTCTCTTTTTTCTAAGGCAAGGGTTGGCAAACCTTTTGTGAAGGTCTGGATAGTAAATATTTTCATCTCTGTGTGCCGTATGGTCTCTGTTGCATTGACTCCCATCTGCCACTGCAGTGTAAAAGCAGCCCAGGGCCACACGTAAGTGAATGGCTGTGGCTATGTGCCAATAAAACTTTATTTATCAATCCTGAAATATGAATTTCCGTATAATTTTCATGTGTCACAAAATGTTATTCTTCATCTGATTTTTCCCAATCATTTAACAAACTAAAAACGGTTCTTAGCTCAGAGGCCCAGCTAGATTTGGCCTGTGGGCCACAGTTTGTCCAAATTTGCTCTAAGGTTAATAGATTAATAGTATCTCTAACTGTATTTTTCCCCCAATGCTCTGGATTTTCTCATGTTTGTGAGGATGTTTTTTAAATGTTTGCTTGTGTTCTCTGACTTTCACATTGCAGACCCCTGAATTGACAGCCATGTTTTGAAGCCAGGCACAGAGAGTCATATGGAAGGTTTATGAGCACAGAGGAGGTGTGTACATGGGTGGGCTTCCCTCTAGGGGATGGAGGGTTCTGCAGTCCTCCAAAGGTTCTCTCTCTGTACATTCTGTTTCTCCTGGCATGGATCTTGCTGCCTCCTGTCTGGGAACACGAGCCTGGTGACTGGCACGCTGGGGCTGAGCAGGGCAGGAGGTGGTGGGATCTTACATTTTAGGATGCTGACTTTTGCAGTCCAGCATTGCTGCAGATCTCTGAGGACCCTGTGCTGGGCTCTTCAGTTTAATATATCTAGAGAAAATAGTGATGACCCCTGAAAAGGAGTGGGGTGGACAGATATCCTGTCTGCATGATGTGGGACTGAGGTCTGGTTCAGGGACCTGTATAGTCTAATTGCCCCCATGCTGCCTCTTTGTTCAGCCCTGTCTCAGTTCACCTGCCAACTCCCAAGCGTTCCCAGGGGTCTACAGGAGTATAGTGAACCAATAGGCTTGTGGGGATACCCTCCTAAACACATAGTTTTGGAGGTCTCTTCCAGCTGCTTCCCAGCTTCATGTACAATACCTTAGAGCCATTCAGGGTCACAGATGGTCGTCTCATTTCATGGAAAGGAGACTTTGGGTTTGCATTTTTCTATTTTTTTTCCTTGCAGGGGGAGATTTTTTTTTTTTTAAAGCATAGAGGGATTATTCTGTTTTCTTTTCTTATTTTATTTATTTATTTATTTATCTTGAGACGGAGTCTCGCTCTGTCACCCAGACTGGAGTGCAGTGGTGCGATCTCAGCTCACTGCAAGCTCCGCCTTCCGGGTTCACACCATCCTGCCTCAGCCTCCCGAGCAGCTGAGACTACAGGCACCCAGCACCATGCCCGGCTAATTTTTTGTATTTTTAGTAGAGACGGGGTTTCATCGTGTTAGCCAGGATGCTCTCGATCTCCTGACCTCGTGATTCGCCCGCCTCGGCGTCCCAAAGTGCTGGGATTACAGGCGTGAGCCACCGCGCCTGGCCTATTCTGTTTTCTCAAAACTGCAAATCCAAACGCATTTATTTCAAAAAGGAACTTTATGTCCCTAAGGAGGAGGAAAGCCAGACATCCCTGCCATAAATAAAGGATGGCCCTGAAAATGAGCAGTTAACTACAGTGAGCATGCTTTTCCCTATTTGATTGTTAGGTGGTGAGCAGATGCAGTGTTGCTTATCTTTGAGGCACCCAGTGGGAAAGCTCTTCCCTTTTCCATTCTCTTCCACACCACCTGATTGTATCAAGGAGAGTCTCAGCTTGGTGTGGGCCTGTCCAGCACCTGCTAATCTTCTCATTTAACAGACAGATCCAGGCCTGCAGCACAGAGCCCTGGGCGGGTAGTGATGTCTAGCTAGAGCTTAATCACATCGCTTTGCTTTTATTGTGTTTATTTTTAGTTACATTCTCCTTATCAAGAGATACTAACTTTCCATTTACATCAGTGCTGTAAAGTTGACTTTTAAAAATTATTGAAGTAAAAAATGTGAGTCGACTTAAGGGAAAATATTAACGAAATAGTGGAACAGTGGCATGTGCTCCGGTAAGCACCATGCTCACTAGAATGGCTAATGTTCGGGAAGCAGTGCTGGGCAGGATAGGGTTCTGCAGGAGGCAGTGAGAAAGTCTGGGGCTTTTTCCTCTTCTCCATAATCTAACAAGGCACATGACCACAGGCAAGCCACTTCACCTCTCTGAAATCTGTTTGTCTCATCTGTAGAGTGGAGACAATAATCTCGGCCCAGAACTCCCGTCTCACCTTGAAGTTGTGGTTACGGAGCAGAAAGATGAATGTGAAAGTGCCTTGTAAACAATAATTATTATGCGTAATTTAATGGTCATTTCTGTACTTGTCTAGCTTCTATTTCTCTCTCCTCTTTCCCTTTTTCCTCCTTTCTATTCCTCCTCCCTTCTCCCCCTCTTCTTCCTCCTCCTCTTTTCTCCTCCCCCTTCTCACTCCTCTCCTTCCTCCTCCTCCTTCCCCCTCCTCCTTCTTCCTCCTCCTGCTCTTCCTCCTTCTTCATCTTCCTCCTACTGTTTCCTCCTCCTCCTTCCTCCTCCTGCTCTTCCTCCTTCTTCATCTTCCTCCTACTGTTTCCTCCTCCTCCTTCCTCCTCCTGCTCTTCCTCCTACTTCGTCTTCCTCCTACTCTTTCCTCCTCCTCCTTCCTCCTCCTGCTCTTCCTCCTACTTCGTCTTCCTCCTACTCTTTCCTCCTCCTCCTTCCTCCTCCTGCTCTTCCTCCTTCTTCATCTTCCTCCTACTGTTTCCTCCTCCTCCTTCCTCCTCCTGCTCTTCCTCCTACTTCGTCTTCCTCCTACTCTTTCCTCCTCCTCCTTCCTCCTCCTGCTCTTCCTCCTACTTCGTCTTCCTCCTCCTCTTTCCTCCTACTCTTTCCTCCTTCAGCCCCCCATATCCCTCTCCTCCTCTTATTCCTTCTCCCTCTTCCTTCTTCTCTTCTTTCCTCCTGCTCCTCACTCCTCTTTCTTCTCCTCCTCCCTCCTCCTCCTTCCTTTCCTTCTCCTTTTTCCTCCCTCCTTCTCCTTCTCCCTCCTCCTCCTCCTCCCTCCTCCAATATACAGTCTTTCTGCTTTCTTCTTGATTCCCCATTTACTCATCTTTCTGGAGCTATGAAAGGATATCATGCAGGCAGTTGGGTAGTGAGATGGTTTGGATATTTGTCCCCACTCAAATCTCATCCCCACCCAACAATGGGGATTGCAATTCAACATGAGATGGGGCCTAGTTGGAGGTGTTTGGGTCTTGCGGGGTGGATCCATCATGGCTTAGTGCTGGTGAGTGAGCTCTTGTGAGATCTGGTTAAATGTGTGGCACCTCCCCTCCCCTCCTGCTCCCACTCCCACCATGTGACACGCCTCCTCCTGCTTCACCTTCTGCCTTGATTGGAAGCTTCCAGAGGCCTCCCCAGAAACCCAGCAGAGGCCAGTGCCACACTTACTGTACAGCCTACAGAACTGTGAGCCAGTTAAACCTCTTCTTTATAAATTACTCAGCCTCAGGTATTTGTTTATAGTAATGCAAGAATGGCCTAACACAGGTAGAAACTAAAACGAAAGCCATGAGTCCTTGCTGGAGGTACTAGAAATAATTTGGGCTGGCTGCTCAGGGACACCTCCCGCAGCCTTTCTGTATCAGACTCCACCCCCAGGCCACAGCAATTGGCCCTGTGTCAGGCACATGGCTCATATTGGGCCAATCAGAGTCCAGCTCCAGCTATTTCCCACTGGCGCAGGTGGGTGACCCCACTCTTCCCCAGGAGGGGGCCTGGGGGCTGTGATTGAGGTACCGGGGAGTGGGGGCCGATGGAGCTGACTGAGAGGCCCCCGTAAGAAGGCTTTTCCCTTTTCCATTCTCTCCAGTGGCGTCTGACTATAGACGCAGGGGCTCAGTTTGGTAGTTCCTTTTTTGTTTCTTGGAGAGGAAAAACAGAGGGGAGAGAGGGAGAGAGAGAGAACAACATTTGAGTCTCCAAGGCCCACTCCGCTCCTGCTATTTGATTAAAGAACTTGATACATTCTTTAACCCCGATATTTGATTAAAGAAGTTGATAAATTCTGAAGCTGGCTCGCTTAAGCCAGTTTCTGTTTCATTTTTGTCACCGTCAATCCAGAGTCCTGACTAAATACATCTGTTAACGTTACACTTCAAAGTACATATTGAACAATTCATTTGGTGGCTAGAAAATAGGGCGTCTGTGGACAGACGTTGGGTGGGTCTGGCTGCTTTGCGCTGGCCTCCTGAAGTGCTCTGGAGAGAGGAGCTGCATTCTTGTTCAGGTATTTGACTTTTAAATGTCTTCAGCATCGTTGCCAGCAGCTGGTTCCTGCGATAGCCTGTTCGGGCTCGTACGTTTTCATCACCTCACTACGTGTTTTCATGTTTGTGCCATTTCTTTCTCACAGTGTCCCTTTGATATGGTCAAGAACGATGGATGGATTGATTAATTAATTTGACCAAGCAACATTTGTGGATCACCTGCCAAAAGTTGGGGAACCTTGGGGGATAAGGATGTAAGACAGAATTTCTGTAGCCAAGTAGGGAGGTTAAGGAATATGGCCCTAACACTCAAGTATTAGGTTGATGCAAACCTAATTGCGGTTTTTGCCATTACTGCATTTACGTTTGCACCAAAATGATATCGTTATCCATTTAATAAAAAAAAAAAACTGAGGCAATGAGCAAGTTTAAGGGACTCGCCTGGGAAGTCTTGGAGCTTTAAAATGGAACCAGGAGTAGGGTCATATCATATCTCTTTATTATTTTTTTTGAGACGGAGTCTCGCTCTGTCGCACAGGCTGGAGTGCAGTGGTGCGATCTCCGCTCACTGCAAGCTCCGCCTCCCGGGTTCACGCCATTCTCCTGCCTCAGCCTCCCACGTAGCTGGGACCACAGGCGCCCGCCACCACGCCCGGCTAATTTTTTGTATTTTGTTTAGTAGAGACGGGGTTTCGCCGTGTTAGCCAGGATGGTCTCGATCTCCTGACCTTGTGATCTGCCCGCCTCGGCCTCTCAAAGTGATGGGATTACAGGCGTGAGCCACCACGCCCAGCCAGGCCATATCTCTTAACCTCCCTACTGGAGTCTTTCCACTTCAGCCTGCTTGCCATTTTGCAGTGTTTGAAAGATACCCACTCTTAGATATTTCTCTTGATCTAAAGTAGGGTGTCTGTGTCAGACCCCACCCCTGGGCCACAGCGATTGGCCCTGCGTCAGGCACATGACTCATTTGGAGCCAATCAGAGTCAAGCTCTGGCCTGTTCCCACTGGTGCAGGTGGGTGACCCTGCTTGACTATGCCAATTTAGGCAGATCTGTGGATGTCTCTGGGCCCTGCACTCCTAACTGTGAAACAAAGCATTGGATACATAGGACTCATGACTTGCAGCCTATGAGTGTGAGCACTCAAGCCTTGGCAGTTTTATTTGGTTCAACAATATTTTTAAATACACTGTATCTAGGCAGATCTTATACTTGGTAGCCATTTGAGCCACTTAGCATCTATTGCCTTATGCTTGGCCTACTTCAGTCATTTTTGTTATCTTCCTGGCCCTTACAGACTTATGAGTTTGCAACCCCTGGACCACTAGGTAGTCTCTGGCATATGTTCTATTCTTGACCTTGCTAGTATTAAATCTTAGTTTTTTTTTTTTAATATAGGTACAACATATACAACATTTCGCATTAGTATTAGTATTAGTATTAGTATTAGTATTGGTACACCTTTATGATCACTGCTCAGGTCATGGAATGGAATATATTCATTCCCCGAAAGTTCCCTTGTGTCCTTTTTCCAGTTGATATCTGCCCCCGCCCCAACCTAGAGGAAGCCTTTTTTTTTGACTTGTAGCACCATGGATTGTTTTTCTCTATTCCTGATTGTCAGAGAATAAATGGAATCATAACAAGTGTGCCCCTTTGTATCTGTCTTCTGTCCCTCAACGTTATGATTGTGAAGTTCATCCATGTGGCATATCTAGCAGTGGTTTTTCATTTTTTGTTGCAGTGTAGTATTCCTCTATATGAATGGACCACAATTTGTTTCTCCATCTACTGTTTGTTTGTTTGTTTGTTTGTTTGTTTTGAGACAAGGTCTCACTCTGTCAGCCAGGCTAGAATGCAGTGGTGTGATCTTGGCTGACTGCAACTTCTGCTTTCCAGGCTCAAGCCATCCTCCTACCTCAGCCTCCTGAGTAGCTGGGACTACAGGGGCATGCCACCACACCTCGTTAGTTTTGTTTTTTTTTGTGTAGAGATGGGGTCTCACCATGTTGCCCAGGCTGGTCTTGAACTCCTGAGCTCAAAAGATTCACCCACAATGGCCTCACAAAGTACTGGGATTACAGCTGTGAGCCACTGCACCTGGCATTCTATCTACTGTTGATAGATGCTTGGATTGTTCGAAGTTCTTGTCTATTACGAGTAAAGAACTTTCTTGCACATGCCTCCTTGGAGAACACAAGCCCTCATTTCTATTGGGTATAGATTTGGAGAAGAACTTGCTGGGTCATGTGGTGTTTTAGCTTTGGTAGGTTCTGCCAGATTGCATTCTCGTGAGGCCAAGATCCTGTTCCTCTATTTCTTACTCTTTGGGGGGCTACATAAGCACATGCTTTGCCCCCCTTCTCTCCCAACACACAGTAAAGTGCCTGGCACATAGCAGGTGTTCAGCAAACACAGCTAGTGGTTGAGGAATGAATACTGAAGAAATCCCTCTTCCCATCTCACCGTCATGACAGTCACTGCCAGCAGTCTCGTTGCCATCACAGATGACGCTTGAGGAGATCTCCCTAAGGACATTGTTGTATCAGTCCGTTCTCACACTGCTAATAAAGACCTACCCAAGACTGGGTAATTTATAAAGGAAAGAGGTTTAATTGACTCACAGTTCTGCAGGGCTGGGGAGGCCCCAGGAAACTTACAATCATGGCGGAAGGGGAAGCAAACATGTTCTCCTTCACATGGTTGCAGCAAGGAGAAATGCCCAGCAATGGAGCGGGGGATGCCTCTTAAAAACTATCAGATCTTGTGAAAACTCACTATCAAGAGAACAGCATGGAGGTAACCACCCCATGATTCAATCGCCTCCCACTGGGTCCCTCCCATAACACATGGGGATTATGGGAACTACAATTCAAGATGAGATTTGGGTGGGGACACAACCAAACCATATCAATCATCTTCTCTAATATTCACGGAGGCTGTTGAGGCTGGTATCAGTGTACCCATTTCACAGGTGAGGAAGCTGAGGCTCAGCACAGGTGACCTCCTGCCAGCGTATTTCTAGCTGGGTCACGGATCTGCCCAAGGCCGTGCACTCAGCCCCAACACTGTCTGCTTCTGGGCACTTTAATGCCTTAGGTTCATCCTGGCAATCCGTTTTTCAGACAGCTCTTGGCAGCTTGTCTGCTCTGTGGCATTGTTTGCAGAAACAAGAGCACTGCTAGACCGTTTGGCTTCCCCTGGGATGTCTCCAGGGGCTACAGTCTGTTTATAAATGGACCCTGGGCCTTTTCCTTTACTGGCCTCTATTGACAAATAAATGACTGACTCACCAGAGTAAAAATACACTTCTGGTTGGAGCTGTGTAGAGTTATTAAAAGTTTGTTGTGTCTACTCTGATGGTACAGCCACTGTCCTGGGAGAGGGCAGCCGACAGGGCTGTAGGACAAATGCAGCTCAACATCTTTTCTCCTGACTCAGTCATACATTTTAGGTCAGGGGGACAAGTTTCCAGGGATCAGTTCCCCCTCTGGTGGTTTAGCAGGGTGGCAGGGAGGCAGGGCTTTGGGTCTGGAGCCAGGAGACCTGGGCAGTGCTGCAGCTCTGTCATTTCCTAGCAGAATGACCCTGGGCAAGTCACCTAACCTCCTTGAGCCCTGCCTTCCTTCTGCCTGCAAAATGGCAATCACACACCTTGCCTCTCAGGGTTTCGAGAAGGAGCCAACAAGGATGGATGCAAACACAATTTCAAACAAGTTGCCTTAGTGACATGTTGGGATAGGAAGGGTTGGCCTGATGTGAGCTGGGAGAGGAGAGCTGGTCAATCACAGAAATCTTTTGGGAATTGGGATGCTGTAGTTTGGAGATGTCAGTGTGTGGCAGGTGCTGTCCAGCCCCCATCCCGTGTTTGTGGCAGACATTGCTAATCGATTATCGTGTCTTTCCTGCTGGGGCTGCAAATGGAATTGTATCACACGGTGTGCAGTCTTTGGGGATCTTTCTCAGGATAAGCGCCAGGAAGTCACCCTCAATTGGTTAGAGTTGGCAGGGAAGTCGAAACCTATCTGCAGTTCTTGCTAAAGATCAGTGTGTCCCAAGTTCTGAGCCACATTCTACTGGGCATTCCTCAGATGGTTTAGGTGGGATGTCAGGGCTTATGTTTAATGGAATTGGCTTAAAAATGCAGGAAGTTATTTCCTTTCACTCCTTCTTTAAGATTTCTGATGATCTGATTGCCCTGCTATGCCTTTACCCCCTCTCTTACCACTTGTTCATCTGCATTTTTAACAAAAAGAGATGAGTCTCAGCTCAGAGCTGAGGGCAGCCAGCGTGTCTCGCTAGATACTGATAAACGTTGTTTTGTTTTCGTGGCATTTATTTATATACACTGTGACTTTCTCTTGGTGGCACCCCAGGGTAGGTTTTCCATTTATATTAGCGATGTGAAGATTTCTTCTAAAGTGAGTTTAGTTGGATGAAAGTGAGTCAATTTAGGGAAGGGTGTCAGTGACCAGGAGTGCTGGTGACTACGTCAAGTCTCCTGAAGGATCTGCCACCATGCTGGCCATGGCTGGGATTCTGAAGGTCACACATGAATCCCTGATGTTTGGAAAATACAGTCCTGAGCTCTGGGGATCTGGGGGAGAGCGTGAGCGTGACAGGAGTGGGCTTCAGTGGGATTCCCGGGTAGAGAGTGGGAGGAATGGGGCTACTGGGAGGGCCGGGCAGGGTGAGGTGGCTCTCCAGGGCTGCCAGGGTGGCCGTGAGGGTGGGGAGGACGCTGGGGCTTGTTATTGCTGGGTTTAAGGGGTGAGAAAGAGTGGGAAGTCTGGGATGTCCCCCAGGATTGGTGCCTTGGTGACGAGTTTCCTGGATGTGCCGCTCCACTCGCCAGTGTGTTTCCTGGGAAGCAAGGAGGAAGCAGTGATGTGCCACCTCCCATGAGGTTTTGCTATTTCCAGACTTAAACCTTTTTTTCTTTAGATTTTCATATTTAATTGTGGTAAAATACATGTAACAAAATTTACCATCTTAACCATTTCGAAGTGCACAGTTCAGGACCCACCATTCCTCTTTCTGTCTCTATGACTGTGACCACTTTAGAAAACTCAAAAAGGTGCAGTCTTTGTCTTTTTGTGTCTGCCTTACTTCACTCAGTATCACGTCCTCAGGGTTCATCCATGCCGTGGCCTGGGTCAGGATCTTCTTCCTTTTCCAAGGCTGGATAACACGCCACTGTAAGTATATGCCACATATTACTCCGTCCATCTGAGGGCATGTAGGCTGCTTCCACCTTCTGGCTAATCACACTGCTATGGACATGGGTGTCCAAATATCTGTTCAAGTCCCTGCTTTCAGTTCCTTCTTGTCTAGGAATTGCTGGATCCTAGGACCAGACTTCAATCTTTAAACCCCACAGGATGAATCTCTAATGACGAAACTCAGGAGTGAGATTGGCCTCAGGTGGCAGATGTCATAGGGGAGAAAGAGCTTTCCCAGCAGCCCTTCAGTCACCAGATGTGCGTCCCCAGGAGCAGAGCCTGGGGCAAGGATTTGGGTGCAAGGAGTTTATTTGCAAGGTGGCCCCAGGAAGTGCCCATATGGGAGTGGGGAAGGGAGGCAGGGAAGGGATGGAGCCAATAGGGGTGCATTAATGAGGGGGTCGCTGTGAGGGCACCTGGACTCAGCCCTACTGGGGACCTCGGGAGGTCACAGCACAGGCCTCAGCATTGTCCCATGCTGGGACAGGCTGCAGGAGCACGGACTGCCTCCGGCTTGTCAGCGGCTGAGGGCTGCTCTGGGGTGGGGTTGTGCTTCCCAGCCCTTCCTGGCAGGAACGAGGCCTCAGCACCCGTGGCCAGGAACATCCTCAGCAGGTCTCAGGAGCTTGTGGTGGGAAGCCATTGTTGTGGACAGGCAGTGGGAGAGGTGGCCAGCAAGCCCTGCCAGAGGCTCCCTGACTCTGGAGGCTCCAGCTGGAGTTGAGCTGCGTTCAAAGTTCACCAAGGTCAGGGGCCCTTCTGCTCTCAGCTCCCCTTCAACAGGCTGGAGTCCAGCACAGGGACCTCCTTTCGATGATCCGGAGGATTTAACCTGTGACAGTGGGCTGCAAAACCAACGTTCTGGAAAGACCATGGATTGCATTCATCCTGGGACCAGGAGGAGGAGATGCGTGCCCCTCTGCTCCTGCCATAGCCTCCCAGCACCCTGAGCCTGGGCTCAGCCTCAGGCTGTCTCACAGGGCACGGCCAGCTGCCACCCCATGATGCAAATGAGCAAACTCTACCTTCCTCACTTCACAGCTGAGTCGTCTGTGGCCAGGGTAGACGGGTGGTTCAGCCGGGGCCACGGTGCTCTCAGGAAGCAAGGACACCTCTTGAACCGAGGCCTCCTGCCTCCTGAGTACGGCCCTTTCCTGCAATGCTCAGGGCAGCAGCACAGCCCTTCTGTTGGCCTCGGGAGAAGCTTGGTGGTTGTTTAGTCTCCTGTAGTCTTCCGTGCCTGGAGACCAAGAGGCTAGGGCTCACCCTCTGGGCTGTGTGCGAGGATTTTGCAACTGTGGTGAGACACGATTTAACATTTTAGAGACAGAAATGGCCATCTGAAAAGGCTAAAATTATACGTTTTGGCCCCTTCTGTGACCTTTGGAAAGGCGCCCAGCTTCTGACAGTCTCTGATGCTGTTTGGGGGAGGAAATCTTATGTTGAAGAAAAGCATGTTGCTTTCATTCCATGTTGTAGCATCTGTTTTTGCATCTTTCATTTCAGAGCCCACACTCT
Source organism: Homo sapiens (assembly GCF_000001405.40). Taxonomy (NCBI): domain Eukaryota; kingdom Metazoa; phylum Chordata; class Mammalia; order Primates; family Hominidae; genus Homo; species Homo sapiens. Next base: position 86,611,913 of record NC_000016.10, read on the forward strand.
ATTTCAAAGCCTTTCTCACTACCTCTAAGAGGGACAGCCAAGGACATTCAGGTGGAATGAGCCCACACATTCTTTCCAGAAGGACATAAAGAGGAAAAAATTATTACTTTTACCTCCAAAATACCTTGCAAGAATATGCTTTCCTGCAGTGATTTGAAAAATCCTCCCAGTTAAGTTCTCTTATCAGGAAGGGATATTATCCCCTAGTAATCAGAGAGCAGAGACAGACGAGTTGTCCGATTTGCAGAATAAGCACTTTCAGGGGTTACTTGACTCTTAGGATACATCACTGCAGATCCCACTGCAAGTGCTAGTTAGAATCTTGGAATCCGAACCAGATGCAAGCACCTTTTCATCTGGGAATTAAAAACAAAATCAAAACCCTAGCACCACATTTTACAAAATGTAGTTGAATTCATTGCAAAAATTATTGTTAATGGGTTATTTGTAAGAATAACTATGGATACTGATTGGCTCTGCTTTTTCTGTACCGTTCTTTTGAAGATTCGTGTTATGTCAGATGTGAATACATACACCAGTGGTTTGAACTACTGGGTGACTCAAATCCGTGGAGGGAAACAACACCTGGTCTCCTGGAGCAGCTGGGTGACCTTGAATCACATTGTACGCTGGATGTGAGCCTCTTCACTTATACACGATTTGGACTAAATCATCCTTCTAGTTACTATTCAATAAGAAGAAAATAAGTGTCAATGACGCAGAGATTTATTCTATGATCGCTTAGTAATAAATTGACTCAGTATCATTTCTTTGTCTTCTGGCATCAGCACTGTGGCTTTCCATGGAGGTCACTGCTCCCCCACATTCAGTCCCTTTGGTTTGGATGGGGTTACTTTACTTCTTTTGTTTTGAGATGGAGTTTTGTTCTTGTTACCCAGGCTGGTGTGCAGTGGCGCGATCTTGGCTCACTGCAAGCTCCGCCTCCCAGGTTCAAGCCATTCTCCTGCCTCAGCCTCCCAAGTACCTGGGATTACAGGTGCCTGCCACCATGCTTCTCTAAGTTTTTTCTTTTTCTTTTTCTTTTTTTTCTTTCTTTTTTTTTTTTGAGACAGAGTCTTGCTCTGTCACCCAGGCTGTAGTGCAGTGGCATGATCTCGGCTCACTGCAACCTCCGTCTCCCAGATTCAAGCCATTCTTCTGCCTCAGCCTTCCAAGTAGCTGGGATTACAGGTGCCTGCCACTACACCCAGCTAATTTTTTTTTTTTTTGTATTTTTAGTAGAGATGGGGTTTCACTATGTTGGCCAGGCTGGTCTCGAACTCCTGACCTCAGGTGATCCACCCGCCTTGGCCTCCCAAAGTGCTGAGATTACAGGCATGAGCCACTGCGCCCGTCCAGGTTACTTTACTTCTGTGTCCAGAAGTGGTTGAGGAATTCAAATTCGCCAATCAGTCAACTACCCCACATAACCCCTGGACAGTGCTGGGGCCAGGGGTGCACCTGGGACCCATATAAGCCACAGTGACCCAGTGGTCATGGACCATTGGGAAAAACATTTCCCTGTTTGGGCCGGTCGCAGTGGCTCACGCCTGTAATCCCAGCACTTTGGGAGGCTGAGGTGGGAGGATCATGAGGTCAGGAGATCGAGACCACGGTAAAACCCCATCTCTACTAAAAATACAAAAGTTAGCCGGGCGTGGTGGCAGGTGCCTGTAGTCCCAGCTACTGGGGAGGCTGAGGCAGGAGAATGGTGTGAACCCGGGAGGCAGAGCTTGCAGTGAGCCGAGATTGCGCCACTGCACTCCAGCCTGGGTGACAGAGCAAGACTCTGTCACCAAAAAAAAAAAAAAAAAATTAAAAAGTAAATAAATAAATAAATAAATAAAAATTTCCCTGCTTGGCAGGGTAGCTCAGAGGGTTAGGACACAAAGTCTGGAGTACAGGAGCCACCGTGCCTCCCTCAGGGAAGCCACACACTCACACACACACATAGAATCACACACACACACTCACACACACATAGAATCACACACACACACACTCACACACACTGTTTAAGCCAGTTTGAGTTAGGTTTTTTCTCTTGCAACCAAAAGAGTTTTGACAATTGCTGAACTCATATTTTATCTACGGAAACTCATGCAAATGTTGCATTCTCTAATAACAGCTACACTTTCAGATTACTATAAAAATAATCTGCATGTATGAGAGAGATGGCAGGGTTTATTGAGTAAACGTGCTGGTGTAATTGGTTATCCACATAGATTAAAAGTGAAATTGCATCTCTATTCTCACCACACACACACACACACACACACACACACACACACACAGCCCAGATGGATTAAGAACTAAAATGTAAAAAGCAAAACTTTAAAAGTTTTAGTGGAAAATGCAGGTGGATATATTCCTGACTTTGATACAGAAAAGGATCTCTTAAACAAGAATTAAAAATGCCCCCTAAAAAAAGAAGACGGACAGAAGCAAGCCCCTCCAGACCAAACTCCTTAAGTAAAAGTGATGGTCCAGGCAGGGGGGCTGCCTTTGTTTTTAACTCCAAGTCCAGGCTTGCATGTCCTGGTTTAGAGGCACGAAGCGAGAGTATCTGTCACATTCTCTTCGGGTTGTCTTTGTTTATGTAGAAGTCCAGCTTTGGAAATTTTTTTTCCTGTGTTGATACTTTTGAATTTTGTAAAATGCGCAGAAACCTGTAACCTGTGCTTTAGAATTTCGAAAGCTGCTGAATCTGGGTTGGCTCTGGGAGGCAAGTCCATGCAAGATGTCAAAGATCATTATAGCCTGACTACAAATGCATCAGTGTGACTTTAAGGGACTTGTAAAAAATGTCTCTTCTTTTCTAAAAGCTTGCCTGTTTGCACGAAGCACACCCTCTGAGATCTGTATGCTTGCTCCAGTCACTCAAACAAGCATTTCCATTTTAGTAGCTGCCAGGGCGGCCTAGGTTATGTGGCAGTAGCAAATCCCCTTTGGATGTCAGTGGCTTTCTATTTCTAGCTAGTACTGAGTGTCCCTTGCAGGTCAGCATGGCTGTGTTCCATGTTTTCTTCAGGTGTTCAACCCAGAACCCAGGAGGAGGAAGCCGCTTTCATTTGCAACATTGTTACCTGGAGCTGAGGGAAAAGGGCTTGGCGAACTACGGTCTGGTTCTTAAAGTGACAGGCATTTCCACTCATATTTCATTAGGCCAAGCAAGTCATGTGGCCAAGCTGGACTTAAATGGGGCAGAGGTGTGTAATTCTGTAGGAGGGAAACCAGAATTTTTGGTGCACAGTGCTAAACTCTACTTTGCATTTCAAATTGTTTGTGAAATTGAGACGTGGGCTCTGATAGCAAATAGACAACATTCACATAGTTTACAAGGTCTCACGTCTTTTCCACATGTTCCCTGAAGCATGTTCTATATGGCTTTTGTTCTGTACCCCCAGGGCTCGGCATGCCAGCAGACACATGGCAGGGGCTCAGCCTGTGTTCCTTGCTAGGCAGGTATAGCTGGCCCCACTTTCCAGATAAAAATTAAGACCCAGAGAAGCTCAAAGATAACACAGGCGACACAGAAAGGTTGATTTAGATTTTTTTTTTTTCTGCTACTTGGAGCGGCTTCCCAGGCATGTCTGCAGAGACACTTATTTTATTTGGGGAGCACTCTAAGGCCACGTAGATGTGTGGATCAGCCTCCCCTTGGCCTCCCGCTCCCTACAGCGACCACGACATGCTGAATCTGATGAATGCTGGCTACTGCGGGCTTTTATGTTTATGTATGTGTGCACCTACGTATTTATGTCTAGTGGAGTTTTCAGTTTGGTTTTTTTGTGTATTTGATGTTGTCAGACACGTTGGTGTGAGGTCTTTGTTGGACTGGGGTGTGGACGTACATGATAAGTTATTATTATTCAGAATCATTTATTTTGCATGCTTCTGAATGACAGTAATAGTTGAGGCATGCTGGTTTCAGAAGGAATCCACTCATTCAGAAAATAAGACCCGGGGATCTTCAAAAGTGCAAATGGGATGGGAGGGTGTGTGAAGGCACCTGAGTATCTGATCAACAAAAATCCAAAGGATGATTTTTTGGTTGTTTGTTGTCTACTATATATGCCTCACCATCACCCCAGGTTTTGCTTATATTGAGGGACCTAATTTTTTTTTTATTCGTGAAATTATTAGAAAGCAAACTAGCACACAAGTGATCAACTCTGGTAATATTTGGCGCACTTCTTTACTTAAATTGGATTCAAAGCACTCAGTGAAGGCCTGGAAGATTCTTCTTGGTTCCTTCAAAGTGAAGTAAATGTAAATATTTACTATGCCTTAGTAGAGAAAGAAACAGTATCCAGGAGAATTAATAATAATAATAATAAACAACTTCTCCAAAGGTTTACAAAGTCCCAGCAGATGAGTTTCAAAGACTTTTTTGGTCATTTACTGACAGTAAAATTAGTAAGTGTTTGTAAAAAATCCAAACATTACAGATGTAGAAAAGATTTTATTTTTAAAACATTTTATTCATCTCACTTTCTGGGATTTTAATCGGTGATTTTATACTAATTATTTTTGTTCAGTTATATTGTATTTAAACATGTTTATAAATAAGTGACACACAGTTAATTTAATTTTATGTTATTTTTGAGACAGGGTCTCACTCTGTCGCTGAGGCTGGAGTGCGGTGGTACCACCTCAGCTCACTGCAGCCTCGACCTCCTGAGCTCAAGCGATTCTCCTGCCTCAGCCTCCCAAGTAGCTGGGACTACAGGCACGCACCACCACACCTGGCCAATTTTTTGTATTTTTTTTTTGTAGAGATGGGACTTTGCTATGTTGCCCAGGCTGATCTTGAACTCCTAGGCTCAAGCAGTTTGCCCTCCTCGGCTTCCCAGTGTGCTGGGATTACAGGCCTGAGCCATGGTGCCTAGCTACATACAGTTATTTTTAAAAATTCAAATAACAATGAAATAAATCTATAATGTAGTGGGTATCAGTCCTCGCTCTCGGGATAACCACAGTTACAGACATTTGGAACATATTTGCATGAAAAATCCAGCAGCTATTATTTTTATTTCTTTTTAATAAAAAATAGGAAATGACCTTACTTCCTGCTTTATTGCTTCTTTTTCACTTAATGATAGACTTTGGGCATTTTCCATGATTACACACACGGATCTTTTGCTCTTTCGTGGCTGGGTGGTTTTCCCTGGATTGTAGTTCATTTAACCAATCCCTTTTTAGTGAATACTTGGGTTGCTTCCAGTTATTTGCTACGACAAATGGTGCTACAGTGAAAACCCTCGTATGGCTATTGGGCACATTTATGAGAGTGCCTTTCCAGATACATTTCTCGCAGAAGAACTCTAAGTCAAAGGAGAGGTAATTCTTTAAAGAAAACTTACTACATACAAGCATCTTGTCCTTCACACAGGTTGTTTGAACCAGTAGGTGCTCCCACATGGATTTTCTTATTCCATAACCTGTTTAACATCCTGTACCAATGAAGGGTGCCTTGAATGACAGCTTGCTTTTTCAGAAGTACCTACAGCCATTGCTACAACAAAAAATTTTTTTTCCAAGAGAATCTTGACTGTGCCGTTAACATTACCTGCTATTGTCACTATTAAAGAGATAACAGCCACACTCTGTAATGAGCACCACTGCTTCAGTGCTTGCCATACCTTACTGCGTCAGACGCCTCCTTCAGGGGCTCTTGAGCGCTTCATTCATCAGGATTAATTTTTATTTATTTATTTATTCATTTATTTATTTATTTATTTTTGAGATGGAGGTTCACTCTTGTTGCCCAGGCTGGAGTACAATGGCTTGGTCTCGGCTCACTGCAACCTCCACCCCCCAGGTTCAAGTGATTCTCCTGCCTCAGCCTCCCGAGTAGCTGGGATTACAGGCGCCCGCCACCATGCCCAGGTAATTTTTGTATTTTTAGTAGAGATGGGGTTTCTCTGTGTTGGTCAGGCTGGTCTCGAACTCCCAACCTTCGGTGATCCGCCCGCCTCAGCCTCTCAAAGTGCTGGGATTACAGGCGTGAGCCACACAGCCTGGCCATCACGATTAATCTTATAAGCAGAACGTACAATGCTGACAACTCAGCCTCGCTTTGCAGTGCCTTTCACATGCTGGTGTTATGACCGGAGGGCTCTGTCATATGGCCTGTGTGTGGCCTTTGAGAACTAGGTAGCCCCTTTTCCTGTTTAACTTTTGGGGTAAACACATTCTCATTTAAAAATAATGGAATGATAAGACTCTAGAGAAGGGCCTTCTCCTGGATGATGAGAAGTTCTTCTTGTAAAATCTCTGCAAAATGCGTCTGGGGTTGCCATATTGTTTTTTCAAACACAAAGAAACAGAATCATCTCTTTTTCCTGTGGCTTTGGTTGTTCTAGGAAGCCATCCATAACCCTCCCTCCATGCCTTTGTTCAAGCTATGTCTGTGCTTGTCTGTCTACCTCAATTCTATTGCACGCTATAGGTTGATTAAGTCCACAAGTCTTCCCTTCCTGCCCCAACCCCAACTGCCTGCAGGTGGAGTGACTTTCTATCCCTTGAACTGGGACAGAAGTGGTGTACATGTTTCCCAGCTGAGCCTTTAGGGGACCTGTCCTTCTGGCCTCTGCCCCGAGAACAACATGCCCTGGGTGGCACTGCCCTTCAGCCTGGGTTTCAGAAAGAGATCCTGAACCTCAGGGAGCAAACTTGACCTTGACTTTGACCCACAGCCCAGGATCCAACCTGGCACAACTGAGCCCAGTAGAGATCAGCCAGGCCGCAGCCGCCCTTTTGTGTATTGTGAGCACAAAATACAATACCTTTTGTTAAGCCACTGTGATGAGGGCGGGACGGTATGTGGCGTGATTGCCGCAAAAATCAGACTAACACACCATCTTCAGGTGGAGCCTATGCCCCTTTGAAAGCTTTCTCTGAGATTCGGCCTGTATACAGTTGCAGACTGGGCTGAGTTTTAAAACGTTGCCAAGCTTGATAAGCAAACCCTGTCCAGCCGTCTGAGAGCCTCCCCTTGCCATCTTGGCAGCCTCTGCTCCAGCTGGGGACTCGTCCCATGATTCAAAAATGAAAGGTTCATGCTTGGTTCAGTAGGGTGTGTCCAAGGGGCCCTGCAGGACAGGACAGCGCTGGCGGGTCCACCCTTGCTGGTTGGTGCCTGTGCTATAGTGGCTGTGGAGCATTTGGGATCTCTTCCCTGGCAGATGTGAAGAGGAAAGTGAAAGTAGATGTGAAGTGCTCAGCACAGCCGCTGGTGTATGGGGAGCCTTCCTAAGTGTCAGCGATCACGGTTGCTGTCTGCAACATAAAGTGGTCTGCTTGCCAGCACCACATCCTTCTGACTTGGCTTTGCCCTCTGTGCGCAACTGCGTGCGTGGTTCCCTAAATGATGTGAGGTGATGTGAAAACTCTACCTGTCCCCAAATACCTCCCTCACGGAGCTGCCCCCATGCCTGAATCCCGCCATTCCCGCCGTTCTCTTGGAGCAGGGCGCTGGCTCCCAGAGGCTCCTATTGAAGCTCAGGTATGAATCTGAGGTAGGAGGTAGGAGGTGGGACTCGACTGTGGAGGCGGGGCTTGGACACTGAACCAGACTGAGGACTGGCTAAAACAGGGTGGGGTGGAAGCAGCTCTCCATAAGCCACGCCCATCAGTGTGCCCAGTCAGTGGGCGTGGGCGTTACCACTCCTTTCCACGGAAATGACTCCGACGACCCAGATGTTACTACCTTTTCCCTAGAAATTTCTGCATAAACCGCCCCTGCATCTGCATGCAATTAAAAGTAGGTATCAATATGACTGCCGGACTGCCGGGAGCTGCTGCTCTCAGCACACTGCCTAAGGGTTAGCCCAGCTCTGCGGGAGCAGCCACGGAGCTGTCGCGCTGCCTGAGCTGCAATGGTGCCGCTTCAGTCAAGCTGTTTTCTTCCACCACCAGCCCACCCTTGAATTCTTTCCTGGGTGAAGCAAAAGCCCTGGTTAAGCCCCAATCTGGGGTTCGCCCACCCTGCATCAAATCCATAGAAGCTCGAGGGAGCAGGCATTGGACTAGAAGTTCTACTGGCCAAGGGGCAGCTGGAGCTGTGTCAGTGGGTCCCTGGAGCACTGGGGAGGACTCAAGCCTGGGTGCATGTAGCAGGGACACCTGGGGTTCTGCTGCACCCCAAAGGGGCGGCATTAACTGAAGGAGAATCTTGCTCTCAACAGAGGGCAGGTGTGGCAGACACCATTTGCTGGCCACCCAACACCATCCCTCGTCTTCCTCCAGGCTCCTTGCATCCTCTCAGTTTCCTGCCATAAAGACTGCAGGTCAAACAAGGGCCTCCCCAGCCCCACTTGCAGTCACAAGTGGCTGCATGAGCTGATGCTGGCTCATAACACAAGGCAGAAGTCTTCTGGAGGAACTTCTGGGAAGCTTTGTGTTCTTTATAAAACATCACCCCCATCCTTCTTATCTTGATGTGGATGTGATGTCTGGAGCTGCAGCAGTCACCTTGTGCCATGAGGAATGGCCAAGAAAGCAGCAGAGACGTGGACTCTGTTGTTAACCTGCTGAACCACTGGCCATGACTTTGGCACATGTGAGAAGATAAACCTGATTTTTAAAGCCATTGTGGCTGGGTTGTCTATTATGTTCAGCCAAACACACTCCTAATGGATACAGCTGGTTAAATAAGTGATGAGTTATCCATACAGTGGAATACAGCAGAGCCATGAAAGAGGGTGATATTGCTGTATGTTTTTAATACCATGAAAAAGTTATGATGACATGTTAAGTGGGGAAAAAACAAGTTCCAAAAGAGCATTTCTATAAATCCATTCTCTACTTATAAGAACACACACATCCATACTCACACTTATGTTTGTGATTTTCTATTTGTTAAGAAAGAGAATCTGCAAGTGTAAACATCAACATTTTATGTGTGGTGGGATCTAAAGACCTCTTTTATTTTGTTCTCTGGTATTCTGGGCTTTCTGAATTCCCTGAAATGCATGTGTACTACTTTTGTAATCAGAAAACACCAAAGCTGTGAGGAACACAGTGGGGAAGAGGTGTTTCGAGGGTGAAGGAACCACCGAGAGCAAGCTGGTCTCACTCCCAGATAGGCTGAAAGATGGGGCAGCTGATGCTGACTTTTTTTTTTTTTTTGGACGGAGTTTTGCTCTTGTCGCCCAGACTGGAGTGCAACGGTGCAATCTTGGCTCACTGCAACATTCGCCTCCTGGGTTCAAGCGATTCTCCTGCCTCAGCCTCCTGAGTAGCTGGGACTACAAGTGCCTGCAGCCATGCCTGGCTACTTTTTGTATTTTTAGTAGAGATGGGGTTTCACCATGTTGGGCAGGCTGGTTTCGAGCTCCTGACCTCAAGTGATCCACCTGCCTCAGGCTCCCAAAGTGCTGGGATTATAGGCATGAGCCACTGCACCCGGCCTGCCATTGATTTTTCTCCTCTCTTTACTCTCTTAGAATGCTGTGCACACTCTTCTGCCCCTACAGCTCCCTAAAGGGCCAGCCTGTGCACCCTTCGGAGCCCCCATCAGATGGGAGCTGCTAGGTCATTGTGGCACCAATGGCTGGTGCCGTCTTAAGGACTGGACATCTTCCTTCCTCTTTCCCTTTCTCCTACCCTTCCATCTCTTCTTTATTTCTTCTTCCATCTCTCTCTGCTTTTTCCTCTTCCTCCTTCCATCCCTGCCCCACACCCCTCACAGCCTTCCTGAGAACCAGCTGCGAAGCCCTTAATCTGCAGCCGGAGGACACAGACCAGGTCCTGCCCCACGGAGCTCCGAGCCTGGGAGGAGTCACTGAGCACGGTGACCCTATGTGGTGTGTAGACGGAGGGCACAGGATCCACGCGATGCAGAACAGACCAGGCCTTGAGTTTGTAAAGGGTCTGGCCACTGGCGCTGGCGTCCACCATCATCTCAGAGCCTCTCTGCGGCAAGCATGGACTAGCAACAGGGCTGTTAACCTTTTCCCTGTGACCCAAACCCCAGCACGGTCTGCTTGAGTGTGTGTCTTCCTGCCTTGCTGCTGGGACCGGTGCTCTGGTCTGATTCTCTCATTTACTCAGGAGGGGGTCTCTGTGGGATGTTCCCCTCTTCTTCTGGGCTCCGTTCTCTTGTCACTGAATCCTCTGTCACCAAGGGCCTCAGGAACTTTGTCCAAATCTCGCCACCTCTGGCTTCTGCTCCCTTGCCGCCGGGCTGGGCCCTGCCCACCTGCTGGAGCTCCGGCCCCTGACGGCCACCTGCTGCCTGCTGCAGTGCACTCCAGAGCAGCACCACATCACCAAACGCCCCCAGCCTTGAGGCTCCTCCCGTCGCCAGGCCCCACAGCCCATCCCAGGGTTCCGTTTTCTCCATCTCATCTCCAGCTCCCAGTGCCAGCAGGCCCAGTTCTTCCTCCTTCAACCATGCTAGTGCTGGGATTGACATTTGTATGTTACTCCTTTAGGCCCCCATGCTAATCAAGCAAAGGAAGAAATCAAGTCACAGAGCATCCAAATTGTCCAAATCCCCCTTCCCAGTAAATCCTTTCATCATGACCACCTGGAGCCTGGGCACCTTAAAAGTCACTCAGGCAGCCAGCTTCCATCAACTCCAGAGGAGATGTTTGATCAAAACAGAAAACTAGGCTGGGCGTGGTGGTTCATGCCTATAACGCCAGCGCTTTGGGAGGCCAGCCAACACGGGAGAATTGCTTGAGGCCAGGAGTTCAAGACCAGCCTGGGCAACACACTGAAACCTGGTCTCTACAAAACATAGACAAAATTAGCTAGACGTGGTGGCGTGTGCCTGTAGTCCCTGCTACTTGGGAGGCTGAAGTGGGAGGACTGCTGGAGCCCAGGAGGTCAAGGCTGCAGTGAGCTATGATTGGGCCACTGTAGTCCAGCCTGGGCAACAGAGCAAGACGCTGTCTCAAAAAAAGAAAAGAAAAGAAAGAGAGAGAGAGAGAAAGAGAGAAAGTAAGGAAGGAAGGAAAGAGAGAGAAAGAAAGAAAGGAAAGAAAGAAAGAAGAAAGAGAGAAAGAGAGAAAGAGAGAAAGAGAGAAAGAAAGAAAGAGAGAAAGAAAGAAAGAAAGAAAGAAAAAGAAAGAAAACTACGTGGTATCCGGAAAGGTCTGGGGTTGATCTGAAGCCCAAGAGGTGGGCACTGAGGACATGTGGAGGGAGGAGCTCCCCTCCTCATGGAGAGAGCTGGCCTTGGTGCCCTTCATGTCATCTCAGCTCAAGGGTCACAGAGGCTCAGGGCAGAAAGGCCACTTGTGGTTTTCTCTGTCACCAACAGATACTGAAAGGACTAATGATACGGTTTAGTTCTAGGTCATTTAGAAATTGGTGACATCGGCAGAAAACAGACGGTTGGGGTGTTGGGGCTCAGGTCCAGGCGGGGTGGGTGGATGGGCCTCAGTTGTTAGTGGTGAACCATGATTGGGCTGCCAGGGAGGGCTATTTCTGGGGCTCGCCCACCAGAGGGGAGCTGGTGGCGTCGCTGGCCTGCTTTGTGTGCGGAGCGCCACTCAATGCGAATCTGGGAATGGAAACTTGGGGAGAGACAGTGGGACTCACATTTAAACTCAGATTTCAGAAGAAACTCCAGACGCAGACCCAGGGCCTCCCTGCGACATCTGAGGCCTCACTTGGGAAGTCAGTAAATGGGGAGGCCGTGGCTGGTTAACAAGCAGCCTTCATGGATAAATGAACATACTGGATAGGCTGACTAATGCCTACTCTCTGCACCTGACGCCACGTTCTGTGAGCACAGAGGGAATGGAGAGAAGGGTCCCGGAAGGAAGGGCTGCTGGGTGGACCTGAGCCATTTCCTTCGCTCCTCCTGTGGGACATGTGGTGGTCTTCATCTGCACTCCCTGTGCCTCGAAGCACCTCTCTGCTCATTGCCCTAATAGGAGCTGCATCTATTCTCAGACCTGGACTCTCCCAGCAGGGATGTCTTTCTGGGGTGATGGAATGTTATAGAACTGCAGAGTCCCATACAGTTGCTGCTGGCCACTTGCGGCTCTTAGAGCACTTGAGCTGTGGCTGGTGTCACTGAGGAACTGGTTTTAAAATTTCACCTAGATTTAAGGGTTTAAATTTAAATAGCTGCACGTGGCTAGTGGGCCAAGCATGGAACAGGGTACCCTGAGAACATAAGCCCAGCCGTGTTTACCTTTGCCTCCTCCACACCACTGGGAGGATCTGACAGTGTCTGGGACTTTATTTTATTCCTCTCTTTTATTCTAACCTTGTTGGGTCTGAGAGGTGAACAGGTGAATGGAAGCCTCTGTCCCCTCAGTGTGGATACATGAAGGTCATGGAAGGTTCCAATGGGCTGGGCCTGGCCTTGCACCTGCTCTCTGTACAGTGACATCAGCACACCTGACAGTGACAGTAATTCTTCCAAATAATCAAACACGCAATCATTGCTCAAATTTTCCCAGTTAGCAAAATACATATCCGAATCCCTAGCTGCATCTTTTTCTTTATGTATATATATCCATTCATCTATATTATCTATTCTCTATCTATCCTCCATTTGTCTATCATCTTGCCATCTACTTATCCATCCACCTATTACCTCTATCTCTCCATCTATCAATCATCTATCGATTCATTCATTCATTCATACATTCATTCATTCATCTATCTCTCCCTTTCTCTCCATCTTTCATCCATCCACCTACCTTCCAGCTATCTAGCTTTCTTTCTCCATCTATCCATTTTTGTTATCTATCTTCTATCTGTATTTCCACCTATTTATCCATCTACTTATCATATCTCTCTTTATCTATCAATTATCTTTCTATTATCTATCTATCCATTCATTCATCTACCTGTCTCTTTTTCTCCATCTATTCATTCATCCACCTATTTCCCATCTATCTAGCTTTCTTTTTCTCTCCATCTAGCCATCTATCTCTCCATCTCTCTGTCATCTATCCATCTGTCTTTCCATCCATTTATCCATCCACCTATCATGTGTCTAACTCTCTATCCAACTACCTATCCCTATCTATTCAGGTCAAGCTGCAAAAGAGACCCACACATTGCATACGACATAAGGGTCTCCACTCTTCATTATTTGGCAGTTTCGTCTCTCGTCTCTGGCCTGTGGCATGAACAGGGCCAGTGCTCTGTCTACCACCCACACTGACTTCCCTGGGGAGAGATGACTGCCCCCAGAGAGTCCTCGGACTCACCTGGCCAGCTCCTCGGCTGGCTGCTGTCACGTCTACTGCGCTATCTCTCCATCAGGTGCTGAGGATGCGCTTGCCGTGCCTGGAAGCCCTGCGCTGGCAGCAGCACAATCTGATATGACGCCTGTCTCAGGGAGGTTTCAGCACTTTGTCATCCTCATGGTCTCGGCGCCAATCACTTGGCCCAGGCTGCTGCCAAATGGAGCCATCAGGCCCCACAACTACGTTTCACATGCTCGGACATGGCCAGGCCACGTCTAGACAATCCTGAGCACCCAGGAAAACACGCCAGGTCTGGTCAGACCAGATTGTACCCGATGTCTCGAGGGCCGGGAGCCCATTCTGACACTGAACCTCGGTGCTGTTTCCAGGGCTTCTTGCTGGAGAAAGCAGCCCTTTTCCAACTGAGATCAGAAGACTCGGGGCACAGGGGCACAGTGCTATGACAACTGAAAAACAGATTTTGACTTAGAGCATTGGGATGTTTTTCAGAAAAGTTGAAATTGTTTTTGTCTTTTAATCTCTCCTTTTCCCAGGCTTCCCCTACAATCCTACCCTTTTCTTCACATTTGTGTCATTAAAGCCAGTGCAATTCAAAATAATAATATTTATTGTTTGCATATAATACCTCCTTTTAGTCTCCCAATGACCTTAGAGGGTCCATTATGATCTCTGTTTTACACAGATGAAGAAAGGAGCCCAGAGAAGTTAAGTCACGTGCCCGGAGTCACATAGCAGGGCTGCGGTGTGAGCCTAGGTCTTTTGATTCCAAAGCTTGGGATGTTTACAATCCCCCTCCCATCACGTGGAAAAGAGAAATCTTTGTCCAAAGCAGGGAAGGAGATGGGACAATGGTGGGAATGTAGAAAAGAAAAAAAATTCAGGTGAGTCACTTCTCCCAGACTTCAAAGAGTTGACAAAGTGGAACTGTGAGATGGCCAGGCAGCCAAGTTCAGAAGGAAGGGCATCCCGAGGCCCTGGCATGGCAGCCAAGTTCAGAACGAAGGGCATCCTGAGGCCCCAGCTTGGCTGCCCACGCAAACCTCATGTCCAGATTCCTGTCGTTACCCAGCTGTATACGTGGGACAAAATTCATCAAGCTGTACACCTAAGATGGTTTTATTATATGTCAATTACATCCCAAAAAGTTGATTTTAAAAAGATGGGCCTTGAGGACAGAGAGAGTGGGGAGGAGATCCCAAGTTCCCTCCAAAGTCAGTGACCTTCCTGGAGCCATCGGCCGCCCATTCCTCGGGCCTGGCTTGCTTCTCTGGAGGACACAGGCATGCGTGCTTGCTCTGTAAGGACACAGTGGGGATTCGGTGAGATGATTTACAGGACAGCCTGAGCATGGAGCCAGCATGTGCCCTCCGTGACAGGAGCCACTGATACCACAGGGAGTGCCATCCCGGGCAGGCCACCTGCAGGGTCCGAGAAGTCCATTATGGAACAAGAAAATTCCAGTTCCCAGGCTGCCCCCAGAAGCCCCAGACACAGGCCTGGTCTGAGCTGGAAGAGTCCCAGAGGCCCCCGCCTGCGTTCCCAGGCTGTGCTCCCAAGTCCGGGCCTCTTTTGATTTTGTCTCCGCGGGCTGACTCCTTTGGAGTCTCCCGTTAAGAAATCAAATCACTCTTCTTCCTGGCAGCTCCCCTGCAGTGTGTCTTTCCACTCTAGCTTGAAATTCTGACTTTTTGGCCTCTTCTAAAAGGGTAGGCCCTCTTCTCCCCACATCTGCAGCCCTTTCCACAGATGAGGTGCTGCTGTGGGGTACAGACTGAGCTGGACCTCAGTCCACGATCTTGGTGACAGGCACCATCACAGAGCCCCAGGGTGCAGCTGCCAAGTGATTTCAATTTGCTGTGGCCTTGTGCGAAGCATCATTGCATGTGAATTCTATGTGCCTCCAGCTACATTTTGGTTAGTGACTCTGGCCCAAGAAAAATATGCAGCATCTTGTGAAGGCTTGGTGAGAGCCACTTTCTCCACTGCCCCCATGTCCTCCAGCTTGCCAGAGTCCCTACTCCCTTTGGCCCCTGGCCAGGTGCTGTGCAGTGCTCCTGTTAAAGTGTGGTTGGACATCTCTGTAAAGCTCTTGGGGTAGGTTAGCATTGAGACATGAATAGTCACCGACGATAGCATGCGTTCCAGGACAGCTACTGCACGCACGACTCATTAGATGCTCACAGAGGGCTTGGGTGAGGTTACCTAGAAACAGACTCTGAGATCGGGATTCAAGGACAGCTTGTTATCTGGCAGGGTTTCTCGTTATCCACTGCTGTGTAACAAACAGCTCCAAAACTTATTGGCTTAAAACAGCAGTAGCCATTTATTTTGTTTATGCGTCTGCAGTTTGGATAGGGCTCTGTGAGGATGACTCATCTCTGCTCCATGTTGTCAGAGGCGTCTTCTAGGTGCCTGGAGTGGCTGGGGCTGGCATTTCTGTCTCTTCACATAGACCCTCCTGGGGTGTCTCCAGCATGGTGGACATGAGGAAACCGATTTCCCATAGGGCAGCGAAGAGCTCCTAAGTCAGAGCTTCTGAGAGACCACAGTGAGGCTGGAAGTCTTTCTGTGACCCAATCTCAGACGTCACCCAGCATCACCTTCTACTCTACTGGTCACCTGGATCAGCTGTGATTCAGTGAGGGCCACATAAGGCAGAGGCCTCGGGGGGCATCTTGGAGGCCACCACCATCCAGAGTCGTCCCAGGAAGCACTGGACATGGCAGGAATTGAGACCAGGATGGAAGTAAGTTGCCTCAGGCTGTGTTCAGGAGCAGGTAAAGTTAGAAAATATAGGTATGCTCTTCCAAATCATTCAAAATTCCATGACACAAAGAAAAAAAATACATATATGTATATACACAGTCCTTTTAAGTCACCACTGGGATTATGAAAATTGCACAGTTTTGTAACATATTCCTACTGGGCAGGGCATTACGAATTTTTCCTTGTCATCCAATAGCAGGAGTCTGCAAACATCTTCTGTAAAGTGCCAGACAGTAAATATACTCGGCTTTGTGGGCCATACGGTGTCTGCTGCAACTTCTCAATGTTGCCATTTTAGTGCAGAAGCAGCCACAGATGATATGTAAATTAATGGGTGTGGCTATGTCCAATAAAACTTTATTTACAAAAACAGGAGGTGGGCTAGCTTCGACCCCAGGCTGTGGTATTTCATGAGGTCGTCATTAGTCTCCCATTGCACAGTTGTGCCACATTTAACGAACCCCTTTTTGTTGGACATTTAGCTTGTTTCCAGTTTCTCAATCTATAAACAGGCTTGTGATGAATGTCCTTGGAGCTAATTCTTTTATAATCACATCATTAGTTATTTCTTTAGGATAAATTCCTAAAAGCAGAATTGTCGCCTCACAGGGCAATGCCTGTTTTTATGGTTTTCGTATGTCATTTCTGAGCTCTAATGGGATGCTTGGCTCAACGATGAGACGGAAACTCTGCTTTCAGAAATGCCCTGGAGAATGGAGGTGAGAACCTCAGCGGGATTCTCTCCACCTCCCAGCATCTGAGCAACATGGCTGGAAACCATGGCTGGATTCCCCCTAAATCCAGTCCGTCACGATCAGCAGAAATCTCCAAAACATTCAAGTAAGGTTTGCCATGGTGATTCAGACACTCACTGGGCCTTCACAGGAAAGCAAGCTGTTAGCCCTTGGAATGCATCAGGAAAAATACTTTTCAAAGCATTTTTAAAATTAGCAGTGCAGAGGGCTCTTAGGACAGCCACTCAGTGCCTGCAGGTTGCAGAGGATGTTTAATGTATGCGTCAGAAATTCAAGATCAACCAGCCCTGCAGTGCTGCCTTTGGAAGAAGACAAACGATCTGGCTAATCAGAGGCTCAGCTGTGGAGGCTGGTTTGCACCTGGGGGTTGCAGGCCCGAGTTATGGTTCAGAGCAGGCCTGATGAGGCCATATGAAGAAGGCCCAGCTCCTCTCAGGCTATTCATTTATTACAAAATTTCTACTGAGGTGTAACTGGCATACATAGTGAATGGATACAACTTGTTTGGCCTGGAGATAAGTACACAGGTGCGAAACCACCTTCTATGCCATAAACGTATGAAACCATCACCACCTATGGTGAAACCATCAACATCTGTGCCATAAACGTATGAAACCACCACCTTTTATGCCATAAATATGTGAAATCATTACCACCTATGGTGAAACCATCACTGTCTATTCCACAAACATATGAAACCACCACATCTGTGCCGTAAATATATGAAACCATCATCGTCTATGCCATAAACATATCCATCCCTTCCAGAAGCTTCCTCCCACCCTCTTTACTTATTATTGTTATTTTGCGATAAAAATGCTTAGCATAAGATCTACCCTCTTAGCAAATTTTAAGTATACAATACGACATTGCAAACTATCGGCACCCTCTCAGGCAGTTCTGATGGTGGCAAACGTGGTGGGGGGACTGGTTCTCCCAGCAGGAAATCACTCTTCAAGTGCAACAGCCTGGAGAAATGTCCATTTCCAGTGAATTTCTTCCAAGATTCCATCTTCAGAGGCTTCCCGAGGGGTATGGGATTAAACTAATTCCACACACTTCACCAATATTCACTGAGCAGCTACTATATGCCGGGTGCTGGGCTAGGTGTAGAGATCCAGCCATGAACAGAATAGAAGAGAACCAACAGGAAATGGAAAAAGATACATTGTATCAAGTGGAAGGCAAATGAGAGGGTCAGGGGACAAAGAGTGATGGTGGAGAGAGGGGTATTGGGGGCAGCCTCTCAAAGGAGGAGGCATTTGAGCAAGGTCGGAAGGACGTGTGGGAGGAGGGTGTAGGGGGAGATCTTCCAGGCAGCGGGAATAAAACAGCCAGTGTGAAGGCCCTGAGGCAGGTGTCTTTGTGTGCAAGAGTGAGCTGCTCAGCGTGGCTACAGCAGAAGGGGTTGTTGGGGAGAGGAGGTTGGCGGAGGGAGGGAGAGCTGCTGGAACCTGCAGGACTTAGTGTTAATAAAGACTTTATGTTGATTCAGGATGACGTGAGAAGCCACTAGAAGGTTTTGAGCAGAACAAAGTTAGGGGCTAACTTAGGTCTTACAGAATCACTCCAGCTCATGTGTAGGAAAGGAAGCATCAGAGGCTAAGGAGGAGGCAGGGAGACCAGGTCGTGACGTCTTCCATTTTCTGGGTGGGGAAGCTGGCTCTGAGAGAGCAGGCAGGTAGCTTAAAGAAGATGACCTCACTACTGTGTCTCAGCTGGCAGCACCCGGCCTTCCCTCACGGGCAGCTCCTTGCCCGCCAGGTCCTCAGGAAGCCTCACCCCATGCTGCTGTGTCTTTCCTGCTCACTTTCTCCATCCCATGTCCAGCTTGGTACCCAATGCCTCCTGGCGGTTCCTCCATGAATGGAGCAAAGGGCCCAGGAAGCAATGGCCTAGAATCCAGCGTCCAGAGCTGTGTGCAGCCTCTCCGACAACCAAGACAGAAAGGAAAACCTCAGGAGAAAAATCAGCCGGGAGGTGGAGCACCGTGGAGAGGCGACCAAGACCGGCCACCCACGTGACAGATGAACGGGTGACTCCTCAGCTGGGAGGCCCGCCAGAGGTGAAAGCAAGCATCCATCCCCATCCCTGGCAGGAGCATGTATCTATCCCAAAGCCAGCAGCAGGCTGTGGCTCATGTCTGCCCCAGGAAGTGGAGCCGGAGGGCAAACCACTCCATCAAGGTGAGGAGGTGGGTGCAGCCCTGGGTCTGTACGCATTCACCCTGCAAGCTACGCTTCCCTCTCCCAGGAGGCCCTGGTAAGCGTGATCAGCAGCTTACATGGTACCGAGCGCTGCTCACTGCCACTCTCCAATCCTTCCAGAATCCGCTGTAAGTGTTGTTCTTACAGATTTGAAAAATGCCTCTCCCATAAAGATTGAGGACTAACACAAGGATAAAAATCACCGACGGGCTGAGCTCTGATACGTCTTTATATTGTGATGACTGGTGATAGCCTGCAGGCTGGAACATTTTAGCTTTTGGTTGATGGCTGGTTTCTACTGCGTGTGGCATTGTCTTGGGCCCTCAGTGTTAGCAAAGGGGTGCCCCGGCATAGTGGGCAGAGCCCTGGTTGATCTCTGACCCTTCCAGCAAGTAGAACAAAGTGGGTCATGCCCTCCCTAATGGCTACGGAAGAGCAGTCAGCTTTTACTCCCCATACTCTGGCATCCAGCTGGGGTGGAGATGGAAGATACATGTGATGAGACTTGAGGAGAAAAGTGGGAAGCGGGTGAGCGGGAAGCAGAAGGAACGGCTCCAGGCGTTGTGGGATTTGCCGTGTTTCCAGAATGTTCATCCTGGTGGCACTGCCCCGTCCTCATCCTCTCTCCCAGTCTTCCCTGGTGATTTGGGGGACGCCACTTGTGTGGTGACAGAAATCTGGCAGATAGCAAGGAAGCAATAAACCTATCTCACTCTCTGAGTAGGAGACCTCGTGAGGATGTTGAATCACGGGGCGAGGCTGTGAGCAGTCGGGGTGTCATTCTCCTCCGCAAACATTTACTGGCTGACCCCGAATAAAGATCAAGATCTAAGGAGGCCTGAGACATGGGCCTCTGGTCTGTGCCCCAGGAGACCAGATGCCTTCCCTTGAGGGAGGGCGTGTGCTCAGGAACTCTGGCCATAGGAGGAAGTGGTTTTCAACCCCAAGACTAAAATGCCAGCATTGAACCCAAACAATATCGGATAGATTTTTTTTCTTCCTCTCTCTCTCTTTGACGGGAAAAGTTATTGATTGGGTAAACACAGATGTATTTAATGTTTTAAGTCAGTTCACAGTGTATGTGGAGTCAACTAAATATCTCTGGGCAGTAATCAGCCTTGAGGTTGTTAGTTATAGCTGGAAACCCAAGAGGCTGATGAGAGAGATTTTTAACGTTTGAATGCAGAGTTCAGTGGACTGGGAATTTAACACAGCTGAGAGTACAGATAATTGACTTCTAGGTTCTTTGATGAAAACCCAGAGACTGTCTCCATCATCAATCCCAAACTACTGTGCGGTTTCCAGTTCTGCGTTATTAACTAGGCTTCTTCATAGAACCTTCCCATGTCAGCCCTTTCTATGCAGGAGTGTAAATACCTGCAATGCAGTGGAAATGTGCCATCCCAGCCTTCTGTTTTTCCTACAATCAGACCAGGACTCCTCCCTCCCTGTGCCTCCGCACAAGCCCATGACTGTGACGTTAGCCACGCAGTGACGGCTAAGGCTAAGCCATCAAAGACCTCCAACCGGACATGTTGCGATGCTCACTTTTGGAAAGTAGCCACCGTGCTGTGAGGAGGGCACGCTGCCACACGGAAAGGCCACCTACAGGTGTCCTGATGCACGGGAGGTCCCGGCCAACACGAACCAGTAGCCAGGAGAGTGAGGGGACCTTCGGATGATTCCAGCTTCCAGCCTTGAGGAGTCCTTGGGTGACACTGAGTCAGGCAGAGATGAGCTGTCCCTGCCCGGCCCCGCCCGATTTGCAAATTTGTGAGCAAAATAAACATGGTCTTTGTTTTCCGTCACTAAATTTTGGAGTGGGTTATTATGCAGCAATAGGAAACTACAACACTGATGATGTGAAATCGAACTGCTGAGAACTTTTTTCTTTTGGCTACCTCAGTCTCATTTTGCTTTGTCTCAAATATGTCATTTTGTACGATTATTATTTTGGTTTTATCATGTATTTGAAAATAGCAAAGAAAAGTATTTTTTAATTGAGTGTAAAATTCACATAAAATTATTTTAAAGTGTACCTCTCAGTGACGTTTAGTACCCTCACAATGTTGAACAACTGTCGCCTCTATCAAGTTCCTAAATATTCTTATCACCCCAAAAGGAAACCCGTATCCATAAAGCAGTTTCTTCACATTCCCCTTTTCCTAGCCTCAGGCAACCCCCCATCTGCTTCCTGTCTCTACGGGTTCGCCTATTCTGGACGTTTTGTGTAAATGTAATTGTAGGCTATTTTTCCTTTTATATCTGGCTTGTTTGACTCAGCATAACATCTTCAAGGTTCATCCACATTGTAGCATGTGTCAGCATTCCTTCCTTTTCATGGCTGAGTAATATCCCATCATATGGATAGGCCACATTTTGTTTAACCATTTGTCATTTGATGGACATTTGTGTTGTTTCCACCTTCTGGCTATTGCGAATAAGGCCACTACGAACATTCATGTGCACGTATTTGAGTTCATGTTTTCAGTTCTTTTGGGTAGATACGCAGGAGTGAAACTGCTGGGAAGATAAGGTTTTCTTTCATAATATCAATGGTGTGTTCCTCAGTGACCTCTGATGCATGCAATAGTGAGAGGTTGGGAGTCTCTTTAACTGAATCAACTAAATTACCAAGAAAACACAAAATACAAGGGAAAACACAATATTTAAAATCTATTATGGTTTTTCAGAGACCAAATCCTTTCTCCAGATAAAACTGTTGGTGAGTGGCCATTGTCACACCTCATTATTTACACTGCGTGGCTAACGTCACAGTCATGGGCCTGTGGAATCATCTCGGCTCCTTAGGCTCCCCTGGCCATGAGAATGTCTCAGACTTCCTCGTTTATTCGTGACCTTGACAGTTTCAAAGAGGACTGGTCAGGTGTTCTGTAGAATGTCCCTCAACTTGGGCTCTCCTGATGTTTTTCTCTTGATTAGACTACAGTTAGGGGCTTTGAGGAAGAAGACCACAGAGATGAAGTACGTGTCTCATAGCATCATATTGGGGGTACGTGATATCCCCATGACCTATCACTGCCGATGTCAAACTCGGTCACTTGGTTACCGTATTGTATGCCAGATTTCTCCTCTGCAATGCTCCTGTCATTCTCTGTCCACACTCTGTTCTTTGGAAGCAACCCATTAAGTTTAGTTCACCCTCAAAGGAGAGATTAAGCTCCACTTCCTTGAGGGAGAGTATTGACATATATGACTTAGAATTCTTCTGTAGAGAGGAATGATGCTATGTCATGACTCAAGACAAAATTGGGGCCCTGTTAGTAAGGAAATAGGGGAGCATGAGATTCCAACCCTCAATTGTAAATGGGGAAACTAACATTTGCCTGACCTATGCTGATAAGAGAATGTCTACATCTAATGTTGGAACAAGCAGGAGCTTGGAATAGTGGTGGGGTTTTTACCACAGGTTGGCAACTTTTGACAGGCGAGTTTATTCATTCAAGGCTTAAAGACTAGAGGCTGGGATAGAGGGAGGTACACAGTGGTGAGTAAGGGTGTAGCGAACATACTTCATTGTTACCCAGTATCCACTTTGCCCTTTCCTTTAGTAGTAGAATCCTAATGTCTTAGCTGGGTACACAGCTGCCCAGCTAAGGACTACATTTCCCAGCCTCCTGTGTGGCTATATGTGGTCATGTGATGAATTGCTGGCCAATGGGATATGAATGGAAATGATGCATTCAGCATCAGAATTAAGCCAAGGAACAGGACTTTGTGATGGATAAGTGGGAAGAAGAAATTGGGTGCTGTTTCTTACTTTCCACTCAGCTAGAAGCATTTGGTATGGTGGTCCTTGAATCCAAGCTGTGTCATCAGCACTGCATTAAACAGCATCTCTAGATATAGCCATAAATTGTATATTCACAAGTGAATCAGATTTTAGTGAATCTCAAACAAAGAGAACTTTGTCCTAGGTCAACCTCTTATTGTCTGTGTAAGCCTGAACAAGCTACATCACTTCTGTGCATCTCTGTGAACTTATTTTTGAGCGTTGATGCCCACCTCACCTAGATTTTCGGAAAAGCCAATGCATTCAGTATGGAAGATACTTAGCATGGGGCCTGGCAGGCAGTATCTCAGAAAACACTTCCAGTTTTGTTATCTTTCCAATGATCATTACCAAGATGTTTGTGGGATTTTTCGTCAACATTTACAACCTGGTTAGAGTTTGTCATCTTCCTCCGCTTTTTTTTTTTTTTTTTCTTTTTTGGGTCTGCTTGTTAAACAAAATTAAATTGCAGTCCTAGTAAGGCTGGTCTTAAACGTATGAAACCATTTTCAAATTTGAGACGCATGGGCGAATTCAAGGCACAGGAATTAGTCTGCATTCCAGATCAATTAGGGAAATAGTTTGCAGTAACTACTGCATTTTGAAACACATCAAATAGGAAAGAGAAGTCACTGTTGTATGTCACTGTCAGAAAGCAAAAGTGAGGCTTTTTTGTCTGATTTCAAGAATGGCTCACTCACAGGGTCCGCAATGGAGAGGCAAGAAATAGCAGGCCTGCCAAAACCACTGTGAAGTTTTCACTGACTCAAAGACCGCCCACCCAATCCCAGGGGACTTGGTAATTCAATGGAGATTAAAGGCACACTAAAATCCTGGTAACCAGAGAAAAGCAGGCTCTATTAGGTTACCATTTCCATTTTTCTGTCAAGCAAAGGCAGAGTTTCCCCAGAGAAGACGGAGTATTTGCTCTCAGCCAAAAGACCCCAAAGAAGCAGAACTCTTTAACCGAGATTACAAAAGAGAAAAAACGTGTAAGTGCAGAGCTGAGCCGAGCCTGTGCGTTCCTGCCAGCCCCCCACTATGAGCTAAGGCCCCTGGCACTTAAGTCAATGCAAAATGAATAATGCACTTAGTTAAATATTTCCTCCCATGATGAAAGTCCTTGGTCACCCGAATTTCTTTTTCTACTTGACGTGTTCATTTCTTTTTCTGACCAGATATCCATAATAAAATCTGGCACTCTGAGGACAAGTGCTTTCTATACAAGCTTTCTCCAACTTTCTATCACAAGCCTTTGAAACTGAACACCCCCTTTTTATCCTGTATTACTTCCTCCCCTGGAACCGTTCAATCTCTACTCAGCAATCCCATTAGACTTTTAACTTCCATTTTTTAAGTGCTGATAAAAATGTATAGATGTCTGAACCCCATCCAGGGAAGCCAACTTTCAAACTATGCAAAAAGGAGGCCGTGGCGGCTCTGGAAGGATGGGAAATGGAGCTTGTGGCAGAGCCACACTGTGGCCCGCCAGCTGTGCCGCATGATTGCACGCTCGCCCACGCGTTCTGGGGGGCTTGGTGGTCCATTTCTGGCACAGGCTCGGCCACTGCATCATGATCTAGGGGTTGTGGGATTACTATACAGATTTTTATACAGCGTAAAGTACTCTTGTTCATCTTTCTGAGACGAGGCTGAACTTTATGGAAGAAAGGAGTGGTTTAGTAGGAAATGATCAGACTAATCACATGGAAATAAACAGCGTATTTTATCACGTTCCACGTGTTCATGCATTTCCCCTTCTTTTTTATAGAGAGGGAGGTTGCCAGCTGCCTTGAAGAAGAGGGAGGGGCAGAAGGAGGCTTAGGGTCCTCAGGCGGCCCTTCTGAGAAAGGAAGAGGGAAGGGAGGTGTAGGCGAAGGAGGTGGGCCCGTCTGGAGGAAGGTAACTTCTCCTCCTTTAGCTGGGGGTGGGGCAGAACATGGGATTGTCCTCAGACCCAGGCCCTGCTCTTCTCTGAAAACACTGCCAGTGTCCCCTGCATACTGGCTCCTGCCCAGGTCTCACTCATGGGAAGCACTGGGTCAACAGGAGGTAGGGTGGCACATGGAAGAGCAGCTACCTACACCTCCTCGTTCCCTCTGAGTCTCCTCTGTGCTTCCAGCTCCCTGGGGATAACCTCCCTGTCCTGCCTTTGCTGGGCAGCCCACCTGGCTCTGGGCCAGAGGAATAGCCTGCCTTGGACTTGCTGCTCTTGCCAGTATCTTGACTGCCTCACAGGTCCCTCCATGGCCCCTAGCTCTTCCATCCCCAGTGCAACCAAATCCCTGTATTCAATCCCTCTGGTGGCAGTGCCTAGAGTGGATTTGCTTTCCAAATGGATGGAGAGCAAAGCCTGAGGATGAGGGCTCTGGATCAGCAAGGTGGCACTTACCAGAACTGCCAGGTCCCTGTGCTCCTGGGGCAGTCAATCCACTGAGGAATGTGTCTTTTCTGCAGAGTGGATGTAACAGGACCTGGAGCAGCATCCCTGGTTTTGGCAGGCTTTCTGGGCCCAAGTTGCAGTGGGGGTGGCTTTATATTGTGAAGTGTGCTCCTCTTTCCTGCAGCCTGTGACTCCAGGTGGAGAGGCTCCCCTGTCACCTCCTCTCAGTGTGACCTCTGCCAGGGGATGCCATCCACTCAGCATCTGCAGGATCCCTGAGGAGCAGCCATGGCCCATGGACCCCACCCACCCCAGCTCAGACCTCTGGGACCAACACCCGACAGGCAGCAGGCTCTTCACAGACACAACCCAGGAAGCTCTGAGCAACTTGGCCATAGCCCCTGCACTAATGGGGACACTGAGGAGTGACAGTGACTCCAAAGAGTCGCTGCCCAAGCAAATGCATGGAAAAGAGGAGCCAGGGAACACGTACAGCTTCTGGGCTTTGCCAGGCTCACCTCAGCTCAGCTTCATGGTTTGCTGGGCCAGGACTTCATGTTCATCCAACACCAACCTGCCAGAAGCATCTGTTCCCTGGGGATGTGGAGGGGCAGGAGCAGGAGCAACTCCATACTGCTGGACCTGCATAACGGACGTCCTGCCACTGGGACCATGAGCTCTGGGGAGGGAGAGAGAGAGAGAGAGAGAGAGAAGGAAAACACTGAAAAGACAGAGACACAAGGTTTGGAGAGAATGCAGCCTGGCTTTCCTAACTCCTTCTAGCTGCTAATTCTGATTCCCTGCACCCTGTGACTCCAGGTTCCATAAGACACCACCAGACCTTTCTGATAACTTCCCCCTTTTATCTTTAAGCCAGCTTGTTTGGTTTCTCCAATTTGCATCCCACAGAATCTTAAAAATGTCACAGCACCTGTCCGGAGGAGCTTAGCAGAATCTGGGGGTGGAAGGGTGGGGACTGTGGAGGAGAGAAACAGGCAGGGAAGAGATAAAGTGATACGGGGCCATGGAGAAGGGACACTTCTTCCTGGGGGTCAGGGGAGGCTGCTGGGAATCAGTGATCTCAAAGTTGTGTCTGCAGAATGACCAGGAGCTGTTCAGGTGAAAAAAGAGAGGGAGAGTTGCTGGCTATTTCTATGCACTGTACAAAATACATGTGTGTCTGATCTCCTTACTTAAGTGGTGAGCTCCTCAAGGGCAGGGCCTGGATAGTGGGTGTTCTGTCCCCTGCCATACCCAGCAAAAGGCCAGTTAGGTGTTCAGTACATGATAATGGATTGACAGATGGAGGAGGTGTTGAAGCAGAATGAAAACTCCCAGGACATGGACATGCTTTAGGTGAAGAAAGTGCAGTGAGTTTGGAAACCAGGCAGTATTTGAAAGGGTCATGGGAGGCTACATAAAAGAGGGGCTAATTGGGTTGGATTTTGAAGGATGACTAAGAGTTCTCTTCAAAGCCGGGATGCTGAAGAGCTGAGGAGTCTCATGGTGGATGCTTGGGTGTTTTTCCCACTAGACAGTCACGGGAGTCAGGGCTAGGTCTCTTTGCCTCCCTGAGAGCAGCTGCCTGGAGGGGGCAGAGCCTAACTTTGAAGGTTTAATGAGGTTGAAGGTTTAATGAGGTTTATTTAGAAGAAAGGTAAAGACAATGCAACGGGTGTAGAGCGATGGAGTCAGACAGACTGGATTTGAGCCCTGGCTCTGCTCCTGTGTGGCCTTGGGCCTTGGGCGAGGGCAGTTATGTGTCTGAGTCTTTGTTTCCATATCTGTATGATGCCCCTGCAAACGCCCCTCGCCTGCTGGCTGGGATTCGCCCACATGATGTTGGTAAAGCAGCAGGCTCACCCTCTGGTCCACACGACACTGCCCTCATGGGGATGACATGAATGGTTCACCCATGGACAACGCGGTGGCTGTGGCATCTCAGCACCACTGAGGCGGAACAGTTGGAAGAAAAAGCAGAATATTAAAGTGAATTGGAAGATGCATATTGTGATCTCTAGCACATTGGGTGTGATTTTAGCAGTTTCTGTCTTAGCAACGTCCCCTCCCCGGCCCCTGCAGCGTGTTCCTTTGTTGAGGGTGAGGGAGGATTCTGATATGGAATTGTGTCACCAGAGCACAATTCCATGGGGATATTACTTCAGTGACTGACTCAGCCCCCTGCCCCCAACCTCACAACTGCCCCTCCTGACTCAAACGTGGTCCGAGTGGCTTCTCTTCACTGTGATTCAATCCACATCGTGGGGCCCTGCCGTAAAGCAGCTGTGGGTGATACAACGATTGCTATTACTATCCATAAGCATTCTAAGATAGTCAGTATTTATCGAATTCCTCGTATTCCAGGCTCTGGGCAAGTGTCCTACTGGCACTTGTCACTATTTATTCTCCCAATTTTAATGATGTGGAAACTGAGTCTTCAACTGGTGAAGAAACGAGCCGAAGTGCAAATAGCAGCTGTGGCTCTGCACGTCCTGCTTGGTCCCAGAGGACATGTGCGCTGAGCCCTTCCTCCACATGGAGACAAGCCTGAGATCAACACCAGCAGGGATGTCCCCTTATGATTGTCGTGTGACGAATGAAGAATGGAGCAGTGAAGCAGATCCATTACCCGAGGCCACGGGGAAGCCTGAAATCAGAACTCGTGGTCCACAGCCTGTGCTCTACGGCTACAGGTTCAGCCCTGGTTTTAGTCTGGGCTTCCTCAGAAGCAAAGCCTGGGACGAGGACCTGGCACAGGTGGTTTCTTGGGAGGTGAGGGGCCAGGGAGTGAGATCAGGAAGGGGACAGGCAACCAAGGGTGCCTTCGTGAATATGTTACCCGTGCAGGTTCTGAAGGCCAATCCCAGTACAACTCTCTATAAGATGGAGCAGACACGCCTCAGGATCGTCCACCCAGAAGCTGGCCCAGAAACTGGTGACACATCCTGCCACTCCTGTTCCCCATCGGTTGGGGCTGTTCCTGGACGTGCTGGCTTTTTGGCCCTTCAGACTTGACCTATGCATGGTCTAAGGACAGTCTTGTGGTTAGAGAATGTCTTCAGCTAAAGAAATGCTGGAAGCTGCTGGCATGGCAATGTCTGTCGGTAACCTCCTGGTGGGCCAAGGGCACCTGGGTGGGCTCCAGTGAAATCTCTGCCCATTTAAACTCCCTTTTATACTTGTGGTTCTCTGGACTCTTCCCAAGTGCCCTCAGAAAGGAGTGGACAATCACAACTCCAACCAACGGGGAGCAGGACAGTCACAATGGACACGGTCCTTTCTGGTTATTTCACCTTTGAGGGCATCACCCGCCACCATTTAAACCTTGGTATTCTGCCGACATCTGCTTTCCTTGTTTTTCTGGCAGAAGCAGGGGCCAGTGCCAATGGGTCAGGATGGACACTCTCAGCTAGGGTCCCAGAGGGTCACACTCTGTTCTTTCTATTCTCAGAATCAGCCCAGACAGCAGGGGGTTGGGAGGAAAGGTCAGACTTGTCCTGTTGCATGAAGTCCCCAGCGATGGAGGACTGGACATGCTGGAGCTCAGAGGCTTTGATGCTGCCGTCTGAGGCATCCAGTGAGCAAAGACAACCCTGCTCACCCACGAGATGCTCCAGTACGAGCTCCCCGCCCCTCCCAGAGCCTCAGCCATCGATGACAGGCGTGATGGATGGCTAGTCCATTCTCTAGCAACCGTGGCCCAGGCCCAGGAGAAGCGTAGCATTACCAGACCCTGGGGGACATGTACCACCAGTCTGTCAGCACGTCTCTCCTGAGCCCCTGTCTTGGGCCAGCTTGGGGCTAGGTGCCTGGGTGTAGAAGAGCAGAAGGTGTGGTTGCTGGCCTCAGGGAGCTCCCATGAGAGCACCATTGACAGATCGGAGCCTCAGAGATATTCTACCCAGCCTTCTGGTGTTTTCTGAAGAGAACAAGCGGACACAATTGTAACAATACTTACTCAGCATAAACCTTGTGCTAGGCATTGGATAAGTGTTTCACAAATATTAATTCATTAATTTTAACAACAGCCCCGTGAGTTAAGTGTGACTGTCATCCCTGTTCGATGCTTAAAGAAACTGAGGCCCACAGAGTTTACTTTGCTGAAGGTTTCACAGCGAACTCAGTTGCAAAGACTTGGGCCCAGCTGATTTGGTTCAGAAATTCACACGTGAAACCAATGGGCCATTCTGCTCTAGCTGCATTCTTATCCACAGCAAAATCTAATAAAGAAAAAGCAACCATAATAGCTAACAGTCACGTGTTTATTAAGTGCCAGCTGCTATGAAGAGGGCTTTTTGTGGATTTCCACATAATGCCTACAGCGACCTATGAAATTGGCACTGCTGGTATCTGCATTTTACAGGTAAGGAAAGCAAAGCTCAGAGAGGTTACGTAACTTGTCCAACATCACTTAGCTAGAAGTAATGGAGCTGGAATTCGAACCCAGGCTGAAAGTCGAGGTCTCTGCATTGATTTCTGAGTAGGTTTGGTTCGCAGGTATAGGGAGCAGGGGCCCGCTGGGAACACATCCCGGAAAGGGGTTTCCTGTATGGCTGCCTATGACCTGGAAGGTTCCAGGATGGAGAAGCCAGAGCCCGCTTTGGGGCCTCATTGCTCTGGGTCTGTCTCTGGGCCTAGGGTGCTGGGACTTAGGGCCTCCGGTGGCTTCCTGTGTTTCTGTTGTCCTGTAGTCTATCGCTGTGAGTATCTTTTCTTTGCTGGATGTTTTCCTTCCTTGTAGCTTTGGCTTTTAAATACTCTTGGGCACTGTGGGAGGCTGAGGTGGGCAGATCACTTGAAGCCACAAGTTCGAGACCAGCCTGGCCAACATGGCGAAACCCCATCTCTTCTAAAAATACAAAAGTTAGCCGGGTGTGGTGGCGGCCACTTGTAATCCCAGCTACTCAGGTAGGGCAGAGGCACAAGAATCACTTGAACCCGGGAGGCAGAGGTGGCCGTGAGCAGAGGTCACACCAGTGCACTCCAGCCTGGGTGACAGAGCGAGACTCTGTCTCAAAAAATAAAATGAAATAAACCCTTGGGATTTCTAACATAAAAATCTAAACTAATCATATGTTAACAAATATGAACACAAAAGAGCCAGTCCTTCAAGATGGCTCCCAAGTGGCTAATTAGGCCTACATTTAAAATAGAGCTAAGTGGCCATTTGCTGACATATTACTGTGAATTCTGGGAAGACCTGTACCTTCTTTGAAACTTTCAGAGCTTACCTGAGCCAACCAATCAGAGCTCACCTGCTTTGGCCAATCAAAGCTCAGCTGCATCAACCAATCAAAGCTCAGTATCACTGACCAATCAGAACTAAGTGAGTTTCAAGTCTTCATTTGCATACAGGGACCTTATTGGGAACCCGGATAGGAAGGTTTGCTATAAAATGGAGCCTTCTCTTTGTTCTCTGGAACACACCTTCATCTTACACTGGATCCTGCCACTCCCTGGTTTGCAAACTGTTCACTGGAATAAACTCTCTTTCCTTCAAAGTTCTTTTCAAAGAACTTTTGTTCAAATGGACAACCCCACATTAAGCAAAGGCAATCCTGGCCCTGGTGGACTTTGTGGTCCAGGGGAAGATCCCTTAGAACCATGGGGCTTCCCGCATCCTGCTCTACCATCCCTGGCAGCTGCAGTGCCTGCCCCTCACACCTCATTCAGGGACATATCCTAGTCCAAATTCTTAAGAGAGGTCGTCTGATTGGCCTATCCATCTGCCTGCTGGAGGCACATTATTGGCTATGGGAACCCAGTGGACTGGCTGCCCTTGGCTCAGGGCCAGACATGGACCAATCAGATTTGTTGCCAGGGAGCCGTGGTACAGAGCATGGTTGCCCGTCACTGACAGAAGGGGAACTCAGGCGGGTCAGGATCATCAAGGTGCTGCCTGACCCTGAGGATTTCACCATCTATTCCTGGGCCTTTCTTGTCTTATATAGTTTTTATGCCTTAAAAAAAGTTATTCGTTGCCTACAAAATCTATGTTTCTATAATGGTTTTACCAATAAATCCACAATAGACAGTACAATGGGAAGAAACAGGTAAATCAAATCTTCACTAGTTAGAGATTTTAGCATATCTTTAAACATTGATAGGTCAAATAGACAAAATTAACACATATGTTGAAGATTTGAATAACATATATGGAAACCTTGAATGACTAAGTTTGCTCTAGTAGATGAATGTTAAACGTACGCACATTTTTTGGTGATATTTCTATCTCAGTTCTCAACACATTCTCCTTTTCTTCCCCCATCTTCCTTCTGCCACCCCTTGAAAACCATTTCATTTCTTCTTCAGACATAGCCTCCATAAACCCTATAGTTTTAACATCGCTTGGCACTAAACAAGAAAAAGAAAAAAGCACCTAATGGCATTTGCAAATTACTTTCAGTTTGTGGCTTCGAAAAGAAGGGTTATGGAAAGTATTGATAGCTGCACGACTTTCTCAGAGGGTGGGTTTGAAAAAAATGGCAGATCAAAAGCTTCTTGAGAATTTGTGTGAGTATGTGCTGGGAGTCTGTTCTGTCCAAAGGAAATCACTGGCAGGTATTAATTTGAGGGAGAAAAAGTTTTAAGGCAAGTCAAAGGGAAAAGGGAGAAAAAATACAGCATGTTTTAATTGTGACTCGGAAATTTTATAAACACAGTTTACACATGTATCACTTATAATCACGGTCCTGGCCAGAGCAATAATTATGATAAATCCTTTGTCAACCCTACTTAGAAGTTCTTATGAGGTAGTCGGAAATTAGTTCACATTTTAGACAATAGTTGAGTAAAAACCCGATCCAACCCAGCCTCTCTACATGTGGAATTCCACACGGCCTGCAATCAGATGTTCACCAAATCACACTTTTTCATTGCCAAACGCCTTGGCAGGTTAGCATAAACAAGTCTTGAATTCATTAAGTTGCATTTTTTAGCCTTCTAATTAGCTAAAAGTTGTACATTTCAAGCACAACATGTCAAGAGCTTGATTTCAAGGTATAATGATATGGCACGGAGACTGAAGCCACCCACTGCCCTTTGTGTAGAATGTTGGTTTCTGATGGCTCTTTGCTTAACTGATCTTGGGCTGGCTTTGATGGGTGACCTTGGAGATGGGTAGAAAGGGTTTGGAAAGGAAGCATTCTTAACACGTGATCATTCTACTTAAAAAGCAGCCCCTGTCTTTTGGCAATCTCTGTCTTTTAAAACAGCATCTGAGCTGGGTGCAGTGGCTCACGCCTGTAATCTCAGCACTTTGGGAGGCCAAGGCGGGCAGATCGCCTGAGGCCAGGAGTTCAAGACTAGCCTGGTCAACATGGCGAAACCCCGTCTCTACTGAAAACACAAAAATTAGCCGGGCGTGGTGGTGGGCACCTATAATCCCAGCTCCTCGGGAGGCTGAGGCAGGAGAATTTCTTGAACCTGGGAGGCAGAGGTTGCAGTGAGCCGAGATCGCGCCATTGTACTCTAGCCTGGGCATCAAGAGTAAAATTCCGTCTCAAAAAAACAAAACAAAACAAAACCCAAAAAAAACATCTGAGGCTTAGATGCTAGAAATGAGCCCCTCCAACATAGTTACCTAAAGAGCAAGTTATTATTTTTTTAATATTCCAAGATTTTTCCTCAGTGATTCTCCATCTGCAAACTCAGTCACAAATCAGGCCTTATCGTGTTAAAACACCAAATGTCATTGAAGAGATAATTTCATGGTCTCCCCTGAAGTGTATTCAGGGTAACAACATTCTCGTCATATTCCAGCTCATTGGGTTAAACTTGCAGTTCAGTAGCTTGGGACCAGATAGAGAAGACTCTGTGTAGGGACAAGAAAGAATGATGCTCAAATGTCAGACCTTAAAGACACCAACTCTAACTCTCTTCTGTGTTACAAGTAAAAGCTGAGACCCAGAAGGAAGGCCTCCTTCAAGTCCATGTGGTTAATTTACAGTACAGTGAGAGCAGGAAGGGGAGAATCCCGTCTTTCTCTCAGAGACGTCACTCCCATTTCAGAAAGGATTCACGTTCCCAATCTCATTTCAGACATCCAGGAACTGTGATTTGGGAGTTGGGTCCCCTGCCCCTATTTTACTGCAGGGGAGACTGAGGCACAAGGAGATCCCGTGTCTAACTGGTACATGGAACGGAACCAGTTAATGCCGAAGAGGACTGTGGTCATGCTTTCCTGAAGTTCAGAGCTTGCCCTTTCCACTAGGTAGAGGATCCTGGGTGTTTTCACAAAGGAAGACAGAGAGTGGCGTAAAGCGGTGACTTCTCAACTTTCCTGATGTCACCCCGGTAAGGAGTCATTTTATCTGGTTATCTGGGGTGGCAGAGAACACTAACTGGCTTTCGTTCTCCTTTGGTTGCATTTAGCAACAGAACCTCCTAGGTTTTAGAGGGTCTGGAAGGTGGGAGACCACCTTCCCCAGCCTTCACCTCTTGCCAGTAGGTATGGACGTGAGACCGCCTTCTGGCCAATAGGGTGCAAAAAGAAGTGTGTGCACCACAGATCTGGTCACGTCCTTTGAAAAGAACAGAACTTGCCTTCCACTTCCTCTCCATCTCCCTCCTGTGGGCAGCCCCGAGGGTGGAGTCAGCTCCTGCCATGCAGGTGAGGGTCATACTCAGGGGAAGAGGGACAGATAGGAGGGATCTGGTGCCTAGATTAGCCCATGGAACAGAGCCATCTGTTAGCCCTGCCCACCTGTCCCCCTCTGGACTGGCACAGGAGAGAGAATAAAAATCCCATCTGGTTCAGCCACCATATTTTTGCTCTTTTTATTACAATATCATAGCATATGCCTGGACTACTGTGTGCAAGACACACAGGGACACACTTACACACGTGTGTGTGTGCACACATGCACTCTGACACACATGCGCAGACACAAAGGTTTCAAAGCAGTGCCTTTTCTTATCCTGTGATGTGTGCTCTCGTCTGTTCTACTCCGCTCTTTTGTATTTTTTTCCAAGGTGGCGTGAGCTCATTATGCTGATTACATGATTGGCTAGTGGGTTAGGACCTGCAGGGCTGGAGCACCTGAAGACAATTCACAAACCCAAAGGCAAAGACCCAAAGGCAAGGCACGGTGAGACAAGGGGTGGAAGAAAGCAAGCTGCCCTGACAGTTGAGACAGACACAGATAAATAAACAAGAACAAAAGCCCAGGACCACAGGCGGGACACAGGCCTCCCCGCGAGGGGTTTTTGGAGATTGTTGGGCAACGGAAGCCAGGTGACTCCAGGCCGGGAAGGCTCCATAGAGGTGGCTGCATCACCGGGGAGGCACTGACTTTGAACTCAGTGGCATGAAAGCATCCCAGAACGTTCAGATGTGTGCCCAGCCCTGTGGCTCTCACGGTAGGCACTGTGTCCCCAAGTCCCTTCTTTCCAGGCAGCATGCTATGTCCTGGTGGGTCCAAGAATGAAGGAATATTGTAAGATTGTGGCTAACTGAATCTAGATGCTTCCGACTCGGATGTGACTGCCCCTGGGAGGGGCACAGCTTTGTCTTCTTCTTAGAGGAAGTGACCTGGCCCTCCAGGGTGTCTGTCCCCTCTCCAGCCCCAATCCCACTGGCATTCTCCGGGAAGGCAGGTGATTGGAATTCGGTGAGGAGTTTACTAGCTGGGATTGAAGGAAAAGGGAACTAGACTAGCTGAATGGTTAGAAGCAGAGTCTTATGAGGAACGTGGTAACTGTCTCCAAAAGCCAGTTGGCTGGCCACAGGCTAGGATCCCTCTCCTCTGACCCTCTGTTCCAGCCATCTGGGGCTTCTTGATGTTCCCCAACAGGCCTAGCAGGCCCTGTCTCAGGTCTTTGTGTTGCCATTCCCCTTGGCCGTGGGTCTTCCCCGGATGCACCAGGACCCACGGCTCCCCAGGTGTCATCTCATCATAAGAACCACCCCCACCAACTGCTTGCATGGCTTACCCTCTTTTCTCAATTTGTTTTTCTCCATAGCACTACTCTTGTCTGATGCAGGTGCACTCTATAGTTTACTTATTTTAGTTATTTGTGCTGTTTGTCTTTCCCCTTTCTGGCTGGAAGTTCCTGAGGTAGGACTGTTATCTATTTTTCTCTTGGCAGCATCTCCTGTGCTAGGGGGACGATCTGGATCAGTGCCTGGCCCATGGAAGACTCCTGACCCAGGCTTGTTCACTGAATGAAGGCATTCCACATGTTCTGTGATGCGGGCAAGTCATTCATTCATTTATGCATTTAGAATGAGCTTTGAGAATATGGCAGCCTACAAAATGGACATGGTCCTGCCTTCAGGGAGCTTCTGGTCCAGCCTATGGCCTCTTGCCTGGAAAGAGATGTTACCACGTTATTAGGAGGTAGTGTGGTGTGGTAAGTGCTTTCGTGGGAAAAGCAGAGGGGATTGTGGGAGCTCAGAGTGGGGTACCCAACCTGGATGGGAGGTCAGAGAATGCCACAGAATCTGTTTGGCCTTCAATCACTAATCTGTATAGTTAGCAATATGGACAAGCTGGTCTTTAATAACTCATACCCCTTCATTTCTAATTCTCTGTCATGTGTTCTATGTGGTTCCTGAGGGAGATCTCCAACCAGGGAGACAAATGAAAGAATGAGGATTTAGCTTTATGGAAAAAACACCTAAAGGTGGAACAGTCTCCAGGTACACAGGCTGCCTCACAAGGTAGTTATTGGTAGCAGCACAGTAAAATGTCTAGGAGATCAATGACTTAAGCCACCGACTGTTTTGTTATTCTTGTGATTCTGTGGGGTGACAGGGCTCAGCTGGTTGGTTCTGCTGCTCTTCATGATGTCGCTGGCTGCAGTCACCTGGGGTCTCCATGCTGGCTGGCAATCTAAAGCAGCTCATTCCCCCTGCTGGCAGCTGGTGCTGGCTGTTGGCAGGAGGTCTTTTAGAGTTGTCAACTGGAACACCTTGGTTCTCCTCCATGTGGCTTCTCCTTGGGGCCCAGGCTTCTCTTGTGATTGTGTCCCAAGGGGAAGGAAGGAGAAACTGCTAATCTTGGATTTGGGCTTGGAAGTTCTGGAGTGTCACCTCTACTACATTCTGCTCATCATATCACAGGGCCAGCCCAGATTCAAGGGGAGAGAATGTAACCCTCACATCTTAATATGATACCCACTATGTGCATTCAGGGAAGGAAAGACTCATTGGCAGCTGACTGAGAGACTCGCTTCCCATTGAGCTTCCCATCACTGGGACTGTTGAAGCAAAGGTTTCACAATCTGACTTGAATTGGGCTCAGGACACATTGAGCAACCCCGATCGGTGGCTCACCTGCAAGTCAAGCCTATGACCAGAGCTTCTTCATGCCTTAAGTGACGATTGTGCCCTCTTGGTTGGTCATGGCTGCAGTGTGATGAGGTGAGGAAAGAGAACAACTGTGGGTCCTGTCTCACTGTGTGATCTTAGGAAGGTTATTAGGTCTCTCTGTGCTTCCATTTTCCTCATTGGTAAAATGGGCTTAATCGTTGTCTCTACTTCATGGGGCAGTAGTGAAGATTCCATGAACAACCAGTATTCCAGGCCCCTTCTGTGGGCAACACTCTGTAAATGGAAGCTTCCAGAATTGCTGTTTGTAGAAAGAACCTCATGTTGACAGTCATACTTGGGTTTGAACTTCAGGACTTGTTAGTTCTAACATCTTAGGCAGTTTTCTGAAACACTCGTGAATCTCAGTTTCTTCACCTTTACCACTGTGGATCACACTGTGTGTAGGACAAGGATGCAGAAATGTCTGAGCATATCATGTCTCTCTTCTCGTAGAACCTGCTTTTCCCCTGAGCTGCCTGGCTGCCTTCAAAACCCTCGAGTGATCAAGAAATAACTGCTTCCCATCAAAAGATTGCATGTTGCTGCTACCTGTGTTTAGAGGCAGTTGGTGATGTTCACACGAGCACCTGAATGTGAAAAGCCATGGTGTCTCCTAGTATTCCATGCATCCCGAGGGGCACAATTAGTGTAAGAATGCCTCGTCACCTTCTAAATCCCAATCAGGTTCCCCATGCCCCACTCTGAGGTGGAGCTAAATGCAGATTAAGAAACCAAAAATGCCCCCAAAGCTGGGAGCCTTCCACAGGGGCTCTGGAGGGTCTCACTTCTCAGGAAACCCCTTCCTCTGTTGGCCCAGATTAAGCCTGGGAGTCCAGAGACCAGGGTTCCCTGTCAACCTATCAGGCTCCTCTGCTGGAGAGAAAGGATGTTTCCAGGGCCTTGCTTGCCTGATAGAATGGAGGCATCAAAGGTGCATCCAGAGACAGGACGATCTTGTTTTGCTTTTTCAAGCCTCTTAACGATAACAAGGTCATCACATGGGCTCTGGCATCCTCTTGGATGGGGAAGGGCAACAGCATCTTGTGGGAATTGTAGAAAGCCCTCAGTGGATCCCTCAAGTTCATTGCCAGGGTTACTCTGCCTCACGCTTCTTCCCGTCAGCCAATGGGAAGCCCCGCAGGAGACCCCTGGGTGGAAAGAGAGAGGCTACTACTCAAACCTACTCAAAAATCAATGCGGACACCCCCAACTTGTAGCCTGGGTTCAAATTCCAGCTCTATTACTTCCTTCTAGCTGAGTGATGTGGGGCCAGTTACTTAACCTCTCTGAGCTTTGGTTTCCTTATCTGTTTCCTGCTCCTCAGTTGGTCTGGCCACCTCCTGACTGCCTGATCCCTGCTTCTCTGGGACCACAGCCCTGACCGCTCCCTCTGCAGCCTTGTCTCCTCCTCTGACCCTTTGACCCTAGTCAGCTTCTCGCTCTTCCCCCATGTTTCATGTTTGTTCTGGAATCTGCCCTCCCCTTTGTTAAGGCCTCTTCCTCGCCGTCTCTTCCTATGAATGATCTGCACCTGGTCCTCTTTTCTGCCCGGACCCTGACTGGTACACCTGCCTGCCTTCTACGAGGGTGTGAGGATGATTGTCCTCCAGGATCCTCTCCCGGGGCCGCTGCTCTCACCAGTGTTTTCTGGGTTCTGCTGTCTGCAGTGGGGCTAACAGAGCCTCTGCAGGCCTGAGGGCTCCTTTCTTAGAGACATGACTTCCCCAGTAAGTTGCTGATTCAGCTGGACCTAACACAGGGCTGGACATGGAGCTGGTGCCGGGAAACTGCTGGGTGGTCAGATGATGTGCTTCTTGTGGACACTGACCTTTTAGACAGATGCTTTGCAGCCTGGTCTGTAACCGAGCTGCCCCTTCACCTCCCACAGCTGCTGGGCTTTGGGGGTTCCCTATTTGCAGCTGTCCCAGGAGTGTGTTCTGGGGGATGAAGGCAGTCTCCCACCATTGATACTGAGCCCTGGAGGGCAGAGAGGCCCCCCTTGCACCTCTCCCTTGGAGGGGAGGGTCTCTCCATCCCCCTCTTCTCAGCCTTCTCCAGCTGTGTGGTGCAATGTGGCAGCCACCTGTGGATATTAGAATGTAAATGAATGAAAATAATGTAAAAATTATATCATTTAAAATTTAAATTAAAATTATGCAAAATGAAAAATTTAGTTCCACAGTCACCTCGACACTTTTCACGTGTTCCGTGGTGGCAGGTGGTTGGGTGCTTCCATACTGGACAGTGTAGACACAGCCCTGTGGCTCCTTCCAACCTCAAGCCCACCTGGCAGGTTTGGTCTGTTCATGTGCATATGTGCCAAGGACGAGGGCCCTGGGGCTATCCATTTCCTCCTCCTCTGGACAACTTGTTAAGACCACCTGTTCTCCACTTTCCATTCTTCTTTCTTTCTTTTTTTTTTTTTTTTTTGAGATGAGGTCTTGCTCTGCTGCCCAGGCTGGAGTGCTGGGGTGCAATGGCACAATCTTGGCTCACTGCAGTCTCCACATACCAGGTTCAAGCAATTCTTCTGCCTCAGCTTCCCCAGTAGCTGGAATTACAGGTGTGCACTACCATACTTGGCTAATTTTTGTATTTTTGGTAGAGACAAGGTTTCACCCAGTTAGCCAGGCTGGTCTTGAACTCCTGATCTTAGGCGATCCACCCGACTCAGCCCCCCAAAGTGCTGGGATTACAGGTGTGAGCCACTGTGCCCGGCCTCCACCTTCCATTTTTCTTCTGGTATTTTCACCTTCCTCGGGCTCTGCTCCTTCCTCACCCCCATCTCCTTCCTAGCTTCACAAGCAATAGGTAGAAGAAAGAACATGTCCTCGCATTTAAATACTGGCTGCAGGATCCTGAGGGAGTGATGTAAACTTTCTATCCTCGGTTTGCTCACCTATAAAATGGGCGCAGGAGCACCTGTTCAGGGAAGATTGGACTCCAGAGAAGAGTGACTGCGCTGGTATTTTCTGAGCATTTACTATGTGGCAAATACTAAAGTGGATCTTGGGTCCTCAGAGGATATGGGAGGCGATGCAGGAAAGGTGCTGGGTGGCACCCGGCAGGTGTTCAGATTGTGACATCATCTATCACCTGTGTCATTGATCATCATCATTAGATCATCGGCTCCTTGATAATTTGGGAGGTAACAAACAAATAATTGATGTCATCCCAGTTACCATGCAGAGTCAGAAATAAAAGCATCTTCCCAGTAAAAATAGTCACCAGGATGTGAAGAGCTCAGGGACTGCAAGGGGCTCTTATTGATGGTTCTTTTTTATCATTAATATTTAACTTAAAAATAAGAGAAAAACAACAAAATTTCCCCTGCCAACTTCTGGTATTATCACATGATGTTGAAAGGAAATTAGGTTTGACATAAAAGTGCTTAAACACTTTCACATTATTTGCCAAAATAGCAGAATAATCCAACATAAAACGTGCAAGGCTTTGTAGAAAGTGACTAGTGCTTTACCTGACACAAAAGAGACCACAAACATTTTGGGGAAAGAAAGCAATGAAAATGGTGTTTAGGATCCTGAGATTTGCATGTGAGGCTCTGCTGGGCCAGAGCCCAGACAAGTCACTGCGTGGCTTCCAGCCTCAGTGTCTTCATTTGAAAAACAAGGTTTTCCTGATACTCTGTGTGTACTCACAGGGTGGCTGGGATGATCAGCAGGGTCATTTCTATTAAAAACCTCTTGGCGCCGTGTCATTTTCCAGGAATGCAGCTCTGTGTGGTGGGAACGGGGATTGAGAAGGCCCCATGTCAGCTTGCAGGGTTTCCGGGCTAGAGGACCCCCCAGCGTTATTCTCAACAATCTCACCTACTAGGGATTATGCCTTCTGGGGAGAGCAGGCTCACATACTGGCAGCCCAAGAGACCCATTTCCCCATCTTAAGGGAGGCAGGGATGGACCCTTGCTGTGGGCTGGGGGTGGGTGATGGGCCAAGGGTGGGTTCAGGACCCTCACTGCTGGGGAGGGGTTGGGGTTGCTCCCCTTCTTTGAGGAGAGCTGTCTGGGCGAGGCACTTAGTTTAGAAGTTTCCATCTCTTCCCCACCTCCTCTTTAAAATGAAGACATTTGGGAGCACAGAAACTTCAGACAGAAGAGTGTAGGGTTCATCTGTTCAGCCCTCTCAGCTTGCAAATGAGGCCACTGAAGTCCA
Organism: Homo sapiens; assembly: GCF_000001405.40. Taxonomy (NCBI): domain Eukaryota; kingdom Metazoa; phylum Chordata; class Mammalia; order Primates; family Hominidae; genus Homo; species Homo sapiens. Next base: position 86,652,491 of record NC_000016.10, read on the forward strand.
GAAACATCTGCCGAGAAGCGTAGCTGGCAGGTAGCATTGGGAAGAGGGAGGCTTTTCACCTGCAGAGGTGACAACAGAACAAAACTTTCACGGAGGCCATGGTAGCTTCAGAGGGGAAATTTCAATTACAGCAAGAAAATGCATTCATTTCTATGCATTTGGGTCGATGGATTTGCCCATTGAAACCTATTTGAAAAATACATATATTTTAAAATGACATTAAGATTATTTGGAGTTAAAATAAACCTTGGTAAATATTTTCATGCTCTCTTTTTACCCTGCCGCAAATAAAATATAATGAGCCCGACGTTTAGATATTCTTCTGATTTTTCTCAGTAGACATTTTAGATAAAAGACAAAGAGTTTCTTATTTTTGGGTTCATAAAACAGTCTACATTTATGGCTTCATTTTTCTGAAATCCAGATCAAAGACTGGCTGTGAAATTTTACTGTCCCACAGCTCACGGGTCTGTTGACTTAGTGCCTACTTCAAAAATCCCCTTCTTCCCTCCAGACCCTCTGACCACCTCATTTGAAAAAAAAGGATATTTGCATTTGATACTATTCAGGACCTGCGAGATGTCGGCTGACGGGGTGGGATGGGGGGAGCTGAAACAACATTTTCCTGGGCTCTAATTAGAAGAATTAACCTTATTCATGGCAGGCCCCTCTGCACATGCCCCTGCTCTGCCACATGCCTGATGCGCTTGTGCTGAACGCAAAGGCAGTGGTTCCTTAATGGACTTGCTGTCCCCACCAGCGTTCATTAGATGCCTGCATGATCTTTGTTTATATTAATCCCCAAAGAACTAAGCTTCATTTCATTTTATTTGGGAGAGAAACCCAGCAGAGAAAAGTTCAGGAGACCCAAATGCTTCCATAATTGCCTTGAGTTCTGAATGTATTTCAGGCTGACAGCTAAGATAAAAAGCCCCTTGCGGTCGAGTGTTGGGAATCATTTTTCAGTGCTGTGTGTGGGAAATTGAGCATGGACCATCACCGGGGTAGTTCAGGGAGCCTGGAGTCTTGCAGGCTGCAGTGTGGGGGCCCCGCCTGCCACTTTAAATCATCCCCGCATTTCCAGCCTGGGCATTGATCCCTCCCGATGAGCAACACAACGTTTGAAACAAATTTGGAGAGAAACAAGTAGGAGGTGACTGGCCTATTGTTTCTCTCTAATTTCGTGTTTCTTAAATTGCCCTAATTTTCTTATTCCACCCACTTGGATAATTCCTGGTTTTAGTGGTGACGGAAATGAACAGGGGCCAGAATACTACAAGCTATTCCCATGATGATTCCAGCTGAGACCACAGGCCAAACTGTGGATGTGTCATGAGAAAAGCCGGGTCTTGCCCCATCTTCCCGGCTGCAGCAGCTCCTGGGAAGCTTGGCCCTGCTGGTTTCCTCCTGGTCCCACGACAGGGTGGAGGTGCTCAGATTGGTTCTTTGGCAGGGTCTCAATTTCCTACCTCGGTTTTTTTCCTTTCTGAATAATGGGCAAATTTTGCCTTGTCCCTTCTCATAATTCTAAAATTCTCTGCAATAATTTCAATATGGCTGTGAAACACCCTGGAACTCGAAAGCCTTAAAGCAGCAGGAATAGTCCCACAGAAGGTCTTCAAATTCCCAGGGACTCCAAGGCCACCTGATCACGCATCTACATTTCTCTAGTTGCCTTGGAAGACATTCCCTGGTGTTTGGTTTGGGGGAACATTTCGGGAAGTATGTAGAGCTGCAATTCACAAATGTTTTGGCCTCAAAACTCTTTTACAATCTTAATTATTAGGAGCTTTTCCCTATGTGGGTTATATCTATTGATATTCACTGGTTGAAACTTTCAGAACTTTTAATTTAATTGAAAACAACAGTAAACTCATAACCTTTTGTGTCTTTTTTTGTTTTGTTTTTTGAGACGGAATTTTGCACTTTCACCCAGGCTGGAGTGCAATGGCACAATCTCGGCTCACTGCAACCTCTGCCCCTGGGGTTCAAGCGATTCTCCTGCCTCAGCCTCCCGAGTAGCTGGGAGTACAGGCGCCCACCACCACGCTCGGCTAATGTTTGTATTTTTAGTAGAGACGGGGTTTCACCATATTGGCCAGGCTGGTCTCAAACTCCTGACTTTTTCTTTTTTTTTTTCTGAGACAGTTTTGCTCTTTTTGCCCAGGCTGGAGTGCAGTGGCGCAATCTTGGCTCACTGCAACCTCTGCCGCCCGGGTTCAAGCGATTCTTCTGCCTCAGCCTCCCAGGTGGCTGGGATTACAGATGCCTGCCACCACGCCCGGCTAATTTTTTGTATTTTTAGTAGAGACGGGGCTTCACCGTGTTAGCCAGGATGGTCTCCATCTCTTGACCTGGTGATCTGCCCACCTCGGCCTCCCAAAGTGCTGGGATTACAAGCGTGAGCCACCGCGCCCAGCCACTCCTGACCTTTTGATCTACCTGCCTCAGCCTCCCAAAGTGCTGGGATTACAGGCGTGAGCCACCGTGCCCGGCCTTTTTATTTTTTATTTTTTTGATGGAGTCTTGCTCTGTCCTCCAGGTTAGAGTGCAATGGCGCAATCTCTGCTCACTGCAACCTCCGCCTCATGGGTTCAAGCGATTCTCCTGCCTCAGCCTCCAGAGTAGCTGAGACTACAGGCGCGCGCCACCATGCCTGGCTAATTTTCGTATTTTTGGTAGAGACGGGGTTTCACCATGTTAGCCAGGCTGGTCTCAAACTTCTGACCTGAAGGGATCTGCCTGCCTTGGCCTCCCAAAGCGCTGGGATTCCAGGCGTGAGCCCCTTTACTCGGCCTCTGATAACCTAAATAATACTTTTAAAAGTGAAAAATATGATCCAAAATAAAAAAATCAGTGAGAAGAGTAATATTATTTTACATTTTTGCAAATCTCTTTAATGTCAGGTTTAATAGAGAATAGCTTAATTAAAAAAAATCTTTTCAACAGCTTTTGGGGTACGGTTTTTCATTACACAAATGTATTATACAGGGATGAATTCTGAGGATTTACTGCACCAGTCACCCAAGCCGTGTACATCGTATTTAATGTGCAGTCTTTTTATCCCTAGCCTGCCTCCTGCTCTCTCACTTCTGAGCCTCCAAAGTCCATTATATCGCTCTATATGCCTTTGCATACTCATAGTTCAGCTCTCTTTATAAGTGAGAACACATTGGTCTTGGTTTTCTACTCCTGAATTACTTCACTTAGAATAATGGCCTCCAGCTCCATCCTCCATGTAAGTTGCCGCAAAAGACATTATTTCGTTCCTCTTATTTATTTATTTATTTATTTATTTATTTATTTATTTATTTTTTGAGATGGAGTTTCGCTCCTGTTGCCCAGGCTGGAGTGCAATGGTGTGATCTCGGCTCACTGCAACCTCCCCCTCCCAGGTTCAAGTGATTCTCCTGCCTCAGCCTCCTGAGTAGCTGGGATTACAGGCACCCGCCACCACACCCAGCTAATTTTTTGTATTTTTGGTAGACACTGGGTATCACCATGTGGCCAGGCTGGTCTTGAACTCCTGACCTCAGGTGATCCACCCGCCTCAGCCTTCCAAAGTGCTGGGATTACAGACCTGAGCCACCTCACGTGGCCTTTGGTTCCTTTTAGTGGCTGAGTAGTATTCCACGGTGTACATATACCACAGTTTCTTTATCCACTGATTAGTCAGTGGGCACTTAGGTTGGTTTCACATGCTTGCAATTGTGAATTGTGCTGCTATAAACATATGTGTGCAGGTATCCTTTTCATATAATGACTTATTTTCCTTTGGGTGGATACCCAGTAGTGGGATTGCTGGATTGAATGGTAGATGTGCTTTTAGGAGGGCTGAATTTCCGTACTTGCCTCTGACTTCAGTCTGTTGCAATAGATTTTGATTGATGTACATGAAGAAAATCAAGCTCATGCAGATATGTAATTGGCAAAGGGATGAGTATTGTGATAGACTTTTCCAGATAATTGTGGCTGTTCTTCTTGATACTAGACCAAAACTCAACAAGTGGCAGTTTCTTAAAGGTGAGCGGCAATGTGGAAATCTGAAACCACATCAATGAACACTTCATCTTCTCTTTCATTAGAATTCGCTGGCCCATCTGCACTCTAAATGGATCTTTTACCAGAGGATGGTTTTGTCACATCATGCGCTGGTCATCTGGAAAATATTGGTTTGCTTAGCTATTAAAGTCCTACAAATGTTGGCATATTTGACAATACAATATTTTAAAAATCACATTCATGAATTATTGCCACTAATCTCACTGGAAAAGTCTTTGAGAACTGGGAATCTGTTAAGCTTGCCATGGCAAATACACGTTTTTTAACATTCTCATTTTTACTTGAATGTTCAAATTTTATCATTGGCAACCAGTTGTCTATTGTTTTCCTTGAAAGTGACAGGCTCACTTTGTTCATTTTCGAGAAAGTGTCTGCCACCTACCTAAGCCTGAATAACCATGATTTGTCTGTCGAGTGTTGTTGCAAGTAAAAATGATGTTCCGTTCTTTTTTTAAAAAAGGCTTGTTGAGTCTAGGACTCAGACAACTTCACAATGACTTTTCCTTGACGCAGCCACTGTGCTTCAGCACACAGCCAAAGTGTCATATGAGCTTTCCGTTTATCACATAGACTATGAAAAAGACATATACCCAAGGATGATTGAATAAAACTAACACTGTTGATAAATAATAAACAGTCTTATAAAGAAAGACTTTGTTTGAGACAGAGTCTTCCTCTGTCACCCAAGCTGGAGTGCAGTGGTGCAGTCACAGCTCACTGCAGCCTCAGCCTCCTGGGCTCGGGTGATTCTCCCACCTCAGCCTCCTGAGTAGCTGAAAACACAGGTGCACACCACCACACCCTCTATTTTTTTTTTTTTTTTTTTTTGCATTATTAGTAAGGACAGGGCCCCCCATGTTGCCCAGGCTGGTCTCGAACTCCTGGGCTTAAGAGATCCACCTGCCTCGGCCTCCCAAAGTGCTGGGATTATAGAGGTGAGCCACCATGCCTGGCCTGCTTATTCCTTATCAAAGACATTGTTTAGTGAAACTGGGATTTCAATTTTTATTTTATTTATTTTTTATTTATTTATTTTTAGACAGGGTCTCGCTCTGTCACCTAGGCTGGAGTGCAGCGGCACAATCACCGCACACTGAAACCTTAACCTCCTGGGCTCACTGAATCCTCCCACTGCAGCTTCCCAAGTAGCTGGGACTACAGGGGTACCCCACCACACTTGGCTAATTTTTTAAATTTTTTGTAGAGATAGGCTCTTGCTGTGTTGCCCAGACTGGTCTCAAACTCCTGGCTTCAAGTAATCCCCCTACCTTGGCTTCCCAAAGTGCTGGGATTACAGTGATGAGCCACCTTGGCCAGTGGGTTTTAAATCTTTAATGTGAGTTCGTGGCAGGGAAGAATACCCTGACCGTAGTCCGGTTGGTGTCACTGCCCTTCTTCCTCTCAAAGCACCAGCAGTGTAAAGACCACCACTGTAAAGAAGGTGAATCATGCTTTAGTATCATTGTGAATACAGTTTTGACCTCTCAGACCCATTGAAAGGGTCCCGGGGCCTTCCCTTGCCAGTGGAGCACACTGAGCAATGCTAACTGAAGTAGAGCTCACTTGGATGCTCACCAGAAACCTGCCTTGCCTCCCAGTTTATGAACAAACAGTACGTGTTCCAGTACTTAGTGTGACTGCAGAGCCAGGGACACTGGATTTATTCTAATCTGTGAGGTTTACTGAACACGTACCGTGTGCCAGGTGCTATTTCTAGGCACATGGTAAACAGGTAAACAAAACAGCCTGGGACAGAAGATGGGTGGGCTCGAGTGCTGGCTCTTCCTCTTAGCGGCTGGAGACCCACAGGAAGGACCATTTTTCACTACTAGAGCTGGCATTCTCTGAGTTCCCTCTATGTGCTGCACACCATGCCAAGTGCCTTATCTGTTTATTCGTCCCTTCCTCCCTCCCGCCTTCATCTTTCTACCTGCCCACCTAGCACGGGTGTATTTAGCACCTACTGTGTGAAGGCCGGGGCTGGGAGCCTGCAGTAAGCCTGTCAGCCAGTCTCTGCCACAGATGCTTCTGGTCCAGCAAAGGAGCCGAGCACCAATCAAGTCACCTCCCTTCTCAATGTGGTCAGATCAATGCCAGGGAATCAAGGGAAGTATGAGGCCTGTCAAGGGGGGCGGTTAAGGAAAGCAGAGGACGCTTCCCTGGAAGAGCCAGGTGAAGAACACTGGGCTGAGGCAGGAAGGAGCCTGGTGCAGTTGAGGTTGAGCACGGTGGGGCTGGATGGGCCACAGGGGACATCCACCCTTCACAATGTGGGCAGTAGCACTTGTTTCCTTTCTCCTATTGGGAAGCCATGTGATGATCTTGGGTAGAACTCTGGTCCAGCCTGTAGCCACCCCTGCTGCTCTGTTGGGAAACAGCAGGTGGAGGCTGTGGCAGGAAGACATCTTCAGCATCTTGTCTTGAGTGACTTTAGCCAGAAATGTCTGCCACCGAGGAGCAGAAGAAGTCTGGGTGGGGTGGGAGGGCTCTGAATGGCCCAATAAAGGGGCCACCCTGGGCTATCCTTCTGGGGTTAATCTCATGTTTTCCTCTGGAGCTAGTTCTTGTGCCCTATCTCAAAGCCATAGGTCAGGAAGTCCTGTCCCTTCTAGGAAAAGTGAGAAACTGGAGCTCGAGGGAGAGGAGGAGCCAAGAGGCAGAGGACATCCAGCCACTTCCCAGGGCATCGACTATGACCTGCACATGCAGGTTCAGCCATTCTACTAGTATTCTGCCATGTTTACCCACTTTTATTGGCCATTATTACATTGAAAGCAGAGTAAGCGACTCATCTGAGAATGTAATGAAAACCGTGAACACTATCTTCTGAAAAATGCATGCAACATACCAATCTCTATCTATCTGTCTGTCTACCTATCCATCCGTCTGTCTATCCATCTATATACCCATCCATCCATCCATCCATTCATCCACCCACCCACCCATCCATCCATCCATCCATCCATCCATCCATCCATCCATCCATCCATTCGTCCATCCATCCTTCCATCCATCCATTCATTAGTCCATCCATCCGTCCATCCATCCATCCATCCATCCATCTACTTATTTTATTTTTGAAGTGGGTGCTGGGGTCATGGTCCATGAATGCCAGGGTAAGGCAGTCTCACGGAGTCTCCCTTCCTAAATTAAAGACATCATTGGAACTCAGCCTGAGTCTGTAGTTGAAGTGTATTTTTGTCCTTCCCTGCCGTTTGAAGGCTGGCATGTGGCAAGGGCATCTTTTCTATTGCATTGTATTGTTTCTTGTGTCTGGAAAGAATTCTGCTCTCCCTCTTCTGTGGAAATGACAGTTGGGTATAAAAGCTTCTACACCTGAAACTACAGACTTGAGTTTCCTTTCCAATTCAGATTCAATGCAGGCATAATCTCTGGCTCTTTTGCTGGACTGTCAGTTCTTACTTGTATGTCACGACTGGTGGATTATTGAGAGGAATTTGCTTTTAAAGAAGCACATGAGCCTAGTGACCACAGCTTAAATTCTGGGCTACACGTATGCTGAACAGCCTGTGCACCATCCTAGGATGCCTGGTGAAGGCAGAAGCTAGACTCCAACCCCCCTGCTGCTTGCCATGCCACTTCCACCAGACAGGGCACTATTTTCTGATTCACACGAAAGTACACAGCTTGGGGAGGGTGGTAGTGTCCTGCCCATGTGCCTGAAGAACTTCCAGAAGGCCAGTAGGGCTTCTTCCCGCATCACTTGAGCTAAGCTGCAACCATGTCCCCCAAGTCCCCTCTCCTGTATAATTACAGGTTAGTGTGGTCCACAAGACACATTTTGTGCAAGATTTGAAAGGCAGAGGAGCAGTCACATTCTTCCTGCTTGGAAGGTCCACACAGGACGCCAGGTGCTACATCCGGCAGCTCGTGCATGCCACCTGCCCTGCAGACTCAGCTAGGTGGCTTGGGGCGGCCACCGCCCTAAGCCTCTTTTCTCACCTGACTCCAGGGGGTAGGGATCTGTCCTGTGCAAGAAGGAATGGAATCGTTGCTTGTCAAGCACCCATTCTATTCCAGTTCTGCCTCTATGCACCCATAAACCTCTGTGCCTAAGTGGTTTACTGCTTAACTCTTTAACTCTTTTCAGCATTCCTCTGTTGATTAATCGATCACCTAAAATAACCAAACACCACATGAAGCACGGAGAAATTCTGAAGTTGGCTAAGACCATTTCCTGACTCCAAGAGGACACCTGGCATAGAAGGAGGCTGGGAGGGGAGTGCCAGGCCTTGGCAGGCACACAGCTCGGCCCTTCACTGAACATGTTTCTGTGCAGTAGTAAGCCAGATTTGTGAAATGGTTCTTGCTTACGAAGCACCTCTTGACTCATGAATATTTTGAACATATGACAGTAAGTTAAAGACACTTGAAGTCCTATAGTAAAGAAGCTTGTTCACCCTAGCATCTTCCAAACTTATTTGACCACAAACTCTTTATTTCATGAAATACCTCTTAGCATCGTGAGTACCTGTATGAATGCCATCTAGGGACGCAGACCTTGTTCTCATAGAGTTCTCCTCCTTAATGGCCAGGTTGTCCTGAACAAATGTCACCATCTGTGGACAGTGGGGACAATGGTACCTCTTCTTGCCCCAAGGTCATACCATTTCCTTCTTATAGCAATCTTGTGGGGTGAATATCATTGAGCCTGTTGTATAGCTGAGGCGACCGTTTAGAGAGGGTATGAAACTTAACTCATCTGGTTTATGGTGGAGCCAAGACTCAAAGCAGGTCTGACTGATAGACACAAGCCCGTGGTCTTCTCCATACCATACTGCCTGATGGTCAGGGCCAACTTGTTTTGTTTGTTTTTATTTTTTATTTTTGCGTTTACTCATGTTGCATTCTTCTTTGCTCTTTACTTAATTTCTGACCTCCTGATCCTCATTCCCAGCTGGACTGTCAGTCCCCAGAGGGCACAGATGACTTATAAGCCAGGTGATGTCTCCTCGGTGCCCAGCTGTGCCTAATCCATGGTGTGCGCTCCAAGTTCACTGATCAAATGCACGAGTCTATGTTGTTTTTATTTTCCAGTCAAATGCTCAACTCCTGGTTTTCCAAATATCTGTGCTGAGCCTTGGGGGCCGGGACAGTAGACCTGGCATGCTAGTTGCTTTTCTGATCTCCCTTAAGAACGTTGCCTAGCATTAAACCTGCCCTGTCTACACGCGTAATGCTATGTTTCCCTGCTGCAACCTATGCAGAAGACATAATCCAGAAGTCCTGCTGTTGTCTGATCCACCAGAAAAGGAAAATGTGTTTCTCCTGCATAGAGTTGCAGAGCGGATCTGAATCATTTAGACAGGCAGGCTCCGTGGATGTAATGCTGAAGGAAAGGGTCAATGCATTACTTGACTTCCTGAAGAACTCCTTGGAAATCTGATTCTGTTCATTTGTTTGCACGAATTGATTGGGCGTCTGCCATGTGCTCAGCACTGTGAGCCACTCCAGAGATGTTAAGACCCCAGCCCTTGAGTACGCTTGAATCTATTGTGAATCTATTTAATCAAAGTTTCTTCACTGCCAGGGTTTCCATAGCATCAAAAAAAGTCAGAGAGCTGATTCACTATTATGATTATTTCACCCCAAACCTGCTTTCTATCAAATCATTTGTGTTTTCTAATCTACAACAATATGTATGCTGATGCTTTTCTTTTTCAGAGGGTTTTTGTGAGCTTTCAAGAGGGTAAAAAAAGAACTCAGCAAAATGAATAGTAATTTCAGGAATTTCCAGAGTAAATGAGGCTTTGAGCAGAGCCTATGATCTGTGTGCATAATTCATTAAAAACGAATCACTCTGCAAAACTGGGCAAACCAAGATTTATCCTCAGACTAACTCTGCGTGCCATGTGGTGGCTGTGTCATCCGTGGAGGCTGCTAATGAAGCTCTTTCTATAAATTTGAGAGTAAACAGATTCGGACAACTTTATTAGCTGGGAAAGCAGCAGCGACTATCTCTGCCCAAATCACACAGACCCTTACAGTTCAATTTGGAGAAAATTATTCTTCTAAGGATATGTGTGTGTGTGTGGTGTGTGTGTGTATATGTGGATCATGTACAATTATTTTGCATGATTACAAAGTTACAGAGACACAAACTCCATGTTGTAAATAACTAATCTGTTTCAAGTAAGGGACAAACTAAGAAAACAGAAATAATCATAATTGGGCCAGGCACGTTGGCTCACACCTGTCACCCCAGCAGTTTGGGAGGCTGAGGTGGGCAGATCACCTGAGGTCAGGAGTTCAAGGCCAGCCTGGTCAACATGTTGAAACCCCATCTCTGCTAAAAATACAAACCTTAGCCAGGCATGGTGGCAGGTGCCTGTAATCCTAGCTACTCAGAAGGCAGGCATGAGAATGGCTTGAACCCAGGAGGTGGAGGTTGCAGTGAGCCGAGATGGCACCATTCCACTGCAGCCTGGGTGACAGAGTGAGGCCCTATCTCAATGAAAAAAAAAAAAAAGAAAGAAGGAAGAAAAGAAAGAAAGAAAAGAAAGAAAGAAAGACGTGCTTGCTCTATGGGCAGACTATAACACAGGAAGCCCTTTTCTATGCCTTGTGTCTCGTAACCTCTCCAGCAACCTTATAAGATACTCACCTGAGGCTTACAGAGGTGAAGGGGTTTTTCACCTTACTCATCTTGTAAGTGGCAGACTGAGAATTTAAACTCATTTTTGAGTCCAAAGTCTGTGCTCTTAAAAATTGCATATGGATTCAGAAATCTGCGAAATTATTTTAAAGAAAATTAAACTGGAAAGCATCCTTTTCCTACCAATTTGAATGTAAAAACATCAGATGATTGAAGAAAGAGAAAACTGGACCCACATCATCTAGATTAGATGTGGACAATGCCCATATTCAGGAAAGGTTGCCAATCTTTCATTTTGGCTTTCATAAGATAGATACGACATTTTAAAATTTCTTGTTGTTTCTTTTTTTCTTTTTGTGTGTTTGCTTGTTTTGTATTTAAAAATCATTGTGCTAGGAGACGACCAATTTCAGTTCAGAATTCTGCCTCAAATACCCTGGCTAACATAGTTCTAGATTGTTAATGTGCAGGATTGTTAATGTTAATTCTGCAGGAAGAAGAAGCACAGTCGCTTTATCTGCACCAAGATCCTCATCTGGCATTGGGTCAAGATCACTGGGATGATTTCAAGACTGGTGTGAAAGTGTCATCTAGCCTTAGTCATTTACAATATGTTATTGCAAGCCCAGTGAAAACAACAACAACTAAATTTCACCCTAAAGCATGTTCCTGTGCCTGCAGATTAACCATATGGAATTCAAGAAGTAATTTAGAGCTGCCTCGTTTCAGAGGTGATGAGGATGATTTGTGTACGTCAGCGCCCATGCAAGAGTTCAGTACAGCTCTTGGACAAGTTTTCCCAACTTGTTTTGTTTTGCAACCTGGGACCTTGTTATTCCTTTGTTGGCTTAGTTCTGTTTTCACTGGATTTTGAAAGTGGCTGTTGTTTGGCAGCTTTTCACCTTCTGCTCATTGTGAAAGCCAACTTCAGACGCTGAGGTGCCCTCTAAGAAGACTTCCCTGTCAGGTTCACGGAGAAATTGATCACAGGGTGAGCCCCATCAACTCGTCATTTTCTCCCTGTGGTCTGGATTTTGACAGAAACCTTTGACTTTCTCCTGATGCATTTCTACCTTATTGACTCAGGGGAAAAGTACAGAACATATGAGTATTCCGAATGTTTCCAGAGCGATTATGCTCGCTGGCGAGTGATCCCTTCATGTTGCCACCACATGGAACGCCACCTGTTCCCCCGCCACGGCCTCTTTGGGGAAAACCAGGAAGGGGATGCAGACACGATGGACATTTCAACACAGCGAACTCAATTTCAAGAGAAAAGGGCCAAGGACCTTCCGCCCCTCCACGTTTGCCTCTTTATGTTTTTGATCCGTATTGGAGACCATCTGGCCACGTTTCTGTTCTCTGCTGCTTGTGGGTTGGTTGGCGTTGACTCTGGTCAGAAGGAGAACAGAAAAATCCTCAGGGAAAGTACAGGATGTGACAGAAAACTGAGCTGGTGAATCAGGGGTGGGCTGGTCCCCATTGTGTCAAAGTGCAAGAGTTCTAGAAGGTTGTGGGCAGGAAATGGCATTGCTGAGTCAGTGGGGAGGACTTTGCTCCATGACTCATCCCCCCACGACAGACACACCTTGGGGCACAGACACAGAGGAAACCAAGAAAAGCTTATAGCGGGGTTAATGGGAAAGCTTACTGAGTATTATTGAGTGGGAAACTCTCCCAAACCCCAGGGCATTTAAGGGAAAAAGATATCTAGAGATGCAGCCTTACGTGGGTTCCCTAGAAGTAGACCCTGAGACAAGGTTGCGTGTGAAAGGAAGTTACCAGGAAAGTTATCTGCAAAGACAGGTGGAAGAGGAACTGAGAGGAAAAAAGGCAGGAAGCCAAGCCAAGGTGAGGCTTCAAGCAAAGTCAGCTGAAGATGCCTTTGGCTCAGCCTCTAGGGAGGAAGTCACATCCCAGAGCCAGCCAATCAGAGCCAACAGTTGCAGTATTTGTACCCACAAGATCCCCCTGGGGGCTGTAAACTCCCAGGCACTGCTGGCTTTGCGTACTCTCAGGCAGAGTGCCTTCTGAGGGCAGCACCGGACAAAACGCCCCAGCACTGGCCGCCAGGCAGCTGGTGTCCAAACCGGGTCAGGCAAGAGGGCACAGGGGGGTGTTCGGGGCCAGCTCCCTCTGGGGTGTGAGCATTGCTTCCCAGCTACATGTGTGGAGACAACCATTAATTTAGTTTGATGTCAGCCATGTGGGAGTATTTACACCATGGAAATTGGCAAGTGCCATAATTCGGGGTTTTCTTTTTGAGAGCTCATTGTTAAACATTTACCAGCATGGCTGGAACACTGACAATGTTTGGTACAGACTCATGCAACTGACATTTCCTGAGCATTTCCTAGGTGCCAGGCACTGTTCTAAGCATTTTTATACATGTTAGCTCATTCGATCCTCACCATGACCCAAAAGAAAGAGTACTGTTTATCATCTCCATTTACAGATGAGGAGACCAAGGCACAGAGAGGCTAATGATTTAAAGAGACAGAACTGCCGCCAAGGCTGTCTAGCCCCAGAGTCTGTGCATGCTTTTTTTTTTTTTTGAGACAGAGTCTCGCTCTGTCACCAGGCTGGAGTGCCATGGCGCGACCTCGGCTCACTGCAACCTCTGCCTCCTGGGTTCAAGTGATTCTTCTGCCTCAGCCTCCCGAGTAGCTGGGACTGCAGGCACGTGCCACCAGGCCTGGCTAATTTTTGTATTTTTAGTAGAGACAGGGTTTCACCATATTGGCCAGGCTGGTCTCAAACTCCTGACCTTGTGATCCGCCCACCTTGGCCTCCCAAATTGCTGGGATTACAGGATGCATGCTTTAACAAGAGGAAAGTAAATGTGTACAGGTCATTCATTGCAGCACAACTTATAATTACCAAGTATTGGAAAGCACCAAAATGCCCACAACTAGGATATCCAATGGGATATCCTATGGTACCTCCATACAGTGGAGTACTATGCAGCTGTCAAAAACAGTGAGGCAGTGTGTTATGAACTGCAGTGGAGTGATAGCCAAGGTAAAATGAGTAAAATGACAAGGAAAAAAAGACATAAGCACAAAACGGAAAGCATGTCATACCATGTTTTGGCAAAATGCAGATAATATGCCTCTGGCAAAGAAATGAAGGAACGATAAACAAGGAATAATTCAGGGGCCTCATTACCTACAGGGAGTGGGAAAGCGTGGAAGGGATAGAGGAGGGGGTAAAGCCTCTGAGTATGCTTTTTTCATAGAGTTTTGATTATTGCAACTCTATTAATGCTAATATTTCACCTATTAAAAAATTTAAGTTCATAAGAATTTAAATGTTTTCAGGGGGTGTATGTACATTTGCTGGTGTGAACACTTCTTGGCAATGGTGGTCTTTAGCATGGGGAATTTTCACGTTTTACCTACACGTGTGTGTGGTTTGAAGCGTTCATACCTGTGTGCACTGCTTTGAAGGAAAGCCCTATGACAAAGAAAATGGCATGATGTGTAATTGCTGAGGATGTGAGTGTTGTGGTGGAGGTAAGCAATGAACTCCTGGGGTTGCTACGTGTCAAGAAAATGTTCCTAACACTCAGATTTTGGGAGTGCTTGAAAACAACAGGAAATCACCCAGGAACTGCTGATTCCTGGATCATGATGGAGAGATGATTCCCTCTAGTTGCAGAAGAGAGCGCTCAGGAGATGCCCATGGCTGTATTCCTCCAGCAAGGGGTCTGATAGTGACCCCCAACAGTGGTCTTTAGGCCATGGTGGTGAGCTGTAGGTAAAGGCCTTGTAATCTGGATTTTGTTCAGTCCTCTATTGGATCACTGTTTGATGTGTTCCCATATGTGCCAGATCCTCCCTTGTGGGGCTGGGGACTGGCTGGAGACAGAAACAAACAAGTCAATAGATAAGAGAATGTGAAATTAGACGGAGCTTCCCTTCCCACTCTAAACAGCCCAACCAGGCTGTGGATTTCATGAGAACAGACTCTCTCTGGAGGTTTGTGCTAATTTCTTTTTCCAATTGGGCTGGGAATACCATCAAACAGCTGCTCTGGTGCTGGTCCAGGGCATCTGCATCTGTTTGAACAGCAACTGGGAAGCCTGGAATTTCATGGACACAGGGAAGGGTGGTTTGGAAACCTGCACTTCTGTGCAAGCAGCCTCTGTATTTAAGAACAGTCATATTGCTTCGATTTCTGTCTCGTTCTTGGGGCTGGTTCTGATTGCTTGACCTTGATCACACAGGATGTTTCCCCTTCTCATCTCATGCAGCAGGAAGCATGCCAGGGAGAGGAGATAGAAGGCGTGCATCGGGTCCTGACTCCTCTTCTTCCAAGCTATGTGACTTTGATAGGTCACTTTTCTTCTCTGAACCCCCAAATGATAAAATGGAAACACTAATATCCACCTGCATCTGGGGCTGGATCCGATTGTCTTTTGAGAGCTTGTAACCACTTATCTCTCTGATAAACAGCAGCTCTGGGAATTGAACCCAGATTTGACTATTCAGAGCCAGCATCCTTTCCTCCCATCACCCATAAGCCTGGAGACAAGTGGTTACAGGTATAGACTCCTTGCTTCTCTCTACCCTTTACTGAGTAAGTGACTCAACCTCTTTTCTTCTAAGTTCTCTTATCTATAAAAATGGACTAATCCCCTTTGGGAGGCCGAGGCGGGTGGATCACGAGGTCAGGAGATGGAGACCATCCTGGCTAACACAGTGAAACCCCGTCTCCGCTAAAAAATACAAAATAATTAGCCAGGCGTGGTGGCGGTTGCCTGTAGTCCCAGCTACTCGGGAGGCTGAGGCAGGAGAATGGTGTGAACCCGGGAGGTGGAGCTTGCAGTGAGCTGAGATCACGCCACTGGACTCTAGCCTGGGCAACAGAGCGAGACTCTGTCTCAAAAAAAAAAAAAAAAAAAAAAAAGGGCTAATCATGGACCTACCTCCTGGGGCTGATGAAGGACTAAATATGCTGAACTCTTAGAATGGTGCAATGAATGCTGGCTACTCTGGTCATGGTGCTCTAGACACACAGTTCTTCCAGTTTACTTCACACATGTTGAATTCTTCCCTCTGATTAGCCCAAGGTCTAGACCAGGAATAGTAAATTCACAGCTCATATTCTACCACTCCCACCACTGATGTCAGAGGCAGACATCACCAATCAATCCCCTCTCTCTCCACTGTCTGGGCAGAGTCTCAGAAACTTCAAGGCAGGCACTACTAGTTGACAGCAGTTGAAGCCGCTGCCATTCCCTTACAAAAACGTGTATGGAATCTGGCTTCCTCAGGATGAGCTACTTTTCATGGCAAGCGATGACTCTCCACAAAACCTGAGGTCCCCAGTGCAATCTGGGAACTGTTTGATTGCCTTTCATGAGTTCAAAAGCCATTGTCTCCCAAATGAGGAGGAAAGCTATTTTTGCCAGGAGAGAATGGAGGTAGGATAAGATACTGTTCCTGTTTTCCTAGAGTCAGGAAGAGCCCTCTCGAGGGAAAGTAGGGGGTGTCAGGGTATAATTGTTGACATAATATAATGATCTCTCCCTTCAGCCACTGGCTTCGTTTTACATCTGCTTCTCTTTAGAGCCACTTTGGAAGGAATGGTGACTCTGAACCTCTGGGGGATGGAAGAAAAGAATGCTGCTTTGCATGGACAAACCTGAGTTCGATTCCCAGCGCTGTTTATCGGATGTGGGATCTGATCTTGGGGGGACCTTCTTCAAGCCTCTCTGAGCTTCAGTTTCTGCATTAAAAATGAGAAGAAATGCCAGTTTTGAAGGGCATTCATTAATTCACTACCTATGATGGGCCACACTCTCTCCAGGCCTGGAGTGAAGTGGACATTCATCCCTGAAGATGAGGGATGATGCAGGGAAGCACCTCCACAGTGCTTGGAATGTTTGCTATTGGCGATTATTACCCTCGAATATCAGTTGCACGAAGATGTTTAGCACACTCTCACCAGAAACACCTGCTTGAAAGAGACAAGCATCTTGCTTTCGCTTTCTGTAGACTAACTTGCCCACACTTTGGGGCCCTTCCCTCAATGCCCATTCACCGTTGTTTTTCAGTTTGTTTTGGGGTCTGTGTATTTGGAGGATGCTGTCACAGAGGCAAGAATAACAGACTTCTGTTAAGAATGAAGGGCATTTTCACATTTTTACATTTCGCATTCTCACATGTTCACATTTTCCTATTTCCTGGCTGTGTGACCTTGGGCAAATCATTCCACGCTTCCTCTTTCAAAAAGGAATACGGACCTTTCCCAGTTGGGTCCTGTGGGGGCTCGATGGCTGATGAAGGAGTGAGAAGGAGCCTGCAGGTGCTTTTCCCTGACACCCTGTGGGGTGCTTTCTGCAGTGACATGCTTCTAGGCCGACGGCAGATCCTGCAGCCCCTACGCATCCCCTCTGCCTTAGCACCGGCCACAGCTCGGCTCATGGGGCCCATCCTGGGCACAGTCCTCAGCCCTTTCTGAATACTGCCTCTTTTCCTCCTCCTCACTAGGGAGTGCTTGTACAGCCTTTACCACGGGGCCAGCTCCTAAAACTGCCAGCTCCTCTCACCCATTATTTCCAGGAACCAGCTACCCCTTCTTCTCCCCAGGGCCCTTGCACATGGAGCACTCCCTGCACTGGACACTTTGCACCCCAGGTGTCTGCTGCCTTCGCATTCTCCTTTGTTTCAGATCTCGGCTCACATGTGAAAGGCTTCCCTTCCAGCCGGCAATGCCCCTGGCTAGAAGAATCTCTCGCAGAGTTAGCCACTTGTTCCAGACTTTGTTTTATTTCCCTGTGGCGATATCACTGTCTCATGCATTCCTTGTGGACTATATTTCTCTGCAACTGCAATGTGAGCCCCTGGAGAGCCAAAGCTGGGCCGGGACGTGTTGTTCCCAGTGCCGCTACCAGCATCTGGACCCAGGCCCGCCCGTGGTGGATGCGTGATGCATCTGTCAGGGAAGGAATGAATGCAAATCCCTGTCATACAGAAGAGGCTCCCGAGATGTGACACCTGCTGCCCACGGCTGCACAGCTAGTGAGTGGAGGAGGGGTGGCCCGCACATGCATGCCCCCCCCTGCGCCCCCCCAGTGTCCATACAAGCGGCCCAGCCGGGCAGCTGCAGCTCTTCCTGTCTCACCCTTACCGATGTTTGGAGTTTGTAAAACCCGCTAATCCCCGACCCTGTGTCATCCGCAGCAAGCTAATGGGCCTCTCTTCAGAGCTCAGGGCTGAGAGGGTCAGCTCTCCCGCTCCGTGCACTTAATGTCCAAATGTCTGATTTACTGGGAGAGGCCCAGGACATCTCCCTCAGTGCCTTCATAGCCAGGCCAGTGTAAAAGGCACCGGTGGCAAAAACGATCGCGGGGAGGGCGCATTTGGAGATGGGATGCAAAACGAAAATCCCTTTTGGCTTCTCCCAGGAAAATCTCAGGAAAGAGTTTGTCTCTGCTTGCTGCCCTGGGACCTGGGACGCCATGAAGCTTTGTCAGATAAACCCAGAATTCTAAAGCCGAGACTGCCGGGAAGAGGCTTCCCGCTACCGGACAGGAGGTGCTGTTGGGAAAACAGTGCAAGTCTTTCTACCAAGCAAATGGCTGATCTTTGGGTCTTGACTTAAATTCATGCAGAGTGTTCAGAAGAGAAGCCAGTTCAGAAGAGAACCTCAGATAGGAAGTCTGATTTGTTATGATCCTGGCAGACACTGGAAACCCCGGCAGCGTGGCTGTGTCAGTGCTTGGGGGCCTGTCTATGTAAAACCCACACCGGTCTGCTCTGTCGGGAGGTGACTGGGATGAAAACCAACAGTGCTGGCTTCCCCTGGGCTAGAGTGTGAATCCCAGTGTGGCTCCTGTCGACTGTGTGACTTGGGCCGCTTACCTCACTGTCTGAGCCTCAGTTTTCTCATCTGGGAAATGGGCTATCTCATGCCACTAGTCACCCAATCATCCTTTCCGGAACCTTCTGAGAATGAAAGAGGGCACAACTAATGGTTCCATCAGGGCATCTATGTTTTTTTTTTTTTTTGAGACGGCATCTCGCTCTGTCGCCAGGCTGGAGTGCAATGGTGCGATCTTGTGATGTCGGCTCACTACAATCTCCACCTCCCGGGTTCAAGCAATTCTGGATGGTCTCGATCTCTTGACCTCGTGATCTGCACGCCTTGGCCTCCAAAGTGCTGGGATTACAGATGTGCGCCACTGCGCCCAGTTGGGGCATCTATTTTGAATGACTGTCCCCAGCAAATTCTGGGTCCTTTTTGAACACCTACTCACAACTATAAAGTTGTGTGTGTGCACATGTGTGCATGTGCGCACGTGTGTGCATGTGTGTGTATTTGTGTGTGTGCATCTGTGTGTGTGTATTTGTGTGTCTGCATGTGTGGCAAGTAGCACAAAGAGGGAGGATGTTATTATGATGTCTGGAAGCAAAGGTCAACCTTGGAGTCTGGAAAGATCCTGGTTTATTTCTGTGTTGTAGACATGGAACTGGATGCTCCTGTTGGATGACATCAACAGGGAATTAGCTGATTTCCAAGATACCCAGGTGGTGTCTGCACACACCCTCCCCGGCCCTGCCCTGGTGTGCCACGTGGAGCCGGGCTCCGTGGATAATGAGGGAGGCCACGAGGGGTGGGAGCTGGCCATCGTCTCTCCCAGGCTTATTTCTGAAGGTCCCTCCATCACCATCTTGAAAGCCACCATCCTTTTCAGGAAACAGAAAAAAGCGTAGTCTCTGGCGTTCCAAGAAACCCACCAGGAGGAATGTAGAGAATCAAACGCGCTGGTCTCCCTCCAGCAGTTCCTCGGGGGAGAGAAATGATTTCTGATGCTAATGGCCAGCCCCTCCAACGCTGACATTTTCTTACATTGTACTTAAGCCCGGTTTGTTTTGCTTTCTGTCTCCACAACAATTACAAAGATTTATTTTTTATTGCTCCAGTTAACTCTGCCAGGACCACACTTCCTACTCGTTTTTAAAGGAGCATCTCTACTGTCCGGCTGGGACTAGAAACTGAGCATTTTCAATCTCAAAAAGGAAAATAAACAAGGCTGAACTCATCTTCTGGAGAAGGGCCGGCACTTTTCTCCCGTGCGTGGTGCCAGAAGGGGCTTCTGGCTCTTTTCCTCATGACAGGGGGGTTCACCCAGCCACCCTGCTGCGGTCCCTGCATGAGGCGGCGTTGTCACAGTGCCAGGGAATTAGAAGCTGTCCTCCCCAAATGGCTCCTCAGAGCACCCCCTGAGAGCTCAAAATGCACTTTGTTCTCACCAGCGGGTGACCTGCTTTCATGTGAGGTGACAGGGCCGGGGTCCTGGGGTGCATCTTTCTCAGATTTGATGTGCTGTTCTAAAGCAGTGGTTTCAGGGATGTGTGGAGAGGCCGGGCCACGCAAGAGAGTGGGCAGGAGAACCAGCACTTTGCATCCCTGCTCCTCCGGGTTCCAGCTGTGTGAGCAGGGAAAGTAACTGACCCTCTCTGAGCCCGTTTCATCCCTGGAAAGTGGGAGCGACAATAGCACCTGCCATCCTGGACTGCTGGGAGGATTCACTGACGCCACAGGTGGCACAGTGAGCTTGCACAGCCTGGCTGTGGAAACTGTGGTTGGTTGAATAATGGCCCCCCAAGGATGCCACATGCAAATCCCTGGAGCCTGTGAATATGCAACCTAACGTCGCAAAAGGGACTTTGCAGAGGCGATTAGGTTAACGGTCCTGAGATGAGGTGATCATTCTGGATTATCTAAGGGGGCCCAATGTCATCACAAAGGTTCTTGGAATGTGGTGGCAAGAGGGTCAGATTAGAGGAGATGGGTGAAGGGTAGCAGTGATTGGAGTGAGGTACTTTGAAGATGGATGGGGCCATGAGTCAAGGAATGTGGGCACCCCTAGAAGCTGGAAAAGTCAGGAAAGCAGACCCTCCCTGGAGCCTCCTGAAGGAACCAAGCCTGCTTACACCTCAGTTTTAGCCTAGTGAGACCTGTGTCAGACTTTTGGCCTCCAGAAATGTGAGAGAATGAAAGTGTGTTGTTTTAAGCCACTAAGTTTCTGGCCACTTGTTACCACAGCCACAGGAAATGAATACAATCGTATTATTACTATTACTAATAGAGGAAACAGAGCTTCACACTGAGCTTCCTCCCCAGACTGTCCTCTCAGGCCCCAGTTGGCCCCTAGTGCTCTGAGGCTTCCTGTTCATCCATCCATCCATCCACTTATTCATCCCTCCGTCCTTCCGTCCCTCCAACCCTTCATTCATTCATTTGTGCAGCATTCATTCATCCTTCCCTCCATCCCTTCATTCATTCACTCATTCACCCATTCATCCATCCCCCCACTCATCCTTCCGTCTTTCCCTCCATTCCTTCATCCATTCATCCATCCACCTATTCATCTTCCATGCCTCCCTTCCTCCCTTGATCCATTTGTCCATTCACCCATTCATCCCTCCATCCTTCCCTCCATCATTTTGTCCATTCATCCATCCACCCACTCATCCTCCATACCTCCCTCCTTCCCTTCATGCACCCACCCATTTATCTCTCCATCCTTCCCTCCATTCCTTCATCCATTCATACATCTGCCCATCTGCTCATTTATCTCTCCCTCCATCCACCCATTTATCACTCCATCCTTCCCTCCATCCCTTCATCAATTAATCCAACCACCCATCCATTTTCCATTCCTCCCTCCATCCCTTCATCCATCTACTCATTCATCCATTCATCCCTCCATTCACTCTTCATTCATTCATCCATCCACCCATTCATCCTTCCCTCCATCCCCCCATCCATCTGTTCATCCCTCCCTCCATCCCTTCATCCATTCTCCTATCCACCCATTCATCCCTCCAACCCCCCTCCATCCCTTCATCCATACACCCTTCCATTCTTCCATCCCTTCCTTCATCCCTTCATCCAACCACCCATCCATCCCTCCATCCCTTCATCCATCTACCCATTCATTCATTCATCCCTCAATCCATTCCTTCATTCATACATCCGTCTGCCGATTCATCCTTCCCTCCATCCCTTCATTCATCCACCCATCCATCTGTCCATCCCTTCATCCATTCATCCATCCTCCCATCCCTTTCATCCCTCCAACCCCTCTCCATCCCTCCCACCATTCATTTGTTCATCCACTCGGCCATTCACCCTCCATCCTTTCCTCTCTCTTCATCCCTCCCTCCATCTCTTCATCCATTCATCTATCCACTCATTCATTTATCTTTCCTTCCATACCTTCATTCATTTATCCATCCATTTATTTACTTATTTGTTTATTCATTTATCCATTCACTTACTCCTTCCTTCCTTCCTTCCTTCCTTAATACCTGGCATCAGCATGAGGGACTTTGCTGGGGGCTGACATCTTGGCCTCTCCCTGCTCCTGCCCACTTCTATCATGTCAGCAGCCAGAGTTATACTTCCAAATGATGCCAGTCTACATGCCCTTCTGTTCATGACCCAGTGACTCCCTCTGTCCTCAGTCCTGTGCGAAAGTCCTTGCTCTGCCGCTTGGAGTTTGTCCCCTGTGCTCTCCCCTTTGCTTATTCTGTTGCAGCCCCTTCGATCCCTGGCTTTGCCTCCTGCCCCAGGCCTCTTGCACTTACCATGCCCCTGGGTGGAGCACCTTCCCCCAGGTGGCTGCATAACTTGCTGCCTCACCTTCTCAGGTCACCTCCTCAGCGAGACTCTTCCTGATCACTTTTCCCCTTTCTCGTTTTATTTTCCCTTCCTGCTCATTAACATCCATATCTTTCACTTCTAATTTTGTATTTCTTCTCTGCCTCTCCTGCTAAAAATATGCTCCCTTAAGGCAGAGTTTTTCACTGTTTTGTTCTGAGCTGTATCCTCCATG
Source organism: Homo sapiens (assembly GCF_000001405.40). Taxonomy (NCBI): domain Eukaryota; kingdom Metazoa; phylum Chordata; class Mammalia; order Primates; family Hominidae; genus Homo; species Homo sapiens. Next base: position 86,675,023 of record NC_000016.10, read on the forward strand.
CCTGGCACATAGTAGGTGCTCAATAAATATTTGTGGAATTAGAGAATGAGTATCAGGTTCTTTAAAGCTGAATTCCAACCTAGCTCCCCAGCCTCATCTTGATTCTTAACCTGTCTCATGTTCTATTCGATTGGCTGTTCCAGAAACATCTTTTTCTCTCAAGCTTTTTTGCTTTTGCACAGGTGAATGTCTTCTCTGCATGGTGAACACCTATGCATCCTTGAAAACCCGTCTCCTTGACAAAGTTTTCTCTAATACTTTCATCCCAGGTTGTTTGCCTCTTCTCTCATGCATTTTAAAAGCACTTTATACTTCCTTCTATTAAGGAATTTATCTTGCTGTTCAGAGTTTTTTTTTTAACACACCTCTTTCCCTGATCAGAGACTGTTAATGTCTATCTTACTTTTTGTTTTTTTGCACCATCTAGCAACTTGCTGGCATACAGTAGATGATTAGAAACAGTCAAAGAGTGAGTGAAAAAATGAATGAGTGAATGAATGAATAAATGCAGGGCAGGCAGGGACCTTGGTCTTATTTGACCCTGGATCTAGTCATCAAGCAGTTTTTGGCACAGAGGAGCCATTCAGAAGAGTTTCTTGTCTATAAGAGCAAGAGTTTCTGGTCTATAAGAGCGAGGGTTTCTGGTCTATAAGAGCGAGGGTTTCTGGTCTATAAGAGCCAGGGTTTCTGGTCTATAAGTGTGAGGGTTTCTGGTCTATAAGACCGCGGGTTTCTGGTCTATAAGAGCAAGGGTTTCTGGTCTATAAGACCGCGGGTTTCTGGTCTTTAAGAGCAAGGGTTTCTGGTCTATAAGAGCGAGGTTTTCTGGTCTGTAAGAGCAAGGGTTTCTTGTCTATAGAGCGAGGGTTTCTGGTCTATAAGAGCGAGTGTTTCTGGTCTATAAGAGTGAGGGTTTCTGGTCTATAAGAGCAAGTGTTTCTGGTCTATAAGAGCAAGGTTTTCTGGTCTGTAAGAGCGAGGGTTTCTTGTCTATAGAGCGAGGGTTTCTTGTCTATAGAGTGAGGGTTTCTGGTCTATAAGAGCGAGGGTTTCTGGTCTATAAGAGCCAGGTTTCTTAACTATAAGAGTGAGGGTTTCTTGTCTATAAGAACAGGAGTTTGTATTTGTTTTGTTCACTCTTGCATTCCCCGTACTTAGAGCAGCTCCTGTCACAGAGTAGGAGCTTAGAAATAATTGATGAGTGAATAAATTGTGAGAGACCTATTTTCATCAGCTCCCTCTCTCTCAGAGGCCTGCCATGGCTAGAGAGGAGCTTGTGTTTCCAGGCTGCTGAGGGCTCTTCCTCCTGTGTCATGCACTGACATGTCTGTGTGAATCAGAGCCTGTTGGACAAGGAGAGAGAGAGGTGGTCAAAGGGCATGAATCAGCCCATTTCTTGGCTTTTCCCAGACAAGGTGGCTCAAAATGTGTTCTGTGCAGGTCGGGTCTGGTTTTTATAGACTTCTGTGGACTAAAGTGAGGTCTGCAAATTGAGGGCTTGTTGGTCACTGTCTTATAGGCATGAGTCACTGGCCAGCAGCCTTCTGCAAGAAGGAAACGCCATCCTCTCCTGGTGACATGTGCCCAAGGCCTGTATGCGGCCCCTCTCCTAGGACTGTGTGGGGCTGGGCTGCTCGTTGGAGGGGTGCACGGTGGTTTTCTGGGTGGGCCGTGCAATTCCTGCTGGCAAACACAGTCATGGTGGAAGCTCTGCCAGAAAAGCACAGAGTGGTAGGGCAGAGTGTTCCTGCATGGCCTCCTGGTCAGAAGCTCACCTCTTCCTGCCATAACCTGGCCAAGGAGAGGAGAGCTCAGTCTTTGGTAACTTCCCCAGAGGGGCCTGGACCAGCCATATTCTCAGGATATGGCTTCTTACTGGGAGCCTTTGCTCTTGTGGCCATGGGGTGAGTTGCTGGCTGGACTTTCTCTGCCAGCACACACCCTTATATCACTGAACCCAGAAGGTTTCCTCCAAACAGGACCTTTGGCCACTGCTTGGAGGGAACTGGGGTGAGGGCATGGGGCTCTTTCATTTTGGAGACAACTAATCCAACCTGACATATCACCTAAGGTTCCCAGATTTAGAGAGAAAAATCAGAAACAAACAAAACAAAACAAAAACCAGGATGCCCAGTTAAATTTAAATTTTAGGTAAACTACAAATATTTTTATTTGTATATGTAGGCCCCATGTAATATTTGGGCAGAAGCAATTGGATACCACACCCTTGTGCCCAAATAGCTAAAAGACTCTCTTTCCCAAAGGCAAAAGGAACCCTATTAGTTTGTTTTCACACTGCTGATGAAGACATACCCAAGGTTGGGAAATTTACAAAAAAAAAAAAAAAAAAAAAGAGGTTTATTGGACTTACAGTTCCACATGGCTGGGGAGGCCCCACAATCATGGCGGAAGGCAAGGAGGAGCAAGTCACATCTTAGGTGGGTGGCAGCAGGCAAAGAGAGAGGGTTGTGTAGGGAAACTCCCCTTTATAATCAGTCATCAGGTCTCATTAGACTTAATTGTTATCACGAGAACAGCAGGGGAAAGACCTGCCTCCATCATTCAGTTGCCTCCCACCGGGTCCCCCCCACGACACATGGGAATTCAAGATGGGATTTGACCATCTTGATATGGTCAGCCAAACCATATCAGGAATGGAGTGAGTACAGGGACAACTGTGATCACTGGCGCTCACCCCCTGCCCCCCTCCCCTCTCCCCGCCATCCCCACACCATGAGGAGGCCCTCTGCACAAAGCATGTCTGCCCAGACTGTGCTCAACAAGACTTTCCTCCTGTTCTGCCTCCTGTCTGGTCTCTTTTGTCTCTGCCTTTTGCCAAGTTTTGTTCCACAGCCTTCCCAGCAAGGTGGGAGCTCCCCAGTTTCCTCCTCCTTCAGCAGAGAGTCCCTGTCTGCTGAAATGCACCCAGCCTATTTCTGTCACTGCCAGCACTGTCTCCTGTTCTGCTGGCGAACTCTGCTTACCTGCCTATCAAGGCCAGATGCCCCTCTCTGGAGCCCTCTGGATTCCTTTCCCTGAGCTGCTCTAACAAAGAACCCCAGACGGGGTGGCTTAAACAGCAGAAATGGATCCTCTCACAGTTCTGGGTGCCAGAAGTTTGAGAGCAAGGTGTTGGCAGGGTGGGTTCCTTTGGAGGCTGTCAGGAATGCTCTGCTCCTGGCCCCTCCCTCACCTTCCGGTGGCTGTGGAGAGCCTTTGGCCCTGTCTCTGCCTGCATCAAGTCACTTTCCCTCTAGGCATGCCTATCTCGTGCCCACATTCCCTCTTTCTTTTTTTTTTTTTTTTTTGTTGTTGTTGTTTGGTTTTTTTTTTAATTATACTTTAAGTTTTAGGGTACATGTGCACATTGTGCAGGTTAGTTACATATGTATACATGTGCCATGCTGGTGCACTGCACCCACTAACTCGTCATCTAGCATTAGGTATATCTCCCAATGCTATCCCTCCCCCCTACCCCCACCCCACCACAGTCCCCAGAGTGTGATATTCCCCTTCCTGTGTCCATGTGATCTCATTGTTCAATTCCCACCTATGAGTGAGAATATGCGGTGTTTGGTTTTTTGTTCTTGCGATAGTTTACTGAGAATGATGATTTCCAATCTCATCCATGTCCCTACAAAGGACATGAACTCATCATTTTTTATGGCTGCATAGTATTCCATGGTGTATATGTGCCACATTTTCTTAATCCAGTCTATCATTGTTGGACATTTGGGTTGGTTCCAAGTCTTTGCTATTGTGAATAATGCCGCAATAAACATACGTGTGCATGTGTCTTTGTAGCAGCATGATTTATAGTTCTTTGGGTAATGGGATGGCTGGGTCAAATGGTATTTCTAGTTCTAGATCCCTGAGGAATCGCCACACTGACTTCCACAATGGTTGAACTAGTTTACAGTCCCACCAACAGTGTAAAAGTGTTCCTATTTCTCCACATCCTCTCCAGCACTTGTTGTTTCCTGACTTTTTAATGATTGCCATTCTAACTGGTGTGAGATGGTATCTCATAGTGGTTTTGATTTGCATTTCTCTGATGGCCAGTGATGATGAGCATTTTTTCATGTGTTTTTTGGCTGCATAAATGTCTTCTTTTGAGAAGTGTCTGTTCATGTCCTTCGCCCACTTTTTGATGGGGTTGTTTGTTTTTTTCTTGTAAATTTGTTTGAGTTCATTGTAGATTCTGGATATTAGCCCTTTCAGGACATAGGCATGGGCAAGGACTTCATGTCTAAAACACCAAAAGCAATGGCAACAAAAGACAAAATTGACAAATGGGATCTAATTAAACTAAAGAGCTTCTGCACAGCAAAAGAAACTACCATCAGAGTGAACAGGTAACCTACTCATCTCACATTCCCTCTTTCTGAGGACACCAGTCAGAATGGATTAGGGCTCTAAGGACTTCATCTTCACTCATAACACCCGCAGCGACCTTATTTCCAAATGTAGTCACATTCTGCTGCTCTGGGGGTAGGACTTGAACACATGAGTTCTCAGGGGTGCAGTTCAGCCTGTAGCACCCTCTCTCCCATCATGGCCACTTCCCCTGAGTTTTCTGAGCGTTTTGTGCATTTCTCTTTGCTATGGTTGGGGTGTGTCTTCTCCTAACCTCAGGTTGAAATTTGATTCCCAGTGTTAGAGGTGGGGCCCAATAGGAGGTGTTTGGGTTATGGGGAGGGGCCCTCATGGACAGATGAATGGCCTCCCTCAGGGGTGAGTGAGTTCTCACTCTATTAGTTCCCATGAGAGCTGGTTGTTAAAAAGGCCTGGCACCTTCCCCCCATTCACTCGCCTCATCTCTCCCATGAGGTTGCTGCACACACAGCTCCCCTTCACCTTCTGCTATGACTGGAAGCAGCCTGAGGTCCTCACCAGAAGCAGATGCCCAATCTTGAACTTTCCAGCCACCAGAATTGTGAGCCAAATAAACCTTTTTTTCTTTATAAGTTACCCAGCCTCAGATATGACTTTATAGCAACAGAAAATAGACTAAGACACTCTTTCTGCACATTTGCCATAGATGTAAGCTGCAGGAAGATGAGGAGTTTTGTCTCTATTGTAGACTGCTTTATTCCTAGCACCCCAAAATAGTGCCTGCCACAGAGTAGGAGCTCAATTTACGTTTGTTGAATGACTGAGAGAACTGACTCTCAGGGCATCTACTAGACTGAGTGTCCCCGCCAGGGCAGGAACAGGGCAGCTTTATCAGTCCGGAGCCAGGCTTGGGGAAAACACTCAGTAAATGCTTGGGAAATTGAATCACTTTTTGGTCCAGCAGTGAAATTTCCTGTGACTCAGTAAATCACTTTAACTAATGAAGGAATAACAATCCCAGAGGAGCAGAAGTTTCAACTATGCAGATTATTTCTGAGATTTAAAAAGTGACTCTTCAAAGAAATAAGTCCCTGGAGGCTGTTGGCTCTCTATAAAGGCTGACTTTCCACTCTCTTAAGTAGCTCATTTTGGCCCCGAGACAAGATTCAGTTGGTGGTTTTTAATAAATAACGTTTTTGTATTACAAAAGTAAAATTTAGAAAATTTACAGAAGAAGGAATTACGAAAAAACAACTCATTAGCCACAGACAACCAGATAATTCGTAATATGCCATTGTATTAATATTTCTTTCTGGTCATTTTTGATATGTCTGTTTTTATGTGATGCTAAACAAATTCAAATGCAATTGCATTGCTGCTTCAGTGAAACAAACATCCATTTCTAAAACGTTCTCCAGTTTCCATGTAGCTTAAATGCTCCAGAGGCGGCTAGTTGGTGGGGGCTGGGGAGTCTAGATGCGTCTAGAGGGAGAGGGGACAGGACGGGCTCAGAGTGGGGGCCTGGGGTGGGAGGGACACATCCACTGAGAGGGACAAGGGGACAGCTCGTTCCGGGCAAGGTCGTTCTTGACTCCCAGGACCCAAATGCCCATGTGGACAGTGCTTTAGAGACCGAGTGCAAAAGGAGGACAAAGCTGGCCACCATAAACCCATTTCCTGGCCTCGGCTCCCAGTTCATCTGCAACTTGCACTTTTCCAATTACAAGCCCCTCTGCAGCCTGGGTGGGAAAGCGCACCGCTCCCACTGAGGGAGCAGGCTCCGAGCCGGCGGGGCTGGGGACGATGCCGCAGTGGGTATTTTGAAGGGGAAATGATACATCCCGATGGCCTGAATGCAGTGAGGCCGATTCGGCTTTGTGGTGGCCGCTGATGTCATTTCAGAGAAAGAGCTAAAGGGTTGTTTTGTTTTTCAGGCTGTCTCTGAAATTGTCTCTCTCTCTCTCCTTTTTTTTTTTAATAAAAAAACTTCTGATTTTATCTGAAAACGGATGTTCCAAACCCCAAACCACCAACCCGGGCTTGCTCGAAGGCCCCTTCCCTGGTCGGTGCTGGCGCCGGGTGCTGGGTGCAGACTGGGAAAGGCCGGGTCGCTTGGTTCAGTCCACCACAGAGCTCCCAAACCTCGTTCGTGCCGGCCTGTTGTGGGGCCCAGGAGCTGGGCAGAGGGCGGGAAGACCGGCGAGGGGCTGGCAGGGAGACGTCTGTGGAGGGGGTTCAGCTCGTAGAAGGCAGCCATCGTTATCCAAGAATGCCACTGCGTGTGCTCCAAAATTCTGTCTTCCGAGGGCGCGTGGGAGGCTCACCCTTGGCTGACACGCTGGGAACTCAGCGGATGATGTCGTCTGGGCTGGCACCCACAGTCCCGATAAACAGGAGAGAGGGAGGGAGAGATGGGAGAAGGGCCCGCCTCCTGCCCGATGGGGCACGAGGGGTTAACCGCAGGCCATCTCCAGCCTGGAAGTCCCCTGGACTCTCCTCTGATCCACCCAGTCCTCCAACTGGGGGGTGCGTATTCAGAAAGGACCCTCATTGCCCCTTTAGCACATTTCCGTTGCCCTCCAAGTCCTCACGCGTTGCTGTCTGCTGGTTGGGTAGACTGTGGTCGGCCACTAATTGGTAGGGAAACGTAATTCTGCATTGCCGGTTATCGAGGCCTTACTACGTGGCCAAGTTCAACACTGCTGGCTTTCTATGTGCCATCTCCGTTAATTCACACATCCACGGTGTGGCATGATCCATTTTCCAGATGAAGAAACTAAGACTCAGAGCTTCAGGTCACCCAGCCGGGAAGCAAGTGAGCTGGGATTCCAGCTGCCTCTGCTGGGCTTCTTTTTTCCCATTGCCTTCAGGGAAGGGTGACTGTCGTGGGTTAAATGTTTCCCCCCAAAAAGACTTGCTCACATCTGAACCCCCGGTACCCACGAATGTAACCCTATTTGGAAAAAGGGCCTTTGCAGATGTCATGAAGTTAAGATGAGGTCATCCTGGATTGACAGTGGGCCCTAAGTTCAGTGCCAAGTATCCTTATGACAGTCAGAGAAGATGACGCAGACACGGGACAGAGCAGGCCGTGGGGAGACAGAGGCAGAGGCTGGAGTGACACAGCTACCAGCCAAAGAGCACCAAGGTTGGCTGGAGCCCCCAGCAGCGGGACAGAGGCGCAGAACATATGACCACAGGAGCACCTGGAAAGGACCAAACCCAGCAACAGTTGAATTTGGACTTTTAGCCTCCAGAACCATGAGAAAGTAAGACTCTGCTGGACTGTGGCACGCACCCGGAACACCCATCCAGCCGCCCTGAAGGATGCAGGCCTCTCCGCCTTTGGTTCTCCTGTGCCTCTTCAGGTATGAGGGGTTCCAGCACCAGGCTGGCCCTGGCAGCCGGGAGCCAGGTCAGTGCCTTCCAAACATCCCTGCCCTCCACCACATGCAGGGGCCTTCCCAAAGGGAGAGGCTGCATTGCTCAAGTCTCCAGCAGGTCCTGGGCACGTGTATGTCCCTTCCTCCTACCCATGCTCATCCCAGGAGAGCCATGGCTCAACTATTTGACAAAAACGTATAGCACATCCGTGGGGTGCCAGGCCCCACTGCAGGGCAGAGGACAGTGAACACGACCAAGTTCCTTTCCTTGAGTGTGTTATGTGGGAGGGTGAGAGAGAGGGAACAATCAATGAATGAAGCAAAGAGAGGGAGGAGGAGGGAAGGAAGAAAAGAAGGAAGGAGGGGAGAAGGAAAAGAAGGAAGGAGGGAAACAAGGGAGGGAGAGAAGAAAGGAAGGAAGGGAGGGAGGGAGGGAAGGGAGGAAGGAAGGAAGGAGAGAGGGAGGAAAGAGGGAAGGAAGGAGGGAGGGAGAGAGGAAGGAGGGAGGGAGGGAGGAAGACCGTTCCATGCAGTGATAAGCAAAAGGAAGTGAAACCAAGTCTGTGGAAAGGTGGAGTGTGCTGGGAGGCTGTGGAGGAAGACTGTCGGGTGGGGCCGTGCACTGTGCCCACGTGGAGGCGGGCACCCCAGGGGACCCTGCGCTTGCTATTTGACTGGATTCTCACGGCAGCTCTCAGAAATCTGCACCATGACTCCGATTTGACTGATGGAGACCCAGATACCCAGAGAGATTAAGCAGCTCCGGCCAGGCCATGGCTTACATTCCAGCTCCCTCTCACTGGGTGACAACTGGCTCCCTCTGTCCCCCACGTGGTAAGAAAATCCACAGCCTTCTTTGATTTTGTTCATAAGTCTTGGGGTTGACTGGACTCAGCCAGCACTTCTCCCTCAGGGTCCTCAGGCCAGGGCAGTGAGACGTGCCAGGCTGGGGCATCTCTCGGGTTCTTCCCTCACAAGGCTGGAGCCCAGCTGGGAAGACCCAAAATGGCCGGTGTTGCAGCTGCTGGAGGTTCTCTCTCCATCTTCCTCTCCCCACCTGTCTCCACCTCTCCCTCTTCCTCCCTCTCTCCACCTCTCCATCTGCCTCTCCCTACCTGTCTCTTCCTCCCTCCACATCTCTCTTTGCCTCTCTCTTCGTCTTTCTGTGTCTCCCTCCATTTCTCTCTTGTCCCTCTCTCTATGTCTCTCTCTCCATCTCTCTGTCTCTCTCTTCATCTCTCCCTGCCTCGTTCTCTCTCTGTGTGTTTCTGTCTCTCCCTCCACATCTCTCTGTTTCTCTCTCCATCTTTCTGTGTCTCCCTCCATTTCTCTCTTGTCCCTCTCTCTATCTTTCTTTGTCTCTCTCTCCATCTCTGTCTGCCTCTTTCTCTCTCTGTGTTTGTCTCTCTCTCTACATCTCTCTGTGTGTCTCTCTCCATTTCTCTTTCTCTCTCTCCATCTTTTTTTCTCTCTCCGTCCATCTTTCTTGTCCCTTTCTCTATCTCTTTTTGTCTCTCTCTCCATTTCTGTTTCTCTCTCTGTGTCTCTGTTTCTCTCTCTCTCTTTCTCTCTCTCTCTCTATATGTATATATATGTGTGTATATATATATGTGTGTATATATATGTGTATATATATGTGTGTGTGTATGTGTGTGTGTGTGTGTATATATGTGTGTGTGTGTGTGTGTGTGTGTGTGTGTGTATATATATATATATGCCATAGGGTGATTGGATGTCTATTGTGGCAGTGGGAGGCTCCCAGAGTGAGTGTCCCAAGAAACTTGGGCAGAGGTGGCCTGGCCTCTCCTAGCCCACCTGGGAGGTCACACAGCAGCATGTCTGTCATGCCCCACTCAGGATGCAGCTGCAGAGCCTCGCCCTGTACAGTGGGGTAGGGGTGGGGCTGCCCCTCTCCATGGCAGGAAGGTCACAGAAGGTGCTATGGGTTTTACATTCTCCCCAGCTCGGCCCCACCCCATATCATGCTCATCAGCCCTCCCCTTCCCACAGCTTCTCACACCCCCCACTCTCCCCGTCTCCAGCAGGGCTTCACGTCCACCTGCTTCCCTGAGAGGCAGTGAGATGCTCTTTCATGGAGCGGGCCAGCTGGCATGGCCTCAGAGGCCTCCTCACCACAACTGGGCCTGCTGGACCCCCGCCCCCTGGGCCGGTCCTCCCCAGCTATGAGAATACAACTGCACACCCAGGAAGGCCAGTTTGGGCAAATTCCCGGGATCCATATTCTTCCTGAGACATGGCTGCAGAGTTGTCAAACTTCCTGAAGAAATATTTGTTATAACTAAAGTGTATTTTGGGTGTTGGAAATATAAACTTTGGTGCTTGACCAGGTGTGACCATAGACTAGTCCATAATGGGATGAAATGCACAGTCCGTGGATTTCCACCACAGGTTTATATTTTTAACATTTACAACCAATAAATGTTGGCTCCAACATCAACAGAAGAAAAGGAAGACCATAAATCCTTCCTTTCCAGTAGTAAAGGGAGTGGAATCCCAGACCATAACCCTTGCTATCATATTTTAATAGCCACTGCTAATGGAATGCTTACCACATCCAGATTCTGCACTGAGGTTTTGCATTCATCATCAAAGTGGGTCTTTCAACAACCCCATTATTATTCCCATTTTGGAGAGAAGAAAACTGAGGCTTAGAGATTGTTAGTCACTTGCTCCAGGTCACATGTTAGCAAAAACCAGAGCCGGCTCAAGAATATCCCTGTCACTAAATGGACATCCCATATTATCACATCTCTGTCACTGAAGCTTTTCTGTAAGGGGCAGAATATTTCAAAAGCTACACATCCGTTTTCTCTGCAGAATGTGATCAGAATGCTGCACCTTCGAAAAAATTATTTGTGACATGAAACTGTGGTACTTGGCTGAGAGTTTTGAGAAAAACAAGAGTTGGTAGGTGGATTTATTTTGAAGGTTAGCCTTCGACAAGGTTCAAGTGAGCTAGTTCTCTTAGAGAATTCCTTAGACAAGAGGAAAGGAGGAAGAGCGAGTGTCCTTTGTTTCCAGGGAGATTCTGACCAAGAACACACTAGACAAAACCAATGGGCCAGGTGTAGTGGCTCACTCCTGTAATCCCAGCACTTTGGGAGGCTGAGGCAGGCGGATCGCTTGAGGTCAGGAGTTTGAGACCAGCCTGGCCAACGTGGTGAAAGCCTGTCTCTACTAAAAATACAAAAACAAACAAACAAACAAAATAGCCGGGCGTGGTGGCAGGCACCTGTAATTCCAGCTACTTGGGAGGCTGGGGAAGGAGAATCGCTTGAACCGGGGAAGCAGAGATTGCAGTGAGCTAAGGTCGCACCATTGCACTCCAGCCTAGGCAACAGAGTGAGACTCCCTCTCAAAAAACAAAACAAAAACAAACAAACAAACAAAAAAACAATGAACCCAAAAGTTGCTTCTTTGAGAAGATCAATACAATGGATAAACATCTAACCAGGTTGATCAGGAAAGGGGAGAAAAGGCACAAATTACCAATTATTAGGGAAGAGTTTTTTTTTCTTTTCTTTTCTTTTTTTTTTTAACGGAGTCTCGCTCCATCGCCAGGGTGGAGTGCAGTGGCGTGATCTCGACTCACTGCAACCTCCGCCTCCCAGGTTCAAGCGATTCTCTGACCTCAGCCTCCCAAGTAGCTGGGACTAAAGGCACATGCCACCATGCCCAGCTAATTTTTTGTATTTTTAGTAGACACAGGGTTTCACCATGTTGGCCAGGATGGTCTCGATCTCCTGACCTTGTGATCCGCCCGCCTCGGCCTCCCTAAGTGCTGGGATTACAGGCATGAGCCACCAAGCCTGGCCAGGGATGAGATTCTTTTTTTTTTTTTTTTTTTTTTTTTGAGACGGAGTCTCGCTCTGTCGCCCAGGCTGGAGTGCAGTGGCGGGATCTCGGCTCACTGCAAGCTCCGCCTCCCGGGTTCATGCCATTCTCCTGCCTCAGCCTCCCAAGTAGCTGGGACTACAGGCGCCCGCCACTACGCCCGGCTAATTTTTTGTATTTTTAGTAGAGACGGGGTTTCACCGTTTTAGCCGGGATGGTCTCGATCTCCTGACCTCGTGATCCGCCCGCCTCGGCCTCCCAAAGTGCTGGGATTACAGGCGTGAGCCACCGCGCCCGGCCCGAGATTCTTGACATCACTGCAGATCTTACAGACAACTTGGGGAAAGTGGACAAATTGCTTGAAAGGCACAAACTACTAAGTTAACTCATGAAAAAATGGATAACCTGAACAGTCCTATCTATGAAAGTAACTATATTTGTAGTTAGAAACCTTCTCACCAAGAACACTCCAGGTCCATATGGCTTCACTGATGAATTCTACCCAGGCTTTAAGGAGACTAACGATTCCAAGTTTACATAAACTTTTCCAGAAAACCAAAAAGGGGAGAGCACTTTCTCATTCATTTAATGAGGTCAGCATTATCCTAATACCAAAGTCAGACAAAGCAATTACAAGACAAGAAAACCACAGGGCCATATTCCTCATGAACAAAGAAGCAACAATTCTAAATAAAATTTTAGGAAATCAAACCCAACAAAGGATAATGCATCACATGTAAGTGAGTCCCAAGAATGCAAGATTAGTTTATTTGAAAATCAATCAATGTAATTCATCATCGTGACAAACTAAACAAGAAAATCATGGCTGGGTGCGGTGGCTCATGCCTGAATCCCAGCACTTTGGGAGGCCGAGGCAGGCGGATCACTTGAGGTCAGGAGTTTGAGACCAGCCTGGCCAACATGGTGAAACCCTGTCTCTACTAAAAATACAAAAATTAGCTGGGCGTGGTGGCACATGCCTGTAATCCCAGCTACTTGGGAGGCTGAGCAGAAGAATCACTTGAACTAGGGAGGCGGAGGTTGCAGTGAACCGAGATTGTTCCACTGCACTCCAGCCTGGGCGACAGAGTGACACTCCATGAAAGAAAAAAGAAAGAAAGAAAAGAAAAGAAAAGAAAAGAAAAAAGAAAAGAGAGAAAAAAGAAAATCATGATAATCTAATAGTGGCAGGAAAAGCATCTGACAAAACCCAACATTCATTCCTAATTTAAAAAAGTCTGAGAAAACAAGGAATAGAAGGACATCCCCCTCATTTTGAAAAACACAGTCACAACTCACCCAGTATGAAATAGATAATTTCAATAGTCCTATAAGTACTTTAAAAATTAAATTAATAATTTTTAAATTACCACAAAAGAAATCTTGTTCATATGGCTTTACTGGAGAATTCTACCAAATGTTTAAACAAGAATTAACACCAATTTTATACAGTCTCTTCTGAGAAATACATGAGATGGGGATACTTTGCAGTTCATTCTGTGAAGCTAGTATTACACTAATACAGAAACCAGACAAAGGCAATAAAATTTTAGTCTAATATTCCCCGTGAATGTAGAGGCAAACATTCTTGAGTATATATCGGCAAACAGAATTCAGTAATATATAAGAAGAATTATACACCATAACCAAGTAGGATTAATTCCAAGGATGCAGGCATGTTTCAATACTCAAAAATTATGAGTATTGAACATAATCCACCCTACTGACAAGTTAAAGAAGAAAAATCACATATTCACATTAATCAATGCAAAAAACAGCATTGATAAAATTCAACATCCGTTTGTGATTTTAAAAAAAGCTCAGAAAAATAGAAATAGGGGAGAAACTTCCTGACTTGACAAAATGCAACTACAAAAAGCTACAGATAACATTATACTTAGTTGTGGAAGACTAAATGTTTTCCCCCTAAGATTGAGAACACAGCAAGAATGTCCACTCTCCCTACTCTTATTCAGTGTAGTGCTATAGGTTCTAGCCAGAATAATAAACACCAAAATTAAAAATACAATTCCACTTATAATTGCTCAAACGATGTAGTAAACGTAACAAAACACATACCTTGTATGCTGAAAAATATACAATGTTGATGAAGGAAATCAAAGAAGGTCTTAATAAATGGAGTGATATACTGCATTCAGGGATTGAAAGACTCAACATAGTAAAGAGGTCAATTCTCTTCAAATTGATATACAAGTTTAATGCAATTAATATCAAAATAACGGCAGAATTTTTTAACAGATGGACAGGGTTATTCTAAAATTTATTTGAAAATGGAAAGAAACTAGGTAAGTTCAAATAATTTTGAAAAAAAGAAGAATAAAGTGAGAAGAATCAGTCTCCCCAATGTCAAGGGTGACTACATAGCTACAGTAATCAAGAAGGCAGTGATAATGGTGGAAGGATAGACATATGTCAGTGGAACAGAATAGAGACTCAGAAATAGAACCACACCAATATGCCCAACTGATTTTTAACAAAGATGCAATTCAATGGAGAAAAAAAGAGACTTTTCAACAAACAGTGCCAGAGAATAGCACATAGGCAATAAAATCAACATCTATGTAAGGTTCACATCTTATACAAAAATCAATTCAAAATGTATAATGAACTTAAATGTAAAATACAAAACTATGAAACTTTCGGGAAAAATGTCTTAGGAATATAGGCCTAGGCAAAAAGGTCTTAAGACTTAACACCAATAGCACAATCCACAAAAGAAAAAGATTGATAAATTCAACTGCATCAGAATTAAAAACTTTTGCTCTTGAAAGATACTTTTCTAAGGATAAAAAGAAGATCCACAGAGTGAGAGAAAATATTTGCAAACAACATATCTGAAAAAGGACTAGTATCCAGAATATATAAAGAACTGTCAAGACTCAGTTAAACCAAACGATCCAATTAGGCAAAAGACATGACGAAACATTTCACTGAAGAGATTACACCGATGGTAAATAAGCACATGAAAAAACACTGAACGTCACCAGCCTTCACAGAATTGAAGAGAGTTAGGGCCTTGCTCCAGATTAGGCTTTGGCTCAAGGCAATGTTGTAGTTAGTTTGATCTTTTATTCAGACCGTAAACCTTTCACCATATCAGCAGTAAGGCTATTTCACTTTTTTATCATTCATGTGTTCACTGGAGTAGCACTTTTAATTTCCTTCAAAAGCTTTTACTTTGCATGCACAACTTGACCAACTGTTTGGTGCAAGAGGCCTAGTTTCAGCGTACCTTGGCTTCTGACATGGCTTCCTCACTAAGCTTAATCGTTTCAGCTCTCGGTGTAAAGTGAGACCTGTGACTCTTCCTTTCACTCAAACACTTACAGGCCACTGTAGGATGATTCCTTGACCTAATTTCAATATTATTATGTTGCAGTGAATAGAGAGGCCCAAGGATAGGGAGAGAGATGGGGGAAGAGCCAGTGATACAGTTAGAACACACAAGCCATTTATTGATTAAGTTCACTGTCTTATAGGGGCATGGTTCATGGTGCCCCAGAACAATTACAATAGTGACGAAGCTCACCGATCGCAGATCACCATAACAGAAGTAATCATAATGAAACGGTTTGAAATACTGTGAGAATTACTCAAATGTGACAGAGCCATGACATAAGCACGTACTGTTGGGAAAATGGCGCTGATAGACTTGCTCCATGCAAGGTCTCCACAAACCCTCAGTTTGTAAGAAACACAGACAGTAAAGCACTTAAATGCATAATAAAACAAGGGAGGCCTGCACACTCCAGTAAAGCTCTTTATTTTTATTTATTTATTTATTTAATTAATTTATTTATTTATTATTTATTTATTTATTTATTTATTTTAAGATGGAGTCTCGCTCTCTTGCCCAGGCTGGAGTGCAGTGACGCGATCTCGACTCACTGCAAGCTCCACCTCCTGGATTCATGCCATTCTCCTGCCTCAGCCTCCCTAGTAGCTGGGACTACAGGCGCCCGCCACTGCGCCAGGCTAATTTTTTGTATTTTTAGTAGACACAGGGTTTCACTGTGTTAGCCAGGATGGTCTCAATCTCCTGACCTCGTGATCCGCCCACCTCGGCCTCCCAAAGGAGTAAAGCTCTTTAAAAAAGAAAGAGTCTGGACAAGTAAATGTTGCCCTTTTAGAGTTTTTTGCTTTTCTAACAGAAAGAGACGTTAGAGACCGTCTAACCTCGTTGTTTTCCAACTGTGTTTCTTGGAACCTGAGGTGGACTATGATTTGCAAAGATGTCCGCAATCATACCCTGATGCCTGTAGGCTCTCCCACAACATGGTCTTGCCTCACCTGTTACTGAGAGGGAGATCTGTGTTCCCTGTGGTTGAATTTGGTGGCCCTTTGACCATCGATAGAATGTGGTGAAAGTAAGGCTGTGTGACTCCTGTGACTAGGTCACATGGGCCACATGTCTTCCACCTGGTTCTCTGGAAACTCTTGCTCTGGAGGAAGCCAGCCACCAAGTAAGAAATCTGACAACCCTGAGACCGCCATGCTGGAGAGGCCACATGTGGATGCATTGGCTGACAGCCCCTGCATCAACACCAGCCACGTGAGCAAGACACCTTGGACACACATGCGGCCTGTCAAGCCTCCAGCTGCCTGCAGTCCAAGCCAACACCTGGCTGCACTCTCTTGAGAGACTCCAAGTGATGATTGCCCAGTCAATCCCTCTCTAAATCCCAGCCCACCAAATCGTAAACAAAGTAAAAGGGCAATCGTTTGATAGCACTGATTTCTGGGGTAATTGGTTACGTAGCAATAGTAACCAAACTAGACCATGCCAGGGATCCCTGGAAGGCAGGGAGAGGGCAGGGTGAGAATCTTCATGGTGGGGGTTCTGGTAGCCTCCCTCCCTCCCTCCCTACTTGCTCAGGTGAGAGGAATTCGATTTGTTGGAGGAAAGTTCCCCTGGTCTCACCTAGCCCCTTCATTTTGGAGATCAGGATACAGAGGCAAAGCAGGGAAGTAATGAGCTGAGGTTTACAAGGCTAGGACGTGAACATGCCATTTCTCACCCTAGAATCTGGCAACTCCAAGTCCAGGGCTCCAATCTGAACATATCAGCTGGCCATTGGGAAGTTCCCAAGTCAATTCTGGGCTTTCTTAGTGCTCCCACTGTAATCTCAATAACACAGATGTTTTTTCCAATTCAAGTTGTGAATCTTAAAGCAAATCTGTCAATTAGAAGAGAGTCATCAGGTTCTGTAGTTAAGGTCTTCCAGTGCTAATTCAAGCAATCTGCTTTCCATCTAGCAGAAGCTACACCCCACATGTGTGTCCTGTGTGATTGTAACTTTGTTTTTAAAGCACTACCTGGGGAAGCATTTCTTATAAAAATTGTCGAAACAACGTAACACTCTCACCCACATGTATTTCCTTTCAGTTTCAACCCATCCAGTCCTGGCAACTCCTATAAGCATCTGCTGTGTTACTTTTTTCCTTCTTCTCCTTTAATGCCAGGGACCTCGTGCTGGGGACCTCGGTAGACCAGGAAGCCACAGTTGGGAATGCATTCAGAGACCATTAGTTCAGGAAGCACAGTGAAATCCAAAGAAACCATGAACCAGTGAGTTGGGAAACACTCTATGAAAGGCCTTTTCAGGCAGTTTCTTTCAGGAGGAGTTTGTTTTTGGATTAAAGGAGTTTATTCAGGTATTCACAAATACCCAGGCTCTCGGCAGCAGCTGGAACGTGGAAAGCCCTCAGTCATAATCAATGGCTGTAGAGCAGACTGGCATGTTCTGCTTGAGCAACACAAGGATGAAAGGGGCATAATTAGGGGACACGCCTTCAGAGGAGATGAAAGGCCCAAGACATCCTCAAAAACGGAGGCAAAATATACCCTGAAGTCACTAGTTTCTTTATTTTGGAAGTAGCAGTTCCAATAAAAGCCTAGGTGTCAAAGGCATTGGGATGCAGCCAAGCCTTGGACGCGGTTGCTTTCTTTCTTTCTCGCCCCTGCCGCTCTTTTCTCGCTTGGGGAAGAAAACTGATGGAAATGTCACTCCTGTATTTCCTGCACTCCTAGCAAATGGTGTAAATGCCTCGCTCCTTAACCGGGGACTCCAGGCTGAGCTGACACTTTGATGGGCTTCCAGGCGGGGTGCATGAGAGGACCACAGGGGTTAATGGAGTAGGTCGGATTTGAAATCTTCCCCCACATCAGATTCTTCAGGGTTTTCTCAGTGGCTCATTTGTATTTTGGAGTCAGCTGGTTACAAAACAGCGCCCTTCCTCTGCTTAGAGACCTGAGAAAGCTTAGGACACTTCACAGTCCTCTTGCAAGCTCCCTTGCCTTGGAAAATTCTTATTTCCTCATTCAATTCAATACAGAAGATGAGCTGGTTTTCATGAACAAGGGGTTTTGTGCTGAGGGCATTGAACAATCTATCCCACCCACCGTTCATTTTCAGATGGGAAGGGGAAGCCCGGCTGAGACTGGGTGACTTGCTCTGAGTGGTAGAACTAGAGCCAAAGAGAAATTTGGGAGAAGTTTTGACCCCCAGAAGAGTGCTTTTTCTCCTGTTTGAGCTGTTCCTTTTCCACTTCCCTTTATTTTTAATCCTTTAATGGACATACTCTGACTGTGTTCTGAGCACTCATTAACACATATTTAAATAATTATGGAAAAATCCGCATTTTATGCATCCTTAAGCACTTTGACCTCTGGGTTTCTGCAGCTGGGGTTTACGGAGCTTCACATATTTGGCACCTTTTAATCCCCGCTCTCACTGCTTCTTTTGCTTCTGTGGTCTTGAAGGAACCAACACAACACACCTGCCTTGTTGAGCTCAGTCTCCAAAACACTCGGCTTTTTCTTTTTCTTCTCCCCGCTTCCCCCCACCCTTTCCTGGCTGAAGTGGAGAGTGGAGAATGAATGTGCTATTGAAAAGCCACGTTGACAACACCACTAAATAAGGATTCCTCTTGGTTGGCAGAATTTTTCCAGTTTAGACCAGGGCTGCATGGAAGGAGATGGGAGGGTGTTCCTCGGCCGGCACAGTGATTGTAGCTTGAGGCAGAAGTTTCCACAAAAATGAAATCACGTTGTCCTACAGAATGCTTTTGGGGCCATCTATGTCATGCTCCTTTTTCCTTGGTTAGAGCTAATGGCATCATATTTCATGGTACAGATGGACGGTTGACTTCAAAACCAAGTGTCTACTGATGGGACAAATGGACATCTGGGTTGTCATCTATTTGTTTAATTTACTTAATTTTGCTATTATTGACAGCATCTGATAAACATCTTTGCATACAGGACTTTTCGGTCTAGTCTGAATATATTTACTCGCGACATATTCCTACAGGTGCTGTTCTA
Source organism: Homo sapiens (assembly GCF_000001405.40). NCBI lineage: Eukaryota > Metazoa > Chordata > Mammalia > Primates > Hominidae > Homo > Homo sapiens. Next base: position 86,693,941 of record NC_000016.10, read on the forward strand.
GAAAGGGTCTGTTCTCCTTACATTTGGACCTGTATTTCCAAGCTGGTCTTGAGAAAGGCGGGGGTGATTTTTTTTTTTTTTTTTTTGAGATGGAGTCTCGCACCCTGGCCCAGGCTGGAGTGCAGTGGCACAATCTCGGCTCACTGTCAGCTCCGTCTCCTGGGTTCACGCCATTCTCCTGCCTCAGCCTCCCAAGTTGCTGGGATTACAGGCACCCGCCACCAAGCCTGGCTAATTTTTTTTGTATTTTCAGTAGAGAGGAGGTTTCACTGTGTTAGCCAGGATGCTCGTGATCTCCTGAACTCGTGATCCACCCTCCTTGGCGTCTCAAAGTGCTGGGATTACAGGCGTGAGCCACCACTCCCGGCCGCGATTTTGAATTCTGCCATCAGCTTTAGAGAATGCTCGCCATGCCCTCTGCCTTCACCAGCACTGTGGTTCCTCAGGAAAAACAGCCTTCATCCATACAGGGTTGCAACGCCCCATCTGCTGGGGATGTGTTGCTTGACGTGAGACTCAAAGGCTGAAGAGGAGCGGTCCAGGCTGGGGAAGAGGGTTTCAGGTGGGGAAAAGAGTTGGACCTTGGCAGGGGAGCAGCAGGCAGGAGGAGTATTTACCCTTGTATTTACCTCCCCATGGTGCTCCCTTGGGCTGGCAGCATCCGTTGACTGAAGGGACACGTTGGCTGGCCCTCTCCCGCAGGTGCAGCTCACGCTCTGTGCCCCATGACAGTCACTCCCACTGCTGCTAGCCTGGGCTGCTTCTCCCTTGTTACGGATTCCTTTAGTCCCGGCCAAGCCTGTGTAAGTAGCTTGTTTATTAAACTCTCTCGATGGCCCTGTTTGAGAGCATCAGCTGTTTCTTCCTGCAACCCTGCCTGGCACAAAGGGATGATCACCATGATCCTTAATCATTTTACAAGATGAACAAATGTACAGTTCAACACAGCAAGACGACAAACAGGCAAACAAGAAAGATAACAAACATCACCATGCTTGAGAGGAAAAGAAGAGAGTGGAACTAACTGTGGGGGAGGACCTCATACACCCAAACAAGGCCTGTCAATAACTTCTGCTCCTCGGATCCCAGATCTGCCCCTCTCTGTATTCTTTATTGCTCATGATTGTTGAAGACATGACCAGCCAAACAACTGGCCAGGCAGGAAGCATGGTGGTCATCGAATGGACTCTGTTCACAGTTGGCGTTTGCATGACGAAATAGCGCTGTACTGGCCGAGCACAGTGGCTCACCCCTGTAATCCCAGCACTTTGGGAGGCCAAGGCAGATGGATCACGAGGTCAGGAGATCGAGACCATCCTGGCTAACACGGTGAAACCCCGTCTCTACTAAAAATACAAAAAAATTAGCCGGGCGTGGTGGTGGGCGCCTGTAGTCCCAGCTACTCTGGAGGCTGAGGCAGGAGAATGGCGTGAACCTGGGAGGCGGAGCTTGCAGTGAGCCGAGATCGAGTCACTGAACTCCAGCCTGGGTGACAGAGCAAGACTCCTTCTCAAAAAAAAAAAAAAAAAAAAAAAAAAGACACAGTGCTGTCTTCTACGGGCTCTGCATGGCATGTCTCTGGTGCTTCTGCTGTGGGAAATCTGTCCTGCTATCATATGTGCCCAAACCCACCAAGGATTATAAATGCTGAAGCGTAAGGGGTGAGCACAAGTTACTAGAGTTTTGTTGAAATATGCAATTACATGTTGTTATTTACTTAGTACTTGTCTTCAAATCCGCTCACTTTTTATAAGAATGCAGTTATCTTCAAGCCAAGAAATACTACTGCAAAATTAAGAGTTTTATGCCCTTAATGTGTATCTTAAAATCTTAACTTAACTTTAAATATGCAACTATCTTAAAAAGTCGGTGTATGACCTAAAACATCTTGTGTGTCAGCAGTTGGAACACTTACTGCATTGTAAAAAAACATCGCCTTGACCCAAGACAGGGGGAGGAGCCATTCGTATACCTGCGTATGACCTCAGGCAAGGCTCTTGATGTTTCTGGGACTCTTGTAAAATGATGGCAATAGTATCCACCTTGCAGCATTGTTATAATCATTAACAATTCATTGGACCATCTCTCCATGCATCCATCCATGCATCTACCCATCCATCCATCCAAACTCAATCTTGTTCCAAAGGGAACTGAAGTCTACTCACCGGCCCTGTATGCAGTAAGTCCGCCATGCATTGAAGCTACTAACCAGTGTCATCAATCTTATTCCAGCCTTCTTCAGCTTGCTGCCTTTGCTGGGGAAGTGCCCACTCAGGACAGCTGAGGAGACGGAGCCACGGAGGTTGACATAGGAGGTGATGGAACAGCCAGTTTTCCTGCTGAGCCCATCCGTATAGACAGCCGGCATGCATTGATGTGTCTCTCTCCCAGCTTCAACCCCTGTCTGCAGAGCTGGAGTCTCCGACTGTTCCCGCATGTCCCTTCTCTGTTGTTACCTGCAGTCCAGACAAAAATGGCATAGTAAAATAAAAGTTGAGAGAATGCACAAACTGATCTTTATTTTCTCCAACATCAAAGCGTGATTGATTTATTTATATTTATTTATTTATTTATTTTATTTTTGAGACAGAATTTCACTCTGTTGACCAGGCTGGACTGCAATGGCTCACTGCAACCTCTGCCTCCCTGGTTCAAGCAATTCTCCTGCCTCAGCCTCCTACATAGCTGGGATTACAGACGCCCACCACCACACCTGGCTAATTTTTTGTATTTAGTAGAGTCAGAGTTTCACCATGTTAGTCAGGCTGGTCTCGAACTGCTGACCTCAGGTGATCCACCCACCTTGGCCTCCCAAAGTGCTGAGATTACAGGTGTGCACCACCGCACCCAGCCGCATGATTTTTTTTCTTTCTGTTCTAGACAATTTGAAAACACGAATGAGAAGAAGAAACAGAATCCCCCTAATCCTAACTGCATCAAACACAGCAAGCACTTCAACATTCATCTCTGTGGACCCTTTCTTGCTAGGAAAGCTGGAGATTTTCCCTACATAATTATGCTTAAAAAAAAAAACCTTTCAAGTTTAGAATAGTTTTATATTTGCAGAGAAATTGTGACAATAGTACAGAGAAATACACCCCACACCCAGTTCCCCCTATTATTAACATCTTATATTAGTATGGTGGAACATTTGTTACAATTAATGCAGAATGAGACATTTTTATTAACTGAAGTCCATACTTGATGTTCTTTTTCTGTCCCAGAATCCCACATTGCATTTAGTCATTGTGTGTCCCCAGGCTCCTCTTGGCTGTGACACTTTCTGACTCTCCTTGTCTTTGATGATCCTGAGAGTTTTAACGAGGACTGGTCAGGCGTTTTGTAGAACGTCCCTCAATTTGATCGCCTGATTTTTTTTTTCTTTTTTTTTTTTTTTTGAGATGGAGTCTTGCTCTGTCATCAAGGCTGGAGTGCTGTGGCTCGATCTCGGCTCCCTGCAACCTCGCCTCCCAGGTTCAAGCAATTCTGCTGCCTCAACCTCCCATATAGCTGGGACTACAGGCACGTGTCACCACGCCTGGCTAATTTTTGTATTTTTAGCAGAGACATGGTTTCACTGTGTTGGCCAGGCTGATCTCAAACTCCTGACCTCAAGTGATCTGCCCGTCTCAGCCTCCCAAAGTGCTGGGATTACAGGCATGAGCCACCACTCCCACCCTGGTGTTTTTCATGATTAAACTAATCCGGTTTTTGGGAGTGACACTTTTTAAACCCCTTGTTTAAGTTTCTATTATGAAGGATAGGAGAGAAGAGCTGATAACTTTTGGGGATAGCTAAGAAGAAAGCATGTTGCTACATTTTTGCCTCCACTCAATTAGTGAGTGTAGTTTGAGGCCACCTGACTACAGGGCTGCCTTCTCTCCCCTTTCCCATCTCTAGGCTCCAGTCTCCACTGCCTGAAGGAAAGAAGCTTTTGAAACTTGAATCCCATCTCATCACTTCCTGGCTGAAAGCGCCGGCGCTGCTGTGGCTGTGGTCCTTGGGCAGGATTCCAAATCCTTCTTCTGAGCTTTCAAAGCCCTCATCTGGCTCCAGAAGTTCCTTACCCCTGGTCTTAGTTAGAGACAAAAATTTGGATGCAAGTAGTTGATTTGGGGTGGGATTGGTGATCCAGGAAGCAGGGGAGAAGGGGTGGGGTGGAAGGAAACTGTGAAAGGGCATGGGCAATGTCAGCAAGGGGGTCTCGTTTCTGCTGGAGACCCCCAAGGAGTGTGCAGAACCTCCTCTGAGTCTGCCAGCTCCTGTTCTTTGTGATTTGGGGATGCTCCTGGGTCATTACTGTCTGGATGTCCAGCCTGCTTCCTGTTAAGCAGGGTGGTGTTGGGGACCTGCCCCCTCCAGCTGTGGGGGCATCCAGGTGGGCCATGGGAGGCGGTGGGCCCCACAGCCTCCTTCTCTGATGGGCTTTCCTGGACACATTGGACACTGTCTTCCCACCACCCCACCTCCCGGTTAGCCTGGCCACCTTCTCACTCAAAATGCGTGGTCTCCAAAGTGGGTGCTTGTGGGTCAGACCACCTCAGAAGTGACCTCCAGGAGAGGGAGGTAAATAACAGAACTTCTACTTACATCTTTTTTTCATCTCAAAGTAAAAGAGACCAAGTCTTAGGAAGGCATTGACACCATGGCATGTATTCTGTGAGGTTTTCCTCCATTTGGAGGTGCTCTATTAAAAATGTAAGAGATTTTTTCCCTTTCTGAGGAGCACTCAAGAGGGATAGTGAAATAAACTAAACTCAGAACCAGATTCTTACATCTCTGTGTTAAAAAGTGTGAAAGATTTTCAAAACAACATTGTATCTGTAATCACAGTGCTTCTGAAAAAAAATGAGAGCAAAAGTTTTTTTACTGTTTATAACATAAAATGATACTTAATTATTGCTTTTTTGTATTTAGCATATTCTTTTAATTTTTTCTATTTTTGTTTTACAAAGTAGATGATGCACATGGAGGGCCTGTATAGAATTTATAATAAATGAGCATGGGTTGTGTGGCGTCAACATTTTTTACCTGATGGGAAGCAGATCAGGAGGGTTTGGACCAGGTTTAGGTGTAGCTGACACGCTGCTTCTTCCAGCTGTGCCCTGATTGTCCAAGTACTGGTTTGATAACTCGATGACGAGGTCCTACACTCCCTCCACCTCCCTCCTCTCCCATTCATGTTCCTAATCTCGACTGTGTTCCCGATGCCTTTGTTCTGTGTGATGTCATGGTCCCATAGCTTAGTGCTGATGAACAAATATCTTTTTATTTGGAGGCCCCTGAAAATGTGTTTTTTGTTTTGTTTTGTTTTGTTTCTCTTTTGAGACGGAGTCTTGCTCTGTCGCCCAGGCTGGAGTGCAGTGGCGTGATCTTGGCTCACTGCAAGCTCTGCCTCCCGGGTTCACGCCATTCTCCTGCCTCAGCCTCCCCAGTAGCTGGGACGACAGGCACCTGCCACCACGCCCGGCTAACTTTTGTATTTTTAGTAGAGATGGGGTTTTACCGTGTTAGCCTGGATGGTCTCTATCTCCTGACCTTGTGATCCATCTGCCTTGGCCTCCCAAAGTGCTGGGATTACAGGCGTGAGCCACCGTGCCCAGCCGAAAATGTCTTACTCCTTGGCCAGCTTGTAATCTCCACAACAAAAAGATGTAACTGTAGGAGATGACAGAAACTCCAGGACTCAGAGCAGGGTGCAAAGGTTACCAGGGGATATTCAGGGGATGATCGTAACCCACGGGGCCCGCCAACACCCTGACAGGTGGCCTCTGTGGGTTTGCGCATTGTAGGCAGACCTGTGGACAGGTGAAGAGGGCCAGGTTACTTCTCCTGCTCAGCGAGACTTCTCAGGGGTGCTCTTCGAGGGCCTCCGCTGTTTCTGGCTATAATGTTCTAGAGTTTGCACGTGTGCGGTATCACACGCACACATACACACACCATGCTCACATGCAGCACACCCCAACACACACCCTCTTTGTACAGTGAGCTCATTGTGAGTTGGTTGCCTTTCTGAATACTGAGCTCAACAGGGTTTTTACGAGGTCAGGTTTAGGGGATTTTATGTAACAAAATAAACTGAACATTGATAGAGTGAAATATCTTTCTTTAAAAGGCTGGGCTTAAAATGGCAAACGAAAACAAGACCGCACATCCTCAAAGTGGCAGAAGGAGACAGAAAATCAGCTTCCTGCATTTCTTGATGAATTCAGCTGCAGGACCTCAAACAGAGAGGATGAGCTTTTCTTTTCTTCTACATTTTTGTCTTCTCTTTTTAAAAATAAGAATGAATCATGCTGAGAGAGATTTCTCTACCAAGAGCTCTTCTACTGGATGGATTCCAAAGGAATGTCAACTCGAAATCTGGGCTCACTGGTGAGAAGGGGGCTGGTTGGGTGACAGCCTCCCATCCCATCCTTTTTCTTCCATTCCACCCGCCTGGGCAATTGCATGTGGTTCCAGCCCTTGGTCCTGGAGAAGAGCCCAGGGCGGTGTCAGGGGAGCTGCCATCAAACCTGCAGCCTCGTTCGCCGGTCTTCACCAGCCGTGCTGCCCGCCCCACCTGTGAAAGCAGGGGAGTGAGGCTGCCGGGAGGATGAAATGCGACGGCTCACAGAGGTCGCAGCCCACGCCCAGCTGCGGGAGGGCCTGTCGAGTCCCCGATCAGGAAGGCCCACGTCCAGATGCCTTGGAGATGCCCCGGGTTTTCATCTTGGAGGCATCTCAGATGTAAAATGGCCAAACGGGCCCTCTGGGCTCTGCCCAGGCCTGCTCTTCCTCTCCTCCTCCATGGCTCTGAAAAGGGCACCCCACCCTCCACCTCCCAGAGTTGTCTTTGTTGAACTCCCCCGTCCAGCCCTCCTTGAGTGTGGACCGTGCAGCCTTCCATGGGCACCCAAGAAGCTCCACAGCCTCCACACCTGAGCTAAGCTCCATCCTCTCCTTCCGGAGGACAGAGCCAGCTGCTTCCCTCGTCCCCCGCCACCTGCAGTCCCCGTCCCACCGTGGCCTGGGTCATGGCTTTCCATCACCCTTGGAATCGAATCCAGAGGGCTTCTCTGGGCTCCCACAGACGTGCACGATCCAGGACCTGCTCCCTTGCTCCGCTTTTCCCCTTCCCCTTCCCGCCCCCCATGGCCACCCTGGCCCTCTCTGTCCTCCTGACCTTCCGCAGGGGTTCCTGCACCCATGGTGTTCCCCCCTGTCTGGCAAGCTCTTCCCTGGTAGCTTCTTCTGTCCTCAGAGGGGTCTTTCCTGAGCAGCCAATCGAAGCCTCACCCCATAGTCTCCCTGAGTTGATTTCCCGTGGTTCTCAGCGCCCTCCGAGGCCATCGCACTAATTTCCTCATTACCCACCCCCACCCTCACAAGCTGGGAGGGCACGGACCCGCCCCATTCTGTTCCCTGATGTACCCTCTGTGCACGCACCCTGCGGGCATGCAGCAGGTGCTCGGAAACGCCGATGGAATGAACCAGCGCGCATCACAGAAAGAGCTAAGGGACCTCCACACCTGCTCCTGTCGGAAGACGGTTGGGCGGCAGACACAAAAGGAGGCAGAGACCCCACCGCAGCCTCGGGTCCTGTTCCTCAGGCCAGGACGCCCCACTCCGGGAGACCATATGGAAGACCGGTGGCCAGCACTTTGGATGCGGTTGAAGACAGATGTGCTTTTCGCGTAAGTGCTTTGAGCGCAGAGTTTCCCTTCAAGCCCTGACTCCCTCTTTGGTACAATGGGGAATCGTGACCGCCTTCTGGGGTGAGGCTCAGGTGATCCTCAAGTCTTGGATACCTACAGATTCAGGGATCTGCAGGCCGGCCACAGCCAGCAGGCCGGGGTTGTTCCCAGCACGGCCGCCCGCATTCTGCCTCCTCCAGAGTGAGTATCCGGGCAGTTTCCTGGGGAGACCTGGGTTCCCATTTGTATCACAATGACAACAGCTAGTTTCTGGCACCTAAAGCAGGACCACAGCTTCATAAAACTACCTCTTCGATAATAGAGAGGAGAGAGGGATAAATACTTCAAAATGGTGTTCCAGGACAAGATGACCAACAGGTTTTGAGAACGGAGGTTTCAGAAACTATCTGAGCCAGGCACGGTGGCTTACACTTACAATCTCAGCACTTCGGGGAGCTGAGGTGGGAGGATCACTCGAGCCCAGGTGTTCAAGATCACCCGGGGCAATAACAAGACCTCAGCTTTACTAAAAATTGTAAAAATATTACCCAGGCATGGTGGCACATGCCTGTCATCCCAGCTTCTCAGGAGGCTGAGGTGGCAGGATCACTTGAACCCAGAAGGTTGAGGTTGTAGTGAGCTGAGATTGCACCACTGCATTCCAGCCTGGGCAACAGAGTGAGACCTTGTCTCGAAAAAAAATAAAAAAAAAAAAACAAGCAAAGATTCCATGTCACACCGATTAGGACGGCTGTTCTGAAAGAGGCAGGGAATAACACATGTTGGCAAGGACGCAGAGAGGACAGAATCCTTGTGCACAGTTGGCGGGAAAGGAAAATAGTGCAGCCACAGTGAAAAACACTCTGAGGTTCCTCAAAAAATTAGACAGTTGCCATATGACCCAGCAATTCCACTCTTAGGTATATACCTACAGGAGCTAAAAGCAGAGTCTTGGGATTTTTTTTTTCTTTTTCTTTTTCTTTTTTTTTTTTTTTTGCAATGGAGTCTCACTCTGTTGACCAGGCTGGAGTGCAGCAGCATGATCTCAGCTCACTGCAACCTCTGCCACCTGAGTTCAACTGATCCTCCTGCCTCAGCCTCCTGAGTAGCTGGGACTGCAGGTGTGTACCACCAGGCCTGGCTGATTTTTTGTATTTTTAGTAGAGACGGGGTTTCACCATGTTGGCCAGGATGGTCTCGAACGCCTGACCTCAAATGATCCACCTGCCTCACCCTCCCAAAGTGCTGGGATTACAAGTGTGAACCACTGCACCTGGACTTGGAGAGATTTTTGCATACCCACATTCAGAGCAGCACAATTCACAATAGCTAAAAGGTGGAAGCAATCCAAGTATCCGTTGACAGATAAATGAGTCAACAAAATGTGGTCCATCCATAGAGTGGAATATTACGCGGCCTTAAAAAAGACGGAAATCCTGACCCATGCTCCAACATAGATGAGCCCTGAGGGCATTATGCTCAGTGAAATAAGCCAGGCACACACACCCACACACACACACTCCCACACCCCCACACCCACACACACACACCCCCACACACACCCCCACACCCACACACCCACACACCACACACACACACCCCCACACCCACCCCACACACCCACACACCCACACACCACACACACACCCACACACACCCATACCCACACCCACACACACCCACACACCCACACCCACACCCCACACACACTCACACCCCCCACACACCCACACACCCACACACACACCCACACACCCCCACACACATAACCACACACCCAGACACACCTCCCCACACACACACACCCACACACACACACCCACACACACACACACAATACTGTACAACTGCACATATACGAGGTGCCTAGAGTAGTCAGATTCATGGAGACAGAAAGAATGGTGGGTGCCAGGGCTGGGAGAGGATGCATGGGAAGTGTTGACTTAGCGTTTAATGGGACAGAATTTCAGTTTGGGAAGATAGAAAAATTCTGGAGATGGATGGTAGTGATGGATACAAAACAATATGAATAAAAATGGTTTAAACGGTGATAACAAGTATATTTTGCTGCAATTATATAAAAGTCTGGCAGCCACTAGCACCTGTGTAGGGTGTCACCCTTGCCACCTTCCACGCGTGTGGAGCCCGCCTTGCAGAGGAGGAGTTATGAAAGGAGACAGGTAGATGGGGCAGGTGCTGGGTGCAGGGCCAGGCTGGGCCGGGCCCTGCCTCTGTTCCATCTGTCTGCAGCCCAGGTGCCATCTTCAGAAAGCCCAAGGTCACCCCGGGGACAGGCTCCTCCACACAGAGTCTTGCAGCTGCCAAGGCCTCACCCCCAGAGACACTGGGAAGATAAGAAGAGGTGTAACTTCACCTGAAAGCTGCCAGGGCTCAGACGCACTTCAAAGGCAAGACTCTGGGAGGAGGCCCCGGAGCAGGAAGAGGCGTGAAGGGGATGATCGTGTTCCACCAGAGTGAAAAGGGCATTGCAGGGAGAAGCTGATGGGTTCATGGGGATGGTAACTGTCTCCCTGGAAGCCCCAAGAGGGTGAGGTGAGCTCTCAGAGCTCAGGGGAGGTGAGTGAGAAGGGCCCCTCAAACCCCAAAATCCAACAGCGGAAGCAGCAGGGCGGCAATGCAAGGGCCCCAGGTGGAAAGTGTGCAGCCTGCCTCCTGGAAAGGGCATGCAGTGCCCCGGGAATTCCACGCACATTCCAGGAAAAAAGAATGAGGATGAGAATCAAAATCCCCCAGCGGTAACTCTTCCTGCAAAGAAGTAAACCCCCAAATTTCCTGAAGGTGCCCCTCGCCGCCAAACTCAATGCCTTCTCACTAAATGGCAAAGGAAAGTAGGATTTCTTCTCTTGGATTGGATCTTAGTTTTTTAAAAATGCACCTTTGGAAACAAACTCTAAAAGCATCTCAGGAGGGCCCACTCCTCCCGGGAAGCAATCCTGATTTTACCAGGGATGCTCGCAAGACTGCAGGGCCCTATTGCTCCTGCTGCCCCGACCCCTGACCAGCGGGGACAGGAGCTGGTGGGCACCTTCAGGAAGTCCAGGTGGGGGAGCCCAAGGTGCTGGGATGTGAGGGACAGACAATCACTGCCCTCATGGAGCTGTTCACACAGCGGATGAGGTTGACACAATCCAGAGGGAGCACCCAGTAATGGGGGTCCCGAGTTCAGAGAGCAGAGGGCTTCCTGGTGGAGGTGACACTGAAGCCTAGAGCGGAAGGGTGGTAATGACCAGATGAGGAGCTCACTCTCTGTTTCGGGGGTGAGTGTTGAGAGAGGGAGAACAGCAGAGGTAGAGGTGAGATGGGGTTGGGGTGTAGTAGGGCCCACTGATGGCTTCAAACTGCATGGGTCTTGAGGACCCAGGGAAGACTTGAATGGTTTAAACAAAGAAGAGAATTGGTGTTGGATCATTCAAAGCCATGCTTAACTCTGTGAAACACTAAGTGGTTTAACCTTTCTTTAAACCCTGCTGTGGCCAGGCGCGGTGGCTCACACCTGTAATCCCAGCACTGTGGGAGGCCGATGCGAGTGGATCACCTGAGGTCACAAGTTTGATTCCAGCCTGACCAACGTGGTGAAACCCAGTCTCTACTACAAATACAAAAATTAGTCAGGCATGGTGGTATGCGCCTGTAATCCCAGCTACTTGGGAGGCTGAGACATGAGAATCACTTGAACCTGGGAGGCTGAGGTTGCAGTGAGCTGAGATTGTGCCACTGCACTCCAGCCTGGGCGATAGAGCGAGACTCCATCTCAAAATAAATAAATAAATCAACCTTTGCTGAGCTGCAGGACGTGGACTGGGTGGGGGTGGGAGTCAGGGAGCCCCGTCCAAACTGTGGGATGGTCCTGGACAAGGCGATGCAGCATGGCCCAGGGTCCTGGCAGTGAGATACAGAGGTGGACCAGACTGAGAGAGGCTTGGGGGAGGGGCTTCATGAGTCTTCCCTAAAGTGCCTGATAGGGTTTGGCTGTGTCCCCACCCAAATCTCATCTTACATTGTAGCTCCCGTAATCCTCATGTGTCATGGGAGGGACCCAGTGGGAGGTAATTAAATCATGGGGGTGGGTTTTTCCCTTGCTGTTCTCATGACAGTGAATAAGTCTCACGAGATCTGATGGTTTTATAAAGCACAGCTCCTCTGCACATGCTCTCTTGCCTGCCGCCATGTAAGACATGCTTTTGCTCCTCCTTTGCCTTTTGCCATGATTGTGAGGCCTCCCCAGCCATGTGGAACTGTGAGTCCGTTAAACCTCTTTTTCTTTATAAATTACCCAGTCTTGGGTATTTCTTCATAGCAGTATGAAAATGGACTAATATATGCCTTATCGGAATTTTAAATTTTTTTTGGCCAATGTCTGCATTCTTTCTTAGAAAATGGGCCAATTTTCTAAAATATCATGTCTTAAAAAATGAGTCATGAATTCTGGAAGAAAAGGGAGGCGATGTGGGCAAAAAGAACACGCTAAGACCTAGGTTCGAGTCCCATCTCTTCTGCCAGAGCTTTTGTAAGGATGGTGCTTGGGAATGTCGAATTAATCACATCACCTCTCCTCTAGGATAGAAAACCACAGAGCACAGATTCGAGGAACCACGAGGATCAACGTCCAGAACCCTCTTTGTTGCTGGGGAACCTAGATCTTGATCTGTAATGGCCCTGACCTCACCAGCCAGCGGCAGGCACACACGCCCCTGCATCCTCCGACCGTGGATGCCCCTGGCTGTGTGTTAAGGTGGAACTCCTGGCCCAGGGAGCACCAGGCTGACCTGCCAGATAAGCCACCCCTCCTTCCCCATGGGAAGAAGCCTGTGAAGCCTGAGGGTGGCTGGAGGCCAGTGCTGCAATTCCTAGCGTGTGTGCTCAAGAGAGGAAAGTGGACATCCCTGCATGGGAGAACAGACGGAGTGGTAGGGTCCCCAAATAGTTGTGCCTTACCTCGGCGATTCTGATTTGGCATCTGTGTGTAGCAGGCTCCAGGGGGCATTTTGGGGGTACAGCCATGTAGGTATGAATGGGGTGGTTCAGAGAGCCGTGGCTGCAGCAGGAGCTTGGCCCTGTGACCGGGGAAGCTCCTCACCTTTCTCATCCTGTGTCCTTAGGAAGACAAGGTGAGTGAAGTTTGACCTTCCCATTGTGAAGGCCAAGGTCAGTTTGTAACCCACTGAGTCTGAGGCAGCACTGGGGGCTGAACAGACCTGTGGGAGGCAGTGGGAGAAGTAGGGGCTGCGCTCCAGAGCCAAGTGGCAGCTCGGGAGGACTCTGGCTCATCGGTGTCAGCTGATGGCTCCCCAGATGGAGAGACAGTCTGGGCCTGGAGTTGGGCAGCCTGGATTCACATCCCACCTCCGCCCCATACAGGAACCACTGTAGGAGCTGGGGGCGGGTGATTTCACCCTGCTGGCCTCAGTTTCCCCAACTGTAAGTGAGGAATAAGAGCAACATCCACTTCCTGGAGTTGTGAGGAGCACATGAGCTGCACGCGGAGTGGGCCTCGACAGCTATCAACCCCGTAGTTCCCCTTATTGATCAGCACTGTGCGGAATATTCTGGAATCGAGAGATATTAGAGTGTAGGAGGAAGTGTGCAGCCCGGCGTGGCCTCGTCAATTTTGAGTGGGTGCCACAAGCACCTCTGATTTAACTCTGCGAAACACTAAGGGGTACAACCTTTCTTTAAATAAACTCCCTACTCCACTGCGGCATGCTCCTGAATCCGTCCTGGCTTCGAGCAGAACCAAGTGAGCGCCGTCCATTCATGCCCTTCGTGGAGTGCGTGACTGCAGTGATACCTCGAAGTGTCAGATGTGAGCGTAGGGCTTCGAGAGACAGCTGCTGACATCCTGGCTCGATAAAGACGCTGCCTTTTGGGTTACTCAGTTACTGGAATTTTCCACCTTCTGCCAAAGCCTGTCAAGTCAGGACACATCTCATTTGAAGAAAGCAAGGGTTTTACAGGAAAACGCCAACGCAGCCTTTCATGGGCATAAACAAGGGCCACTGTGCTCTGGCATACCTGTGGACCGGCGACGTGGCCTGAGAGCCATGCGTGTTCACAGTGCTCCCTCTTTTCACGCACAGAAACTTACTGGAAATCCAGATATGAAACAGTGCAATCCCAAGGAGAGGCTCGTGGATTGCAGGCCGTCTACACCAAATGCGCTCTGCACGGCCCCGTGACGGAAACCCAGGCTGCTGAGTCAGACGTGACCGGAGAAGACAGCCAGCGTTCAGGGACCCGATATTCAGGGAGTTGTGGGCTCTAAGACTCGTTCTCCTGGGTCGGAGGATTCTGGCAAATGACTTCCACCAACGCCATTTGAATTTCCCATGTCTTTTATCACATCTCATACTCTACTTTCTGTCATTAGATTCTTATTCCACGGCTGAATGAGACACTTCTACACTGAAGTGTATGGACTCTGATTTCGGAAGGCCAAGTACAAAGCAGACAGGCTTTATGTGAGCAACATAAACACTGATGTTCCTTAGGGTCCCATTTTCACTGAAGCTCACCCTTCTCCTCCCAGCCATCCCTGCTTTCTGGACATTTTGAAGGCCATGATTGAAAGCTGCAGCCACTACCAAAGAGAAATGTTTCACTTAACGATGTCCCAGCGAAAAGTGGTGGGAAATCTAGGTACAGTGTTAACACGACTTTTAACGCTCTCTCGTGAGAGGCACAGACACAGTGAGCCCAGGTGAGTTCAGGGCCCTAATGATGTCACCAAGGCCCAGGTGTGTCCAGACTCGGTGTGACGGCACTTCGTCCTCAGGCTATAGGAAGGGGCCGCAGACTCGAGCATCTCAACCTCTCAAGACAACATCCAAAGCCAGCGTGGGGCAGGGGGCCTGTCTTTGCATTTTCCGGAAGGAGACTTCCCCTTATGTCGACTTGGGCCAAAAGACCCTTCCTCAGTGGACCCCTGGACCCCACCATAGGTGCCGTGGTAGCTCCCCTGCCGTGCCTCTGGACCCCTGTGACTGGATGCGTTACCTGGCCTCCTGCCATGGGTGCTGTGGTAGCTCCTGGAAGAGGAGCATGTTGCATTTGCAGCCTGTGTCACGGGAGGCCGACTGTCTGTGTGCAAGAACGGAAGGGCTGGCTCTGGGGAGACGACTCATGCCATCTGCTGTGGGAAGCCCCTGGTGGGGATTCTGATTGGAAAGCTGTGGCTAGACCCCAGGGCCATCTGAGGACAGGGACAATAGAGCTGGGCTGAGATAGGCTGTCTGTATTTCTCACAGTGTTCTAACAAGTCAGGACCAGACCTGGAATCCGGGTCTCCCATTTGCTGACTTCTTGTCAGCAATTCCCATATTTTCCCCAATTCGGTTGACTGCAATTCCCATAAAACCTACAATATAATCATAGTGGAGCATTGTGAAAAGCAATTCAGGGAATTGCTTCCTCTCTTCCTTCCTTCCTTCCTTTCTTCCTTCCTTCTTTCCTTCCTCCTTTCTTCCCTCCTCTCCTCTATCCATTCTTCTCACCTCTCTCCCTCCATCTAATTCTTTCAATGTTTAGAGTAGCCATTTGACCCAGTTCTGCCCAATGAGACATAAAAAGTCTGTTTCTGGGGAATATTTTTCCTCCTTATGTAAGGGAGAGACATTCAAAGAGAAGAAGTCTCAGAAGAGGACGTGATGCTTGGAGCTGCAGCAGCCATGTTGCAACAATGAGGCAAGATCCCTGGGGATGAAACGTTCTGAGCCTTGTGCTGGGGACACACAATGAAAAACAGGCACTTTCTGTTCTCCTAGACTCCAAATTCAGTGCAAGAGACAGAGATAAACAGCAATTACAATCTTGTGTGAGTCACTGTAGGGGAAGTACTGGGAGGGAAATCAGGGGCAGTTTTGGGGGCGGTGAGGTCCATGCAGAAGCTCGGGGAGGAGGAGATGGTAGCAAGAGAAGAGCGGGCAGAGGGCACAGCCTGAACAGAAGTGGCATCAAGCAAGCTGACTTCATGTTGGGGGAGTGGCAATGCCTTCAGGGTGGACGCAAGGGAGACCCTTCGGGGAGAAGCAGTGAGCAGTGAAGCTGGAGAGAAGCAGGGACTGGATGCGGAGGACGGTGGTTCCCCACTCCTTCAGGATCAAGCCCCACTCTGCTCTTTTCTTCCACCCATGCACTGGATATGTGCATCCCAGCCCCAGGCCCAAATCTTTAAGGTGCAACAACATAAACTTGTCTGAATGTTAAGGTCTGTTTTCATTTAACCGATCCTTCTGAAAAGTGTAAAGTTAGAGATCTGATGCAATGATATTCCGTTTGAAAAATCCCGAAAGGCTAATGATAGGGTTTGGCTCCGAGTCCCCACCCAAATCTCGCCTTGAATTGTAATAATCCCCACGTGTCAAGGGCAGAGCCAGGTGGGGATCACTGAATCATGGGGGTGGTTTCAGCCATGCGGTTCTCGTGATAGTGAGTGAGTTCTCACGAGATCTGATGGTTTTAAAAGCATTGTCTGGCATTTTCTCTGCTGGCGCTTCTTCTCTTGCCTGCTGCCGTGCAAGACACGCCTTTCACCTTCCGCCGTGATCATGAGGCCTCCCTAGCTACGTGGAACTGTGAGTCCATTAAACCTCTTTTTCTTTATAAATTACCCAATCTCGGGTATGTGTTTATCCGCAGCGTGAAAACGGACTAATACAGCTTCTTACAAATGCACTCACAGAGCAGAGTGCCTGCCCCCCGAGACGGCCTGGTAGCGGCTCCTACGGAGTCCGAGGTGGCCTTTCTGCCTGTGCCTCCCCACCAGGGCCCTCCGTAAGCACTGACTGGGGTTGGGCAGAGGGCGCTGCAGCCTCGCTCGTCACCCAAGGCGGGCAGAGCCTCCTGGCCTCTGATAGCGGCTCTGCACTCCTGCGTCCTGTTCTCCATGGTCTGGGGATGACCAGAGGAGGACGACCAGCTCCTCCCTGGCCACCCCTCCTGGCCTCTCCCTTGCTAAGGAAGGTCAGGCCGTCCAAGGCGGGTAGGGAGATGCATCAGAACTCATGGGCCCCTTGCTGGAGCTGACAGAGCCATCGCTCTTGGAGGCAGCTGATGATCCAGGCAGCCCTGTGCCACCACCACGCCACGCTCAGCACTCCTGCAGCCACCAGCAAGCAGGGCTCATGGCAGAAAAACTCCCAGAACACACCGTTGACAATTGGAGAAGAAAACGCCTGAAAGAGCACCGGTCATGGACAGGGCCAGGGACCAGTCTCCAAACACTTTTCCTGTGCCAAGGTGGGGCAGAGGAGGCTGGAGGGGTGCTCAGAGCTGTCCAAAGGAACAAAGGGATGGGGACAGGTTGGCAGAGCCCCCTCCCGCATGGCGTCATCTGCTGCCCCTTCCTTCAGATGGAGCAGGAAGGGGGCAGTGAAGGAAGTGGAAACTGCACACCGCACACCAACTCAGCTTTTTGCTGCTTGGAGCTCAATTCTTTGCTAACTTTGGATATCCCAGAAGAGAGGGGTTTTTTGTCAAGACATTAAAGACATTATTTTTGAAGGGAAACAAGACAGGCTATTCATGAACAGCAGGGAAGCAGCCTGTTTCGGGGCCCGGCACTCCTGCTGTGCCCGTTAATTTGATTTAATGAGATGATGAGGCTGACTTGGGGCATCCATTCTCGGCCACTGGGCCCCCACCTTGGTGCTCCGGAGAGGGCATTAACGCGAGGAACAGCCAAACTTTGAAGCTTTATTTTGTTTCCTCTCTCCCCTCTCCCACCTTCTGCCAATTAACACGGGGGAGAAATTACATCCAGGTGCAGCCTGTCGCTGGCAACTGCCAGCTACAGCCATCTTCCTCCCTAAGGGTGAGGGGAAGCAGTGAGGCTGGAGATGGTGGCTTCAGGGCCCAGAAAGGTGCCAGGTGTGCCACTAACCTGAGTGCCTGATGTCTGAGCCATGTGCCCTGGACATCTGGCGTGCTCTCGGGCCACGGGGTTGCTCCACTCAAGGGCCTTTGTATCTGCTGGTCCTGCAGTGGGAATGCTCTCCCTCCAGAACTCTGTGTGGCTGCCTACTTCTTGTCATCCAGATCTGAGCTCAGACGGTACCATCTTCCAGAGGCCTCCCCTGAACACCCACATCTAAACAGAGTCTCCCCAAAATGAATCACCTTCCATCCCTCACCTGGGATTTATTTGTGTGTTCTTTTTTCTCCATGGCACTTGTCATTACTGAACACACAGTATTTGCTTGGCTGTTTCCTCACTTGTTTCCTGACTCCCACATTAGACTGTTGACTACACACGAGCCGAGACTGTGCATATTCGTTCGCTTCCGTATCCCCAGTACCTGGAGCACCACCAAGCACACAGTAGGAGCTTAATAAGCACGCACTGGGAAAATACATGAACGAGCAACACTGATTGCACCTGTGCATGCCACACGCCAGGCTCTGTGTTAGATTCCGCACACACACGCACATGTGCATACAACCACAGGCACACACACGTGTCTGTCATGGACTTACCTAGCTATTTGCTGAACTAACCCTCACAGCAGCTCTTTGAAGAAAAGATCATAAATCCCCTTTTACAGATGGCAGAGCTGAGGCTCAGAGAGAGGCTATATGACTTCTCAGTCACAGCTGGGGGTTCAGGTCTGGGGCCAGGGCTTCCTGATGCCAACATTCCCCTCCTCCCTCCCGAGCACCCTGCTTCCCCTCCCGTGGGTGCTGTGGCAGCTCACCTGCCCTGCCCCTGGACCCCCGCAGCTGGGTGCATTACCTGGGGCTACGTCCGTGTTGCCCTGGGCAGGAGTTTCCTTGGCGGGGGCAGGTCTCCTCACAGGGCGACCACGAGGGCACCTGGCAGCTGGTCTCCTGCTGTAAGAGTCATCTCATTGGTCACTCATCCCATGTGTGAGTGCCCATGGTGGCCTCTGTACCACATGGCTCTGGGCACTGGTCCATGAGGAAAACCCTGGACAAGACCTGCTGCACGGCAAGAGTAGACGTACATCACGTGCGTCATGTCGCCTTGTGTCTTGGTGACAACCCACTGACCCACTTTACACACATGTACCGGCACATACATATATACACTTGCACAGATGTACACACAAACCGTGTACACACACATGCACATATGTTCACACATAGAATGCACATCACATATTTGCCCACACAACACACATATACACACATGCACAGATATACACATATACATATACGCATGTCTGCACACCACACACACATATACCACATACCACACACACCACATAACACACACATACATGCACAAAATGCACACACGTACACACACATATACACATATACACCCACATGCACCTCACGGCTCACTAAAAGACAAGTGGATCCCCTGTTCCACACTCCTGAGCAGGGAGCTGAAACCCCAGGGTCTGGCTCTGATGCCCTCTAGGCTGGGGAACCTTGGTCCGTCCACTGTGACCACGAGCTTTCGGTGCTGGTTGCTGGACCCGCGGTCATGACCCTGAAGGGAAGAGTGAGGTGTGAGGATGCTGGTGCCTCCCAGAGAGCCTGGCTGCGGTGCTGGCGTGGCTGGACGTGGTCGGCTGCTGACGAGATCTCCCGCCTCGGAGGCAGGTCCTGACTACAGGGTTTCCCACGAGAGCCACATGCAGAGGCCCAGGGGGGTCTGG
Organism: Homo sapiens; assembly: GCF_000001405.40. Lineage (NCBI taxonomy): Eukaryota > Metazoa > Chordata > Mammalia > Primates > Hominidae > Homo > Homo sapiens. Next base: position 86,713,259 of record NC_000016.10, read on the forward strand.
GGCTTCCCTCCTTATAAGCTGTAGGGAACAAGGCCAGGCAGCCCAGCGCTGGCATCACGAGAGGTGAGTGACAGCAGGACCTGCTTGCGAGGTGCTGGGAGGATTTGCCAAGACGGCTCCTAAGGGGCCTGCTCGCAGCAACTGCTCTGTTGGCGCTGGCCATTATTCCCGCGGCTTCCTTCAGGGGAACCTCTGAGCGGCCAAGCCAGCCCCATCCTGCTGGCCTCAGCCCCAAGAGTACTCTACAGACAGGTCATGCCCAAAAGCCCAGGAGGCTCTGAGGCATCCCTACTTGCCACGGGGGGTGCCGAGCCACAATGAGCCCAAGGACCCAGTGGGCTTGGGAACACCCGGCTTTGAGGGGCAGAGGCCAGGGCAGCCCTGTTTGCTCCCCTTTCCATGGTGCACATCCCAAATGGACGCAGGATTTAGACAGGACCCTTTTCTGTGTGCTTAGCAGCTCACAAGCTCAAAGTACCCCCTCAGCCCACCCTTTGGGTCCCCATCCTGTCTTGGTCTGTTGAGAAAGCACCTCAGGTCCTGGCATCTTCAGAGAGGCATGACTGACAGTTCCAGGCCTTCCAGCTACTGATGGGACCCAACACTTCATTGTAAGAGAACGAGTCATGCTTCCAGTGGCTCTGCTTCTCTAATTTCTGTCTCTTGGAGCTGTAGAGCTGCTCAGAATTTAAATCACAAAAGTGTTATTGTCTCCCTGGCTTTAGAAAATCATCTGTTGGATTATTGCATTCTTTTCCGTCTTTTGTGTGTGTGTATGGAGAATAGGGTCTTGCTATGTTGTGTAGGCTGGATTTGAACTCCTTGGCTCAAGCGATCCTCTTGCGTTTGCCTCCCTAAGTGCTGGGATTACAGGCGTGAGCCACCATGCCTTGCTGTGCTTTCTTTTTTGGTCAATATTTGAGCAGGACAAGCCCTCCTGGTTCCACTGGCCAGCCTTGCCAGACACCCCGAAGATGCTGGCAGGGCTGTGGGCACCTCCCCTTTCACTGCTGTGCTCAGGACCCAGCTTTGTGTCTGGGGCCTTTGGGCCACTGCCTTCCCTCTGCTTTTGGGGAATGAATGAATTTCCAGTGGACAGCGACAGGTCCTGAAACTGAGTCTAGCCTCTGTGTCATGTCCCGTGGGATAACTGGGTGATGGTTAGAATGGTGCTGATGGAGAGTATTGAAATGCCCATGCCTGGGTCTTCAGACGGGGGCTGGGGGTTGAGTGATGAGTCAAGGGGGCCATGGAGAGCCAGCCCAGGGCAGGGAGGATCATGGACTCAGTGTGGATGCACTGTGGGGCCCTGGGCACATTACTCAGCCTCTTTGGGTCTGTAAAGTGGGAGTAATCCCAGGGTTGCCATGAGAACACGTTGTCTTAAATACCATAGGGGGATGGGGCCAACGTGCACAGGCCCTGCTGAAGGCACTGCTTTCATAGCACTTTAACTGGCCCACCACATGTGTCCAGCCTGCACTTGCTGTTCCTCCTGAAGACCAACACGTGGGCTTCCGTGTCTGACTTCTTTCACTCGGCGCAATGTTTTTGAGGCTCATGGTGTGTGGTGGGGGTACCCGCGCTTCCTTCCTTCCGTGGCTGAGGAACATTCCCTTGTATAAAAAGACCATATTTTGTTCATCATTGATGGATATTTAGGCTGTTCTCACTTTTGGCTATTGTGAACAAGCTGCCGTGGACATTTGTTTACAAGTTTGCAAAACGTTATTTGTTTTATTTTTATTTTTGCATGGAAGTTCATTTTTATTTCTCCTGAGTAGATAGGTGGGAGTGACTCACTGGGTCCCAGGGTTGCTCCAGGTTGTGGAGGACCTGCCATACTCTTTTCCAAAGTGGCTGCACCAAATCATATGCCCAAGTGGTTATCTTCCGATGAGCATTCTTCCCTCTTTTCTCCTTACTTGTATCTTCTAAAATTTCTGCAGTGCTTATCTCCTACTTAGGTTTTTTTTTTCTCTGAAGGTCAGGTTTCCTCACAGAGCAGTGGCACCGGAGATAAGGCACAGCTGGTCACACCACCTGGGATGTTCTGGGACTTCAGAAGTGGCCTCATGCTTAGAGGTGATGGGGACACTTCTAAGGGGGGACACTGTAAAGGAGGGGGGCTCTGGGTAGGTGGAGAGTGAAGGCACATGTGGGGATTCACGGGCTCAATGGGAATTAGTGTCAACCACAGGCTCCGGATCCAGTAGAGACTTTCCACAGTTCAGCTTGAATGGCTGCTATAAAGTGAGGCTCACTCCATTTTAAAATTTGTTTTATACTATTTTAATGGTTTCAGCTTTTATTTTAGATTCAGGGGTACATGTGCAGTTTAGCTACATAGGAATATTGCATGATGCTGAGGTTTGGGGTATAGATGGTCCCATTACCCAGGTAGCGAACACAGCACCCAGTAGATCGTTTTTCAGCCCTGTCTCCCTCCTCCCCTCCCATGTCTATTAGTCCCAGTGTTTATCATTCCCATCTTTATGTCCATGTGTGCTCAGTGCTCGGCTCCCACTTAGAAGTGAGAACATGGAGTATTTGGTATCCCGTTCCTGTGTCAATTTGCTCAGTATAATGGCCTCCAGCTGCATCCGTGATGTGCAAATGACATGATTTCATTATTTTTCATGGCTATGTAGTATTCCATGGCATGTATGGACCACTTTTCCTCATCCAGTCCGCCACTGATGGGCACCTAGGTTGACTCCATGCCTCTGCTATTGGCTCACTCCATTTAAAAGTGAAGAAAGGGGTTCCTGTCACCCTTGCCACATCTGGAGTCCTGTCTCCAGCCACTGGGAATCTTGAATGGTCACATGGGACACCACTGCTAGTCACATCAATGTCTTTAACATTAATAATGTGAGTTCACAGCTAAGGGCCTGTACCAGAGACCAAAGGCTGATGGCAGCTTCTGGGCCTCATGCTTGCAGGTGGGGGACAGTAAACCTCAGAACAGGTGAAAACCCAGGTAGGCACCCATAGCTGGGGCCAGACTCACCAAGGCTGACCTGGGGACAGGCTCCCAGAGGTTGAGAGCCCTCATGTCATCCACACATAGCAGACATTCCTGACTTACATTAAAAATAGGCTCTCTCCACACCCCCCACATGCACATCTCCCTTCTTTTTGGGGTTAAAAGGATCCAGCGCTTTTATTCAAAGGGCGTCCTATGATTCAGATTTTGTAGAATTCAGAATTCTCAGATTTGAGAGCTTTGAAGACTTCAGAAGGCCATCCAGTTCAGACTGATCCCTCCTTCTATCCAAACAGATCATTAGACTGATGGGAAGATCAGGGAAGACCCTCCAGGCAGTTACTAGAGCTCTTCCTTTAAGCTTCCTTAGCAGTAAACTCAGGCAAACTAATAAGATCCACCTCCGAAGGTCGTCGTGAGGATTAAACCAGATATGCATGTAATGTTCTTAGCAGTATGCCAGACACTCTGCAAATATTCAATAAATGGCAGCATTGTGATTGTCTTGACCATCTTCAACATACAGTGTTTTCTTTGTTTCCACACCACCCTTTTGAGTCCGTCAAGCCTGCAGTTGGCTCACAAGTGGAAGCTTCCTTCCCGGGCTCTGTTACAACATAGGAGGCAGAGCTTAAAGCTCCTTCTAGACTGGCAGGAACCAGCTCTCACCTCCGACAGGGGTGAGGCCAGAGGCGTGGGAAAGCCAGATGGGGTGGCGGATGCCACGGTGCCATGGCCTCCTTCAACCCTCAGGTGTGCAAGGAGGCAGGTGACCTGGGATGTTCTGCAAAACAGGTAGGTTTTCATGCCATTGATTTGATTCTCCTGAAACTTAGCCAGTGAATTTTTAAAAAGGGATAAGCCTCAAAGACAATGTAAACAAAAAATATGTCCTGGGCTTTACATCGGTAAAATGGTCTTTTCCTGCCTCGTGTTTTAAATACAGGCTCAAAACAGCAGGATGAGGAAGGGTGACTGTTAACAGGTACACAGATTCTTTCTGAATTGATAAAAATGTTCCAAAATGGACTGTGTTGAGGGTTGTCCAGTTCTGTGAATATACTAAAACCCACTGAATTGTCCACTTTAAATGGGTGAATTGTGTGGTACTTGAGTTATATCTCGATAAAGCTTCTTTTAAAAGTAGATTTTAAAAAGTATTTCATTATTTTTAGACACTTTCCCCAAACACGTATTACCAACACTGGGAGAGACGTAGAGAAACAGACTGTTTTCAAACCATTTTTGAGTTATTTGAGTTTCAGGTGTGTTTTGTGGTTTTCCTCATTGGCAAAAGTTTACTGTGAGTGAATCGAAGCTTCTTGTCGTGTCGAGGGGACCATACTGAGCCTTGGAGGCAACTAAGCAAAAAGAAGGAAGATGGCTCAAAATAAGGGCCTAAGTTATTCCCTGAGTGCATTCAAAGGAGAAAGATACTAAGGGAGGTCGAGCTAAGCCAGGAGGGCTTCATGGAGGAGGGAACTGAGCTGGAACCTCCAGATTTAATAAAAGTAACAAAAAGTTCTAAGAAATAATAGCAGCGGCCCTCCTTCACCAGGCACTGGCCCTTCCCCAGGCCCCCTGCCTCCTGCACTTCACAGTTCTCCGGGAGACACAAGTGCCATTTGAGGAGGGGGATGTCGCCGCCTGCCTTGCCTGGGCGATCCCCTGCCAGAAGCCAGAGAGCAGGGGCCACTGAGAGCCCACGTGGGCAGCTCCCAGGGTACTGAGGAAGAAGAGAGGCAGTGATGAGGAGATCCAAGCCTGAGACATCCAGCACCTCATGGGGGACTTAGGGTGGGCTGGAGAATAACAGGCGCAAAGGCGTGGGAGGGACAGAGGGGTTTCATCAAAGACAGCAGGCCCTGGCCTGAGAGGTGGGGCTGACTGAGGATGGCCACGAGGTACCCAGCTGTCCTAAGCTCGTGAATGATAGAGGGGTAGGTGGTGTCACCTTTCTCATTAGAATGTGCTGGGCTGTTGTGTAAGTTCTCTTCATTCACTCACTCTAGGTCCTCACTACCCAAGGCGTGGTCCTCAGACATCACCCGGGAGCTGGTTATAAATGGAGAGTCTCAGGCCCCGCCCTGGAGGCCCTGGTTCAGAACCTGCGTTTCAGCAAGAGCTCGAGTGATTCAGGCAGGTCACTGCACTGCTGTAAGTCACCCCCCTGGTTTGGGGATGTGGGAGTGGCTGCTGGCCAGGAACAATCAGTTTCAGGTTTAAACGTGGGATTTTCCACCCTTGCGGCAGGGTAACATTGTATCAAGAACAGGAAATACTGGCTGCTTCTCGCCTTCCTTCGTCCCAGGACGAATGCCCCTCATCAATTGCTGCCTGCTTCCCTGCAGACCCCGGGGATGGCCCCATTATGCCTCTCAACACAAGATGCCTGTGCCTACATTGTGTCCATTTGAGCTGGCAGATGTATATATAAGATTGCTCACTTATAACTTTTGGCAGAAATATAAAACTCAGGGATTATCAGAAAACAAATCCTATAACTGTCTTACATACAATCACTTATACCCATGCAATGCCACGGCCAGTAAGGAAAGAGGGAACTCAGCGTGGAGGTCAGGGCACAGGGAAATGACACGACACCTTTGAAGGGTAAGCCCCGAAAGGTCAGTCTGTGTGCTGGGGGTCCCGTGGACACATCTGTCCCTGGGCATCCCTCCAAAGATGAAGGCTGAATATGTCCCTTGAGTTTGGCGTCGAAGGATGGGCCCAAGAGGCCAGAGGACACGCAGCACAGGGAGACAGAAAGTCCTTCCAGACAGAGAACAAAGCCACCAGCTCTTGTGCAGAAAGGTGAACTGCGACCTCAGTAGGCGGTGCTCATCTGTCACAGGTGTTTGTTTGAGTTTGACAATGTGGGGAAAACAGTAGTTCTGTTCTTTCTTTGGTTCCCAAGCATATCTGAACAATTATTCTTATTTTTTAAGCATGTAAGAGCTAAGTTTCACACAGAAATGACAATACCGATAAAGCCATGTGACTTTGACGATTGTGGAAATGGGTCAGTGGGTGAATTTAAGTTCTTCTTCCTTATTTAAAACACTACACTTGAGTTGGATGCTTCAGTCCCCTAGTGTACTTTGTTGAGAGAGGCAAAGATCCAGTTCTGAATCTGTGCTCGGATGGCTCTGGGCAAATTGGAGGACGCGATTGAAAGATGCAGTTGTTCCAATTCATGGTGGCTCGATTGAACAATGACGGACCTGGACCTGGACCGTGCAGGTACCTACAGGCCCTGTGAGTGGGCCTTGGGAAAATGGAACAAAGCAATCGCATGCTGCCTCTGATCGGATTGCTCTCAGTGCCAAGTGCAGTATAGACAGAAGCTAGCAGTGGGTGCAGGGCAGCGTGGCGTGCTGGGAAGGAGCTACCATGCCGTCTTGAGATGTTGCTGGCAGATCCTCAGTAGCTTCAGACCCTGCTGGCTTGAGATGATGCCTGCAAAGCCTCAGTACCTTCAGACCCTGGCACTGACACACCGGAGAGTCACTGGGTGGGGGGCGGGCTCTGCGGCTCCCCATGGTTCGGGTTTTCCTGGCTCAAATGGAGATCACGGTTGTGTTTCAGGTAGGGCCTGGCACTGAAAATGCTTGGTATGGGTGGAGGTTGTTCTTTTTACCCACACATGATCTTTAAGATTGTGCTAGCGCATCTCACAAGACATTTGCTAAAACTGAATTGTATAACTTGCTTTGTGTTCAATGAGGAGGGAGCAGCCACACTGGAGAAAGATTTCAGCCATGACTACTGTGTATCACACATGAAATCCTGGCTTAAGGCTGTAGGACTCCATTACGCTGTTCCATGCACACACTACGTCTTTGCAGGTATCATGTCATTAGGTGTGATAACAGCTCAGCATTTTTACATTCTCCAAGCTATCATCATGTGCAAGGCATATTAGCTCCTCCTAGCCCAAAGCCAATAGAAATGTCAGTATGGCCCAAGGGGTGCCTGAGAATTTAAACCATGACACTTGAAGCAGGTCTAGGAGAACCACCCTGGAGGAATGGGCTGCAGGTGCAGCCTCTCCTGGATTTACAGGCTCATTCCCCAGTGGGCATCATCGTGGCTCCCACCTGGGTTCATCTCTTGAATCAGTTCTCTCTTCTGCATGGGTATCTGGGTATCCCTTGCAGAGTGCACACCTTTTTTATTTTTTGACATGATTTCAGATGTGCAGAAGAGGAGCACAAAAATCTCAAGATACCCTTCACCCAGAGTCCCCAAAATTAATATTTACCATATTTGTTGCATCTCTCTCTCTCTCTCTCTCTCACACACACACACACACACACACAGAGAGGAAGTTGCAGACAAGATGTGCCTTTACTATTAAATACTGCTGTGTGCATTTCCTGAAAACAAAGGGATTCTCTTCTGTAACCACAATGCAATTAACAAAACCAAGGATGTGGCATTGACACAATTCTATTAGCTACAGACCTCATTCACGTTTTTTCAATTGTCCTAAGACTGTTTGAGCCAAAAGAATATCCAAGATCATGCCTGGCATTCTGTTGTCGCATCTCTTTAGTCTCCATTAAGCAGAAAATCTTGAGTCTTTGTCTTTCATGACATTGATGTTTATTTTGTAGAATGCGTCACCATTTCAGGTTGTCCGAATTGTCCTTGTGGTCAGATTCACGTCAAGACTTGGGGCAACAACACCAGGATGTAATGTCCTCATCACATATATTGATCACGGGGCCTGTGGTGTTGATTTAGCCCGCTGCTGGTGGTAATACTTGGGTTATAGTTTTTGTACTGTAAAGTCACTATTTCACCTTATGTAGTAAGTTACAAGCATCTTACTAGGAGATCTTTAGTTAATTTTCCAAAGATTTAACGTGGAGCGAGGAACTCAATCAATGTTGAGCTCCTCTGAGAATCTAGCCCAGCAAATCCCAGTAGAGTGCAGACCCGGGCTGTGGGGAAGGCACAGGAGAAAACCTTTGAGGGGCCTTCAGGCCGGAAGGAACTTTAGCTACTCACCAGGTCTGCCCCCTTTTTGGCAGAAAGAGAAACTGGGATCTACAGGAGGGGCGTGCCTAGGGTACAAGGCAGAGAAGGGCACAGATGGCCAACTTCACCCTCTTGTGCCCTGGGATGATATAGGTTCCTCACATCACAGTAAGAGAGGACTTGCACCCTTCTGCTCACCAAGGGAACAAATGCAAACTAGAGAACTTGTGGGCATCTTAGACAGGGCTTTCATCTTTTTCTTTTCCTCACCCTCCTGATCATCCTCTGGTTCCTATTATTAAGAAAAAAAAAAAACCTGTCTGTCTATCCAACTGTCTTGCTATCTCTATCTGTGTATCCTTCTCCATAGCCAACCCTTTTTTATTTCTACTATGTATATATTTCTATACATCTGCGTCTATATCCACATTGCAATCTCTCTCTTTCTCTTGGTTTTCTTACCTTTCAATGTTAATTGCTAAATGGGAGTAGAGTGAACAACAATAAGAGCAAAAATATAATTTCCTTTACCTTTGCAATAACATTCATAAGGTATTACTGGGAAAACATTAAAAATGGGACCCTTGTTTGAAAGTAGCAGGCAGGAAACACCAAGAAGCTAGAGAAATTCTCTTCAGAAGCCCCCTCTGGCCCACTGAGGGTCACCTTGCTAGAGGTCATCCCTGTCCCTACAGTGGCATCTTGTATAGTGTAGGGCACTGGCTGGGTGCCAATCCCGAGTTGAGTGTTGTCCGATGCAGACACCCTTGGCTGATGACCTCAGACTTGCCTCGGAACCCTGGCTTTATGACCCAACTGTGTGCTATGGTCCAAATGTGTGTGTCTCCCTCAAATTTGAATATTGAAATTCTCACCTACAATGTGATGCTATCAAAAGGTGAGGTCTTCGGGAGGTGAGTGGTTTGTGAGGTAGAACCCTCATGCATGGGAATAGTGCCCTTATGAAAGAGCCCCAAGCCCGGGCACGGTGGCTCACACCTGTAATCCCAGCACTTTGGGAAGCCAATGTGGGCGGATCACCTGAGGTCAGGAGTTTTAGACCAGTCTGACCAACATGATGAAACCCCATCTCTACTAAAAATCCAGAAATGAGCCGGGCATGGTGGCGGGCGCCTGTAATCCCAGCTACTTGGGAGGCGGAGGCAGGAAAATCGCTTGAACCCGGGAGGCAGAGATTGCAGTGAGTGGAGACCATGCCATTGCACTCCAACCAGGGCAATAAGACTGAAACCCCATCTCAAAAAATTAAATAAATAAAAATAAAATAATAAAAAACGCCCCAGAGAGGCCCCTTGCCCCTTCCAGCATATATGGACTCTCGAGAAGGTGCCATCTATGAGTCAGGAAGTGACCTTCACCAGACACTGAAGTGGCCAGGGCCTTGATCTTGGACACCCCAGCCTCCAGAACCGTCAGAGATAAATCTCTGTTGTGCATGGGCTGCCCAGTGGATGATATTTTGTTACAGCAGCCCAGGTAGACAAAGACACCAAGTTTTCTTGTCATGAGATCTGAATGAATAATTCGCTGTGTGTGGTTTGACACTGCAGTGGCTTTTCTGACCCTCCACCTGCCACAATCTCCTTCCTGGATTAAACTCCTTCTCCTGTACATGCCGAGATGTTTCTGTTCCCCGGTTGTGTCTTGACCAACAGTCTTCACGAAGTCTTTCTTTTCAAGCTTACTCTGTCATGATTTTGGTGTCTGGTCATGCCCGGAAATGGAATAGAAAGACCTAGGATTCTCCCTTCACCCTAAGGGAAATCCTTGCTTCGCTGAAAATGGGTGAAGCTGTGGGCTGAAAAAATATGTGTTCCTTCTTTATCTGGCTTCTCTTCACTCAGCTTCTCTGTTCAGTCCCTGCATTATTCATTTTTGGTGCACTTCCAATGATGTCTTATTTCACAATCAGCCGTAATACTGATCATAGAAACTTTTGTATGTGCTGCTTTTTGTGCAATAAATCTCTATTTCAAGCAGTACTCCAGTGACTAGCTAACAGGCTATCTGTTTCACAGCTATGTAGGATAATTGAGGCCTACTATTACTTTGAGGTTTAATTTCTGAACCTAATTGTGTGTGTGCATGCGTGCAGGTGCGTGTGTGTGTGTGTGTGTGTGTGTGTGTGTTCGGGGGAGTCTGTGCACCCATGTGTGTGAACCCAGAATCATACAGGAGACAGGTGAATTGGTTGGCGTCTTTGAGTGGTGGGCTTGAAGGCACACAGCCTTCCTGGTTGACCTTAGACCGGTAAATTCAGGCCTGTTAAATTTCAGGTAAGGTCACTGCCATTTAAGGAGATCTGTTTTGCTTGAATATTCTGACTGTCAGTCCGCAGACATAGGGAGTGTGTGAGTGTGAGTGTGTACCAAGATGAGGAGGATAATCAGGCTCCGGCTCCGTTTTTCTGACACTTTTATGGCTGCCTTTCTTCTGTGCCTGGGCTTCGTTCTCATGCTCTTTCCCTCGTTGTTGCGGGATGGTGGCAGCATCAGCAGCTGCAGAAACTCTTGTTCATTTCCTAGCTCCGAGGAGCGTCATTTCTCCAACTTGGAATAAAAGCCCATCCTCTACCTGATTGGGCCACTCAGATCAAGGGCTTAACACTAGCAACAGTTGCTAAGGCACTGCTAGAAACCGATTAGCTGAAGCCTGGGTGTCTGAACCAATCATTGCCAAGGGGGCGGGACTTGCCCCATCCCTGGAACTATGAATGTCTCAGCCCCTTGAGATCACCTGGGCGTGGAAGAAAGTTGAAAAAAGAAATCAGAATTCGCTTAGGATGTAGGAGGTAGTGTGGATGCTGGGACAGCGACCAGTGCTGTCTACTGTAATTCCCAGTTTGGTGATGAGCAGCGTGAGGCTCAGGAGGATTAAATTTGCCTAAAGTTGCAGCTGGCCAGTCAAACATTGGAAACCAGATGTATTTTGGCTCTAAAGTCTTGTGGGTTTTCTTTGAACCCACAACTACTCTCTATAGATTGGGGACGCTGTGCCAAGCAGCTTTGTAGACTACCAATTACTCAGCCAGCCTGGGAATCGCTGCAGCATTATTGACAATAGCCAAAAGGTGGAAGCAACCCACGTGTCCATCAGTGAATGAATGAAGAAAGAAAATGGTGCATCCAAGTAATGGAGGATTATTCAGCTTTAACAAGGAATGAAGGGTGGGCACCTGCTACAACATGGATGAAGCTTGGGGACATTCTGCAAAAGAGACAGTCACCAAAGACAAACACTGTGTGATTCCACTTTGATAAAGCACCTAGAGTAGGCAGAATCATAGAGACGGAAAGTAGAAGGCACCGGACGCAGCGGCTCACGCCTGTAATCCCAGCCCTTTGGGAGGCCGAGGCAGGTGGATCTCCTGTGGTCAGAAGTTTGAGACCAGCCAGGCCAACATGATGAAACCTCGTCTCTATTAAAAATACAAAAATTAGCTGGGCGTGGTGGCATGCGCCAGTCATCCCAGTTACTCAGGAGGCTGAGACAGGAGAACTGTTTGAACCCAGGAGGCAGAGGTTGCAGTGAGCCAAGATCGTGCCATTGCACTCCAGCCTGGGCAACAAGAGTAAAACTTCATCTCAAAAAAAAAAAAAAAAAAAAAAGAAAAACAAAAAGAAAAAGATAGTAGAAGGGTGATTGCCAGGGACTTATGGGGTGGAGATGGGGAGTTATAATTTAGTGGGGACAGCGTTTCAGCTTAGGAAGATGAAAAAGTTCTGGAGGTGGATGGTGGTGATGGTTGTACAATAGTATGAATACAGTCAACACCACAGAACTACACGCTTGAAAGTGGTTATTGTGGTAAATTTTGTTACGTATATTTTACTACAATATAAAAAAAAAACAATTTTTTAAAAAGTTGTGCTCCAGAGAAAGTGGGCATTTTAACTTCTGCGTGGAGGGGTTTGGCTACAAGGTTCAAAACATCTGTCATGACTCTGGAGCCTCCGAAGCCTCCTAACTTCACTGGCCAGTGATGTCCGCTGCCTCTTCCTCTCTTGAATGTCATCTGGAAAAGTGAGCGGTGATATGTGGAAACGCTTCTCAATGCTCTTCCTGACAGCAATAGTTGGCCTGACACTAGAATTCTTCTCCACTGTACACTGACCCCCGTTGTGTGTCTGTTACCACCACGTTACTCGCCTACATTTTTAGCAATGTGTGACCTTGCACGTTTCCTGCCACCCTGCGCTCCTGACATGAGTAGTCTTGCATCTCTCTCCCCAGCCAGACAGCATGCATGGGCCAGAGTCATGTGCTTGGGGAAAAGGTGGGTTGTATCGACTCCACAACCAGTCAGAGTGCAGTGGGCCCATGTTTTGTAAAACATATGTTTGGCAAATGACTCCCTGTGGGTTGCAGAAATCCAGATGGGGGAAGTTTTCTAAGTGTGATGTCAGAATGTTACATCTGCTGATCCCACGGGTGCATGGGACCAATAAGAAGACGTGAGTTGGTTTGTCCGAGAAATTGCACGGCGTGGAGATCTGGGGGGCACATTCGAATCTGGAAAACAAAGGCCATAATGTGCACAGCCCTCTTTGGGCTTGCGTATTGTTAGAGCTAGGAGAAGTCTTAACATTGCCTAAAAGAGCTCCCAATTTTATGCACGAGGAAACTGAGGCATGGGGTGGTGGGTAAGGTGAGTTGCTCAAGGCTGTCTAAGGCTGGAACTTGAACCTGGGGCTCTGTAGTCTCAGCACAGCACCCTCAGCCCCATCACGCTGGACTAAGGCAGAGATTAAGGTTCTGGGTGTAACGTCAGACTGCCTGGAGGGCTAAGGCTCTGTTCCATCTGCTGAAAAGCTGTGCCACCCTGAGCCTCAGTTTCCTCATCTGAAAGCAGGGATTACAACAGGGCTTGTAGGTAGGGGTGTGTGTGCTGGGGGTGCTAAGTGATAGTGAAGATGATGAGTGTGAACAGGTGATGGACAGCAGCATGTGCCCAACACCGTGCTCAGCATTTCATGTCCAAATTCTCACTATGCTCACTCAGCCTCCATGCAGCCCCACAACATGGGTACCACTATCTTATCCTCTCCCATTTAATAATGAGGTGGCCAAGGCTACTTATGAAAAGAAACGAGGCGGTGCCTGTTGCATACAAAGATCCCAAACCCTAAACCTCTTTTACACATAGCTGGGAAGAAATGCATTTACTTTCCCTGGCCTTGGGCCAGTGGGTTGTTTAGAAACCTTCAGGGGAGCAGGAAGATGCAGCCCACAGCACGGAGATGGCCTTCCCGGGTCCTTGAGAAACAGGTATTTCATGCTGTGTTGGCACACAAGAGCCGGCCAACAATCCCTGTGCTTGTCTGCCTGGACTGTTGGGTAATTTTACAAATTGGCTTTTACTGGCAGGGGAGGTGGGCAGATGTAGGTAGTGGAATATTCCAGTAGGTCACAGGTTCAGATCCAGCCTGGTGGTTGGTGACTTCTGGGGTCATCTGCCCTCTGAGAAGCTGTTTGTCTATACTGATTGGGAACCTGGATCAATGCATTCAGCGAAGCCTGTTAACCTACTTGATTCCAGGCCTGTGCTACCTGCTGAAGACACAGTGGTGAACAAGACTGATAGAAATCATGTATTGATGAAAGTTTGAATCTAGTAAAAAAGAGAGATAATCATCCAAGCTTTAACGAAGACTGAGGGTGCCCAAGTTACCCCTCCTCCTGTTTAGTTTCTCATGGTTGACAAGTTAATAAATAAGCAAATTTAAAAAATACATATGTATATCTCAAGATGAGGATGGAAGCCTCATTCATGAGTGGGGTTATTGACGCATCCAACTTAAAGCCTCTGGGAAAGACAGTGTTCTGGGATAGCCCATGCTTCCCTTGTCTTCTCCCTGTCTCTGCCAGAATTGAAGGTGGCTGGACCCTCATCAGGAAGGATAGACATAGCTTACCTGTGCAGGTGCAGGCTGAGGTGCTGAACATCCAGGAGTGAAAATGGGAGCTGCTCCAAGAAGAGGCAGAGAACAGAACTCGCCTCTAGGATGCTGAGTCAAGTTATCATGCACTTGTGTCAGATGTCACTGCTCAAAATAGCTGCATGAGAGGCTGCAGTGAGCCGAGGTCGCGCCACTGCACTCCAGCCTGGGTGACAGAGCAAGACTCCATGTCGAAAAATAAAAAAAAAATTAATAAAAAACTAAAATAGCTGTATGACTCCTCCCCCTTTTTATTTGGGGGAGAGAGAGTTTGAGGTGGAGAGAGGAGAGATGGGCAGGAAGGACGGGTTCTCACCACGCTTTCTCACTGGGGAGAGAACAGGTATGTGTCCTCCCCTTGGGGAAAATACAGGGGCAAATACAGGGCACCAAGACAGCGAATTTCGGGGACTCCTCCTTGTCTTCAAGGAAGAGACCATGGATTCCAGATCCAGAGGACAGGTAGATGTTGGCCTGGCAGAGGTGGGGCTGGGGAGGAGGTTTTAGCCGGCGATTACTGCAGATCAAAGTCCCCAAGGAGAAAGAAAATATGGTCGGCCTAGGAACTGAAAGAAGTTTGGAGTGTTCAGCCTAAAATGAGGCATTTTATGTAAATTAGTGGGCATGATTCCTGCTACATCATATGTGCCTGATGGCTTATGGTTATTTTGCAGAAGTTTACTTCTTACTGGGTGGAGACACTTGGCATTTGTAAATGAGAATACCAATTTGAAGGAAGATAAGAAAAAGAACAAAACCTCCTAGCATAAACAGGTATCCTTGTATTAAACATCTCTGAGTGGATTCCTAAGGGCTGAGAGTCCGTGGGGAGGGGGTGTGGGAGAGGAAGGCTGGAGAGGAAAGCAGGTGCCAGTCTTGGGGATGTTTGCACCTTCTCTTGAGGGCAATGGAGAGTCATTTAAGAAGGAGCTGGTTGTGATCAGGTGTGGGTTGGAGGACATCATAGCTTGCAGGGGGACCAGCTGGGAGCAGCTACCAGCATCCAGGCAGGGAATGCGGGAGCAGGGTGGTGGTGATAAGGTGCTGCCGGGATCCAAGAGACATTTGGGGAGTGTGATTGGCAGGTCCCTGTGCTGATTGGATGGAAGGTAGAAAGAAGGATGAGTTGGAAATGATTCCTGGGGACTGCCAGGCAGGAGAGGGGTGAGAAGGAGGGATGAGATGGTGCTGGGAGTCCAGGCAGGGACATCAAGCTGGTTAGGACTCAGGAGAGAGCAGCAGGCTGGGGAGAGAGGCGGTGATGAGTGTGGTGGTTTAGGACAAGATTCCCAGGGAAGGAGGAACATGAGAAGACCTGGAGTAGAACCTTAAGAAACCAGTGTATGAAGAGCGAACAGGGGATGGGAGAAGGCTGTTTCTTGGACAGAAGGCACCATCGATCAGAACCCTTAGCTGAAGGGGACAGAGGGCTCAGCTTGGATGCTCATGTGACCTCAGTCAGCAGATACTCTATTAAAGTGCCAACTGTATGCAGAACCCAGAACTAGGAGCTTTGTGAGCCCTGAGGAGGTGTAAGACACAGAACCTGGAGGCTTTGTTATTTAATGCTTCTATTTCTCACATACGCCACTTGAGATATTCCTTCCAGAACTTTCTGTGCCCCTCAAAAATGGGGATGTGAGCAGCCTGGGTCTGTGGTCCCTGAGTTTGGCTGATCTCAGGACCAGATTAAGAAGTGAAAAGAGGTGGATGCTGGGACCCTTCCCTAAGCAGAGACTAATTCTATATGGGCATCACCCGAAAATCTCTGTTGAAAGAGTGTACCCGTTTCCTGTTGCCGCTGTAACAAATTGTCACAAAGTCAGGCCCTTAAATCAATACAAATATATTTTCTCATAGTGATGGAAGTTAGAAGTCCAAACTGAGACTTATGGGGCTCAAGTCAAGGTGTCTGCAGTGCTTGTTCCTTCTGCAGGCTCTGGGGGAGGACCCACCTTTGTCCCTTCAGCGTCCAGAGGCTGCCCACGCCCCTTGGCTTGTGGCTACACCACTCCAATCTCTGCTTGTGTCACCCCGTCACCTTCTCCTGTCTGATCTTCCTGCATCCCTCTCATAGGGGACCCCTTGTGAGTATAATCTAGGATAAGCTTCACATCACAAGGTCCTTAATCCTGTCTGCAAAGTCCCTTCGCCAGGTAAGGTCACATTCACAGCTTCCAGGGATTAGGATGTGGACATCGTTTGGTGGCCGTTACTTTGTTTATGTCACGGGGGAAAGACATGCATCTCTAGGCTGTCCTGCATCATGGTTATTGGCACTAACCAGCCAGGTTCCCCCACGCCCCGGCCACTGCTGAGCCCACCCTGCACCCTGGCTGCCCGCCATACCACCGGAGAGCACCTCTGCTCCACTGGGGCCGCTCAGATCTTCCTTCCTAGATCTTCTCTTCGTGCCTAGTGCAATGCTCCTTAAACCTTATGGCCCACTCAAAAGGCCTAGGGGATATTGTTAAAATCTAGCTCCAGCTCTGCAGCCTGGGGAGGCGCCTGATACTGCATTTCTAGAGACTTCTGGGGATGCAGATGGTGCTAGTCATGGATCACATTTTGAAAGGCGAGGCTCGAAGGGGCATATTTCATTGAGTTTCCATTCACTGCGGACCCCTTTGCCTAGAAGAGAGCTTAGCACACAGTAAGTGCTTGACGCATGCTCATGAATGAATGGTGTCTCCACGGTAACACCCTGTTTCTCAGGACCAGGATCTCAGCATCTTTTTCCAAGTCTTGTCACCAGGCCTTTGGCTAACTTTGGAGCTGTGAACAGAGATGGACAAGCCACAGAAGGCACCACACTGGCTTGATGAATAACAGACCAGACAGGCAGGCAGACACACACTGGCCCCCTTTTCCCCTGTAACACGCTACGTCTGTTATTTATATGCTATTTGACTCGCTTATGTGTAACTCAAAACCTTAGGTTACCTCACCAACCCCACTGCACCCCTGTTAAATTAGGGCCAGTTGGGCTGAAGCAGCCCCTCTGAGCCCTCCCCCATTGTCTGTGTGCGTTCCTGACTACTGTTAGGTCTCCCAAAGCTTACTGGGAATGGCCCCCAGCCCCACCCGGGCTTGGGAGCCTGCCACAGACTCACTGCAGGTTCTGTTTATTATTGTAGAGAAGCAGTTTTCCAGGGGGTTGAAATACTTGTTAAAATTAAGGTGAAAAATGTAAACCACAGCCAGGTCCTGTCACCTGACGCTTCCAAAGCCTCTTGTTTCTCCAGGCACCCCCTTCTGCAGGTCTCAGCTCCGGTGAAGAAGAAGGCCAGCTGCCCAGCAGACAGGGACAAGGAGTGTGCCCACATCTCTGGGGCAGGTACAGCTGTCCTAGGAAGTGGAGGCACCTGCTGAGCTTGTACAAAAAAGGCCGCTTGGGAAGGTTGAAGAAATCCAGTTGCGTGAGCTTGACAAATGATTAGAGGAGAAAGAAAAAGAGCCCGCAAAACCCACGGGCATTTGAGGGACCGACCATCCGCTTGGAGTCAACTCTATCTCATAAAGAACGAAGTAAATATTCCACCCCAGCCTGAGGACTCTCGGCATCTTGGCATCTTGGGGTCTGCGATACATCAAAGGGAAAGGATGAAGCATTGTGACAACTTTAAATACCAACGGCAGCGCCTATTCAAGGAAAACCACAGAGGGGCTGCCTTCCTTACCCAGAACGCCAATTCTGTTTCCTAGGAATTACTACTAAGCAGCTTTTTATTTCCTGCAGGAACCCTCCCTCACTTTTTTTTAAAGATGGGAAAGGAGGGCGATTTAGGGAGACTTAGCCTTAAAAGCTCGTTAAAATGGCACTGGCTGCAGCGGGAGGATGGAGCTGGAAGTGCCCTGTGCTGTGGGGCGGGGACTGTCACCTCAGGGCCCTGCAGGAAGCCGCATTCTCCCAACTAGGTCCAAAGAGGACTCAGGCACCTTCGGAGAGGCCCTTCCCAACTTCCTCCAGAGATTAGATTAGCAAATGGGGAAAATAGTAGATTTTTATTAAACATTAATGAATCTGAACTTTTCTTCCAAAGCAGGTTCAAGTTCAGGACACATCTTTGACAGCTTTTAGCAGCCAGCTCAGTGCTGGAAGGTGCCCTCCATATAAATATTTTTAGGTGATGTATCATTTCTGATATAGAAGATGATGGAATGTGGATTTTAGGATCTGGGTTCAAAGCCCAGCTCTTCAGCTGTTTGAGGCTGAGTGATGTCAGGAAAACCCTAGTCTGGGACTCTCTCCATCTGCGAAGGTGCCTTCCTTTTCACAGAGACGTTAGGAGGCTAAAACCAAGAGGGGACCCTACCAGTTCTCACAGGTGACATGTGAGAAGGCGGTGATGGGATGCTTGGAGTTTTGATGGAGGAGGGGCCGTTGGAGCCAGGCAGGTGAGGCTGTGATGAACCTCCCTCTGTCTCAGACTCTGCTGTTGTGCAGGGCGAGGGGCACCTGCGAGACATCCAGTCCTAGGGAGCTGTTTATGTTCATGGCACTGAGATCGTTAAAGACCCATTTATCCCAGATTAGAAACAGGGTGATACCTCTAAGAAGCAAAGACTTATGACTGCAAATGGTACCTCTCCACCTGGCGTTGTCCACCTATCAGATCATCAGGAGATGACCTGTGGGAACTGCCAGTGGGGGCACCACCGTCAAGGATGCTGAAAGGACTCAGAGACCTGGTTGAGGTCCCAAGATGAAATACCATGGTGGGGACATCCCCTCTGCCCCTTGAGCAAAGGAAGAAGGAATTAGCCCAAGTCTCAGAGTTTATGGGACCCCTGATTCAAGACATACCTAGTTATTCTGATGTCCACTGAAAAAGGAGTTATAGTGGGGATTTCTGCTGTTCAATGAGCTTTGGAAAAAAGTGTTGATGGACATCAGTCAGTTTTAAAAATCTTCAGATGAAACTTCTACCTTGTAACTAATTTAAAATAGTATAGACAAAGGTACTTCTGGAGCGGGGGTCTCCAGGGCAGCTCACTAGATCCAGGTGCTGAGCTGAGCACTGTCCGTTCCGTCTCTCTCAGTTCTCAGAGCCAACCTGTAGGGAAGACACTGCCGCTGCACCCATTTCACAGATGTGAAAGCATGCACAGAATAATTTTTAAAAACCCCACGCCAAAAAGTGAGGAGAAATAGTGAGTTAGGGAGGAGGACCTTGAACCCAGACAGGCAGACATCAGAGCCAGCATGGTTCTACCTGGCTGTCAAGTCAGGGTGTGTGTGTGTGTGTGTGCACGCGTGCGTGCATGTGTGCTAAACACATATTCAGTTCTGCCATTTTTTCATTTACAGAAACGTTTTGGAGTTTATTAATCTGCTGCTCATTTTCGAAAATGCCATCAGCATCTTTCCTGTAACATGTAGAGGGCCCCCTCCTTTGGAAACTGCGGTGTATGGCTGGCAGGTGCAATTGTTTGACCATTTCTGAGTAGCGCTCATTTCTGCAGGCTTCTGCCAGTTTGGAGCTGTCACAAGCAAGGCTGCCGGGGGCCTCTTTGCTCCTTTATGTTTGGACACCAATGGTTGCTTTGCTGTAGGAAAGACGGTGAGATTTCGGGGTAGGATGCAGGCGCTGTTGGTGCTGGGTGGGGGGTGGCAGTAGCTCTGCTGGCTTGGTGCGAACTGTGCGTGGTTGGGGGGTGAACTGGGTGAGTAACTGTGCAGCCTGCCAGGCCCTTGTGTGAGTCTAGGACAGATGAGGAACGCAGGAATTTAATTCCAGATGATTACCTTCCTCCTTTTGAACGCTGAATCTTGCAGGAGAGCTGCCAGGGCTCTTCACAAATCGAAGGCAATTCAGATGGTGGGTGGTCTCCTAATCACCAGGCAATTAGATGTGAGGAAGCATTTCCCCGCAGACGTGCGCATTTATTCAGCTGCTTGGTGAGCTCAGCGCCGGCCTCCTCCTGCATCCCGACAGCGCAGGAAGCCGGGCCTCCGCGTCAGTGCCTGGGAACCGCCTGAGGATTTCTGGGCGACCAGGAGCCAGGGCCGCCACCGTTCCCGGGACGGGGAAGAGGAGGTTCACATTTCACTCCTGGAAGGAGAAAATGGAAAATGTTCTACCGGGAGGCACGAATCACTCTGGCACATGCGGTGGTAGCTGCAGCAGGAACGAATTCAGCCCATGACATTTGAGTGTACGAGAAATTCTCTTTATTATCAGTTTCTTCTCAATCCCAATTGCAACTCTCGCCTGCCCAGCCCCATGCATCAGGGTTTTTGAGAGATTTAACTTTGGTCCTTTTACCCTTTTAGGGGGTTGGGCTGAGACCCTTAACATCCTCCAGAGTATGTTAAGGGTCTCAGGGGGTCTCAAGCCATCAGAAATATTTGGGGGAGGGGGTCTGGTGCTCCTTCCACCAGGGTCACTGTGGAGACACCTGCGGTGCACGGTCACAGCTCCTGTGGGCAGGAGCTGTTGACGACACAGGTGCGTGGCGGGGGCGACCAGAGCCTTCTAAGAGCTGCAGGAATGCCCGACCCACACTCTAGGGCAGGAAGAGCAGCGGGAAGCCCTGGGAGGCCAGCCAGCCGTTTAGCTCCTCCCTGGGAGCCATTCTCCAGCACAGGTGCCAGATTCATAAATAAAAGTACAGGATGCCCGATTCAATGTGCGTTTTACATAAGCAATTCTAGTCATGGTCCTGTGGCTGCTGTAACAAATCACCTCAAACTGGGGCGCTTAAAACAGCAGAAATGTATTATCAGTCTAGAGGCCGGAAGGCCAACGTCAAGGTGTCAGGGCGGGGCTCCCCCAGGAGGATCCAGGACCCTTCCGGCCTCTTCCTGCTCCTGGGGGCTCCAGGCGTCCCTTGGTTCGTGGCTGCATCGCTCCAGTCTCTGCCTCCGCCCTCACGCGGGCTCCTCCCTGCGCGTCTCTCCTCCTCTGTCTTCACCTCATTGGTATGAGGACACCAGTCACTGGACTTAGGGCCCGTCCTGCTCCAATATGACTTCGTCTTAACTATTTACCACTGCAAAGAACCTATTTCCATATGGAGTCACCTTCTAAAGTTCCGGGTGGGCATGAACTTCTTGGTGGACGCTATTCAACCCATAATAACAATGAAAAAGTTTTTTTTACTTCTACAGGACCTATTCTATGCTAAAATAGTTCTTTTTTAAATCTGAAATTCAAATATTACAAGACATACTAAAAACTATTCATTTTTACCTGAAGTTCAAATATTGCATGAGATGTAGATATTAAAATTATTTATCTGAAATTCAAATATTGCATGGGATATACTTATACTAAAAAGGCATCCCTATTTTATCTGGTAACTCTCTTCCTGCGTCCCCCCGCGTCCGTGTGTGTCCTGCCCCTGTGCGGTTCTGCCGTCTTTCAGGCCTCCGTGTTTCCGTGGGAGAGAGAGAGAGCGCACAGGTCACCCACCCCCGGGGCACTGCAAGTGTTAACCGCCCTCCCCCACCCCCACTGGCTGCAGGCCCCAGTCCTGCGGGTGTGAGGAGAGCTCAGACTTTGGAAACTGAATAATGCTGCTCTCGCCTTCCTGCATGGGGGTAGGGAAAGGAAATGCTTTAGTGAGATTGCAAAGCAGGAAAAAAAAAAAAGGTCAATCAGTAACTCTTTTCTCTGTATCCATTAGAGATTGCTGGTGAGACAGCAGCCACTGCTCCCAGGCCCGACAACAGGGGCAGCACCAAAGCTGGTCAGTGTTTCCTCCTTACAGGTAAGGGACGTGGGGAAGAGGAGAGAACTTGACGGCCTTGCTTATTAATTCAGAAAATGTATTAAGGTTGGGTGTGTGGGGGAGTGTGCAGTGAGCAGATAGGGAATCCACAGGCTGTGACCCAGATCCTTGTTTGGGGCAGAGAGACCCGGGCACAGGCACGTAGCACACGGCGTCGGACGGCTCCTGTGCCCGGTTCTGTGCAGAGCCCTGAACAGGACAGTTCTCACAACAGCCCAGCAGCCTCAGTGAATGTCCTGTGGACACCTGAGGGACGCTGAGAGGTAGACCATGGTCCTCAAGGTCACGCAGTTGCTAAGTGAGGGAGTGGAAGTGACTGACTCCCCTGGCCTGACTCAGAACCCACAAACGCGGAAATCCAAACTTCTGAGGCTGTTCCTTCTCTTGGATGTGCATGTATTTCTTCGTTCCTTGAGTAATGATTGCATTTTACTATGGGCTGGAGGCTGAGAGAGGCTCAAGGCCACATGTGGTAACATCACACATGGCTCCAGACTCAACAGATAATATGACAGTCCTATTGCACTTCTAGAAATTCAGGATAAAAAAATAATAATGTGCGTACCCAGGGAGAAAAAATGACAAAGCACCCATCACAAATATTTATGCCCCAAATAACATACCCAAATAACATGCTTTACCATTTTTGTAAGAAGCAAAAATTGGTTAAAAGTACAAAAAGGAATAGCGAGAAACACCACGAAAAGGGATTCTCTAAACTTTTAAACGATCAGGTAAAATGAAATTTGTTTATTAAGTTGATGTCTTGGTCTGTTTTCTGTTGCTATAACAGAACACCTGAGACAGGGTAATTTACAATGGAAAGGAATTTATTTCTTATAGTTCTGGAGACTGGGAGGTCTCCAGAAGGGGCAGCATCTGGTGAGGGCCTTCCTGCTGGTGGGGACTCTCTGCAAGGTCCCATGGGGGTGCAGGAACTTACTTCTTACAGTTCTGGAAGCTGGGAAGTCTCCAGAAGGGGCGGCATCTGGTGAGAGCCTTCCTGTTGGTGGGGACTCTGCAAGGTCTCATGGGGGTGCAGGCATCTCAGAGTGAGGAGGCTGAGCCTGCAAGTCAAGCCCTCCCTTTCTCCCCTTGGAAAGCTGCTCCTTCCCACCCTCACGACCTCATCTAATCCTAATCACATCCCAAAGCTTCCAACTCTCCAATAGCAGAGGCAGATTTCCTATCCTCTTACTGTCACCATGGGGATTAAGTTTCAACAGGAGTTTGGGAGAGGACAAACATTCAAACCTTGGCAGTTGACTTAATGGATACAAACAAAAGTTATATTACAAATGGAAATTCAAGGGTGGTGTCAACACAGATGCCACCTTCTCCCCCTTGTTTTCAGGGACTAGGCTTTATTTCCAACCTTGGCCTTCTCAAGGAGACTAGTTGAAGGCCTGCCATCCTGGAGGGACCTGGCCAGCCCCAGCCCCAGCCCACCCTGACAGCTCTAGAGCTGTCCTTCCGTTAGATGGCCCCCTATACCCTGAAGCCTTAAACGACACCCAACACCATGATCCTACTGGATAGTGCCCTAAAATGCTCCTGGGTCATTTCATGCCTGGAAGGCAGGAGGAAGCTAAAATCCCACCGTTTTCTCCACTTGTTGGACTGTCTGCCCCATGAGGGAACAAAAGCTCCATCGACGAGCGTGGATCCAGAAGCCCAGGCAATCAGGCTGGAGCCTTCCTTACTTCTGCTGTCTGCAGTGACCACTCTGGATTTGGGATCCAGCCTCCCTGAGACTGTAAACATCTGGGTGAGAGCCAGCCGTGGCTGAGCCCATAATTACTGGCTGCAGCCTCCCTACGGCGGCACAGAGGAGGTGGGTGGAGAATGGTTACCAGGGCCTGTGTGATATGAGTCCCTAAAAACACTCTCAATCAATGGGCAGATTGAGCCTTCTCAAACCATGTCACATACCAGCATCTGTGACATGTGGTCCAAATCAAGTTGGCTTAGCCTTCCATCTGGAAGGATATCATTAGAGGTAGTTGAAACCAGGAAACTTCACACCAAAGACATGAGTCCACAGTTTGAGACAATGTGGTATTCACTTCCAGCTCCATACAGTCCTTGGGTAAATGGTGGCTTAATGTTTGGCCTCAGAAGACTTTGCTCTTTTACTAGAGGCTAAATTTGTCCCCGAGTGCCCATGGCCCTGTGGAAAACTTGGGCTAAGACTTCAGATATGACTTAACTTTTGGTCAAGATACAGACATGCATTCATGCAAGTAAACAGACGCATGCCTGTGTGTCTGCCGCATGCAGGGGGTGGTGGGGAGAGGAGAAGGAAACCCACAGTTTCTCTGTTGTTTCAGGGACCTGTTTCAGGCCTAAAGTTTCCTAAAACAGTCATGCACGTGTTTGTTCTCCATTCTCACTTCACTCTGAGCACTGTGAGTCCAGCTTCACGGCAAAGCCCTGTGTGCGGTGAGCAGTGGTTCACTCCTGGCTTTTGTACATGCAGGTCTGAAGGTGCTGCAGAGGAGGGTGCTTCCCAGAGATCACCCCTGTGACAGACAGATCGATTGAAGGACCCCTGAATGGCTGAATTGAGAAGAACAAGCATATTAGGAGGCCATACAATGGGAGCCTCTCAGGCAGACAGACAAAGCCGTGGAAACTGCAGACTTATTTGTATGTTCTGGTAAACACCTTTGCTTCATTTTCCCCGTCTCCGCCTGGACTGAGGGTCACCTCACCTCTCCTGGTGTCCAGAGCCTCCTTCAGGACAGATGTTGCAAACCTGAGTTCTCACAAACAGCGGGGTCCAGCCCTTCTCAACACTGGAAAGCCCTTGAGCCATCTTTGATTTGTGTGTTTTGATCTAATTGCACTACTGCTTGCAATGCTTGTTTTTAGCGGTGAGTGCTGGTTTAATTTGTTTCTTTCTGGTCTCCCAGCCCCACTCCAGAATTTTGGCTCCTGGAGAGGAGGGGCCCTGAACTGGCATTTTCAGTGAAGCATCCCAGTGCCTTGAATCCAGTAAGCAGCCAGGTGTCTGTTGGCTTCATGGTTTAACAACCTACCATTTGAAGAATCGCAGAGATGAATTAAAAAGAGCCCCGGAGAGGCTCCCCGATCCAGTTGCACTTCCTGCTTAAGCAAAGTAAAGAAAAACAGGAATGAAAACATAACCCAATGGGTTAGTTCCATGCTGGCCATTGATGAGGTTGCAGCCACCATCAGAAGAAGGCCAAACGGTTAGAAAGACACGGCGGTGAGGAAGATGAGCCTCATTATCGACTGTCACCTGCAGCCCTGCACAGGTGCTCAGAATCTAACACTTGATGGCTGGTTGAGATTCCCGGAGTCCTAATTAGGAATGAGGAGTCAGGCTGGCAGGACCCAGGGAAAGCAAAAAGAGAAGGCAGAGAAGCTCCAAGTCTGCCTGTCTTCGTGATCCAGAACACGTAGTCCTGCTGCACAAGTAACTCACAATCTTCCTGTGTCCAGCTGTCATTAGACCCTTGGCTGATAGAAAAATGCAAGTTAGCACACTGCAGCCTCGGTGTCGTCAGTACTGCACGTCACTCTCTCCAGCACACCGCGGCCTCGGCGTCATCAGCACTGCACGTCGCTCTCTCCAGCACACCGCGGCCTCGGCGTCGTCAGCACTGCACGTCGCTCTCTCCAGCACACCGCGGCCTCAGCGTCATCAGCACTGCACGTCGCTCTCTCCAGCACACCGCGGCCTCGGCGTCGTCAGCACTGCACGTCGCTCTCTCCAGCACACCGCGGCCTCGGTGTTGTCAGTACTGCACGTCGCTCTCTCCAGCACACAGCACAAGCACCATCCTATCAAGTCCCCAGCAAGCCTTTGTCTCCTTGCAGTCAGCTCCTCTCTTGCTGGCCTGCCTGTTGCCTCCTTGCTGTGTATTTTCCTACTTTCTCTAATTTGCCTTTTTTTTTTATTTTTGAGATGAAATTTTGCCTCAGCCTCCCAAGTAGCTGGGACTACAGGTGCGTTTCACCACGTCCATCTAATTTTTGTATTTTTCGTAGAGACGGGTTTTCACCATGTTGGCCAGGATGGCCTTACCTCAAGGACCTCCTGATCCGCCTGCCTCGGCCTCCCAAAGTGTTGGGATTACAGGCATGAGCCACTGCACCTGGCCTAAATCTGCCTTTCTTAACCTACAATTGTCTTTACCCTGAGCCGCTGGCCCCAGATAGTCGCTGCTCACCCATGACAATATTTCACCACTGAGATCATTTATCCTCAAAAAAATGAGTAGAATGGCCACGGAATTGTGTGCAAAGAATGAAGGAGCAAAACAGTCTTGGAGTCTTAGGAGCAAAACATCTGCATTACTAATATCCTCCCAAGTCCACCAAGCCTCAGCTAGGAACGGTTCCCCACTTGTGAAGTGTCTGATAAGTTCTAGTTTCCTTCCTTCCTTTCTTCCTTCCTTCCTTCCTCTCTCTCTTCTTTCTTTCTCTTTCTCTCTTTCTTTTCTTTCTCTTTACCTTTCTTTCTTTCCTTTCTTTCTATCTTTCTTCTCTCAATCTTTCTTTCTCTCTCTCTCTTTTTGACAGTCTCACTCTGTTGTTCAGGCTGGAGTACAGTGGCACAATCTCAGCTCACTGCAACCTCTGCGTCCCAGGTTCAAGCAATTCTCCTGCCTCAGCCTCCTGAGTAGCTGGGATTACAGGCTCTCGCCACTACATCCAGCTGATTTTTGTATTTTTAGTAGAGGTGGGGGTTTCCCCAAGTTGGCCAGGCTGGTCTCGAACTCCTGACCTCAGGTAATCCGCCCACCTCAGCCTCCCAAAGTGCTTGGATTACAAGCGTGGACCACCACACCTGGCTCATTGATTCATTTATTCATCTGATAGGTATTTATTGAACATAAAGTGCCACAGACCGGGTGGCTTAAATGACAGAGATTTATTTTCTAACAGTTCTGGAAGCCGGAAGTCTGAGATCAAGGTGCCGGCAGGACTGCTTCCTCCAAGCCCTCTCTTTTTGGCTTGTAAGAGCTGTCTTCTCTCTGTGTCCTCACAAGGTCGCCCTCCGTGCGTGTCTGTGTCCTCATCTCCTCTTATTACGGAGACACCAGTCCTACTGGATTAGCTCCCATGCTGGTGACCTCATTCTACCTTAATTACCTCCATAAATGCCCTATCTCCAAACACAGTCACATTATGACATCCTGGGGGTTGGACTTCGACGTGTGAGTTTGGGGGGATGCAACCCAGCCCACAATAAACAGCAAATACGATTAGAGCTTCTCACAGATACAAAGCCATTGTCGTGCAGCTCATGCCCTCCTCGGGGGAAGAAGCCAGTAAGTCACAGAGATCAGTAACGCAGGTGGGGACGAAGGTGTAGAGGAGAGCCAGGCACGGAGGCCTGTTGGAGTGCGGGTGCTTTGCAATTTTAGAAGCCGAGGTCTAGGGGAGGCCGGACTTGAAAGACGACGTCTGGGCCAAGTGCAGAGAAAGGTGGCGGATGAGCTGGAAGGAAGCCTGGGAGAAGGCACTTTGGGCGTAGGGTTTTGAGACACAGCTGTGTTTTGCCCGTGGCACGGGAGCTCTGGGGCCGGCATGGCCCGTGTGGCCTAGGTGGAGGTGGGAGGGGAGGCGGGAGAAGGGGTGCCCTCGAGATCTCGGGAGGCACTGGCCACGGAGAGCCCTCGGGCTGTTACTTCTACTATTGCCTTTTACCAGTTAAAAGCATCCTCCCATGCAAAGGCTTGAGAAGGATACAGTGGACTCTGGGGACTCGGTGGGGAAGGGTGGGAAGAGGGTGAGGGATAAATGACTACGAATTAGGTGCAGTGGATACTGCTCGGGTGATGGGTGCGCCAAAAT
Organism: Homo sapiens; assembly: GCF_000001405.40. Taxonomy (NCBI): domain Eukaryota; kingdom Metazoa; phylum Chordata; class Mammalia; order Primates; family Hominidae; genus Homo; species Homo sapiens. The sequence goes on from NC_000016.10 coordinate 86,740,760, forward strand.
CTCACAAATCACCACCAAAGAACTTACGTAATCAAACCCCACCTGTTCCCCAAAAACCAATGGAAATGAATTTTAAAAACAAAAACAAAAAGCATCTCCTCAACATTGTGTTCGAAGAGAGGCAGCTGCCAGGACCTCGCTGTTCCTCACCCTCGGAAGCCGTGCCTCTTCTCTGGGCCCTTGGTCTGGCATCCCCGGCCAGTGCAGCCCCTTCAACCGTGGGGTAGGTGGCGGGCGGAGGGGCCAGCCTGGCTGCCTGGCATCCCCATGGTTCCTGTAATAAATAACAAGCCTAACTGACAAATTTGCTGTTTTCTTATACGACTGCCACGCACACTACAAAGTGTGAGGCAAACCGCAAGTCATCGGCATCACAGCAAAACAAAAACACACACACAACAGAAGAAACCACGCTGGTGAGGTCAGCAGGGTAAGTTCTGCCTTGTAGGGTTTGCTGGGAAAAAAAAAAAAAAAAAACGTGGAGAAGGAGACGTGGGGGCGGGGAGGGCTGAGGTCAGAGCCAATATTGAAAGAAATCTATTTGTGGCTGTGGGAGGGATGGGGACGGCGGCAGGAATTTAAAGAGGCAGAAGTTCATTTCCTGTGATTTATGGGACTTTGCTGACTTTCACGCTCCGGTTCTAGGGACAGGGAGACCCTCCCTGCGGGAGCCGCTGCTAGAGGGAAAGGCAGCGTTGGATCGGATGCCGGCCCCAGCCTGGGAGACGTGCTTCCTCTGCAGCCTGTGATCAGGAGCGAAGTGTAGAGACCAGAATCGTTCAGAGGCAGGGCTGGTCCCTGTTGATTTATGACTCAGGCAAACAGTCCATTCATCCGTCAGCGGCTCCACTTCTATCCTCAGCTTACTGGAGGCAGAAGAATGTCCCCTGGAAGTGGTCTGAGCTGCTTCCTGTGGTGGCCCCATTCCTCCGGGTGGGGGATCCTATTTTTAGAGGGCCACCATTGCCATGAAGGTCCAGCCGGCTCATCGGCACCGTGCGGCATGGTGGGACGCAGTACTGAAATTCGAGGGGGAGCTAGGCATTCATAGCTGTTTCTTACAAACAAGAAAGGCACTGATTCTGAGGCTCCATTTCCTCCTCTGTAGGTGGAAGATAGAGGAGGCTATACAGGGAGGCTCAGCTGTGCCTGACACACAACAGAGATTCTCCAGGAACAGGACATGAATGAATACAAAATCAAATAGGTGATTTCCCTCTTCCTCCAGCAGACAAACCCAGAATAGCAAAGATCACTTCCATGCGCGTCCGTGTGAGGAGACCACACAACAGGCTTTGTGTGAGCAATAAAGCTGTTTATTTCACCTGGGTGCAGGTGGGCTGAGTCCGAAAAGAGTCAGCGAAGGGAGATAAGGGTGGGGCCGTTTTATAGGATTTGGGTAGGTAAAGGAAAATTACAAAGGGGGTTTGTTCTCTGGCGGGCAGGAGTCGGGGTCGCAAGATGCTCAGTGGGGGTGCTTTTGGAGCAAGGATGAGCCAGGAAAAGGACTTTCCCAAGGTAATGTCATCAGTTAAGGCAAGGACCGGCCATTTACACTTCTTTTGTGGTGGAATGTCATCAGTTAAGGTGGGGCAGGGCATATTCACTTCTTTTGTGATTCTTTAGTTACTTCAGGCCATCTGGGCGTATATATACGTGCAGGTCACAGGGGATGCGATGGCTTGGCTTGGGCTCAGAGGCCTGACATTCCTGCCTTCTTAATAAGACAAATAAAACAAAATAGTGTTGAAGTGTTGGGGCGGTGAAAATTTTTGGGGGGTGGTATGGAGAGAGAACGGGCGATGTTTCTCAGGGCTGCTTCAAGCAGGATTAGGGGCGGCGTGGGAACCTAGAGTGGGAGAGATTAAGCTGAAGGGAGGTCTTGTGGTAAGGGGTGATACTGTGGGGATGTTAGAAGAAACATTTGTCGTATAGAATGATTGGTGATGGCCTGGATACGGTTTTGGATGAATTGAGAAACTAAATGGAATAAGAGAAGGAGAAAAACAGGTATAAAAGGTCTAAGAATTGGGATGTCTCAGGACATCTGATTAGAGAGCGCCTAAGGAGATTCAGCATAGTCCTGCCAGCAAAGATTATTTATTTACTTCAAGAGTTAAGAGTGGCAGTTTGGGGATAGCACCAGGAGATATCAGCTGTGATGGCTTGAAGAAACAGTGTAAACCGGCAGTGTAAACAAGAGCAGGGCATGTATGAGTAGTTGAGAACGGTGAATAGGAGTATGGCTAGACAGAAGATAGTAGGGATGACAAGTTTTTTTGGGGCACAGTCTAAGTTGGTCTGGTGTCTGGAATGAGACTGGGGCCTAATAAAAAGGAGCGTCTATACAGGAGCTTAAATGGGCGGTACCCTGTAGCATTCCGAGGACAGGCCTGAATTCTGAGAAGGGAAAGTGGTAAAAGTATTGTCCAGTCCTTTTTAAGTTGGTGGCTGAGCTTGGTGAGGTGTGTTTTTAAAAGACCTTTAGTCCATTCTACTTTTCTTGAAGACGGAGGACCGTAAGGGATATAAAGGTTTCACTGAATACTAAGAGCCTGAAAAACTGCTTGGCTGATTTGACTAATAAAGGCTCATCTGTTGTCAGACTGTATTGAGGTGGGAAGGCTAAACTGAGGAATTATGTCTGACAGAATGGAAGAAATGACTGCGATGGCCTTCTCAGACCCTGTAGGAAAGGCCTCTACCTATCCAGTGAAAGCATCTCCCTAGACTAAGAGGTATTTTAGTTATCTGACTCAGGGCATGTTGAGTAAAGCTAATTTGCCAGTCCTGGGTGGGGCAAATCCTCGAGCTTGATGTGTAGGGAAGGGAGGGGGCCTGAATAATCCCTGAGGAGTAATAGAATAGCAGATGGAACACTGAGAAGTTATTTTCTTGAGGATAGATTTCCACGATGGAAAAGAAATGAGAGGTTCTAAGAGGCTGGCTAGTGGCTTGTACTATAGCATAACCTGCCTTTGCTGGTGTGTGGCGATTAGGCCTGGTGGAACCGCCATCAGTAAATCAAGCGTGATCAGGGTGAGGAACAGGAAGGAAGGAAATTTGGGGAAATGGGGTGAATGTCAGGTGGATCAGAGAGATACAGTCATGGGGGTCAGGTGTGGTATCAGGAATAATGTGGGAGGCCGGATTGAAGTCTGGGCCAGGAACAACGGTAATTGTGGGAGACTCAACAAAGAGTGAGTACAGCTGAAGGAGCCGGGGAGCAGAAAGTATACGTGTCAGGTATGAGGAAAAGAATAGATTTTGGAAGTTATGAGAACTGTAGAGAGTGAGTTGAGCATAGTTTGTGATTTTGAGGGCCTCTAAAAGTATTAAAGCAGCGGCAGCCGCTGCACGCAGACATGAGGGCTAGGCTAAAACAGTAAGGTCAAGTTGTTCGGACAGAAAGGCTACAGGGTGTGGTCCTGGCTCTTGTGTAAGAATTCTGACTGTGCTAACCATGCCTAGGAAGGAAAGGAGTTTGTTGTTTTGTAGAAGGTGCTTGGGTTTGAGAGATCAGTCGGACACGATTGGCAGGGAGAGCACGTGTGTTTTTATGAGAATTATGCCGAGATAGGTAACAGTTGAGGAAGACATTTGGGCTCGATTGAAGTAATGGGGGCTGTCCGTGAAGCTTTGCGGCAGTACAGCCTAGGTAATTTGCTGAGCTTGATGGGTGTCAGGGTCAGTCCAAGTGAAAGCGAAGAGAGGCTGGGATGAAGGGTGCAAAGGAATAGTAAAGAAAGCATGTTTGAGATCCAGAACAGAATAATGGGTTGTAGAGGCAGGTATTGAGGATAGGAGAGTATATGGGTTTGGCCCCACGGGGTGGAGAGGCAAAACAATTTGGTTGATAAGGCGCAGATCCTGAACTAATCTGTAAGACTTGTCCGGTTTTTGGACAGGTAAAATGGGGGAATTGTATGGAGCGTTTATAGGTTTTAGAAGGCCATGCTGTAGCAGGCGAGTGAGAACAGGCTTTAATCCTTTCAAAGCATGCTGTGGGATGGGATATTGGCATTGAGCGGGGTAAAGGTGATTAGGTTTTAATGAGATGGTAAGGGGTGCATGATTGGTCACCAAGGAGGGAGTAGAGGTATCTTATACTTGTGGGTTAAGGTGGGGGGATACAAGAGGACACAAAGGAGGCTTTGGGTTGGGGAGAAGGGCAGCAGTGAGATGCAGCTGTAGTCCAGGAATAGACAGGTAAGCAGATAATTTAGTTAAAGTGTCTCAGCCTAATAAGGGAACTGGGCAGGTGGGGATAACTAAAAAGGAGTGCTTAAAAGAGTATTGTCTAAGTTGGCACCAGAGTGGGGGAGTTTTAAGAGGTTTAGAAGCCTGGCCGTCAATACCCACAACAGTTATGGAGGCAAGGGAAACAGGCCCTTGAAAAGAAGGTAATGTGGAGTGGGTAGCCTCCACATCGATTAAGAAGGGGACGGACTTACCTTCCCCTGTGAGAGTTACCTAAAGCTCGGCGTCCGTGATGGTCTACGGGGCTTCCGAGGCGATCGGGCAGCGTCAGTCTTCAGCCGCTAAGCCGAGAAGGAGTCAGTCAGAGAGCCTTGGGCCAGCGTTCCAGGGGCTCTGCGAGTGGCTGCCAGGTGAGTTGAACAGTCCAATTTCCAGTGGGGTCCCGCACAGATGGGACACGGCTTAGGAGGAATCCTGGGCTGCAGGCAGTCCTTGGCCTCGTGGTCAGATTTCTGGCACTTGTAGCAAGGTCCTTGGGGAGGAGGTTCTGGAGGAACGTCTGGCCACTGCGGTTCAGGCGTTTGGAAGTTCTTGTGTGCTGGAGATGTGGCTGGGGTTTGTCTCACAGTGGAGGCAAGGAATTGCAACTTTTTTCTATTATTGTAAACCTTGAAGGCGAGGTTAATTAAATCCTGTTGTGGGGTTTGAGGGCCGGAATTTAATTTTTGGACTTTTATTTAATGTCGGGAGCAGATTGGGTAATAAAATGTATATTGAGGATAAGACGGCCTCTTGACCTTTTAGGGTCTAGGGCTGTAAAGTGTCTCAGGGTTGCTGCCGAACGAGCCATGAACTGGGCTGGGTTTTTATATTTGATGAAAAAGAGCCTGAACGCTATCTGATTTGGGATAAAGAAAAAGGAGCATTAACCTCGACTATGCCTTTGGCTCCAGCCACCTTTTTAAGAGTAAATTGCTGGGCAGGTGGGGAAGAGATGGTCGCGGAACTAAACCGTAAGCCGGACCGGGTGTGAGGAGGGGAGGTGATAGAAGGATTATAGGGTGGAGGAGTGGAGGCTGAGGAAGAATTGGGACTTAGCTCGGCCTGGTGACGAGCAGCCTGGGGAGGAGGGGAAAGGTCAGATGGGTCTGTAGAAAAGGAAGACTGGGAAGACTCAGCAATGCTTGGGGTTGGGACTGAGGGGACAGGCGGGAGGGAAAGGAGGAGGATCTGGGACGAGTTGCGCTGGGCACACAGTCTAGGAAGGGACTGATGTGTAAAAGAATGCCTGGATGTCAGGCACCTCAGACCATTTGCCCATTTTACAACAAGAATTATTTAGATCTCGTAGGATGGAAAAATGGAAAATGCCATTTTCCGGCTATTTGGAACTACTGTCGAGTTTGTATTGGGGTCAAGTGGCATTGCAGAAGAAAATAAGGCATTTAGGTTTTAGGTCAGGTGTGGGTTGAAGAGGTTTTAAGTTTTTGAGAACACAGGCTAAGGGAGAAGAAGGAGGAATGGAAGGTGGAAGCTTACCCATAGTGAAGGAGGCAAGCCCAGAGAAAAGAGAAGAGACACGGAGAAGGGGTAGGGGTTTCTTGCCTTCCAGAAAAGCAGAGAAAGGGTTGGGGCATGGAAATAAGGAATTGGGGCACAGAGATAAGAGGTTGGGGTGCGGAAATAAGCCATTGGGGGGTTCTTGCCCCTTAGGAAAGTGGGACTTGCCGCTAAGGGTGAAGGAGAAGGGGTTGAGGGGTACTTGCCCCTGCCCCAGGAAAGCGGGACTTGTCGCTGAGGGTGAAGGACCAAGGCAGGTGTCCCTGCATGGTCTGACACCCTTGAAATGTGTGTGTATAATCAGAGAGGCGTCCCTGCAGTGATTAAACACCAAGGGAAGGCTGCCTTCCCAGTCCGTGACCTGCGCCGGAGTTTGGGTCCATGGCTAAAACGTGTCCCTTTTGTCTCTACCAGAAAATGAAAGGAATTGAAATTAAGAGAAGGGAGAGATTGAAGTGTGGCGCCAAAATTGAAAGGAGAAAGAGGTTGAGGGATAGTGAGGGAAGTTGGAGAAGAGAGTAAAAAGAGGCCGCTTACCGGATTTGAAATTGGTGAGATGTTTCTTGGGCTGGTCGGTCTGAGGACCCGATGTCGTAGGTGGATCTTTCTCACGGAGCAAAGAGCAGGAGGACGAGGGATTGATCTCCCAAGGGAGGTCCCCCGATCCGAGTCACGGCACCAAATTTCATGCGCGTCCGTGTGAAGAGACCACCAAACAGGCTTTGTGTGAGCAATAAAGCTGTTTATTTCACCTGGGAGCAGGTGGGCTGAGTCTGAAAAGAGAGTCAGAGAAGGGAGATAAGGGTGGGGCCGTTTTATAGGATTTGGGTAGGTAAAGGAAAATTACAGTCAAAGGGGGTTTGTTCTCTGGCGGGCAGGAGTGGGGGTCGCAAGGTGCTCAGTGGGGGAGCTTTTTGAGCCAGGATGAGCCAGGAAAAGGACTTTCACAAGGTAATGTCATCAGTTAAGGCAAGGACCGACCATTTATACTTCTTTTGTGGTGGAATGTCATCAGTTAAGGTGGGGCAGGGCCTATTCACTTCTTTTGTGATTCTTCAGTTACTTCAGGCCATCTGGGCGTATATGTGCAAGTCACAGGGGATGCGATGGCTTGGCTTGGGCTCAGAGGCCTGACAATCACCCCATGAACTAATGCAACCATATCAGGCAGATTGCACCCCCCTTTCTGTCTTTTGTTCTCCCCCAGGCGCACTTGCCAGCTTCCTCTTTCTACGTCCTCCTGGGCATACCCAGCCTTCATCATGAAGTTGTGTCTATTTTCCACTCACACGCTTCCCAGGAAGAGTCCTGGACAGCGTATCAGGATCTCTCATTTTCTTGCTTGAACTCACTGCAGGCTCATCTTGTGGCGAGGCTCACCACCCACCATGCCAGGTCTTGTCAGTGCCCTGGGGCAGCGTGGATGGGCTGCCCATGCTTTCAGCTAACAGACAGCAGCAAAGGCCATCGCCTCCTTCTGACGGAATCAGAAGGTGGAACCAGGCCAGTGTAGGGTGGGACCAGAACTGATGTCTGGACACACGACCCGTAGACTGTCCCTGCCATTGGAGAGCTGGGGACCGCGCCACAGGAGGCTGCGTGGTTATCGCCTGTGAGCCACGAAGACCTTCATTTCCTCATCTGTGTTTACTTTGTGTCTCCTCTGAATGTGATCCTATGTTCTGGGTGGTGGTTGTTTCCCGAAATGGCTGCATTTCAAATATGCTGTTCTTTTCCCATCAATAGTTTCTTGCCAGCTGGGTGCAGTGGCTCACGCCTGTAATCCCAGCACTTTGGGAGGCCGAGGCAGGTGGATCATGAGGTCAAGAGCTCGAGACCAGCCTGGCCAACATGGTGAAACCCCGTTTCTACTAAAAATACAAAAATCAGCCAGGCGTGGTGGCCCGTGCCTGTAGTCCCAGCTACTCGGGAGGCTGAGGCACGAGACTCACTTGAACCCAGGAGGCGGAGGTTGCAGTGAGCCAAGATTGTGCCACTGCACTCCAGCCTGGGTGACAGAATGAGAATCTGTCTGAAAGAAAGAAAGAAAGAGAAAAAGAAAGAAAAAAAATTTCTTGCCTTGGTTTGAGTTGCCAGGAGCAAATTCTAGATCAAGGATTCACATATTTGGGAGGTGATCCCTGGCCACACCTGTAGAAGGGTGGGAGGGGAGGCAGGGAAGGGAAGGGCCCATTGAGGGCGTGTGATCCCACCCAGCATCACTCAGGGCATTTGGACCTGAATCCCGCTGGGGGGCCCTGGATTACAGTGTATACCCCTGCCCCAGTTACCCCAGCTCCCTTCAGTCAGTGGCCGAGAGATGTTCAGGGACAGCTGTGGCTGGGACCTGATGATCCACCAGCCCTGGGGCAAGGCACAGTCAGGCACATTGATTCCAGGCTTTGGTAACTGGGGGATGTTGGTGCTAGAAGCAGAAGAACATAGGCAAGCAGGCATTCCTGCATAGGAATATCACTGGGCTAGAGCAGACCTTTCTCATCTGTAAGAAAAAAGCTATTAATGCCTACCTCCCCACCCCCAGCTAATGTCAATGCTCTACAAGCTTCTAGCCTGTCGTATAACTTACAACTCTTGCTTTATGGTTATGCAAAGACCATAAACTATTTAAACCTCGCTAACACCATTGTGTCATCCCAGTCATGGATAGGCTGGCTATGCCTAGGAGGATGTAGAAAGAGAGGGGCTGGAGGGGCAGGGGAGCTGCTGAGGGGCCTTGCTAGCCACGGTAAGTGCCACCGTGTGATGTTGGCTCCTGGACTCTGAAAGCCAGGGGGAAACACTTGCCTGCACTTTATCCTATAGGTGGGAGGTAGCCTCCAAGGGCTTTGTTCAAGGCATGGAGTGCTAAGAACTGGGCTTTGGGCCAGCAGAAGGCCGTGAATGAGGTTCCCATCACCTGTGCCCTACCTGGCCTTGGCTGTCCACTGGTCCATCGCCTCCTGGGGCTGTCCCCACAGAACCCTGCCAGCATCCCTGGCAAGCGTGTGTTTGGCGTGGACTCGTGGCCAGGTGTGCTCGTGTACACATGCGTGAGCAGTGATGCGTATCAGAGCCCCCTGAGATGCATATTTTCTTAGAGGTCAGATACAGAGATGTGGACTCACAGAGCTCAACGGGGAGCAGGGAAGGGACTGAACATGAGTTATATTAGCCAAGCCCAACCCCCACTTTATTTTTCCATGCCTGAAAATAATCATACCTTTTTAGTCGTGTGAAGCCTAGTACTCCAGGAAAAAGGCACGGAGATTTAAGAAGCCCTGAATACGGTTTTGGCCAAGCACTACCTCCTAGATTCCCCTGCAACATTCTGAGACTTGGAGAGAAGAGGGGGAGAAGACCCCAGCTGTCATTCTCTGTATTGTCCATTTCTTCTCCCTTGTTCCACATTCATTCCCTAACATCCCTCTGCAAGTTGCTTTTCGTTTAAACACCGCACGTAAAAGCACAGTGTCTGGTTTTGGTGGCACAGGTCATCTATTGCAAAAGGATGTCTAAGAGGTATAACTACAGTGTGCTTTCGGGGACTTCCCAAGGAGGGATAACTAGGGTGTGCTTTGGGGGACTTCCCAAGGGGGCCTGAAACAAAGGAACAGATACAAAGCCTGTGGGACCTGTGCAGCCCTAAGCTGGAAGATTTCCAGCCAAGTAACAGCAGTTAGGGGAGAAAGATCTTTAATATATTCCAATCAGACCAAGTCAAAGTGAGCTCAAAGTCACTTCTTGATAAACGTCTGAAAAGACAAAAGTCTGTCTTTAGTCCTGTATCTTCCTCTGTTTAAACTTTTCTTTTTATTTATTTATTTATTTATTTATTTATTTATTTATTTATTTATTTTTTAGATGGAGTCTTGCTTTGTCACCCAGGCATAAGATACGCAGTGGCATAATCTCAGCTCACAGCAACCTCTACCTCCCGGGTTCAAGCAATTCTCCTGCCTCAGCCTCCTGAGTAGCTGGGACTACAGGTGTGCACCACCACACCCAGCTAATTTTTGTTTTGTTTTGTTTTGTTTTGTTTTGTTGTATTTTTAGTAGAGACAGGGTTTCGCCATGTTGGCCAGGCTGGTTTCAAACTGCTGACCTCAAGTGATCTGCCCACCTCAGCCTCCCAAAGTGCTGAGATTACAGGCGTGAGCCACTGTGCTGTGCCTGGCCTTCTCCTTTATTTTAAAGCAACTCCTTTCCCCTACATCCTTGGCCCTCCCCACCATCCACCCATCTGTGATCTTGTGGACCCTCAGCTCCTCTGCCCTACCAAAACTTATTCAAAGGAAAAAGCAGGAAAAAGAAAAAAAGATGTCAGTCATTTACATGTTAGTATAAATAAGCTGTGGAAGGATTCCTTTTCTGGGCTGAGCTTGGCCTTTTGGTGCCAGTTGCTTCAGGGCTTGACCCAGCAGGTGAGCTGTAGCTGAGCCCGTCTATAGCTGTGGTGGCTCCTGCCTGGGGTAGATGTAGACACTTTTCCAGTTGCAAACTCATCAAAGATGTTTGTGCACACATGTGTGCATGCACATTGGGTCCGCGCATGTGTGCCTGAAACACTGCCCGGGTTGCCCTCCAGAAAGGAAACAAGTGTGCATTCACACATTGGAACAAGCCAGCCATGTCTCTCCGTAGCAAGAGAGGAAGCGGGGACTCCAGCATTTTTTTTAAATGGTAGTGGGCACTGACTCAAAGACGCCTGTTAAGAAAAACTCCATGTTCCTCTCTCTGCTGACTCATTTGGTAAGAATTACAAACCCAGATGCCAACATGTGGCCAACCACATGAGCCTGCACTGAGGAATAAAAGACAGGATCATTTGAGTTCTATGTGAACAAACAACAGAGATTCAGTTACATTTTCTCTCCATCTTTTTTTTTTTTCAATGTCAGGAATTTCAGCAGTTCCACATTAGGCATTCTGTGGGACCCCCTTGTGTCAGCAGCTCCAGATTGGAGGGAAGAGGCCACACACTGGCACCTCTTGTGTTATTTCTTAAGGAAGGGAGAGAGTCTTGCTATGTAATGGGGACAGGAAATCTAAAACCCTCAATTATCTGATTTTCCAGCTGAGTCCTCGAAGTAACAACATGGCCAAGGTTGGGAGGAGACTGGCCTGGGAGTCAGAAACCCTGGCTCTCGCCTCACCCTCCACTGCTGCCTTGCACCCTCATTTTCTTATCAGCAAGTGGGAGAGTTGGTGTGGCTCAGGGGAGGCAGTTCCAGGGCACACACCCCCAGCAGAGCCCTCCCCCGGCACCCTCTGTTGGCGGCCACGCATTCCCCCACTGACCTCAGCATCTTCCTCAACCCAGCTCTCTCTGAGCGATTAAGGATTCAGCAGAAACCTCTCTATTCTGTGTGGTGGTCACTGGTGCTGTTTGCCAACCATTTCCTGCCACGCCCATCCATCAGTCCCCATTGGGGCTGGGTGGGCACCTGACTAATTCAGCCAATGAAGGATGAGCCAGTGAAGAATGGGCTAGGGCGTTTAATTGCTGAATGGCGGCCTCCAAACCCCCTTTTGGGGGTCAGGGGAGCAACTGAAGTGGCCAAGACGGCCACCACTGCATGGGCCATGTCCTTGGGGGCTTCTGTGAATAGCAGCCCCTGCCTTCTGTGACGGGCCTGCAGCGTGAACAGGGAATGGCCTTTTCTCTCTTTAAACATAAACCTGGAGGTCAAGGTTGTTTGTGACCTGGGCGAGGCGCAACCTCTCCTCGATGATCCATCCCCTACAGCCCCATGCTCTGCAGCGTTTCAGGTCTGGGTCTGGTCACTGGACCATTCTGCCCGACTCCAAGCATCCCTCGGAGTTCATCACATCCTCACACCCAACCGGAGAGTTCATTGAAGGGACTCCCACGGAGTCAGCTCTCAGATCTGTGAACTGATCCTTTAGGCTCAAGTTTTTCAAGCATCGAGAGGCACCAAAGCCAGTGTTGGAAGCCGGAGCCCACAACTTCCAGGGCAGAACGCAGCGTGTTCAGGGGCCTCAAGTCACTCACGGATCTTAGCAAATAGCAGCTCTGTGTCCAGCTCTGTCTGCATAACACTTTCCATTTTGAAAAGCCATTTCTCCTCCCATTTTTCCTTAAGGCTCCTAACCCTGGGGTGTCCAGGGCTGTCCGAGCCTGTGTCTTTATTCCTAAACCTTTCCTCTAGACCAGCAGGAACCACGAAGCCTCTTCTGGCACTAAGCGATGTCTAAGGAGAGGGAAGCAGCGCTGCGTGGGCTGCCGGCTGATGCAATCCGACTCACCCAGAGGCTCCTCTCCTGCAGGACCCGAGCATCACTCAGCACCAACAGCGTGCACAGAGACAGGCGCTCCTTCCCTCGAGGGCCTCACAGACCGGGGATGGCAGAGTGGGCAGCAGAGAGGAGCCACCTGAGTGAGGCTTGGAGAGGAATCTGTCAGCCTCGAGGGCCCCAGCGAGAAGGCTGGCTTCCCGCAGCGAAGCTTTGGAAGAGAACCGGCGTCCCATGACGGTTCGTCCCTTTGGGGTCTGGCGGCCGGCCTCCGCAGCTGGGCTTTCTGTGTGCGCACTGGACACCTTGAAAAACCATCTGTAAGACGGGCAGCATAATCCACTCCTCATCACCTTGTGGAGGAGGGATGGAGACCCAGCTTGCTGAGGGCCTGAGCCTGGGGCCTGATGCCTTCTGAAAAACCCATCACACGGTAGCTGGTGTTCCCGTATCTCCAACAGGAAAGGGGCAGCTCGAAAATCTAATGCACCCCCCACACACATTTTATCCCTGCCACGCCTGGCCATAAGCCAACATGAGGACTTACTTTGGACATAGGAGGAGGCTTTTAGAAGCCTGACAAGTCTTTTTCTTCCCCCGCTTCAACTTTTATTTTAAGTTCCAGGCTACATGTGCAGGATGTGCAGGTTTGTTACATAGGTAAACGTGCGCCATGGTGGTTTGCTGCTCCTGTCAACCCATCACCTAGGTATTAAGCCCCTCATGCATTAGCTATTTATCCTGATGCTCTCGCTCCCCTCACACTCCTGAAACAGGCCGCGGTGTGTGTTGTTTCCCATCATGTGTCCACGTGTTCTCGTCGTTCAGCTCCCACTTATCAGTGACAACAGGCGATGTTTGGGTTTTCTGTTCCTGCGTTAGTCTGCTGAGGATAACGCCTTCCAGCACCATCCATGTCCCTGCAAAGAGGCTGACAAGTCTTAAAGGTGCGGCAGCTCCATCTAGCAAGCTTCCCGGCCCACGAGATGTTTGCCACGTGCACAGAGCCCTTCTGTTGAACATGCTCAGAGATGTTGAGGAGAAGAAACATTGAGGATGCTCTACTCTTGTTTATGGCCATTTACAACATTTCCATTTAAAAATTAGTTTTCCAAATTTTGTTCTGTAATGATGAAATCGTTCGCTGTACAGCGGGGACCTGGCACTGCACCCTGTTCCCTGGAGCTTTAGTGCGCACCCACGGGCACACATGTATCAGAACGCGCGCTGTGCAGAGTGAAGTCAGCTTGATTAGGTGGCACGGCCAACACCTCTCTACCCGCCTCATGGAGTTCGCAAGCCATTTTAACAGTGGAACGGGATTCCTGGCCATTTTTGTTCCCTCCTTTGCAATGTGCTGTTTTAGTTTTTTCTAAATTCTGTATGTGGGACACACATTACCTTTGTAATCCCATTTTGTGGTTAAAACAATAATGCTTCTTCAACTCTGTTTTCTTTTTTCCGAGACGGAGTCTCGCTCTGTTGCCCAGGCTGGGGTGCGGTGGTGCGATCTCTGCTCACTGCAACCTCTGCCTCCTGGGTTCACGCCATTCTCCTGCCTCAGCCTCCCAAGTAGCTGGGACTACAGGCGCCCGCCACGCCACCATGCCCGACTAATTTTTTATATCGTTTTTCTAGTAGAGATGGGGTTTCACCGTGTTAGCCAGGATGGTGTCGATCTCCTGACCTCATGATCCGCCTGCCTCGGCCTCCCATTGTGCTGGGATTACAGGCGTGAGCCACCACACCCGTCCTACATCTTCAACTCTTTTTAGGAACTTTTACATGCATTATCTCATTGCATTTCCACCACTCCCGTGAGGCACTTGGAGTTAGTGCCATCTTACAGATGGGGACATGGGCTCAGAGAGGTGCCGTGACTTGCCCAGGGGTGCACAGCTCACAAGAGGCTGAGCTAGAATTTGGAATTGTTTTTCATCCAGGACAGCTCTTTCTGTGGAACCGCAGCTGCCTCCTTTGACAGATTAAAGGTTCTTGGGGAAATATCACTGTTAGGATGACAGGTTTTCAGCCTTAGTTGGAAGAACCATTTTCTTGAGCAGGCAAGAGGTAGAATTCACTCTCCTTGAGAGAGGACCCTGAAAACAACTGAACCCTTTCTCCCTCTCCTTTCATGCTCAGCTTCAAAACAAATATATTTTGACTGTGTTTAGATTAAAAGAAAGTAGAGAGAGAGACATTTACTAGTGGTCGGTATTGTGTACACTCTGTAACTACAAAATCATTTCTATTTATTTGGAAAGGTCTAACCTCGTATTCTCTCAAACAACCCGTGTGATGGCCACAAAAAGGAAAACTCAGCAACAGTAGTGATCGTTGAAAATGGAGAACTTAGAGGACATGGAACTGAGTGTGGGGTTTGTTTTGTTTTTTTGACACGTGAGGGACTCAGATCATGGAAACTGCTGCTTTTCTAACTTCATGGTGCGAAAACACTTCTGTTCCAAGAACACCTGATACATAAAAAATACTGAGGATCCTCAAACTGTCCCTTCTGCGGGTCATAGCCATCAATATGTATCGTATTAGAAAATGAAACAAAGTAATTTTTAACGTATTCCACGTCTTGATTCACTTTAAAGTAATCATAAGCCCATTTCACATTAACACGAAAAATATATTTTTATAAGAAATAAGTATCTTACAAAACCAAAAAATGTGGTGAGGAGAGTGGCCCTGGTCCACATTTCTGCCTCTGTCTTTATTTGGTATCTGGCTTAGCAGAGTGTGGCTGGGTCCTTGCCCTCCACCGCTCTTTATCACAGCCAGTTTCCCGGAACTCACTGCCGCTCACCAACAGAGGAAGAAACCGAGGCCCAGAGGGTGGAAACCCGGGCCTGAAGTCACGCAGCTGTGAGCAGCCGAGGCCGGGCCTGGATCCAGCTCCATCTGACTCCAAACCCAGTGTTCTTCACCACTGCGCAGGGTCCTCCCCCAGGTGGATGGAGGCAGCAGTAAGGAATTGGATTGCAGCCTCTTTTTAAAAAATCTCCACCTGGCTTGGTGCCATGGCTCACGCCTGTAATCTCAGCACTTCGGAGGCCGAGGCTGGTGGATCGCCTGAGGTCAGGAGTTTGAGGCCAGCCTGGCCAACATGGTGAAACCCCGTCTCTACCAAAAATACAAAAACTTAGCCGGATGTGATGTAATCCCACCAGTGCATGCCTGTAATCCCAGCTACTCCAGAGGCTGAGACAGGGGAATTCCTTGAATCTGGGAGGCGGAGGTTGCAGTGAGCCAAGATCGCACCACTGCACTCCAGCCTGGGCAACAAGAGCGAAAAAAAAAAATCTCCACCTGAATGCTACTTTGAAGCTGCTCGAAGACCCCAGAGTATCCATCCCATGCCTATTGGCTGGGCTGAACCATGTATGTGCCCTGTCTCACTGTCAAGTTTTAGTTACCAATTCTTTTGTTTGTTTTTTATTATATTAAATCTACTACTGTTATTATTATTTTGAGACAGAGTCTCACTCTGTTGCCCAGGCTGGAGTGCAGTGGCGCAATCTCGGCTCACTGCAACCTCCACCTCCTGGGTTCAAGCGATTCTCATGCCTCAGTCTCTTGAGTAGCTGGGATTACAGGTACATGCCACCACGCCCAGCTAATTTTTTGTGTGTTTTTTGGCAGAGATGGAGTTTCACCGTATTGGCCAGGCTGGTCTTGAACTCCTGACCTCAACTGATCTACCCTCCTCGGCCTCTATTATTATTTTTTTTTTTTTGAGTCTCATTCGGTCACCCAGGCTAGAGTGTGGTGGTGTAATCACAGCTCACTGCAACCTCAACCTCCTGGGCTCAAGCAATCCTCCCGCCTCAGTCTCCAGGGTAGCTGGGACCACAGGCACATGGCACCGTGCCCAGCTAATTTCAAAATGTTTTTGTAGAGACAGGTTCCTTACTATGTTGCCCATGCTGGTCTCAAACTCCTGGGCTCAAGCAATCCTTCCACCTCAGCCTCCCAAGGTGCTGGGATTACAGGTGTGAACCGCCACACCCAGCCTCATTTTTATTTGATTCCATGAGCTTTCAGCAATTGTGGAGTACTTTCTGTGGCTGGGCACTCCTCTGAGCTTCTCATAAACTTGCACTCTGTTCACCCTCATGGTAACCCTATAGTGGAGGTACAGTTTTCATTCCCATTTTATATATGAGGAAACAGACTCAAGGTGCTGAGACAAAGCCGAGATTTGGAGCCGGGCACTCCAGCTCCAGCTAAAGGATTTCTTGTTCTGGTCTAGGAGGTCACCTGGAGGCAGCGAAGGGCCAGCCTCTGCCCGGAATGCTTGGAACAACTTCCCATTTCAGCATCAGCTTACTAGAGAGTGTGTGAGTTGTTGAGATAATGAGAGCTGAGAAAGTGCCTGCAAAGCACCTAACACAGGAAAATGAGCTCTCATTAACATCTGCTTTAGGATCCACGATGCTCCCCCTTCTCTCTCCTTCCTGTCTCTGTGGAGCCCCCGCCGCTCACTGTCCTTCCCTCTCACCCTGAGGACGGTCTGGCCAGCAGCATGAAATCCCCACACAGCCTCCATGGGCCAGGGATGTGGAAAGTGGCAAAAAGGCCTTGCCTTGGTGAATGGGGGTTTTCAACCTTATCTCAGATTCTCTTGAATTTGGCTGGTGGGTTTGCGTCTGCGGGTGTTTCTGAAAGGGTTTTTTGTGGTCAGAGTGTGGAAGAAAAATGAGAACCAGGAAGGAAACAGGCTTGACTTTGTGAAGCAGCATTCCAGGTTTCAAAGGAAATTGAGGGTGAGTCTGGGGTAAGGGCCTGGCTATGGATTTGAAGCAGGTTCCAGGACTGTGGGCAGAGCTTGGAAGGAACCTGCCGCCACCGCACCCTCCTGACCCTGCTGTGCTGTGTCTGCTTTCCTGCACTGACCTGACACACAGACTTCTGTTATTATTGCCCCAGGAAAGCAACTCTGGTTAACCCTTGTCTTAATATCTCCAAAAAGTAGCAGGATAGGATCCACTGTTAGGTAGCAACTTGCTCAAGCTGTGTGACCCTGGGCAAGTTACTTACCCTCTCTGGGCCTCAGTTCCCATATCTGTAATATTAGGTTGGGCAAAAGTAATTGTGGTTTTCACCATTAAAAGTGATGTCAGCCGGACACAGTGGCTCACGCCTGTAATCCCAACACTTTGACAGGCCGAGGCAGGTGGATCACCTGAGGACTGGAGTTCAATACCAGCCTGGCCAACATGGGAAACCCCATCTCTACTAAAAACACAAAAATTAACCAGGCGTGGTGGCATGCACCTGTAATCCCAGCTACTTGGGAGGCTGAGACAGGCTAATCGTTTGAACCCGGGAGACAGAGATTGCAGTAAGCCGAGATTGTGCCACTACACTCCAGCCTGGGCAACAAGAGAGAAACTGTTTCTCAAAAAAAAAAAAAAAAGTAATGGCAAAACCATAATGACTTTTGCACCAACCTATGGTATTGTCAACCTAATGTAAGGATAACACTAATACATTTTTTTTTTTTTTTTTTGAGATGGAATCTTGCTCTGCCGCCCAGGCTGGAGTGCAGTGGCTCTCGGCTCACTGCAAGCTTCGCCTCCTGGGTTCACACCATTCTCCTGCCTCAGCCTCCCTAGTAGATGGGACTACAGGCGCCCTGCACCATGCCCGGCTAATATTTTTTGTATTTTTAGTACAGACGGGGTTTCACCATGTTAGCTAGGATGGTCTCGATTTCCTGACCTCGTGATGTGCCTGCCTCGGCGTCCCACACTAATACATATCTCTGGAGATATGTTGTGAGAATAAAGGAAGGCTGAGGTTGTACATGCTTCCATGCCCCTTACTTGGGTGTGGAGGCAGCTATTAGGACTATCGTCCTCAGTTTTCTGGTTCCCATATTCATAGATCTAGATCTCTTCCACGTCTCTCCTTAACTCTTACTCACAGTGGCCGCCGGCAAACTGCAATGTCCTCCGTTTATTGACATTTCTCATCTGGAATTAAGATGTAATAAGTGATCTGTGTGGACCAACAGAGAAAAATCTTTTCCTTCCAAGAAGTGGGAACTTACTCTGCAGTACCAGGCAGTATAATTTGGATTAATAGAATGATTGAATGGATGGAGCAAAGGAAAAACCAAGCCGGATATCAAGAAGTTTTGCCCCGGTAACAGCTATTAGGGGATTTGGTGACAGGTCCATGTGTTGAATCAGATGAAACTAGGCTGGAAAAAATACTGGCAATTTGTAATTTCACAGGGGAGTGCCGGGCAGCGGGAGGCATCACGCTCCTATCCCGACAGAGAAGGGAGCCGGGAAGTAGGCGTGAAGGAAGGCAGCCTGCACATGTGCTTGTTGTTACAACTGCTATTGATTATTGCAACTAAGCTGGGTCACTTTATCCTGGTAAATCTCAGGATAATGCAATTATAGAAGATAATCTGGAATCGGGCACTGTAAAAAAAAAATTCATTCATTTAAAAGAGAAGCTTAAAAATAACCTGAAAGGCACAAGATCTTATTTTCACATCAGCTAAGGTTTCATTTTCCAGCATATGGCCCTCCCCACCCCCAACTCTCTTTTCCCAGACAAATTAAGTGCTTCATGTAGGTGCAAAATGCAAAGTGTGCTAAATCGTGCCTCCGTTTAAGTCTTGCACATGGGCCCACTTTAGTCTTCAATTAATTTTTTATTTTTCATGAATCGTTGTTTTCGAGTGTTCCAGAAATTTTGTGTTTCTGGAATTTTCTTTTACCCTTCCATTTTAGAGCTTTCCAATAAGATAAGAAAGTTAGAGTCTGTTTGGGGAATATCAAGGGATGATGTCAATTAAAAAGAAAAAACAGAAAAGCAGAGAATAAAAACCCTGTGTTACCACATCCCCAGGGTCCTAATCCATGTAAATGGCCTCCTCATTCCTTTCTTGTTTTGGACACTGTTTGAGAAAATCCCTTAACAGTGCATTCTGCTGCTTGCAGTACTTTTTTGTGGCTCAGGATTAACTGTTTTAGTGCAAAAGGACGGGAGATGGGCCACCTCCTTGGGGCTCTGCTACACACCCAGCTATCGCAGTGGCTGAAACCCAGCCCCACGGGTCAGAAGAGCTACGGAAAAACAGCATAGAACTCAAAGACTTAGGCTGATGGGCTCATTACAACAAATGGAGATTCTTGTTCACCAGGTTAAGTGCCGTGTAGCCAAAGGGAAACTGAGTCAAGGAATGTTAATTACTTCTGGTACTGTCGCGTTTAGCCATGGATTAACCCTTATCAGCAAGTGGCTTCTTAAGTCTAATTCTCCCCCGAGAGGAGGCTCAGCATGTGCCCCTTCGCTGAAGTCACCCCTCTCTTCTCAGGATTGCCCGAGTAGGAAAAATCCCCTCGTAATCCTCCCATCTCATTTTAGTTAATTTCCACCTCCTGCACAAACCCGTTTCGTCAAAGCTACCAATACGAGACTTAAAAAGCCGGGCTTCGCTTCATCCTCCTGCCCTTGCCCAGATTTTTGCAGAGATAAGAAAGACCACCAAAGGGCCACCCTGCAGTCTACACAGTTGTGGGGAAGGGGACAGAGCTTTCCTAGTAAAATGGATATTTTCTCACTTTTTCTTCCAGGCTACATAGAAATACCATTCTATCCCCATCACGGTGCCTTTGACACATGCATTGTGTATTGGCAATAAATGCCAACGGCATTTTGTTTTTGTTTTTGTTTTTTTTTTTTTGAGACGGAGTCTCGCTCTGTCACCCCGGCTGGAGTGCAGTGGCGTGCTCTCGGCTCCCTGCAAGCTCCGCCTCCCGGATTCACGCCATTCTCCTGCCTCAGCCTCCCGAGAAGCTGGGACTACTGGCACCTGCCACCACGCCCGGCCAATTTTTTTTTTTTTTTTTTTTTTTTCAGTAGAGACGGGGTTTCACCGTGTTAGCCAGGGTGGTCTTGATCTCCTGACCTCGTGATCTGCCCGCCTAGGCCTCCCAAAGCGCTGGGATTACAGGCGTGAGCCACCGCGCCCGGCCAATGGCTTCCTGTTGTAATAGCTGAGGTGGCCAAACGACAGAGGGAAAGGGGGTCACCACATTGCGTGCGGGCCCTTATGGTCGCCCTGGGGAAGCTGCCTATGCTCCCTGGACCTCAGCGTATGAGCGGGGGAGCAAGACCCCTTTCACGGGGCTAATTCAGGCTCGAGGCCTCCCTTGGCATCCTCCACTGAACAATACTCTAGGTGTTCAGTAGCT
Organism: Homo sapiens; assembly: GCF_000001405.40. Classification (NCBI taxonomy): domain Eukaryota; kingdom Metazoa; phylum Chordata; class Mammalia; order Primates; family Hominidae; genus Homo; species Homo sapiens. The sequence continues at coordinate 86,761,003 of NC_000016.10, forward strand.
GGCGCTGAGATTGCAAGGCGCCCGAAGGAGACCCTGGAGCACGGAGGATTGCTGCGGGATCTGGCAGTCCCCTTGACGCTACAGCTCTTTTTCTCTCTCTGCTTTCTTTCCCAGACTGACAGGGAGAGTGGATTCTGCAGAAATAACCAGGAAGGGCCTGTGAGTCTGGGGAGCGGCCACACCAAGCCTGCTTTCGGTGGGGATTAACAGGGAGGGAGAAGGAGGCGTGTGGCTGCTTGAAGTCACGGAGGACTCAGAGGAGGACTGGGAAGGAGCTGCGCAGATAACGCTCCCGAGATCAACTCCTGGTGGTCGGGGCTGGAACTGCAGCCAGAACCCAGAACTAGGGGGAGCCTGTCAGGGAGGGCAGGGAGCCCCCCACCCGGGAGAGAAGGGGCACTCTCCTTCCACTGGGCTTTTACTAATGCATTGGTCTCCATTTGAATTTCCTCATGTAAGCAAGTGAACAAGATAAAAATTCAAAACACCTGGTGGTTTCAAACTTACTCATTTTTTTAAAACAATGCTACTAATAAAGATGATGGCAGGAACGATGGAGTCCAGATGAACCGCAGCAGCCAGTTCAAGTGACACATTCGCATCCCTTTCTTCTCTTTGGGGAAAAGGAAAGGCATCAGCAGTTTCAAGTCATTTAATACAGATTTCCATCATTGTTATCCTAAGCAGAATCACTGTTATCGCTGTAATAACATTTGCCCGGCATCCCCGCAAGCTGGGTGCCGTGCATCTGGTGGCCACATTGTCTGCACCAGAAGCCTGCAGAGTCGCCGGCTTTGACAAGGAGGGGGTGCTCTGTGGGGCGAGTGGGTGCGGTCAGGGAAGACCGGCGGCTTCTGTCCCGAGGGATGGATTCCATTAGGCGGCGTTTCTCAGGGTGTCTCCGAGGCTGGTTGCATCACAATCGTGAATACCTGCTAATTACATCAGAACGAAAAGAGACTTGCATTTTTTAAGGCAAATTTTGCAGATTCTTCTTATCCACGTGGAAGCCTGAGTGTCCTTGCTTTGAGCCAACACAGTATCTGCTGCACTAACATGGAAAATCAGAATGAGGAAGGCAACCAGGACAAGGTGCTCACGGGGCTGCCCGGAGGCTTTTTTTGTTTTGTTTTGTTTTTTTCCTTTTTCTGCTCTTCTATGGGGAACAGAACAAAAAGTAGGTCATGAAGAAGCAGGAGAACAGGGAGAAGCACAAGATGAGAGGTGTGAGGGAGGAGGGGAGACGCCTGCACAAGGCTCATCTAGATAGAACCAGAGGAGGGTGTTGCTGGCCGTGCTCATGACCCGGAGGGGGCCCTGCGGTGTGTGTGGGGAGGGGGTGCTGAGAGTGGACGCCCAGAGGATATGGCGGGAATGGGACAGCTGCTTGTATTCACCATGTGCCCATGGATCACAGCGTTTCTGTCTTGGAGATGAAAGTTTTCTATGCTGGGAGGTGAGGGGGCTCTCAGGTCCTCAATGTGGTGGTTCCGGATTCATGGTCTTTTTGGAGGGGTTAGGAACCCCTCTGAGAATCTAGCACAATCTACGAGCATGCAGAAATGCCTGTGTATATTCACATTCCAGTCCATTTCAGAGGCTCACTGGATCCCTGAAACCCACTGCCTAGTTACTCCAGGTTGAGAACCCCAGCTCCAGCTCAAACCCCTATTTCACAAGGGAGGCAGGATAGCTTTGTGGTGAATAACACGGGTCTGGAGTTGAATTACCTGGTTCCGATCCCAGCTTTGTCACCCACTTGGGCCAGTTACTTCACATCCCTGTGCCTCAGTTTCTTCATCTGTAAAAATGGATTAATGCTCATGTCTACTTCACGAAGTTATGATGGGCACAGTTCTGTATGACATAGCCAAAGGAGGGGTTTTGTGCAGACAGGGAGGAAGGACTATTCATATTCAGCAATTATGATTGCTGCTGTCATTGTTATTACTATTGACAAGCAAACCTAAGCCAGGGAGGAAAGATAATTGGTCCAGGTCACAGAGTGTCCAGAGTGTCCCATGGTGGCCCCCACTTTGGGGCTTTTCTCAGGCTCCCCCCACCTTGTTCTCTGCCATCTCTTTTTTTTTTTTTTTTGAGATGGAGTCTCACTCTTGTCCCCCAGGCTGGAGTGCAGTGGCGTGATCTCGGCTCACTACAAGCTCCACCTCACAGGTTCATGCCATTCTCCTGCCTCAGCCTCCTGAGTAGCTGGGACTACAGGCACCCGCCACCACGCCCGGCTAATTATTATTATTATTGTATTTTTAGTAGAGACGGGGTTTTACTGTGTTAGCCAGGATGGTCTCGATCTCCTGACCTCGTGATCCACCCGCCTCAGCCTCCCAAAGTGCTGGGATTACAGGCATAAGCCATCAGGCCCGGCCCATCTCCTCTTCATCATGGGGCACCCCTAGAGGGCAGGACTCCTTCCAGGCTGAGAGGAGGGATTGGAATACTTTGCTTTCACATCTGGGCTCCCTACACACCCTTCTCCAGAAGAGGTGTCCACGGCTCCCAGCAAGAAGAGGACATTTCAGTGTTCTTTCCGCTCCAACTCCCACGGAAGCTGGAGCTCCAAATGCAGCCAGCACAAACTATCTCAAATCACAAGGGTCCATTGGAATAAGCTTGTGGCCGTTAGCTCAGGAAAATGGAAACCAGTGAAGCCTTGCTTCTTCTGATCCCCACAGACCCCCTCCAGTTGAATGGGAGGTCACTGAGCTTGCATCATTTTCTCAGCATCCAAAGTTTTCCTCTGTTCACCCCAGCACCCCATTCAGTATTCTCAGTCAGTGTTTGTGGGGGTTGTAGCTAAAAGTTCCAGTGTGGAGCCGCAGTCACAGCCTGCAAGCACATCTCCATGACAGGCAATTTTGATTTCAGTTGAACAGAAGCAAGCTTCAAGTTCCAAAGAAAGCCAAGTTGCGTGAGCAAAATGCTTACAAGATTCCCGAGTTCACACATCGCCTTGAGATTGTCCCAGAAGCCTTCCTGAGAGGTAGTGGCCGCCTGGGCAGTCTGCTTGGTGATTGGGAATGATGATGAAAGCCTGGCCAGTGTGTTGGGCGGGCTTCAAGTGAACACATATTATTGGCTGATTACAGGATCGGACGGTTTAAAAATGTACCACGTCGTGTTCTTCATGTTCTTCACCGGCCGTGGGTGGAAAGATGTGGATGAAATGAGAAGCAGCTTGAATGCATCTCTAAAAGATGCCAGGTGGGCTTTGTGATGTTAATTCCCACCCCCGTTTCTGGGCAGGTAAATTTTAGCAGACATAAGGGGCAAAGCTTATTACCTTCCATATTCATAAGTTTTTCTATCTGGAATAAACCAGGAAGTAGTGGAAAATGTGCAAGAAATCTCTCCAGATGTGTTTCTAGAGCAAAGAGGTTGGAACCAAGAGATCTTGAACCACTGACTAACCTCGGATAACTTCTGAGGTTAACCCACCCATCCAGTGAAGATGCAGGTTGGTACCTGGTCTTTGGCTAGCTGTATCTGAGGGTGCATCTAGGAAGGGCTAGTTAAAAATGGACTCCCTCGGTTTGTGTTTTATTCTAGATCAGTTATGGCTTGCATGGGCTCCAGAGTGTGAGATCTGGAGCCAGGCTGCGTGGGTATGAGTTCTGTTTCCCGCTTCCTTGCTGTGTGTCCCTGGGGAAGTCAGCTAACCTCTCTGTGTTTTGTTTCATCATATGTAAAGCAGGGATGGTAAAGCTACTGTATCACGTGACATTGAAGATGGGGTCAGTGCATGTAAAGTGCTTTGTACAGTGCCAGGCACAGGGTATAAGTGCCCTTTAGGGACATGTTATTATCATTACTGCTACGATAATGCTTCAGACAGTACCCATTAGTCAGCAATGTCAGAGGGCTATATTGGGTGATTCCAGCTTCTTCTTTGGGAAATAGAAAGAGCTTGAAAGGAAGCTGGCAAAACCAGGAAGAGAAATGGGTGTCCCTATTTTTGAGAAAATGTCACTAGTCTTTCTGAGCCCATTTGCTCCATCTGTGAAACTGAAGGCATCTAATTAAATTAGGTCTTTAACATTTAAAAATTTTCTTTCTTTCTCTTTCTTTCCTTCTTTCTTTCTTTCCTTCTTTTTTGACATTTAAAACATTTCTTTCTTTTTATCTCTTTCTCTCATTTTTTTTCTCTTTCTCTATCTTTCTTTATTTTTAGAGACAAGGTCTCACTCTGTCACCCAGCACCCAGGCTGGAGTGCACAGTGGTGCAATTATAGCTCACTGCAGCCCCAGACTCCCGGGCTCAAGCAATCCTCCCACCTCAGCTTCCTAAGTAGCTAGGACTACAGCCGCATACCTTCATGCCCAGCTATTTTTTAAATTTTTTGTAGAGATGGGGTCTCAGTATGTTGCCCAGGCTGGTCCTGAACTCCTGACTTCGAACAATCCTCCCACCTCAGCTTCGAAAAGTACAGGGTCATTGAGTTTTTGAAAGGGCCAGGAATTAACCAAGGACTCTGTCTACCTGAAATGTGTTCTTCAAGCAAATCTCTGGGGCCTTTCCTAGACCTGGTAGTCCATCGCTGCCGTCCTCTTATGACTTTGGAGTTGAGCTCTGCCAGTCCTTTGGAGTGCTGGTGCTTGTCTTGTTCGGGGCCCTCAGAAGCAACCTTGATACAAGGATTCTGGCACAAATCATTAATTTAGGAGGTGATCCCAGGAAACACCAACAGGGGAGTGGACAAGTAAGGACATGACCCAGGGAAGGGGAGGACCCTCTGTGAGGGGGACGTCATTAGGTCAGTGTTAAGCAATAGGAAACCATACAGCACAGACCTTGGAATTATCCCACCCAAGGAGAGGGAGCTGGGGTATTTATACACCAGCTGTCACCTGACATTGGTTCAAAACTACCCTGAGGGTAGGGATGCCCTGGCACTCCAGGGGCTTTAGATAGCCCTCAGCCAGTGGGTTTCAGGTGCTGGGTCTGGATGTGGTTAGGGTGAAGGCAGTACCTGACAGCAACTGCATTTGCTGTAAGACCTTTCAGGAAAATAGTTCTGCCTTTCCAGGGTGTCTTGACTTCCTCCTTCGTTTTGATTTCTTTGGTGTTTACATTCCCAGTGTGTAATGATTCTGCCTTTGTGTTTTCTACTTGTTTTACTAGGTGTGTCTTGTGCCCTGTCTGCATATGAAGTTCTTTGAAGGCAGAAACATGGTTTTTGCTGTGCTCAGATAACAGAGCACAAACTATAAACATAGATGTGTTCAGGTGTTTCCTCTACCCCCTAGGGCCACTACAGAATATTCTGGAATGGCCAACCTCTTCTCTGCCTCCTTCCTCTTCCTCAAGGAATGTCTTTTCAGCTAATAAGGAAGCAGATGTATGGCATAACAAAGGAATGAGGGGGCTGGAGATAGAGAAAGGTGACCCAGAGTGGAGTTTCGGAAGCAATTGTAGCCCTCATGCAGTACCCAGGTGTGAAGGCAGAATGGATGCGGAAAGGTCTTCTGTTGGGGATGGTGTGCCCAGATCCTTTTGTGGTTTTGGAGAAATGTAAGGAAAGGATATGAGAAATTCTAAAATTTCTTTTGATTTTTTTTTTTTTTCATTCAGGGAGCACATGGGCAGGTTTATTGCATGAGTATATTGTGTGATGATGAGGTTTAGAGTACAGATGGTCCTGTCACCCAGATAAGTGAGCATAGCACCCAGTAGTTAGTTTTTCAGCTCATGACCCCTCCCTCCTCTCTCTAGCAGTCCTGGATCCTATTGTTGCCATCTTTATGTTCATGCATATTCAATATTTAGCTCCCACTTATAAGTGAGAAAATGCTGTATTTGATTTTCTGTTCCCTCATTAATTCACTTAGGATAATGGCCTCCAGCTGCATCCATGTTGCTGCAAAGGACATGATTACGTTCTTTTTTATGGCTGCATAGTATTCCATGGTGTATAGGTACCACATTTTTTCAATCCAATCCACCACTGATGGGCACCTATGTTGATTCCACATCTTTGTTACTGTGAATAGAACTGCAGTGAACATGTGAATGCATGCGTCTTTTTGGTAGAATGATTTTTTTGCCTTTGGGTAGTATATACCCAATGATAGGATTGCTGGGTCAAATGGTGGTTCAGTGTTAAGTTCTTTGAGAAATCTCCAAACTGCTTTCCAGAGTGGCTGGACTAATTTGCATTCCCACCAACAATGTGTAAGTGTTCCCTTTTCTCCACACCCTCACCAGCATCTGTTATTTCTTGGCTTTTTGGTAATTGCCATTCTGACTGGTGTGAGATGGTATCTCATTGTGGTTTTGATTTGCATTTCTCTAATGATTAGTGATGTGGAGTATTTTTTCATATATTTGTTGGCTGCTTGTATGTCTTCTTTTCAGAAGTGTCTGTTTATATCTTTTGCCCATTTTTAATTGGATTATTTGTTCTTTACGCTGTGTATCTTTGAATTGTAACAGTTTTTGGAAATTGAAACACATAGACTCTGGGCTTATCAGGGTTCCAACTGTATTTCCCAGAAAGCAAAAATATATATGCCACAGGCACCCAGTAAGATTACTGAATGAGTTGATGGCTATACACTTTTAGAGCTGAAATATACCTCACAAACCCTCTAGTCTAGGAGTCTCAAACTCAAATGCTTCTGTGAAATGCCCAGATAAAACACAGGATGCCCAGTTACGTTTTAATTTCAGATTAAAAATTAATACTTTTAAAATATAAGCATGTTCCAAATACTACACAACACATACTTATACTAAATTTACTAAATCTGGCAGCCCAGCTTTCGGACATGTGCCAAACATAGAACTTAAAAGAATGAAATGCAGGGCCAGGCACAGGGGCTCACGCCTGTAATCCCAACACTTTGGGAGGCCAAGGCGGGCAGATCACCTGAGGTTAGGAGTTCAAGACCAGCCTGGCCAACCATGGCCAATATGGCGAAACCCCATCTCTATTAAAAATAAAAAAATTAGCTGGACGTGGTAGCAGGCGCCTGCATTCCCACTACGTGGGAGGCTGAGGCAGGAGAACCGCTTGAACCCAGGAGGTGGAAGTTGCAGTGAGCCACGATTGTGCCACTGTACTCCAGCCTGGGTGACAGAGGGAGACTCCATCTCAGTCAATCAATCAATCAATGAAATGAAATGCATCATTAGACAACAGAGAGTGGTAGGGAGTGGAGAAGTTTTTAAATCAGTGAGCACATGCCCTAAGTGGGCAAAAACCCATCTTCTGAACCACAGCCATATTTTAAGTAAAGAATGTGCAGTGCAGATGCAGTGCAGAGAGGAGAAGCAATGAACCAAAGAACGCCTGTGTAGCCAAGGCAGAGGGGAAGCCGCGTTCGGGATTCCTCACCCCGGCCACCGTCCCTCCCACTGTGTCACTGTGGGAAGCTGTGTGTGCGTCAAAATGTGCAGCCTCAGATGCTGTCCCTCCCACCTTCAAAAGGGCAGTTGATGAACGACTCTTCAGGGTAATTGCAATTTCATGGATCAGGAGGTGTAGCCAGTTCACATTTTTTTCCCCCGCAAGATAATTAAGCCATTACCAGACTCTGAGCCACAGAGGGATTGTCTTGGTCTCCCGTGGCCTCCGGGGCACCCTTCCTTTTCTCCCTGACGCAGCCAGCTGTATGATTTTTCTCCCATTGTTGCCATGTGAGGTACTCTTGATAAAGGTATTACAATAGTAACGTTGTGTGATGTGGTCCAGCTTCCTGGGCAAGTCATCCCCCATTTTTGTGTCTCAGTTTCCTCATCTGCAAGAGAGAATTGAACAGATAATCCCTAAGGTCTCTCTGATCTGTAATGAGGGTGATTAGATGCCTGGTCTCTAATGAAAGTGACCAGATGCCTGGTCTGTAATGAGAGTGACCGGTTTGCCTGGGGAGCTCCTGATTTATGCCCGTTGCTCAGTAGGGACCTCAACAATGTCCCCCATTACCCTCCAAAGTGTCCCCATTTGCATGAAAAGTCATGCCCCCCCTCCAGCCAGTGGTGCGTGGAGTCTACTCAGACCTGCTTTTCAGGGTTGATTGTGCCTGGGTTCCGCACTCGAAACTGGCCATGGTGAGAGTGTTTACACCACAGCCAACAGCAGGCCCCACAGATCAGAACTTCCCCTGTAGAGCTATTGCTCAGCATCCATCAGCACCGCACCCACTCTGGCTCTAATGATTGACTGCTTTGCATACATGTCTGGGCCAGCTGCCAGGTTGTCAATGAGCAAACTTTTGACAACAAAGTCCACTAAAAAGAAATACTTTGGTGACGATCCAGTTGGCACAATAAGTATTTTGGTTATTCCAATGACTGAACCATGAAAATTCCACTCACTCCAGTGTCGGTCCTGGTGCTCAGTGGTTACAATGAGAACGAAAGCAAGACCCACTGGTTTTGAGTGTGTTTTTCTGTTTCACCATTTGGTATCCTTGAATTGACACAGATACTGGGAAACACAAAGTGTTGGCCATAGCAGAGGCTCCCAGCACTCTGGGGGAAAGAAGAGCCTGGAGTTGCTTATTCCTACATCTCCCACTGACCCACTGACTAGCAGGGTGACTGTCTTTCTTGATCTCAGATGCCCACTTGAAAAAAGAACAGTAAAAATACAGCCCGTACCCATGTGTGAACAGGCTGCTGATGAGGTCTTCCCTCCTCATGTCTAGGCCTTCGGACTGCAGGCCTTCTCTCCTAGGGGTCTTTTCCCACCCCCACACTCAGGAGCGTGTACAGATGTTCCCTCTTCCTCCAAGAAAGTGTACCTGAAATATGCCATACGTGTGCCCAGGAGCCACAGCCACAAGCAGGGACATCTCAACCTCAGGACCTCTGCATGGCATCATCAAGGAGCCAGAGACCCAGAAAGCCTGGATGCCAAAGGTCACGTGGAGGTGAGTGACCACCAGGAGCAGAAATGAGCGCTCCCGTCTCCCAGGAAGAATGAAATCCGGGTGGCCTTGTCGCTTGGAATAGTAGAGGCCCTTAGAGGTGATAAAGTCAACTCAACTCATTTTACAGATGGGTAAACTGAGGCTGAGAGTGGGGCAGGGCCCCCAGGGAAGCAGTTCTGCATGGTGGTGAAGAGTAAGGAGCCCTCAGTAGGACTCGGTTCCCCATGAAACCTGCCACTGGTGAGACACCTAGATTTAAACAAGTACTTAAGCTCTTGGCTCTCAGTTTGCTCATGTGAGGAGAACACCAGTTTCCACATCTTGGGGGTGGTTGAGAATTAAATGAGACACATTGCCTGTAAATGGACAGCATGAGATGGTAATGCAGGCTGGGGCGGGACCCCGGGCAATTTGCTCATGGAGAGTTTGACGTTATTAATATATATATATATTTTGCTGTGGCTGTAGTTAGTTGCCTTCTCAAGATCTATTATCCCCCTAGATTCCTAATAGGAATCTGAGCCTTTTAGTCACATGGTTTGTGTGGGCTCAGGGGCAGTTTGGGACAATCACATGCTCTGTCTTCTTTGACGCTGTTATGGATTTAAGAATGAGGTTGCTACATAAATTAGTGAAATCGGAGCGGATCTCAGGACTTTCACTAGATGTGATGGGAAGACCCCCTCTCTTCTGCTGTAGGTAAACAGGAAGCATAGAACCCCAGGTGCTGTCAGGAGCTACCTGACAACCACATGGGAAATCATTCCGAAGGTGAAACTGCCACAGAGAGCGAGAGACACAGCCCCGGTGACTTTATCAACCTCTGGAACAAACTAGCCTGAAGCCCTTCCTATCTCTTGACTTTACAGGTACGTGGACAGGTAAATCCCCTTTATTGTTTAAACCAGTTTGTATATCTGCTACTTGCACCCTAACTGTTGATGTGATTTCCCAAGGTCACATAGCACCAGAGCTCAGCATCTTCAGCTTCTCAATAAATAAGAGAGTGCATGAAAAGCAGCAATATACAGGTAATCCTTAAAAAGGAAAGCTTCTCCCTTCTTCCCTTTCCTGTTGCAGTCAAAGCAATTTCACCTACACCATCAAAAGATGGATTTCTAGATTGCTCATGGAGAAATATACTTGTTAGCCTGGACTGTTTGGGGCTTTTTCAAATAGTTGCATGCCTTGGGAGATACGATTGATAGAAGATGTGGCACACGAACCATTTGGAGTACAGAGAGGCACTGGAACACTAGCTACTGGGTTGAGTTGAAAACTGAGAACCGGTTTAGTTAAGATTTTATTAATTACTTTTCCATGATTCCACTTGCTGCTTGGGACTCGCATAAGCAAGGATAGAGAATCCAATGGAAAGGCATTTTCATGGGTTGGAAAGCAAATCTCTCCTCCACAGTGTGATTCAGGGACCCAGGTGCCTCCCGCTTGGTGGCTCTCCTCAACCCCAGCTGGAGTCCCTGTGGGACACAGGGAGCTCAGGAGCTTCCATAAACAGGGATGGGAAAGACAGACACCTTCATTTTCACTCGCCTCTAACTGACATATAGCTTTGGTTCTATTATGAATGCCGGAAACAGACGGCAGTAGTATTAGCAGCCCCCGTGAACTTTCTGGCTGTGGAAATCAGATACTTTCTCATCACATTTCTGCTGTGGATATCATGAAACTTTGTCTACTTTCATTTGAAATTGCAGTAGCTACTACATCCTGTTACTGAATGCACTGGTAAAGTGCACGCATGTTTATATGTTGCTCCATATGTTTGTATATATTTCAGTGTCATCAATTTCCTTTCTGCTCCTACATAGTTCTCAGATTTAAAAGCATTGTTCTGATAAAGTTCCAGAGACTTCACCAGATGTTGAAGGGTCCAGGGCCTAATAAAATTAATACGCCATACCCTGGGGGCTTGTTCTGCACATCTGCCAGTGAGAAGGAAAGGAGGGGGAGATGTCACCTCCATAACACAAGCCTTGGCTGAGATGTGACATGCACCACCCTCACTCAAACCTCCTCCAAGTGCCTGTCACCAGGGGGACACGGGGGCCAGGACATGGAGTGGTCGAGTGGGCAGCACCTGGCTGTGTGCTGTGGGAGCACTCTGCTTTCAACGGCAGGAAGGGAATGGGTTGGGGTGGGGGCGGGGTAGTGGGAGGCCCCTGTTACCAGTGCTAAGAGCCAGGACTGTTACAAGATTCAAAAGAGACCACCCATGCAATGCCTTTCCCTGGGCCTAAACACACTTATTATTATTACTGTGTAATTGTTATGCCCTAGTATGTCTGTTTCCCTGTGGGTTTCCCCCAGAGACTGTGAACTACTTGAAGCAAAGGGCTGTGTCTGATTCATCTCATTATTTCCAGCTTTGACCACAGGGTCATCGTTGTTCATTTGTCCCAATATTTGTGGGATTCCACTGGGAACAAAGTGAATTGGGACAAGTGAATAATGATGACATACAGTTGTTTTTCTGACACTTCTGCCCCCAGGAAAACAAGGCAAAAGGCCTGTGACTCTGTCTTCAGGCAGTGGGACATGTTCTTAAACGACGGAGCCACATCCATGCCTCTACCTTCCAGTAAGGTTTGCCTGCTTAAGCATACTTGTTGAAAATCAATTGCACATGAACCCTCACATGTACACGTGTGCACACACAGATGCATGCACACACATACACACATGCACACACCAGCCAGACACTGCCTCTTTCCTTCTCCGACTCCCACCCTGCCTCCAAGAGGAATATTTATGATTTTTAATAAACTGTGACCACAGCTAATTAGGCTCCTCACCCATGCCCCCAAGGCCACTAAGGGGCTGTGACGGTTGGCATTTCCTATCTCCAAGTGCAACGAGGCCGCACATGCCACACTGATGAACTCACGGTGTAGCAGACTCCATCCCTGCCGTCTGGGAGAATGCTCGTCTTTCAAACCAGATTAAAAGAAAACAAGAGCTGGGCCCATCCCAGCATCATGAGCCCAGAATTATGCACTTCACTGAAGTAGGAATGTGGCCCATTCATTACTGTGTGTCATCAATTAATGACTATGTGAAATACGGCCCCCAGGGTGTGCTGATCCCCCCAGAGGGTGGCGGGAGGGACTGCTGTGTGCTGCTGAGCTGGTTTAACTCCCCCGGCACGGAGAAGGATCTCCTGCCTGTGTGCCTTAGAGCTGCGTTTTGGGAGAGGAGCAGGGAGGTCCCCAAAGGGCGTGGGCATCTGGGGAGAGAAAAGCTGCTGTGGTTCATTTCCTGAACTCAGTGGGCAGCAACATGGAGTGGCCTGCCTCACCCAGGGGACCAGGCCAATGTGTTACATGCAATTTAGTGACAGGTATTAGTCGCTCCCGGGCAGCGACTGAACCATCCTGGCTCATTAACTCCAAGGACTGACGTGGCCAGCAGGGAGGAGAGGACTGGAGGGTCAGCAGTCAGCCTAGTCCCTTGCAGTGGCTGAAGGGATCCCATCTTCAAGAGACATTCGCAGGCCTGATGCTTCTCTGTGTGAGAGGGAGGGGAACTGAGGGTGAGGGCGAATCCTTGATCTCATTCCTGCTATGGTGCTGGTGTACATGGAGCCAGGCTGCTGGGCTGAGTGCCATGGCCGCATGCACCAGCCAAGGGACCAGGGCAGTGGCTTTGTAGCCTGTGTGTGTCTCCACTTCCTCCCCATGGAATAGAGATGACCAAGGTGGATCCCTGGCTCTAGGGTTGCTGGAAGCATCAGATGCACTCATTGGTGCACATGCTTAGAGCCAGCACAGGCACTAGAAGGAATGTAAGGGCCCGTTTTTATCAGGGATATGCTTGCAAAACCATCTGTGCCACAGAGACTATAGGTGAAAAACAGGTGTGAAAATCCTGATGACCCAGCTTCCTTTAAACTTTTTCTAAAGTTATACTGATTCTTCACAAGGGATGTATTGGTCAAGGTTCTCCAGAGAAACAGCTCCAACAGGATAGACAGGCATGTATACTGGAGGACATTCGTTATGGGAATTGGCTACTAATTTTTCATAATGGATGTATTGGGCAAGGTTCTCCAGAGAAACAGCTCCAACAGGATAGACAGGCATGTATATCGGAGGACATTCATTATGGGAATTGGCTCAGGCGATGGTGAAGGCCAAGGAGTCCTACAATCTGCTATAAGCAAGCTGGAGAATGGGAAAGTGAGTGGCGCAATTCAGTTCAAGTCTGAAGGCCTGAGAGCCAGGAGGGCCAATGGTGCAGCTCCCAGCCCAGGGCCGAGGTCTGAAACCAGGGATGGGATACTGGAGTAAGTCCAGGGATCCAAAGGCCCACAAACCAGGAGCACTGATGTCTGAGGGCAGCACAAGACAGATGTCCCAGGCCTGAAGAGAGAAGGAACTCGCCCTTTCTCTGCCTTTTTGTTTTATCCAGGCCCTCAGGGGATCGGATGGGGACCACCTACTTTGGGGAAGAGTGTTCTTTTTACTCAGGCTACTGATTGTGATGCCCATCTCTTCCAGAAACACCCTCACAGACACACCCAGAAATCGTGTAATCCCAGCTACATGGGCATCCTTTAGCCCAGTCAAATTGACATACGAAATTCACCATCACGAGCCCACCCTTCATCAACCTGGCACCCATGTGCATCTCCTTAGATCACACTCCATCATCTCCAAATAAAGACAAAATAAGGTGTGAATCCACCTAACATCAAACAGCTCTCCTGCATACAACCGGAAACACACCAGCCTCTTCCCCAGAGAGGAGATTAAGACCCTGAGTGTTCACTCCCGACATCTTATAACTTAACACGATGATGTCAAATTAACAATACTGCAATACTGATAGAAAGCCAATTCATCTTATGTTACATGATAAAGAAATATGAGAGGAAAGAAAACAAAGACATTTGCTGAATGTGTACATTTACACACATGTATTCATAGGAAGAAGAAGGAAATGCTCTTGTCAGGTGGCAAATGCTGTGTATGATATTCTGATTTCCAAAGGGTAAATTTGAACATTTTGTTTTTTAACCTGTTGAGAGTATGTTTTGTGCTGTCTTTACAATGTATTGAAGTATCTGTTTTCCTGGCAACTTCCTTTCATGATCACAATGGTTATTTATAAAGCTCCACATTTGCCCTACGGTGGGGCGCACCTTGGGGTGGAGGGTCTGCAGTACTGAAGCCGGCAGGCCAGGCGGCGGGTGGGTGGTGGGAGAGGGGGCTCAGATACTTCAGCCTTCTATGTGATCGATGTGTAGTGGCTGGGTCGCCACCCCAGCGTTTGGCCATTACCACATCAGAAAGCAATGAAATCACCCGGCGGGACTGTGAGGCAGATCGGACTTTTGAATATAAGCCCCTGTGAATCCTATCCATGGAACTTTCTCCATCACACCCTCTACGTAGTTGTCACACAGGGTGGACACTTGCAGAATTTAATGACGATCGTTTGAATGCATGACTTGCAACACAGGTGGGAACAGGTGGGAACGCCATTGGTGCTGACCTCAGGGCCAAGCAGGAGCTCCGCCGCTTTCTGCGGGAGTGGAAGGCTTCCCTCCCATTCCTGACCAGCACTTAATGGGCCTCTGTGGCCATCCTTTTGGTTTCCCCCAAGCCTTCTCCCCTTGACATTTTTTCCAGGATATGAACAGTGGTGGGTACTTGGGCCACCTCTCCACTCGGGCAGGAGTTGGCAGTCTGCACACACATCTGTTCTCCTTCCCTGAGACAGGCGCTGCCATCCGAGGGCGGGACCCGGGAGACAGAATGACATTTCCATGCAGGCTGCCATGGTGCTTAGGCAGGAAGGGGACGAGAAGGGGCCTCCCGGTGGCGGCATCTCCTGATGTAATTAGTCCTTGTGGACCTCACCTCCTGTGGCTTGCCGGCTCAGGGGCTGAGCATTTGTCAGGGCTGTGACGGGGACCCCCCACCTTGCAAGGGCGACATATGGCTGAGGAATTCGCAGTCCCAGGAGTCGGGTCTTGGGCACGCTCTGTTCCCAGATTCATCACTGCAGTGGGCTGAGCCGAGAGATGACTTCTTCGGGAAGCAGCTTTTCCCTGCTGCTGAAGTCCTTGGAAGAGAGGGCTAGGGTGACTCTAATAACCATCACGGGAACCTCCCTTCTTTTCAAAGGATGGGACTCAGTGAAAGCTTTTCAATTATTTCAGCAGGGCCTATTGAAGAATAATATTAGACAAGGCGCAAAGACTTCAGGATAATAGAAGAGCAGGGTCCTTACCCAGGCTGGAGTGCAGTAGCACCATCATAGCCCACTGTAGCCTCAAGCACCTGGGCTCAAGCAATTCTCCCACCTCAGCACCCTGAGTAGCTGGAGCTACAGGCATGCGCCGCCACTCTCTGTTTTTTGTTTGTTTGTTTTGTTTTGTTTGTAGAGGTGGGAATCTCACTATGTTGCCCAGGCTGTTCTCAAACTCCTGGGCTCAAGCGATCCTCCTGCCTCTGCCTCCCAAAGTGCTGGGACTACAGGTATGAGTCAACACACTTGCCTAATTCTTTCTTAAAAAAAAAATCGGTAGAGATGGGGTCTTGCCTCGTTGCCTAGGCTGGTCTCCAACTCCTGGCTTCAAGTAACCCTCCCATCTCGGCCTCTCAAAGTGCTGAGATTACAGGTGGGAGCCACCATGCCTGGCTAAAATGCAAGGTCTTATATGTAAGAAAAATTCTTGTTGTTTGTTAGCTTCTCTCAAACAAAATAAACTTTTAAAAAGCTATTATTTATATTTATTGAGCACTCTCCAAGTGCTAGGCATTCTGCTAAGCTCTTTAAATGTAGTTTAACTCCACAAAATTTCCAGCTTTATAAATTAAATAGGCTGAAAGTGAGTGATCTCATACGGTTCAAACTAAGACATTCCATTTCTTAAAAGTCTAGGTGATAATTGATAATATCCCTATTTTACAGATGAATAAATTGAGGGTCAGAGAGGTTAAGTAATTTGGCCTCGATCATGCAATTCATAAGAGTGGCAGAACCAGGATTTAAATACAAACATTAATTTATGTAATAGGAGCACTACATGATGCTAATCTCAAGTGTGGAATTTTTTAAAAATTTACTAAATTTGGAGTCTTTTTGACTCCAAAATTTCACACTTGAGATTACCGTCATATAGTGCTCCTATTCCATAAATTAATTTTTGTAAAGTGCTCAGAATGGTTCCCGACAAGGGAACTGCTATATAAACAAGGTTAAATAGGAATAAATTAAGAAAGTATTTTGTGTTCATTCCAGTAATTGTTACACGTTAAATCCTAGTCAGTTACTTAACATAAAATCCTCTATATTTTGCTGTGTTTGGCCATAAAAGCCTCCCAGTCCTCCTCATGCTCCATAAACCGTCAACACAGCCCCAGCGCCCCCTGCTCCGTCCTCCGAAGTGCACGTCCAGAGGTTTCTTGCATACGAACTTGTCACAGACCCCGGGTCAGATAAGTCTCTATTTTTCTCTTGGAAAATGTGGAAGCCATCACAAGGACCATTTTTCCTTTTTCACCACGGGATTATAGAAACATAGAGATGGAAAGTTCCAGGCAGAACATCTAGTCCAAACTCTCCCACATCAGAGCCTCTCCTGAGAGCAGGAGGCAGGTGGCAGAAGACCTGGGGGTTAATCCCATTATATGCCGAAATCCAATGTGTGGCCTCGGGCACGTCTCATAACATCTCTGGATCTGCAATTGCCTGTGGTGTGGGGATTGAGCCTGATCTTCTGTGTGTGTGTGTGTGTGTGTGTGTGTGAGACTCACTTCACTTTTATTATAAACAAACACAGTCTCAGATAAGTACAACTAGCTTCAGAGGTGATATTAATAGAAATTATTGCAAAATTATTCTTAGGTTACAAATAACTACTATCCCACATCAAGAAGGGGAAAATCCCACTCAGTCAAAGAAAGGGCATCCTACATATGTTTCCATGGCAATGAGTTTATGCATTCTCTAATTTTTTCTGGCTAGTTACCCACCACTTCTCCAATGGGTTCATTCAATTTCTTGGAAAATCATATTGACCAATGAGAGCATCCGGGACACATGGACATGCCAAGTTCCTGGTGGACATTGCTATTATGAAAATACTCAGGTCTTGAGAATTCCTCTGCTGAAAGATCCCAAAATGCTTTATGAAAAGCATTAGTCACGCCTCAAAACTGCCTGTTGAGGCAGGTCAGTATTATTACCCCCATTTTAACGGAAGGAAAACTGAGGCACATTATAGTTAGGTCCCTTGCCCAGGGTCACATAGCAAGTCAGTGGCACAGTGGTAGGAGAGGATTGGGCCTGATCTTTAATGTTTGCTTTCAGATTCAATATTCCGTACGTCAGATCATGTGATTTCACCACGAAACGATACGTCCTCCTGAAATGTCACATGCTCATAGAGCATGACCTCATGGGAGAGGGCCGTCGGCTTCCACATCACCTCTTTCTTTTCGCTTTGTATGGTTTGGATAGGTCGTTCATGCACTCAGGACAACATGTACAAGGTACAAAAGTGTTTACAGTGAAAAATAGCTTCACCCTGCTCACTCTTCCCTCAGCTGCCCCGGCCGCCTCCCAGGAGGCAGCAGCATCACTTTCTTCCTGTCCTTCTGGAGCCAGTCCATATGTGTGAAAGCAATCACATGCGGGTGCACCTCCAGCCCAGTGGGCACTGGCCACACACCTCCCTCACCCCTAACCTGTTTGGGGCTGACCCCCTTCCTCTGGGTTCTCCAGCTGTCCTCAAACTGTCCTTGCTCCTCTGGCCCCTTTTGTGCTCTTTATTTTGGAACCTGATGTCCAGCCTCTAGGACTAAGATGATGAGAAATTCAGACCCCAAAGGACCTCCCTGTATCCCAGAGAAGAAGCTGGTAGAGGAGGCCAAATTCGAGGAGGGGGTGGAGCTGGCTAAATGGAAGGAGGGGCATGTCTCTCCTCCTTTGGGCGCTAAGTTCGAATGATATCTAGAAAGGGAAGAGAAAGAATTCCATCCAGGAAGAGCAGGGAACATCTTTTCAGGAACATTTTTTATTACACGTTTGTCTAAAGCACTTCCCCGTGACCCCATTTGGACTGGGAAGACTGGAGGAAGAGTTAGCACAGCAGGTGTCCCCACGCAGCCACTGCTGGCAGATTTGTGTCACATCCCTTTGCACTTGAGCTACATTTGAACTTCCCCACCGTGGCCCATGTCCTGTGGGGTCTGGCCCTGTCCACCTCCACAGCCTGCGCCTCAGACCCCACCTCACCCTGGCTGCACAGCCTCTTTGTCTGTTCCTCCAACCCCAGCTCCTGTCCAGCATGGAAGGCTTCCAAACGTCCTGTATGGGCCATTCACTCCCTCCTATCAAGGTGACGCACAAAAGTGGCTCATCCTCCCGCTTGGCTATGACCTTAGAGAAGCCGCCTCGGCCCCCAAGTTTGCACTCACCCCTCCCCAGAGATTCATCATCGGGTTCTACATTTTTCCATAACATTTAACACAGTCTGAAATTATTACATTATTTATATTTTACCACATTTATCATGTTTACTTATATATTTTCTCTCTCTCTCACCACTGGGGTACGACGTCTATGAAAGTGAGGACTTTGGTTCACCTTGTTCCCTACTCTCTCCCCAGTGCCAAAAAAAGCATATGCCAGGTGCTCAGTACCTTAACTGAATTGTTCAATGAATAATAGAAAATTTCAAAGTGTATACTTTCCCCGTTTTCCCAAAGATTCGCTAAAAATGTGGTAGAATCGAGCTCTGTTTTGCCAGTGGCATGGTGTCCCTTTGTCAGTCCTTGCTTAGAAATAAAGCCGGAGAGGGAAGTCAGGAAGCAGAACCTCGGTACTCAAATGAGGGCATCAGTTCCCACCGGGGCAGCCCCGGGAAGACGGTATGGTTGGCCAACGTCTGCCCATTTCCAGGCAGCCCTGTCCACATACCCACAGTCCCCTGTCCTCGGCGCCAGGGTGCACACCCTGGCCAGTCCCCACACATGGCCGTGGATGGAAAGTTCTGTATCTGTGCCACTAGGCAGAGGTGGCTGCACAATTAAGAAGCTGAATTTTAGTTTGTTTAATTTACCTCAAATTATTATTTTAAAGTTTTACTTCAATTGTTCTTTTCTTTTTCTGAGACGGAGCCTATTGCCCAGGCTGGAGTGCACTGGCACGATCTCGGCTCACTGCCAAATTATTCTTTAAAATTATTTAGCTAATTGCTACCATATTGGACAGTGTGGCCCTGACCTGTTAAGCCAAGTCAGGAAGCTGCATTTCTCATTCATTCCTCGGGACAGCCCCACGAGAGGTGGCTACCGTTACTATCCCATTTCACAGATGAGAAAACTAAGGCCCAGGGAGGTAAATAACTTGCTCAGGGTCTTCAAGTAGGAAGCAGCAGAGCCGAGATTCCAGCCCCAAGCTGGCACTCTTCAGCACTGCACAGTCCGCCCTCTCTGCACTCTGGCCAGCGTCAGCATCACCTCCAGGGACAGTGCATGCACCAGGAAGGACACAGCTTTGGAACCATCTGCGTGAAAATGCGAATGTTTAGGTTTGCATTGCAAACCCCACTGCAAATCAGCTGTGACTTTGGACAAAGCCCATCATTTCTCTAAAGCCCCAACTTCTACGGATTGCATCCGCCTTCCCTTCTTCCCGACCCCCACCCCCAGTAATTCCTGCTCCACCTTCAAACCCCCAACATTCATCTCACTCAAACTCCCTTTCAAAGGCTGGGCTCACGTCTGTAATCCCAGCACTTTCAGAGGCCAAGGAGGGTGGATCACTTGAGGTCAGGAGTTCAAGACCAGCCTAGCCAATATGGGGACACCCCATCTCTACTAAAAATACAAAAATTAGCTGTATATGGTGACGTGTGCCTGTAATTCCAGTTACTCTGGAGGCTGAGGCAAGAGAATTTCTTGAACCCGGGAAGCGGAGGTTGCAGTGAGCTGAGATTGCTCCATTGCACTCCAGCCTAGGCATCACAGTGAGACTCCGTCTCTAAACAAATAAATAAATACAAACAACTCCCTTTCAAGATTAGCTCTCTGCATTTCTGGTCATCAGTTATTCCTACTCTAATAGGTGTTCTGGTTATCTCTTGGTGTATAACAAAACCACTTAAGGATTGAAAGAAACATGATTTTACGGGTTGGGAATTCAGGAAGGGTTCAGCTGGGCAGCTCTTGCTAGAGGTCTCTCATCTGGCTGTCGTCTGATGTTGACTGACGTGTCAGATGGGTATCCAGGACGGTGCATACGTATGTTGGTGGTTGGGGCTGGACGTCACCTGGAATCTCGGCAGGTGGCAGATTAGAGCCTTCACGTGACCCCTCCATGTGGCTTGGTCTTTCCTCTGCCTGGCATTTGGGTCCACCAGAGTGAGCATCCCAGGAGATCCAGGAGGAGGCGGTCAGCCTTCCTGTGATCCATTCTCATGAGTCCCAGAAGGCCACTTTTGCAGCCAGCTATTGATCGAGCAAGTCACTAAAGCCAGCCCAGGGCCCGGGAACAGGATTACAGCACAGCTCTTGATGGCAACATGGGAATGGCACTTCATAAGAGGACCATGAACAAGGGAGGTACTGTCGTGGCCACTTTTGTACAGTAAAATCTGTCAGAGAATGAAGGTGAAATAAGTCAGTGTGTTCCCTTTCTCAAGGGACTTTGCATTTAAATTTGATCTTTCCTTGACACGCTGCAAATGAGTTTCCCAGAAAATAATACTTGGTATCCTGCTGCCCGTCCGGGGTCTCCCAGCACTGCTTTCATTTCCGTGTATGTGTGTTGCGGGGGGCGCCGTCCGCACAGTCCTCTGTAGGGGCTCCATCGAATTTTCCCACAAAATTACTATAATTCATAATAATAACAATCGCAATACCTAATATTTGTGAAGAGATTTTTATGGAAATGGTCAAGTGCTAAGAACTTTCTGTATTTCTTCTCATTTAATCTCTCTGAAGGGGTAATGATTCCCATTTCAGGTGGCTGAATGATGGATCCAGGATCTCAACAATCTAACAAGTGGGGAGCCAGGCTTCTTAGCAAATCTCCCAGAGTGAACCTTGACCGATACATTTTACACACACACACACACACACACACACACACACACACACACACACATATGGGTTCATATTGGGAGTTAGTCTGAACGATTGTGGGGGCTGCCTGAGCAAGTCTGCCATTCGTAGGGCAGGAGGAC
This sequence comes from Homo sapiens, assembly GCF_000001405.40. Taxonomy (NCBI): domain Eukaryota; kingdom Metazoa; phylum Chordata; class Mammalia; order Primates; family Hominidae; genus Homo; species Homo sapiens. Next base: position 86,782,115 of record NC_000016.10, read on the forward strand.
AGGAAGGAAATGTCCTGAGCTGGAGCTGCATGGGCCCAGCCAAGCTGCACTATCCACGGGTGGGAGCTCTCCTTCCCTCCCTGTCTTATTGTGACATGTGTGTCATTTCCAGCTTGAGACAGCTAAAGACAGTGCTGCCATGAGCCCACACAGATATCTTGGTGCACCGAGACACAAGCTTTGCCAGGGGATATGCTTAGGAATGGAATTACAAATTAGAGGATGTCCTCAACTTCAACTTTCTAGACAATTCCAAACTATTTCTTCAAGAGGTGTCCCGGCCGGTGCAGCATTTTCCATCTGAGAAGCTGCAGTCAGCCTCCAGATAACCTCTGCTCACCGGTCCACATCCTGTCCTCTGAGACCCAGAGGCCCCTTCCAGGTCCAGTCCTCCTTGCCTATGAATGCCACAGCGCCAGGGCATAGTAGGTGCTGAATTAAATATCTGTTGACTGAATGAACAGGGGAGTTAACTTTGAAAACAGCATGTCTACCCTCCTGGTCTATGCTGTTCAAATTCTTTCCACTGATGACCTATGCCAGCCTATAAGGCGTCTTTATGCCAATTAGAGATAAAGAAACCCCTTTGGGTGGGCAAATTGCAAAAATTCTTCTGCTCTGCAGAGAAGCTGTTACAGTGGCTTATGGCATGAATGGTGGGACCCAAACTGCATTTCAGCCCCCGATTGCGTTGGTGAAAGACACACCCAGGGGCAATCCTAAGCAGAGGCCCTCATTCCTGGGTCTCACCTATGGGCTCTGACCACACTTCTGTGGATCAAAGTTCTTCAAAGGCAGCAATGGTCCCCAGACTTTTTGGCACCAGGGACTGGCTTCATGGAAGACAATTGTTCCAGGACCAGGGGTGGGGAGGATGGTTTCGAGATGATTCAAGGGCATTATATTTATCGTGTATTTCATTTCTATTATTATTACATTATAATATATAACGAAATAATTATACAACTCATGATAATGTAGAATTGGTGGGAGCCCTGAGCTTGTTTTCCTCCAGCTAGATGGTCCCGTTTGGGGGTGGTGGGAGGCAGTGACAGATCACCAGGCATTAGATTCTCATAAGGAGCACACAACCTAGATCCCCCACGTGTGCAGTTCACAATAGGGTTCACGCTCCTGTGAGAATCTAATGCCACTGCTGATCTGACGGGAGACGGAGCTCAGGCAGTAATTTGTGTGATGGGGAGTGGCTGTAAATACAGACGAAGTCTCGCTCGCTTGCCTGCTGCTCATCTACTGCTGTACGGCGTGGTTCCTAACAGGCTACAGATTGGTACCAGTCCATGGCCTGGGGATTTGGGACCCCCAAACAGCAGCATTCAGAACGCAACATGGTTACCAAGCCTTTCTAGTTCCCAAGAAAGCAGTTTTTCTAAACAGTGCACACAGAGAAGTGAATCCAAAAAGCATCACAAGATTCCTGTTGGTCCAGGAGCTTTCAGGAAATGAGAGCCACAGGTGAATCTAGCCAAGGAAGCCCCCAGTCCCATATTTAAGTTTGAGTCTAAATCTCAACCCGGGGATTGCTCTTCCAGCTTCTGTTCTGGAGTCTCAGTCTGGTTTCCCTGGCAGGATGCAAGGACACAGGGCTCCCAGATGGCATCGTCACACCACGGCCCCCATGGCAAGAGGATGCCAAAAATTCCAGGGCTCGACTTCCAGAAAGGGACTTGACTCAGACACTGCGGTTTGGAATTAACCTGCTCCATTCAACCAACTGGGGAACAAACAAGATTCCACATGTGAGGGCACTGACTGGGCTGAATGCCCTGTGGAAAGCGGGCAAACATGAGTGGAACTTCTTAGTAAACAAAGGACGGCCCTTGGCAGCCTGCACGGTACCAGTGTTTTCTAAAATGGCATTTTATTGCCTACATAATGCAATTTCATGACAAATTCTGGGCCGCCTTCCCACACCCCATATTAAGTTATTTCTTTTTATTATGCTCATTTTGTTGATGACGTCATGACACGGCCCATCAACCCTTAATTAAAACCACGGCTACAATGTTAGGCCCCCTTTAAACCATGAAAACCAGGGTTTTGGAGAAGTCCTTTAGGAGAGTTTGCTGCTGGGACGGACAAGGACCCTGCTTGCTCCAGGGCAGTCATTGTGGGTTTCCAGAAAAAAGGCAAGAGGTTCTCAGAGGTGCTGGGGTATGGGGGGATTCCAGGTTGTTAGGGGTTGAACTGTGTCCTCCGGAAAAAGGTGCATTGAAGTCCTAACCCCCCAGTGCCTCTGAAGGTGACCTTATCCGAGGGTGGTTGCAGATGTAATTAGTTACGATGAGGTCATACTGGAGTAGGGCGGGCCCCTAATTGAATATGACTGGTGTCCTTATAAAAAGACGGTCATGGAAACTCACAGAGACGCACGGGGGGAACACCACGTGAAGATGAAGAAATAACTCAGGGTGATTCTTCTGCAAACCGAGGGACACCACAGGTCTCCAGCGACCACTGGAAGCTGGGAGGAGCCTGGGGAAAACCCTCCCTTACCTTCCTCCGAAGGAACCAGCCCTATGGACACCTTGATTTTGGACTTTCGGCCTCCAACACTGTGAGACAACATGTTTCCATTGCTTTAAGACACCCAGTTGTGGTGTTTTGTTATGGAAGCCCCGGGACACTCACACACAGGGTTTGACTGCGTCTTCCTGAGTTTAATCACCCAGGCTTGAAATACCCCACATGCAGGCAAATTCTGTGTTTCTCATCGGAACCACAATCACATCTTCCTGGCCTGGACATCAAAGGCATTTTGGTGGGGACAGGATTTGCTCTGCGGCGGCCCCCAGCTTTGACCGTAGTTATAATCCGAACGTTCGGCATTTGGGGGGAAATAAATGCACCCACATAATTAATTACAGAAAGGCCACTAGGGAGGCTCTCAGAGTTTCTAGGGTTTGAGTTTGTCTTGGGTTCCAAAAAAGGGCTCTGAAAAACTGGATGTCCTTCCAACACAATAGATCCCTGTTCTTTCATGTAGCACAAAGTTTGAGAACCTGTCACTGAGATCATTGATTCTGGGAGAACATGTTTGTTACATCCTCAGGGAATTCTTGGTCCTCATTTCCAGGTAGGGAAACCAAGGTTGGTAGAGGCAGCTGTGGGCCCAGATCACAGCCAGTGTTGGAGCCTCAGTGGCCAGCTGGTTGTGGTGACTGGACGTGGGCTCGCTGGGCACTAGTGTGTGGATGTGGAAGAGATATGCGTGTGTCTATGTGTGTGTGTGAGAGAGAGAGAGAGGCTTTATCTCTCATGAGAAGAGTAAAAACCTATGTAGTTAAAAGTCACTCTTGAAAAAAACTGCAGTGAGGTCTGTTTTTATTGACTTATTAATTATAATATTATCAACATACATAGTGTAATTTAAGCAATGGCAAAAAAAAAAAAAGACAGTTGACACCTTTACAAGTAGATGCCTTCTAATAGATTCATTTGAGTAAACATCATCTCTTTCTAAGGAGTCTCCCCAGAAATCTCAAGTTAAGCCACCAACAAAATCAGTCTTAGTTACACTGGTTTTTAAAAATAACAAATTGTTGGCTGGGCACAGTGGCTCACGCCTGTAATCCCAGCACTTTGGGAGGCCAAGGTAGGCAGATCACGAGGTCAAGAGATCGAGACCATCCTGGCCAACACGGTGAAACCCTGTCTCTACTAAAAATACAAAAATTAGCTGGGCATGGTGGCACATGCCTGTAGTTCCAGCTACTTGGGAGGCTGAGGCAGGAGAATCACTTGAACCTGGGAGGTGGAGGTTGCAGTGAGCCGAGATTGCATCACTGTACTCCAGCCTGGCAACAGAGTGAGACTCCGTCTCAAAAGAAAAATAATAATAATAATAATAATAAAGAATTGTTTTTTCCCTAATTAAAAAATAACACCGTCGAAAAATTAGAAAACACAAAACAAATGTATAAAAGAAAATTTCGAAGTGACCATAATCTTATCAATCAAGTTTATACCAGGATGTGGGTATATTTGTTTCCAGCTTCTTTACATGTCTGTGTATGTGTGTGCAATTTTGAATTCCATTTTCATACATCTTGTAATACTTATATTATCATTAGACATGATATTATAGGAGTGTTAACTATTAATATCATTAATAACTCTTCATAATTATAATTGTTGGTGCATGTCTTTAAATCTTATTTGCCACTTGTGATCGTTGACAAAGACTCAAGAGTGGCAACGTTAAGAAAAAGCACTTCTCAGCCATTGGGGCACCATGGTTGGGGATGGGTTGGAAGGGGTGTTGATCACCAGGGCACTGCTTAACTGGTCATTCCACCAGGCTTCTGTTCTTGGTTTTTAAAGAGCTTGGTGCCTGTGCACTGTACCATGAACACAATAGTTACATCATAAAAATAACTTTCACAACGATGACGACCACAAACTACCAAATGCCAGACACTGTGCTGAGCACCTCCTGGGCATTGAACCATTCTCAACACCTAATCCCCACAGTGTTCCTATCAGGTGGCTCTGATTGTCATACACATTTGATGAGGCAACGCAGGCAGCAAAAGCCGAGGTGCTGCAACTCACAGGCACACTGTATACCCACCAACAGGGTATGGGAGACAGAAATCCAATCACTTCCCTTCCCATGTCCGAAGCATCTCCAGGGACCTGGAAGTTGGAATTGGTGCATTCTGCATAGACATCGCACTCTTTGTGGATGTCTGATTGCATGTGCCCAGGTGCATTGCAAAGGAGCTCTTCTCCTGGCACCTTCTGCTGGAGGAGGGACCTGGGAAGGTTTTATCTGGCAATTCAGCCTAACTAGTTACTTTTCGTAAATCACTTTGAATCCTACCTCAAAATCAACATGAAAAGGCCCATCTTTGAATGTTTTTGCCCAGAGTTTATGGTGCTGTACATATTTCTAAGCAACAGAAACCAAACTTTCCCCAATATTCAAACCTCTTCAAGGAATGTTTTTAAAAAACATGTGGTCAACTTTGAATTTTATGTGAGCATTTTTTTAAAGAATCTATTTACATGCACCATCAACATGTGGTTTTACTGGATGTAGAGTCAGTCTTCCTCCAGAGATACATTAACATGTTGTCAATCATGAAAGTCGGAAAAACAATTATTCTGCACTTCAGTAGATTATGTTGATGTATGATCATGCAACTATTTGGGTTAATAGGAAACTGCATCTAAGTTCTTACTTCACTTTGGATATTTTACTGATATTTTGGGGGATGAGGCACTGCTTGTTGCCCTGGGTGTGAGTAATGTGGCAGTGGAAACCCACTGCGTTAGTACAGCAGTTAACCTAGGGCAGGGGTTCCCAACCAGGGGTGATTTTGCTGCCCAGGGACAACTGGCAATGTCTGCAGAGGTTTTCGTTTGCCATTACTTGGAGGGGAGAGTGCTCCTGGTCTCTACTGGGAAGATGCTACCGTGGACTAAATAGTGCCCTACGACGAAGAGTTATACCACCCAAAGGTCAGCAACGCCAAGGGCAAGAAACTCTGATCTAAGATAATTTGTCTTTATAAAAATCATATACAGATAAATATAATATTTAAATGTATATAATGTACAATATAATTTATATTATAATAGAATATTTTTAAACATAATTGAAATTTTAATATTTAAATGTATTTATATAATTTATATATTTGAATATTTTAGAACATAATTTTAAACATTTAGATTTTATAATTTTATAAATATATAAAATTTTATAAATATATAAAACTTCTCGGTGTAGCTGCTGAGAAGTCTGGAGTTTTGTTCACTTCTGGGAAGATTTTCTTATCTTTCTCTTCCAACTTTTGCCTTGAACTTTTTCACTTATGCTATCGTGTTTTTCTCTGCTAAGAGCTTTTTGAGGAATACTGTTTTTGTTTCATGAATACAATATTTTCTTTTCTTTCTCTGAGGTTATTCATAGTAGCCTTTCTTATTTTAAATTTTTGCTTACTGAATAGTCTTTTTCCTTCCTGTTCCTTTTTGTTGTTGTTGTTACTGAGGTAAAATACGTATAAAGTTTGCCCTTTTCACCATTTAAACGTTTCAATCTAGTGGCATTTAGAACATTCACAGTGTGGTGCCATCGCCGCTTCTCTCTAGCCCCACAACACTCCCATCACCCCACAAGGAAACTTGTGCCCATTAGCAGCCATTCCCACCCCTCTCCCTGCAGCCCCTGATAATCATTCAAGCACTTCCTGTCTCTGTGGATTTGTCTGTTCTGAATGTTTTACGTGAACAGAATCAGACCTCTTGTGTCTGCGAGATGGGGGGTCCCAGGTTGCCATCTCCTATTTAAGAGCAGGACAATGAAGGCCAAGGGGTGCCCCCAAGGATCTTGGTAAGAATGTGATGAGTGTGGGGTCCCTGTGGGGTCTGTCGAGGCCATGTCATTAGGGACCCCCAATGTCAGCACGTTTGGGCATTTCTCCTTGGACTCTAGTTCCCCATGGTGGGCTCTTCTCCTCCCTGCCTGGAGATCTAGAGGCCCAGGGCTAACGTTCTGAGAGTCAGCGGGTGGTGAGGGCCTGGGTGGGGGGAAGGATCAGCCTCCACACTGAACAAGTCATACTCCTTCAATCTCCTGCTTCCTGCACAGACTCCCACCCTAGCTGGGCTCCAGAGACCCCTGTGCCAGCCTTTCAGAGAATGAACGAGCCTCCATCTGCTGCCAAAGTTGGGGCACCTGGCTGTCTGCAGCAGAGAAAAAAGCTGAGGCCCTGCTTCTCCCCACTCCTAGAAGCACCTGGTGCTACCCATTCCTGAGCCTTTAGGGGTTCTCTGCCCCACATCGAGGGATGGAGTTTTCCCCTTCTCTACCAAGGCTGCATTAGGATTCAACTTCCCGGGGGCAGGCGGGAGGCGAGGTCAGTTAACACTCCTCCAGGGGCCTGTAGCTTCCAAATTTCTCTGCAGTTTCCACCTCTCTTGTTGCATTCCCAGGTTTGTGCCTTAAACAAAGTCCCTTCAGTGTCATCTAGCGATGCTTCAGGAAGAACCCCCTGCTACCCCCAACAACAGCCTCAGCTCTGGAGACACCGCCCCTCTCCCCGTGCCCACCGGCACCCACTCCTAATGTAGAGAGGCAGAGCATGCGTCCAAGAATAAGGCCTGTCTGCTCCGACCTTGATGCCTCTCACAGCACCACCAGCTGGATGAGCCCAGGAGCCCTGGGGACATGGGGTGGACTGGAGGACAAAGACGGCCCCCTCCCCACTCCACTTCACTCTCTCAGTTTCACTGCGATTATCCTGCTGTGCTCTGCGGTGTTACCGCCAATGCTTTAATTGCTTGGAAAACAAGTCAGTGGTCACCTGTGTGTTCCTGCCACAGAAATGAGTAGGATTTTTAGGTGCCACAACCTACCCAAGCTACTTCAAGGGGCTTCATTTGTTTTTCAAGCGAGGTGCCTGGGGAAGAGGAACACCTACAGGAAAAGGTAAATCGCTGTTCCTTCCTGTTTTCTGCCATTGCTTATTGCTGAAGTGGCCAGTCTTCATCCGAGTCGAGCAGGAGCAGTTACACAGCAAGGAGGCAGAGGGTCCGTCGGCCCCTGCCTGGAGTCAGCTGCCCGGCACCTGCCCCCGACGTGGCCTTGTCCTCGGGAAGGGGTCACGCTTCAGATGCCTGATCCAGCTCAGATCTCAGGGCAGTCCTGGGGGAGGTGAACTCACCCTCCCCCATGATACCCTCACCATGTCAGAGGTCAGAGGGCATGGCATGGGATTTAAGCCAATCACCAGCTTACAATTCTACAGACAATTATCTCGGATTTGAGTTAAAAGGCCAGCCAGGACAGAACCCAGTCACCACACATTCCTCTGCTAATGTGTCGTTTCTTGGAAATGCACAAACAAATAAAGCAAAAAGCATGCCCCACCGCTGGTGAGTTCTCACGACTCTGCTTGCTGATGTGGATACACTGACAGTAGCTCTCAAGGGTTTTAACACTCCGGACAATTTAAAATAAAGGAGCTGGTTTAGGGAGGAAAGAATACAGGATGTTTTAAACACCAGAAAACTGAAAATTCTTGTCCCAGGAAATCAGTGACCCCTACGGATGAGCACTTGGAATGAAGGGTCACTGTAAATGGAAAAATGAGAACAACGTCCCTATTACAAAGAAAGCCCAGGGTAAGGGAATACCAATTGGTACCAATTAGAGACGGATCAGTTAGGTGGGGAAAGTTCAGATCCCCTCTGGAGTATATTTATATATCCTCTCTAGAGCCAAAGCCTAGTTAACCTGTGACTGGCTATCGGCTTCCCCCATCGGTGACCCAATCCACACTCTCTCTGCAAGATATTTCAACGGTGGCTGACTCTACTCAACGTTATTTGTAAATATGTTGCAGGGGACACGTTTTTTCCGACTGTCTGAAACACTGCAAACCGAATTGCCTTCCAGAATGAGGACAGTAATGTGGTCTGGCCAGGCAAGAGGGTGCCAGGCAATAGGGAGTGGTGGGGCCTGTGGCTGAGCCCCAGGCACACAGCGGGGAACACCTGTGGCCAGACCTTCTGGGTTTATCAAGAGCAGCAGGACAACTGGATTTATAAGGTAAGATGTCTCCACTTTGAAAACATTGTAGGCCAACACAAGATGCCTGAGGCAATTGAAGACTCCTAGACTAAAGTCACAGAAAATGACGGCGGCTTTTCTCTACGCATTGACCAAACCCTCTCACCTCCCATAAAGGGACAGCTGGTGGTACTGCGGTCTACCCGCAGGCTTCTGGCTGGGCCAGAGAGCTCCCCAGCCTACAATACTGTCTAGTTCTTGCCTCTGGCCAGGAGGCCTTTTTTGCTCTCCTCCAAATGCAATTTGAGTTGAGCATTAACCTCACAAAGTGGCATTCCCATTACGATCTGAGAAGCGGAGGCTGACGACTTTGTAGTCGCCCTATGAACGGGGCTCCAGCTTGACTGCAGGTTGAATCATTCAGTACAGACCTTGGAGTTCCTTTGCCTGGTCTCTTGCCCATCGTAGGTTTATTCACTTACTCTCTGGTATTTATTGAATGCCCTTCAGGGCCTAGACACTGTGGATATCGCTTGATGAGGTTGATGACTTCAATAAAAAATGTCGTTCTTAGCACTGGCTCCGGGGAGCTGGTGCAGGTATGATGTTTGGTGCTTCCCTTGAAGGGGGAGCTTCAAGAGACACTTGACACATCCTGGGCTGCCTGAGACAGCTCGTTGGTCCTTCCAGCCTAAGCACTTCTGTAAAACCCTCTTACCCAACCAGCATCTCTCCCTCAAAATGTCTCAAACTGATTTCTGCTCATTTGATACTTGGGACTGAAAACAAATGAGAAAATTAGAGATGATCCCTAAAGTTAGGGACCACACTTCCTGATGGGAAGTCTGAGCCCCCAGACCCAGTGCCATTCACCCAGTGTTCGCGATACTTCCTGCCCTTTCAGAACGCCCAGGTTTATCAGCGTACAGCTCTTGTTAGGAGAAAATAATCAATTGCCTGTTTTAATAAGCGAACGCAATCTTCTTCTAGGGAGGCTGGTAACCTGAAGGCCACGTGGGTTTAAAAGATGCATAATTAGGATGGGTCTGGTTGCCCTAGAATAAGAGGCAGAGCTCATGCGAGCGCTCACCTTCTGGCTGCGATGGAAACATTGCCCACTGCGTACAGCTCTAGTGACTCCTTGATGTGTAAGCATGTGTGATACAATTCACGTGAACAAACAGCCAACCCAAGTAACAGGACGAGGCTCGGCATTCAGATGTTAATCCGCATAAGCCCAAGCGCTGATAACCATGACGTTTTGGAAACCAGACACCATAGATCATTAGACAACAATGCCAAGCCGTAGGTTGTGCCTGAACGCTCCCTAGTCCCTGGGTTCAAATCCCAGAGGTTGACTTTTGTCCCTGATTACTTTTTTTTTCCTTTCGGTGGGACAAAAATCATGGAAACACAATTTAACCTCCACCTTTTCTTGTCCCCTTAGACCGGGATCACATTTCAGCAAAATAGTGGACACACTGCTAGTGGCTGGTGTTGATTTTACAGTTGTCATTTCCAGTTTACCTTGCAGAGCTTCATCTTTAAGTGAGTAACAAATAGCTACTAAAAATCTCTCCGGGGCGTTTTTGTTCTTTTTTTTTTTTCTTTCTTTCTGCATGCAGTAACTGCCCATAAACCAACTAGGGTAAAAAAGACAGGGATGTCTGCCACAGTGAAACAGGCTTTTAAAAGACAAACTACACTCATCCTGGGGCATGTAACATAAAAATTGTGTTGGTTAAGCAAGCAGATGAAAATAGAACAATAATGTCCCATGCTTTTGGCTGCAGGGACAGCGTATCCATGCTGGATGGAGCCTCTCACAGTTAGAGGTGCTTTGCATGAGGTACATCTTGCTTGCCTCCTTCATGTTGTCTTTTCTCTGTTAACTTCAAAAGTGTAAAGCAAGTCCTCTCCCAGAAGGGTAAAATTTCCACGGTGACAGATTCAAAGAGTAAAGCAAGTGAGGGTCTAAAGCAAAAAGAAAACAGTCTCTTATTTGATAAATGGTTTGAATTTAATGACTGGGGAAAAGCCCAAATCAGACAATTTGTGACTTGATCAAGCCCCAGGTCCCTTCTTGCAAAGCTGTGACAAGCAAAAGGCGCGGCTGGTCTAAGAAGACTGACATTTCTGGGACACCTGCTGTTTAGTCACTGCCCTTTAGCCCAAGTTAACTAGGAGCTGAAATACACAGGTTGGTGATGTTGCTAAGCCAACATGGAAAAGAGTGGTTTTTAGGGTTGTACATTTTAAGGTTTTTTACAAGTAAAAATAAAGTTTTGAAAGAGCAGCAGCACTTTCGCATCCTCTTGCCTTCATTTTCCAACTCTACGAACTTGTGAACTATGAGGGGTTTGGTTATAGGGTTTCTAAGAAGTCTGAGTTTAAAATTCTTATAGAGAATGAAAGCAGGTAGAAATATTGCCATTCCAGGATTGAGTGAAGTCATCTGAACTAACCCTCGAATTGGTTCATTCATTCATTTCTTTGTTGTTTATCCCACAAATATCTATGGATAATGGTCCAGGCAATAGGCTAGGTGCCGGGGATAAGTGGTTTTGACAAAGTTCTCCATCTCATATTCCCTCTCTTGAGAAGGAGAGGGGGCCCACGGACTGAAGTGACTTGTCTAGGATTACACAGCAAGCTCAGTTCTGTGCTTGGCCCCCCCCTGCTTTTTTTTGAAGACTTAAAAAAAAATCATATTTCTTATGAAAGGCATGTTTCACCATGTTTTCCTTCTTGTCAACGGGAAAAACAAACTCCCTCCAGCAGAGGTCCCAGGCTACAGTCATGACATACTGACTTCCACTTGCCTTCCCTAAAACTGTTTTCCTTCCCCCAAGAAAACCAAAAAGACCACTTGGCTTTCCTGCTTCCCTCTTGCAAATGTGGCTGCAGCAGTGGCCTGGCAGAATTGGAAAGGCGGATTCTGGGTTTTGGGAGGGTTATCTACATAGACGACCACATGTCCAAGTTTGCGTAGGGTGGTCTCAGTTTCTGCCTGCTGACCTGGCATCTCCGTTAGCATACTTTTCAACTCTCAAAGGTGCCTTGGTTTGGATGATGCATTACGGCCATTCTACATGTAGGACACTTTTAAATACTATTCTGCCCGTTACATGTGGGTCACACAGCCCAGGCTTCCCTGGCAGTGGAGATGTTCCCCCTGTTGGAGCTCATAGCGCAAGGGGAAATAGGCTGGTTCTCTTAGAACATGGAGGACAATGGCCCCTGAAAACCCATTGACTTGTTGACTGGCTACATCAATCTTAGTGGATTTGTCGCCAAAGCCAGACACGTCCATAACATGTGCAGGACCCAGGACAAGGGTCAATATGAAAACCCACATGTCTTATATTCAGATATTTTAACATTATAAATCAAAGAGCTAAATAGACTCTTTTCTCCTGACTTGTCAAATGGAGCTTCATGACTACCCGGAAGGTGGGGTTTGAATGCAGAACTGTCATACTCCTAGGAGCTCCATGCTGACAGGTGCACATGGGGAAAGCCAGTCTTCGACCCCAGACCATGGCCTGTCCCCCTTCTTGTCTCATCCTGGTCCCTTTCTGCAGGGCGAGGGGTCTCAGATTCATCGGTGCAGATGCCGTAGCCATGCATCAAGCTCTGCTCATATCCCTTGCAAACAGCCATCCCTCGACCACCTCTTCAGGCTCATCTGTAAAAGAAGTGCTGTGAACAAGACTAGCACAGGCCTTGGGAGTGAGCTTGGGGCCGTTTGGGCCAGGAGCTCTGGCCTGGGTACCCAGAGCATGACCTAGAGGTGAAGGTGCAGGTCCAGATGGGCGGTCTCCTCGTATTTGGCTCCTGGCTTCCCCGTGACCTGTAGCACCATGACATGGTGAACGGCTTCCATGTTGTCTGCCTGGCACACCCTTCATGCTCTCGTCATGGGTGGAATCCCGATCTGTCTCTCATCGCTGACCACAAGGGCATAGCAGTCTTTTCGGTCTGGGCTGCCTTTTCATTCTTGACTATTTCAGTCCTAGCACACTGACTTTCCCTGCCCCCCACCTAAGCCTTTAAGCCTGAGTCAGAATGACTTTTGCTATTCTTCTCAAATCGGTCTCATTCTTCTGTCTCCACTTGTCTAACTACCTCTTACTCTACCGAAAGGCCTCTTAGTTCCTCTGAGTTAGGGTTTCCATTTCCTAATGTTTTTAAGTTCAGGACTTATTCTATGTCATGAAATGGATGTTACAAAGACAAAACAGGCCAGGCGCGGTGGCTTACGCCTGTAATCCCAGCACTTTGGGAGGCCGAGGCGGGCAGATCACCTGAGGTCAGGAGTTCGAGACCAGCCTGGCCAACATGGCAAAACCCTGTCTCTACTAAAAATACAAAAATTAGCCAGGCATGGTGGCGGTAGCCTGTAATCCCAGCTACTTGGGAGGCTGAGGCAGGAGAATTGCTTGAACCCAGGGGAGGAGGTTGCAGTGAGCTGAGATCGCACCATTGCACTCCAGCCTTGGGGATACAGCGAGACTCTGTCTCCAGGGGGGAAAAAAAAGGGGGGGGGAGGCAGGGGAGCAAAACAAATCTACTGTGGAGATTCTATGTCTGATATATGAGAAACAGAATACGCATCCTTTATCTCTGAATTCTTCAAGTAGGGACCAACTCCCATGCACTCTAGAAGTGAGTCCACGAAGTTTATATTCTTAATCATATTTGCAAACAAAAAGGTGCAGTATATTTTTGCTCAAAAAGGGTCCTCAGCAAATATTTGGTGAGTGAATAAACGAATGAATGAGTGAATTGCCAAGAACCCAGATTTGGGAGGCTGATAGACCTGGTTTGAATCCTGGTTATGTCACTTATTGAATGGGACACCTAAGGCAGTTTTCTTAATAACTCAGCCCCAGATAAGGAAGTACAACCTTAGAGGGTTGCAATGAAGGTGAAATTAGGTAATATTTGTAACGACTTAGCAGAGTACACAGCATAAAGAAAGCATCTAATTATACAAGCTGAAAACAACAAGCATTTAATGCTGTAGAATCAAATGGAGGTTGAGACCCCCAAAGGCATTGTTTGTTCAACTGTGGCGTTAAACAAAACACTTTTTTAACATAAAAAGTTTGCAGAGGTGTCCAATCTTTTGGCTTCCCTGGGCCACATTGGAAGAATTGTCTTGGGCCACATATAAAATACACTAACCATATCTGATGAGCTAAAAAAAAAAAAAATTGCAAAAAACGTCTCATAATGTTTTAAGAAAGTTTACGAATTTGTGTTGGACCACATTCAAAGCCATTCTGGGCCACGGATTGGATGAGTTTGGTTTAAAGACCTCCCCCTGATTTTTTTGCAAAAAATTTTAAAGGCCTTGCTCCTAGAGAGTACATTGTCTTCCAAGAAGTGAGAATCATTTCAGACAGTTTGGTATCAACAAAGTTTGAATAAGAATAATAATATCGTTATTATGCCAAAAGAATTATAGTACATATACAATTCTTCCACTTCCTTTTTTCATTAACTGTGTATTTCATTCATAATACACTGTCCACATTGATTTACAAAGATATCTCATTTAAAATGTGTTTCATATCATTTCACTGCATGAATATTTCTTGATGTTTTTGCCCAGTCCCCTATGAATGGACTTGGGGCTGTTTCTATGCTTTTTTTTTTTTTTTTTTTTGAGACGGAGTCTTGCTCTGTTGCCCAGGCTGGAGTGCAGTGGTGCTATCTCAGCTCACTGCAAGCTCCACCTCCTGGGTTAATGCCATTCTTCTGCCTCAGCTTCCAGAGTAGCTGGGACTACAAGCACCTGCCACCACGCCCGGCTAATTTGTTGTATTTTTAGTAAAGACAGGGTTTCACTGTGTTAGCCAGCATGGTCTCAATCTCCTGATCTCATGATCTGCCTGCCTCGGCCTTCCAAAGTGCTAGGATTACAGGCATGAGCCACCGTGCCCAGCCCCCTAGCTTATTTTTTAGTGGGTTAATTTCTAGGAATGAAATTTCTAGGTAAATTTGGTAAATGGAGAAATTGCATTTTGATAAAAAGTTCCAACTTGGCTTCTCCAAAAGATAGACCAGCCATGTTTGAAGGGGGTTTACTTCCCAAAATTCCAACCAACATGGAACATTCTGGTTCTTTTTAATTTTGGACAACCTGGCAGACAAAAGTAAGATCTCCTGTTTTGAACATGTGCCTGTATTTGATGACTAACAGTGCTGAAGCACACTTCATGTGAACGTTGGCCATTGCTGCCATGTTTTCATGAGATGTCTGATCACATCCTGCCTTTGTCTGTTTTCCTCTTCCAGTTGTTTATATTTCTGTACTGATACGTAGGTGTTTTGTTTTGTTTTGTTTTGTTTTGTTTGAGACAGAGTCTCGCTCTGTCACCCAGGCTGGAGTGCAGTGGAACGATCTTGGCTCACGGCAACCTCCACCTCCTGGGTTCAAGCAATTCTCCTGCCTCACCCTCCAGAGAAGCTGGGATTACAGGTGCCTACCATCATGCCTGGCTAATGCTTTGTGTTTTAATAAACACAGGGTTTCCCATGTTGGCCAGGCTGTTCTCGAACTCCCGACCTCAGGTGATCCACCCACCTTGGCCTCCCAAAGTGCTGGGATTACAGGCGTGAGCCACCGTGCCTGGCCGGTGTTATTTTATAATATGAATATTCATCATATGTTTGCCATATGTGTTGCAAATTTCTAAGTTATTGATTATCTTTTAATGTTTTATTACAAATCTTTATAAGATATTGTGTGTATTATTCTGTCCTATTTAACCTAGATCCCTGAAGATAACTGAATCTCTTATCGATGACCCATAACCTGTTCCCTTCTTTGTGTGCTGCTAAAATTTGTACAACTATTTGCCCTTTCGTTAAATGGCCTCTGATTGCCATACTTCTGAATACTTTATCTATTTTGTTATCTTGGTCCTTCTACCTTAGTGATGTGCTATTCACATGTATTCCCTGTTATTAATGGGTTAAAAATGGTAATATTCTTCCTTGATTTTCTAAATGTGCTTTTCTCGGTTGTCTACAGCTGGGGGATCAGACAGTCAAGTCTGCTAGGATTGTGTCTGAAGTGGGACTCACTAGGTCATGAATGAGATCCTTAGGTGCCCTCATTAAATACATGAAAGATTTTCAGAGTCATTTTGTATTTTCTTGCCAATTCTTGGCTCTCGTTCAGCTGGTTAAGTGTGCGTGATATTTTAAGCCCTGTTAAGTGAGGTATTACTATGTACCAAAGACTTACATAGAAGCAAGTGACTGTAGGCTTTTCAAGTGAATTAGTTGACTCTCAGATCTTAGATTTAATTTAGTCCACTCTCTCTATCTCCAGAATTTGAAACCATTCAACAATGTCCCCAGCTGTGTTGTCATCTACACTCTTTTTGAACAATTGCAGTCGTGGACAGATCAGCTCTCTAATCCGAGTATTGTACTTTGGACAGCTCTCATTATGACAAAACTGTGTTACTCTATGGAACGTGATTCCCCAGAAAATTCTCCCCGTAGTACTGGATCTACCTTCTCCTTGGCTTAGTTCTGCCACATGTCCTTTTCCCAATAAGCCCCATGACTGCTCTGTGGTCAGCACAGATGTCTCCAGGTAAGCCTGAATTCCCCCACCAAAAAAACACAAAAAAACCCTCCTCCACCCTAAGGATAAACACTGGATTTTCCAAGTCCCATAGAGAGTGTGGGGCTGGCTTTGGAGTCATTTAAGCTGCTCTGGGCTTAATAACGGTAGCCAGATCCAAAGAGCACCACACACCCAATGAGGTCATCACCATTCCAGTCCCACTGAGCCTTCCGCAGATGCTACAAGAAATCTGCCCACCAGGCAAGTCACATGTTCAATGTTAACCTGAGAGCTTCTGAATCTGAACGGGCCAGGGACTGAAGCTTCCTCCATTTTGGCTGCTGCTCTGGACACTAGCAATGGGCTTTCATCTCCTGAGGGCTCTGACTTGGCAGCATGTACCTACACCAGTGTCTCCAATGTCAATTCTTCCTTAACCCTCCATCAGGAAAAAGCACACACACAAAGCAGGTGTTTGTTTTCTTCAGTGATTTGTTCACTCAGAAATGAGAACTCTTGCCTGTGGGCCAAGATTTTCCTCTTAAGGAAGTGGTGACTCCACCTGACCTCACCCCCCCCCCAACCCCGAGAACCTCCTCTGGCTTCTATGGGGGTTGCCACTGGGAGTGGGTCCTGGACAGCCTAGGAAGAAAAGTGTCTGGATGATGTAATCCTCTGGCAAAGGAAAGCCTAGCTCAGCTCCTTGTAGGTGAACTGAGCCCTTGTGCCTGCCTGGCAGAGCAAGTCTAAGGAGGATGAAGCACACAGCATTGGTGATCTCAACAGCCACCCTCCCCATAGATTAAAAAATTGCTACCCATAACATATGGATACCTATAGCCTTGAGCAAGATTAGAAAGACCTTGTCCAGAGCTTCCTTTGTCCAGACGTTCAGTATTTTTTCATCTGTAAAATCAGTGAATTGGACCACAAGGTTTTGAAAGTGCCCTTTAACTCTAATATTCATCGACTTACTGGGTCCAAGTGGGTTATTTGGGGGAAGGGGCACCAAACTATGTCTACTCACCCTTCCTTTCCAAGACAGTCAATGAAGCACCTTTGCACACAATTGGCATTGATCATGCCAGGATGCCCAGCAGACCCTAAGGTGACTGTCTCAATTGTCATCGCTGCCATCATCATTCTCATCATTACCATCAGCATGATAACATGATCACCATGATAAAACGATCACCATGAGCATCACCATCCTGATCACTGTCATCACCATCCTCATCACCATCATCCTCACCATCATTACCACCATCACCACCACCACCATCATCACCATCATCCTCATCATCATTACCACCATCACCATCTTCATCACCATCATCATTACCACCATCACCACCACCATTATCACCATTCCTACCATCATCCTCCTCCTCCTCATCGTCATCATCAAGGTCACGAGCATTTTGGGATGTTTAGATGGAGCTAAGATTCAAGGTGACTAGTGGTTGTTCTGAAGGTGATACACTGTCTCTCACTCAGTGAACATAGAAATTGTATTATATACTGCCTATTTTGGCTTTCATCTTGACAACACCCCTTTGCATCTAATTCCCCAACACTGCTCTTTTGACTACTTGCAGACGGTTTAGAAAATGATTATAGAGAGGAGGTATTGCTTTTATCATTTATTGGAGTGATTCTGTAACGAAGATGCAACATGTGGGTGGTAAAATACAGTGAAGGAAACAGACAAATAGACTCCTTGTTTTGACCACATCCTGTTGCCCCTTTGTGATGTGTCCCTGTTTGTTGAAATCAGGTGCTGAGTATCCAGTGAATTTCATGCACATGAGCAGAAAAGGCAGCAAACAGAGAGAGAGAGCAAACTTTCTCAGGGCACCGGGTTCTCACTTCCTCACACTGAAGTCTAGAATAAAAGCATTTTTAAGGAACACTAAAAATATCTCCATACAGTCATGGAGTAAAATCAAAGTCTTGAGCACTATCTACATTAGAGTTCCCCAAATTCTTATGATGACCATTAATTTATTGTCTAAATAGGGACCCATTTGAAAATGAAAGGACGCACTAGAACCAATTAGTAGACGTTAATTAATTCACAACTAGCCTCCATTAAACTGTCCTAGCACAACTAGGATGTATAGTCAGCCTACAAACACAGACCTTCAGTTCAGCAGATCTAGAACAAATTTGCACCAAACAATAAATGAGAAAAATGACAATGTAAATATGTACAAATGTGTTGTAAGACTGTTAACTGCCCTTTCCTGGGGCAATCTATTCTTTATCTATCATTGTGTTCTTTCCACTTTTTTGTGTTAAAATGTTCTTTTTAAAATAAATTAAGTGGTCATGGGGGTAGATGATAGGGTTTCATCATTTTTGTTAATCTGTTTGCTTGTTATTTTTTGATTACTTAATTGGCACATAAAATCTGATGAACCTATGTCAATCCACCCATATTCATTTTTAGTTTCCTGGTCTCTGTAATCCTCAAATCTGGGACTACTTATCTGGACCTTTCCAGCTCACTGGGAAAGGATCATTTGCTCCATGAGTGAGGACATCCCTACTTGAGTCTCAGCCTGTCTGCTGCCCCACATTCATGTCCATTCTCAGAACCACCTATTCTTCCAATTGTGCTAAATTATTTTTTCTCAAATATTTTTATTACTATTTTTTAACCTTGATCTTCCTCCCCATGAAAACATGAAAAGGCAGCTTCCTCTCTTCCATCAACCCATCCCCAGACATCCCCCACCGCAAGCAATGGCAGCTCCTCCATCATCACAGATACTGGAATTTGTCTCAGAACCATCTGGCATGCATCACTATGCAAACGACGTCCTCACCGGAGGGAGCCCAAAGGGAGATTGCTATCTCAAGCCCCCATGTAGGGTGGTTGTTATTTTTAAAGGCAGCTCATTCAGCCACTGCAGGGAACTAATTTCTTTTCAACACTGCCACAGCACCCATCCTGAAGTTAGGGAAGCTGGACAGAGATGGAGGAGGTGGGGGTGGGGGAACTATTATTAGCATGATTTCTAGGATCAAAGTCCTTTATGACCTAAAAGATCTAGGCTGTTAAATTATAAATCAGGGTTTAATTAGAGTCTTGTCCATCAACTTTTATCCCTGCTTCAGTTTGGGCAAATGGCTCTTGCTTTGGCAGGTCGTTTCTTAAGTGTTTCGGAGATTATAAGCTCCGGTATTCATGTCAAACAGAGGAGCAGATGTGCGGTGGTTTTCCACCCCTAAAGAGTGGAAAGTGGAGATGCGTTTCATTTGCTTTAGCAAAAATAACTGCAGATATGAAAGTTTAAAAGTCTCGAGGCATCTACACCTTGCTCATTCTGGGGCAAAGATGAAGCCACAACTGAAGCCTGCTAGGAAGCAGAGGTTAAAGAGCCTGAGATTTTTGCTCACCACTGAACTCGGAATTCTGACTCTGATAACCCTGGACAACTTATTTAGCTTCTCTAAGCTTCATTTCCCCTCAGTTCTGTGATAAAGATAGTGATAGTAGCTACTCATGGAGTTGTAAAGAATATTATTTTATAGAACTACTATTTATTGGGCACCTGGTATATGACAGGCACCGGGTTAAGCTTTGGGAGTCCTATTGTCAATAAAACAAAGAAAATCTTTTGTGGAGCTTAAATTCTGGACAGGAGAGAGAGGGAGAAACAACAGACCAATAAAGAAATAAACATGATATAATGAAGAAAAATGAGTAGTGTGTAGGGAGAAAAATAAGAAGGAGGTACTGAGATACTAAGTGAGCAAATGTATGTTGAGAAGTTAGCACAGTGCCTAGCAGATAAAAGGGGTCAAATAAAATTAGTGATGATGATGATGATGATGATGATGATAGAGATGGTGGTGAAGGTGATGATTGATGGTGATGGGGTAATGATGATGATGGTGGTGATAATGGTAGTGACAATGATGATGGTGATGGTGGTGATGATGATGATGATAGTGATGATGGTGATGGTGGCAATGGTGATGATGGTGATAATAGAGATAACGATGGAACGTGATGATGGTGATGGTGGTAATGGTGATGATGGTGATGATGATACTGGTGGTGATGATGATGCTGGTGGTGATGATGATGATGGTAGTGATGATGATGATGGTGGTGATATTGGTGATGATAATGATGATGAAGATGACAATGATGATAGGGAGGTCAGTGATGATAATGGTTATTCCTAAAACTTTCTGGCTACACCAGATCTCTTTTCTTTATTTTCATTCTTGGAAACAACTCTTCAATAACTGATTGGAGTGAAGGGATATCAAAGCTATGCCCACTTTTTCTGTTTTCAAGTTGAACTCTTTGCCTTAGATTCGGCCAAAGGTTTTGGAGTAAGTGTTCAACTAGACATTTATTAAAAAGCAACATACACACACAGCCTAAGAAAGCATTCAAGCTAGGAAAGAAAAGGGGTTCTTTGTGTTTTACTACTTGGCAATAAGTTTGTATTAAATCAGAACAAGACAGATTCTGTGTAGATAGGAGCTCTTGGAACCAGCTTTTCTAACTGCCCCGAGCTGCACATGGCTGAGTGCCTTTCAACCACACCTGTGCCTTTTATTAAATTCAGGAAGGAAAACTCTTGGACCACCTTGTTCCATTACTAATTTAGTACTGCAAAGCAAAACAGCAAAGAGGAATGAATTTATCTCGGGCCCTCAGCCCCTTTATAATTTTGGGGTCATCCATTAGCAAGAAAATGATGGTCATTTCCCTATGTCCCCACAACAGTGGAGGAATGTCTCCATTCCTAGGGTGCCTCTGGCTTCATCCCAAATATGAAGCCATCATGTTCATCTAGTTTGGGACAAAAATCCCTATGTATTCACCATTGAGGCAGGGGCCAAGCTAAGCCAGAGAATTAATCATTCTCACCCATTCCTCCCTCGCTGTGATGAGTGATGGGGAGGAGACAAAAGGAGATGAAAAGCACTAAGGGAGTCCCAAATCTTGCTGCTTATGTCCCTCCAGACACAGTAAGAGTGAAAGCATTTGGCTAAATTAAGGACCATACAAAGTATGTAGTTAATTAATATTACACTACCAGAAAGGATAAAAAAAAAAGTTTTATTATTTGAGGATTTTGGGTTGCAATGAAAACATTTCTAACTTAAGAAAAAAGGAATTCATGAATTGTTCTGGGATAGCTCATGGGCTTGGAAGCAGAATTCCAGAACCAGATCTCAGAAAGGATGGAAACTGGGACAGCTTGGGGGCCTCCAGAGACCACTGTCAGAATGAGTGAACACCAACTCTTTCTAGCTTTGGGGTCAATTAACACCAGATTCAAATTCCAGGGAGAGCAGAGTTTGTCAGGCTGGCCCCACTTGGGTGACATGCCCAGTCCTTGGCCTCGGGGGATGCCTCAGTTCGTCTGTGCTGCTTTAACAATGTACCAAGGTCTGAGGGGCTTAGAGAACAGATATTTATTTCTCACAGTTTTGGAGGCTGGCAATCCAAGATCAAGGTGCCGGCAGGGAGGGTTTCTTCTAAGGCCATCTGCTTGCTGTGTCCTCACAGTCTTTCCTTAGTGTGTGTCTATGTCCTAATCTCCACTTCTTTTAAGGACACCAGTCCTATTGGATTGGGGTCCCACCCCTGTGACCTCATTTAACCTTAATTGCATCCTTAGAGACATTATCTCCAAATACAGCCCATTAAGTTTAGAGTATCAGTATTTGAATTTAAATGCAGGGGCGGTACAATTCGGTTCATAACAGGGGAACTGGCACTTTGATTGATAAATCACTTAAGGCGTGGAGATCCAAAGAAGGGAGGATGAACCTGTAATCCCAGCACTTTGGGAAGCCAAGGCGGGTGGATCACCTGAGGTCAGGAGTTCGAGACCAGCCTGACCAATACGGTGAAACCCTGTCTCTACTAAAAATACAAAAATTAGCTGGGCATGGTGGCATGTGCCTCTAGTCCCAGCTACTCAGGAGACTGAGGCAGGAGAATTGCTTGATCCCAGGAGGTGGAGGTTACAGTGAGCTAAGATCGCACCACTGCACTCTAGCCTGGGTGACAGAGCGAGACTCCATTTAAAAAAAAAAAAGAAGAAGAAGAAGGGAGGATGAATGCTAGGTCCAAATATAGACACTCCAGAGACATCAGTGAGAATAGGCCAAGCACAGGAGTGCTGGAATGACCATGACCTGCTGCCATCCTCCCAGAAGCACACGTTCGGGGCAGGATGCAAAGGACCACAATATAGACAGAGGCCATGGAACTGAGGGGTGGCAACACAGAGAGGAGAGACTTTTAACTGTGCCTGGCAAGGCAGAGGCAAGGTGGGCTTCAGAGGAAGAGGGCAAGCCTGAGCTGGAGGATGAGCAGCCACCTCCAAGGAGGTCAGTGAGCGTGAACTCTGCCCAGTGCTTTGCAGATCCTGGGGAATGCTGTCTGCTTGTTGCTTGTGGGCTTGGGCCCCAAGTGGGTGTGATGGAGACAGTGGCCAGGGCTCGGCACCCCTGCTGGGGGAAAACTAACCGCCTTGTTTTCTGAAAAGCTGCCCAGGCAACCTCTCCCCCTGCAGCTGTGGAAGACCTTTCACCGTGCTGCCCATGGGCCTGGAATACTCGCTCCCCAACTGATCCAAATGTACCTGTTCTGTGCTTTGTCCTAGGTGCGATGTATGTTCATTCATTGGTTTATTATCATTTTCCTCTCGGGATCTTGGAAATTGGTCATTTGCTAAAATAACCTCATTCAACATGCTAATGGGTTTTCACCCATCAATGGGCTTCTTTTAAAGGTCACAAAACTCTATTTTCCAAGGCCCGCTAGCCACACCAGCTCAGAGGATTGATTTAATGAGTTGTCATTTTAACCATGTGACAAGTCAGTTGCAGGAGATATGAATTAAGTTTTTAACACTTGCTATCTTGTATTTAATTACAAAAGGAATGTGCTTTTGTATTTTAGGAAATTTGGAAGATACAGAAGATATATGTAGAAAAGGGGAATCACATATAACATCACTGCCAAGGGGTAACCAAGGTGAATATGTTGCTATGTGTTTGATTACTTTCAAGTCTCATTGTCTGCCTGCACACACAGAACACAGTTCATGGAGCAGTACGTTAAGTTCTGTGCAGGACCCCACTCTGCCCCTTCCACTGCAGAGGGAAGCGTGTCCGCAGGCTCCTTACGGGGAAAGTGCAGCTGGATCCGGGCTGCTTGGCATTCTCCCATGGGACGACTTTGTAATTTATTTATCAAGCCTCTATTCTTGGACATTGACATCACTCCCAAATTTATCCCCTTCTTAAAAATGTGGTGATAAACAGCAAACTTTCTAGCACATAAACTTCTGTGTGCATCTCAGGTTATGTCCCAGGGATCACAGCCTAGAAGCAGAATTATTAGACTGGAGGATGAAAAACTTCAGTTTCTTGCTACACATGGGCAGTTACAAGTCCTGGACATTTATGCTCTAGGGGAGACGATTTGCTTTCTTGCAAGTCTCACCATTTCGACTCTTCATTTCCCTGTCTCTGAATCTGGCTGCTGCAGAGGCCAGGGTTGGCAGGCGGTGTTTCAGGGGTCACTTGGATCACTAGCTCCGGGACAGTTTCTCCTGCAACATGCTGGTAACATCTCTCAACCCACCCTTAGGCTCCGCAAGAGGTGGTGCCCATCATTTCTGCCCATATCCCATCAGTCAACACCCGCTTGCCCAGCTCCACTTAGAGGCTGCAGGGTTGGCCTATGGTCTAGCGTTGCTAGGGCCAGAGGGAACCCCGATACGGGATGCTGGTGAACTAGCCACTCTTTGGCATCAAAAATGATGAAAGTCTCCATGAAGATTACACAGCCAGGAAGGGGCAGAGCTGGAATCCAAGCCCAGGTGGTTCAGCCCGGAGCCACAATCCACTTAACTCATTCACAGACCCTTGTAATGGGCCCAGCTGTATTTTGCCCTGGGGACCGAGCAGTGAGCAAAATGGATAAAAATATGAACCAAAGAAGAAAACGAATAATAAATAAATGCATAAGTAACATAGCCGTATGACTATGGAGAGGAGCTGACAGGCGAGGCGGGGACCCGGGTGGCTGCAGGGTCGCTGTAAGCCGGCCCCTGTGGTGCGGGTGGTGCAGAGGGGCATGAGCACAGAGCTACCATCTGACCGAAGGCTCGTGGCCCTCCAGCTGCTGGGCTGGAAGCAGTCTGCAGGGGGCCAGGGTGGGAGCTGACGGCAGTTGCCCAGGTGATAGGTGGGCTAGGATGGTCTAGCGCCACAGCAGAAGAGTTGGGAGGGGTGCAGGCTTAAGGCGAAGCCAGCAGGATTTGCTAATGGATTGGGTATGGGCGGTAGGGCAGAGTGATCCATTGACGCGCCCCTGGGGTTGACCTGAGCAGCTTGGCAAGAATGCAGGAAGAACAGGCATGGATGGTGGGTGGCGGGTGAGTTGGGAAGATGTCAAGAGTTTAGGTCTGAACATGAGAAATCTCCAAATTCAAGATCCTGAAGGAGTGAGTCCAACATGACAGAGTATTTTGCCTGGTGCCTGGCACCTGCAAAATCCTCAGAAACGCTGACTCCTGGGCCGACTCCCTACTACCCCAGGGTGGGCAGGGCCCCGGGCCACGTGACCCTGCTCGCTGCAGTCTTTCCGTGCCTGCGGCTCCTCGCATTCATCTCCCACACGAAAGCCCAGGAAATATGAGCTGCGGCTGAGTGCGGGCCATCCCGGGAGTCAGGGGAGATGGATGCTCTGTGTGGAGAGGGGCCCCTCCAGGCTCATGCTGGCGGGAGCGGCAACTCCTCTGCCCACGCCTCTGGAAACCCGATCGCTCCCTGTCTGTTAGGAAGAGGGACTCACTGGCAGGTGATTATTTTTGCTTTCCCACTTCATATCAAACATACCGAAGATTAGTCCCCTCAAAGGCCAGCTGTTGACAAGGAGGCTGGAAGGCAGCGGGAGGACGTTCCCGCTGCTCCTTCTGACCTCATTAGGTCGCTAAGCAGGGAGCCCCCCCACCCCAGACCCTGGAGGCGCACACAGCAGGAGCTGGGGGCCGGGCTCTGTGGAATGTCAGGAAAGCCCCTGAGGCTGATCTCTGGGCTTGATAAACTCAGGTCTCATTTCTTCCAACTCCATGCTCCGGGACACAGCTTCCCTGTTATGGGGCCTCCATAGCACCTGCCCCTCACCCTGGCTTCCTAACACCGCATCCTTGCAATCATTTTATTAATCATCCATTACGATTTGTGTAGCACCCATCTCTCCCGCACGACTGTGAGCCGCCTGGGGAGGAAGGTCCACATCTCTTTGGTCTTCTTAGACCCATTTCAGAGCCTAACATGTGACAGGGGATCAATCCATACTCATGGATTGGCTACTGACATTATCTGCGCAGAATGGAGTGGAAAAATCTGGGTTGATGAGCAAAAGGGTAAACACAAATACGAATCATCGCTGTCTTCCATCTTGAGCTACGAGATTTTTTAAAAACTTAAATGACAGGCATTTGCCAGTAATCTAAAACCACTGGTTCCAATCTGTGTCTACAGATGTCACTAGGGGAAGGGGACAACATTATTTTAAGGAAGTCTGATTTTGTGGGCCAGGTATTATATTTATTTAAAATTTTTATTATAAAAATTTCCAAACACTTAAAAGTAGGCAAATAGTCTAATGAGCTTTCATAAACCTACTAACTACATTCAAGTTTTCAATACTCTGCCATGCTTCCCTGATTTCACATCATTTCTTTCGTAAACAAATAATCATCATTTTTAAAAAACAGACATTTTCTTACCTAATAGCAAAAGCATCCCTAGAGAAAATACGGTCTTGTACATATGAATTGGACTATTATTTTTAACAGTATATGCTGTTCCCATTGCTGGTTTACTAAATTTAATTGAAGAGTGTTATGGAATTCACAGAAGGCGTTTTTGTCAGTGCATTTTCTCAATACACACATATTAAATCAGATCATCAGACCTTAAATCTTCAGGATTGCTATCTTGAAGAGTCCATGACATCTTTTTCTGATGTCATACTTGGAAAGGTTGGAAAACTGATTTAAAACTTCATTTCAGCCACAACTCGATTTCTCCCCCAGCCGATTCTTGATAGAAATTGCAAAGAGAACAAATTGGAGAGGCTGAGGATTCTTCTGCTTTGCCTGGTTTCTGTTGCTACCATCCCATCCAGGTGTTCCCAGGATCAACTGGCATCAGACAAGAGGTGGCTAGAGGGGGCTAGCCCACAGAGCATGGTTGGGGTGGGTGCAGCTTGGAAATGGCTTTAGTTTCTGAGTTGTCTGGAAGGATAGACTTAGAGGTTGAGTCCCTGGGACAGTTTGGGCCCCAGATAACTCAGCTTTCATCCTAATCTGCTATTTGCCAGCCACAGGCCATTGCTGGAATCAGTTAACCCCTCTGAACCTCAGAGTTGCCACCTGCAAAATGGGTATAAGAATCCCAACCTCACTACCTACTCTCCTACTCTCCTTAAAGACCCAGTTAAGACCATTTAGAACAGCGGTCCCCAACATTTCAGGTACCCAGTTTCGTGGAAGACAATTTTCCACAGGCCTGTTGGGAGGGATGGTTTTGGGATGACACTATTCCACCTCAGATCATCAGGCATTCGTTAGATTCTTGTAAGGAGCGTGCAGCCTGGATCCCTCACACGCACAGTTCACGGGACTGTTCCTCTCCTGTGAGAATCTAATGCCGCCACTGACCTGGCAGGAGGGAGAGCTCAGGCGGCCATGCTTGCTCACCCTCCGCTCACCTCCTGCTGCTCCGGTTACTAACAGGCCATGGACTGACACCAGTCTGCAGTCCAGGGGCCTGGGACCCCTGCTGTAGCAAGCCTTTTGCAAGCTGTTAAGTACTGTGCATGTTTTCCTGGGCACACAGGAGTTCTGCCTTTGCAGTGACCTCTGTGCAGGACCCCCATCCTCGGGGATCTTGGAGCTACAGCGAGTCCTGGCGCTCCTGCCACCCACTTGCACTTTGCTGCTCTCGTCAGTATCTTCATGGGAGCTGCCTCCTCACTGGGCCAGAGCACCTGGCTCTAAGGCAGAGGAATCCAATCCACCAGCAGCTTTTCCTAAAAGGCCAAACCACCTCGTGGGCCGATCGTTTTTCTCCGTAACATGGCCAAATGGCCACCAAATGGCCGGCCGGCTGGGGCCAAAAAGCCCCTTCCCAGCACACACCCCAAAGCTCCGCAGCTACAACCCTCACCTGGCAACAGCCTGCGGAAGGAGGTACAGGGCTGATCTGTGTCCTGTGGTCAAATGCATTGGTTCTCAGTCCTGACTTTGCTCTAGAATCCCTGGGGAGTTTCCCAGGCCTCATCCCAGAGAGGCTGGGTTGGAATCTCTGGCATGGGGGTCTGGGCAGTGGTATTTGCTGGAAGCTCCCCAGGGAATTCGGATGTGCAGCTGGGGCTGGGAACAAGCATCTTATCCATCGTTCAGGTCAGCCACAACTTGCTGGTTAAAGTCGGTGAGAAATGAATCAACCAAATTAGTCATTGGACAAACAAAATTTTAAAGAAGTTTATCTGGTGCCACACGGAGATTGAGCCACAGAGGGCAGACAAAACCTCTGTTGGCCTTCTCCCCTCCATGGAAAAGATCCTGGTGGAATAAGTCATGATGACAGCTCAGCCGGTTCTTGTACACGTGCAGCTTTACCTGGGGAAGCTGTTGCTGGCTAAAGACAGGGCAGGCTTTGTCCCTGGTCTATGCTAACTCTCAGGATGTGGACCATTTCTCTGATCATCCTGATGGGATGAACGTCATTCATTCATTCAGTCATGCCCTCAACTGTTTCTTGCATATCAGGAACTGTGCAAAGTCACAAGTATATATAGATTGCTAGGACCTGGTCATCATCTTCAAGTCGGAAATATTATGGGAACACAACAATAATTAGAGCTAGAATGTACTGTGTCTTCTTCTTTCTAAGCATTCTGTGAAGAACTTGCCAGAATTTACTGTGTCTCCTTCTTGCTAAGCATTCTGCGAAGAACTTGCTAGAATTTACTGTGTCTTCTTCTTGCTAAGCATTCTGCTAAGAACTTGACATGTATTCTCTCATTTGATCACTCCAGCAATTCTATTAAGTAGGATCATAGCATTGATTATGGTAATAATTCTTATAACCATTTCATGATTCTATGATCATTTTCTGTAGAAAAATCTGAGGCTCAAACATGTTAAGTAATTTGCACAGGGTCACATAGCAAATAGTGGCAGAGCTGGGATTCCCACCCAGCCCAACTCCAGCTGATGCTCCTCACCCAGCACATCACTGCCTCTCACAGTGGTATGACCCAAACACTGGTCCACTGGCATCAGGAAGCTGGGAATAAAAGAAGAGGCTTTACTCCTGGAAGCAGAAGACTTCCCTCCAAGGCTGCATGCTGCTATCGACTGGTTTTCAAGTTCTGTTTGTGCTGACTCCAGCAGAGATGGGAAGAAATAGTGGTGCACTGGGAAGTGTTTGATAGCCTGGCGCCCTGAAGAAAGCTCTGATTAGTTTAGTTTGCCGTTGTCCATTTGCCATATCATGATCATAGAATGTTTCATTATTCTATGACCATGAAATGGTTCTAATAACTATTATCATAATCAGCTCTATGATCCTACTTAATAGAATTACTGGAGTGACCAAATGTGTGAATACCCCCACCATGGTTGATTTCAAATGGCCAGTGTCACATCACTGAACTCAGAGATGGGGAGAGATGCACACGGTCTGCTCTCACAAGCTGGTGTGAGTAGGCTCCAGCACTCCAGGGCTCTTTCCATTCGCAGGTCTTTTGAGGACCATTAGAGATTATTGGCCCTTTTAAAATTGTGGCTCATCCAACAGTTTATTAGACTGAAATCCCCATAACAAAAGGGGCCGTGTCTATTCTTACCATTGCATCTGTCTACAGCTCCTGGCTTATGCCTGGTAAAAAGTTAGTCCTCAGTCAATATTTGTAGAGTTAATTCACTTCCAAGAGCAAGGGTCTTTTATTAGGGAAGCCCAAGATTTAGACACTTACACTATAATATTATTATCTCAATAGTTGTAGACAAATTAATGATGAAATTAAACAACCATCCATGATAAGAACAAACAAATGAGCAAACATAATATTTTTACAACTAGAAATGAAAGGGACAATTGTAAAACCGATAAAGAGTATCTTCCATAAACATCATATTTAATAGTGAAAATTTAGCAGGATTTCTGTTATATTCAGAAACAAACTCAGGGTGCCAACCATCTGCCGTTGCCCGCTTTTGATGTTTGACTAGCAATCTCCATCAATACACTACTGTGAGAACAAGGAAGAAAGGGGGAAGAACTAGAGAGAGAGAGACAAAGCTGTCATTATCAGTAGACAGCATAATTGTCTGCAATGAAAATCCAAGAGAATCTACAAACTAATAAAACAATAAGTAAATTCTGCAAAGCTTCTGAATCAAAAGTAAACATTAAAAATAAATTCATTTCCATCCACCAGTCATAACCACTTAAGAAGATGTAAGATCCCATTCACAGTACTAACAAAACTAAAGCTTAGTTATGAGTAATTTTCACAAAACTATGAAAGACAATTTTTGAGACAATTGTAAAACTGCATTGAAGGATGTGGAAGACCAAACTAGATGGAGATAGATGGGAAGACTCAATTTCACTGAGATGTCCTTTCTCTCTAAATCAATTTCTAAATTATATGCATTGGCAATAAAAATTCCAGCAAGATTTTTTTAATGGCACTTGACAAATCCATTCCAAAAAAAGGCAAAGATTTAAAACCAGAAAAAATATATTTCGATAAAATTAAACAATAAGATGAGAGGACTTGCTACCAAGTATTAAAACTTAGTATACACATTATAGTAATGAAGGCAGATAAATAATTTTTTAAAAAACAGTAAAACATGCCCATATATTTATTCTTCAAGAGCTATTTATTGAGCAGCTACTATGTGGGAAATACTCCTCTGAGTGCTGGGTATATGACGGGGGGCTGGCCACAGTCTTTGCCCACAGGGGGCTTCCATTCTCAAAGTGGGAGGTGGGTACTGATAATGAATGAATGGATATGCCAGTTAGGCCTCAGTATTGCTGAGAAAACTAAATCAGGATGGTGGAGAGGGAGGAGTATGTTTGTTTGGATGGAGGGTGTCTGGTAAGATGGCATTTGAGAAGAGTCCTGAATAAAGTGAAGGAGGAAGCCATGCAATGTGCCCTGGAATGAGGTGAGAACGCAAGTGCAAAGGCCCTGGGGCCATCTGGAGCTCAGTGTGTTCTAGGGACATGGTGGCCAGAGTGGCTGGAGCAGGATAAAGAGGAAGAACAGCAGGGCAGAGGGCAGAGATGAAGTGGGGGGTCGAGCTGGAGCCCCACACAGGCCATGGGAAGAGCATGGGAAGGCTGTCAGAGAGCAAAGGCACAGCCTGCTCTGGCTTTCATCACTTTGCTTGCTGAGAATGTGGAGAGGGAAGGGTGCTAGTGAGGCCTGCCATGAGGCTACTAAAATGGTCCAAGCTCAAGAAGGTGATGGCTTGGCCAGTGTGGTAGTGGTGAGAGGCAGAAGCAGTTAGACTGAGTTATGTTTCACAGATAGGGTGAGTGGAATTTGCTGGTTTGTTGTACCTGGGAAGTGAAAGCAGAAGTCAAGGTTGACTCTGGGTTTTTATCCTGAGGACTGGAGTTGGCTTTAGCTGTGATATGGGGCACTCGAATAAACAGGCCTGGGAGGATTGAAATGAAAAACTCTGGACCATCAGAGTTGCCTAGTAGTTCTCTAAGTAGATATCGAGTAGGCTGTTGTATATACCCATCTAAGGGACACTGGAGGAGCGGGAGGGAGAGTGGATTGAAAGACTCTGGAATCTATGAACAGTTGAAGGAAGGGAATGAGGTGGACGTGTCGGAGACTGTAGTTGGCTATGAGCTGTTTGGAACTGAAGGGGTTACAGTTATTGGTAACCTCGTGGTCTTGATTTGACCATGGAAGGAATAAATGAGGCAGTGTCAGGAGGAGAGCGTTGGAAGAGATGTCTAGGATCTCAGAGTCTGGGGTGAATCCCTAAGAATTATGACAGAATCGGGTTGGGAGAGAGTGGGAAACTTGGCCTGTGGAAGAGGTAGCTTTATAAACCAATGGGCTAAATGCTGGGCTTTTAAATAAATAGTCCTGGGGAAATTGGTTCTCTAACAGGATCAACAAATTAGATTCTTAGTTTAGATCATCTACAAAAATAAGTTCCAGATAATTAAAAATCTACAAATGCCTAAAGCAATGTTTTAAATCCTCTAGAGGAAAATGTAGGAGACTATCTTTATGATATTGGGGCAAAGAAGAATGTTATAAACAAGATTCAAAACTCATAAGCCACAAAGGACAATGTTGTCAGGGATGATGCTGTTGAAAATTTAACATTACTACATACTAAATAAAGTGAAGAGGTAATTCATGTGCTGGAAAATATTTGCAATGTATACACGTGGCAAAGAATTAGGATTCAAACTATATATGAAGAACTCCAACAGATCAATAAGAAATGAAAAACAACACATCAGAAAAAAAGGATAGAAGATATGAACACACTATTTACAAAAGAGAAAACCATACCATACCACCAGCAGGCAGGGAAATGCCAATCATAACCAAAATGAGGTACAATTTTCCACTCATTCAATAATTTGGCAGAAATGAAGCTGAGAAGAGGGTTGTGGATCACACTCTCTGTGAGATTTGGAAGTTGGCACAACCACTCTGGAAAACCAATGTCAGTCTTGCCTAAAGTCCGTCATGCACCGACCCTCCACCTGGGATGGCATTTACAGGACTTGCCCCAGAGGAACTTTCATCCATGCCCAGGAGTGCCCACTGCTCATGTGTTTGCAGCAGCAAAAAGTCTGAAACAATACAAAGGTCCATCGACAGGAGTGTGGATAATTAAATCAGGGTTTATTTGCCCAGTGGCACATTCTACAGTGGCCAATGGGAACAATAGAGCTACAATATCACCAAGAATAAATCTGGAAGCGTCGCGATATGCAAGCAAGGAAATTTGCAGAATGAAATGTGCAATTAGAAAGCATTTATAAAGAGTATAAAAGCATGCAAAACAAACACCATTCCACATTGTTTATGGATGAATACACTTGTGGCCTAGATGTACAGACATGCATGGGCACGGTGAACATTGAAATCAGGTTTGTGGTTAATGCTCAGAAAGGAAGAGAGGACCACGGGGCCAGGGAGAAGAACAGAAATGATTTCAAATACATCTGCAATGTTTCTTATGTCTTAAATCGTAAGGGAATAAACAATGGCAAAACGGTAACATTGGCTCAAGCTGTTTGATAAATACATGATTATTGGTCACTTTATTCTCTGTACTCATCTGTATGCTTGCAGTATTTCTTTTCTTTTCTTTTTCTTTTTTTTTTTTTTTTTTGAGTTGGAGTTTTGCTCTTGTTGCCCAGGCTGGAGTGTGCAGAGGTGCCATCTCGGCTCACTGCAGCCTCCGCTTCGCAGGTTCAAGCGATTCTCCTGCCTCAGCCTCTCAAGTAGCTGGGATTACAGGTGCCTGCCAGCACGCCCAGCTAATTTTTGTATTTTCAGTAGAAACAGGGTTTCACCATGTCGGCCAGGCTGGACTCGAACTCCTGACCTCAGGTGATCCGCCCACCTCCGCCTCCCAAAGTCCTGGGATTACACGCGTGAGCCACCGTGCCCGGCCACAATTTCAAAATTTTAAGGGAGGCAGCACTTCTTTCTTATTGAGCCCATTCTTCTCTGAAGCTTTGTATTCTAAGTTGCTATTCTCTTCTCCAGATGCACAAAAGGTAAGTCCACTCCCTTTGCATGAAACACTTCACGTATGTGAAGACGTTCTCTGTTCCCTTCACCACGGGCTTCCCAAGCTGAGATGTGCCCATGCTAGGGAAAAACATTCACTGAATGTTTTATTCAGTGGAATAAAAGGAATGAATGGATATTCCTTTTATCCCATTAGTGGCCATGGGATCAAGAGTAATGATCTCCTTTCTGATATTGGTAATTTGTGTCTTCTCTCTTTTTCTGTTAGCCCAGCTAGAAGTTGATCAATTGCATTGAGCTTTCCAAAAGATCTCTGCAGGTTTTATGGACTGTCTCTGTTGTTCTCCTGTTTTCAATTACCCTGATTTCTGCTCAACTTTTTATTATTTTTTTCTTCTGAAAAGTATTAATGCCTCAGTGCACAGGTGAGGTCTCTTTCCACATCACCTTTCTCTGTGGACATCCAGGAGACCATTCTTTTAAAGACACTGCCTGGAAAACAATACAACACCTGGGTATGTTCTGTAGCTGCCCAGGGCCCACTGGGGACACTAGACATCTAGGAAGCTGTGCTAGGATAGGAGTCATTCTCATAGCAGCCACAGCCCAGTCTTTGCTCAGAATAAACTTTTTGCTAGTTAAACACTCACAGTTGCTTTTTAAAAAATACTTGATTTAAACATAGGTCACCTGCATTCTGTGCTAGTGCAATCAGATTTTAGATGTAGATGAAGGTCTGTACGTTTGTCTCTGTGGAAGTCTGAGCCCTTCATTTAAACTTACCGAAATTCCTTATTTGATAAACATTTATGAAGCACCTCTTAAATGCCAGGTCCTAAGTTGTGGGCTTTTATAAATGCATTGAGCACAACTGGCTACCATCTCTTGAATCATTAGCGTTCTCACCCATTTCACGAGATTTTCTTCTGAGTTTTGTGAATCTTACAGTTTGATGCAATAGTCTGTCTTCAGCCAAGTTTTTTGTTTATTTGTTTGTTTTTGTTGTTGTTGTTTTGTTTTCCAAGATGAAGTCTTGCTCTGTCCCCCAGGCTGGAGTGCAGTGGCACGATGTCAGCTCACTGCAACTTCCACCTCCTGGGTTCAAGCAATTATCCTGCCTCAGCCTCCTGAGTAGCTGGTACTACAGACGCATGCCACCATGCCTGGCTGATTTTTTTTGTATTTTTAGTAGAGACGGGGTTTCACTGTGTTGGTCAGGCTGATCTCAAGCTCCTGACCTCGTGATCCGCCCGCCTCAGCCTCCCAAAGTGTTGGGATTATAGATGTGAGCCAGCACACCTGGCCTCAGCCAAGTTTTTATAAAAAGAGTGAGTAGCAAAGGCGAAGTGCAGAGCCCTGTGGCAAGCCATGAGGGACTTCTCTCCAGATGAACTCTCATATCCTAACAGACTCTGTGTGCATGTGTTTGCATCCGTACACACTGCATCTCTCATACAGAAATGTTTTAGATGGCCAGTTCTAAAGAAAACGTTATGAAGCATCTTGACATATTTTTAAATTGTTTGCTACTTTAGCAGACAGAAAAAATATACTTGCTGAACAAAGATTTTTCTGTGTCTATTATGAACTGTAAATGATACTATTAAGGAAGAAGCGCAACCCTCCAAGGGCCCTGTTTTGGGGGGAACATTTGCCCTTTTCACTTTTAACTCGGTTCAGAGGCTGAGGCTCCATCATAGCTTTTCATTTTTCATCGTCCTTCTCACTTGACAACAAAATCTCCCATTGTGATGGTCTTTCCGTCATTTACCTCCCCTCTCTCCTCCTCCTTCTGTATTTTTATTTTATTATGCTATTCATGTCTTCCTGTTGTTTTCCCACTAGGCTGCTTTATCAGTATTTAGTTTGTAAATATTGATTTTCTAAATTGCTGTGCTTGTAATGTTTAGCCAGGATACTCCATTTCAGCGAATCACTTGTAAATTCATTCATTCATTTGTTCTCAGCCCTGGCTGCACACAGAATTGCCTAGGAAGCTTCCGAAAGTCACCTTGGCCTCACCACAGACCAATGAGGTTAGAATCGCAGGAAGCAGGGTCCAGGTGTGGGTATTTGTCAAAAGTTCCCCGGACAATATTGTCATGCAGCCAAGGCTAAGAAATGCTGATTTCATAGATATTACTAAACGTTTCTATGACCAAGATAGGGGAGGGTCCTGGAGGAGTGATCAGGAGGGCCTCCTAGAAGAAGAGAAACGTAAGTGTGGTGGGTTGGATTTCCCAGAGAGGAACACAGCAATATGACCCACCCCATAAGCCCCTGTGCAGCAAGACCTTGCCCGTCTTCCCTTTTGAACCTGGCATGGGCAGGTCCTGTGACTGCTTTGACCAATAGAATGATGGAAATGACACTGTTTCCACTCTGGGCCCTTAATCGGGCTCTGCTGCCTCTCCTGGCAGTTCCTATCTTTCAAGGTACTCGGTCCATTTCACCTAAGTTGTCAAATCTGTGGGTAATGAGTTGCTTGCATTATTCCTTTTATCCCATCAGTGGCCACTGGAGCAAGAGTAATGACCTCATTTTCCTTTCTGATATTGGTAATTTGTGCCTTCTCTCTTTTTCTTTTTGTTTGCCTGGCTAGAAGTTGATCAGTTGCATTGAGCTTTCCAAAGGATCCCTGCAGGTTTTACGGATTGTCCCTGCGGTTCTCCTGTTTTCAATTGCCTTGATTTCTGCTCAATTTTTTATTATTTTTTTTCTTCTGCTGGCTTTAGGCTTGAATTTCTCTTCTTTCTCTGGTTTCTTAAAGTGGAAGCTTATGTTACTGATTTTTTAATCTTTTTCTTTTCTTCTTTTATTTTAGTTTTTGGAGACAGGGTCTTGCTCTGTTGCCCAGGCTAGAGTGCAGTGGTGCAATCCATAGCTCACAGCAGCCTTGAACTCCTAGGTTCAAATGATCCTCCTGCCTTAGCCTCTGCAAGTAACTGGGTCCCACAGTGCAAAAGCAGAAGCTTCTAGGACCTCTTAAAATAGAGACTTGGAATGGGCACAGCCCCCTGCCAGCCCTCTTATTAGTCAAAGTGGGTCATAATCCCAGCTGGATTCAAGGAGAGGGGACTGTGCAGGGCTGGGAATCCCTGCAGGTATGGCTTGTTGACAGTCACTAACCTAGGGAACCATCACTGTAACCCTTTTCACAGCCCATCCACCCTTAGCTGGAGCCCAAACAAGAACCTGGAGTCTTCAAAGAACGACAGGTGGGAAAGGGACACATTGACTCCTCTCTCTTTGATTTCAGCCTCAAGAAAATGAAGTCTGGGATCTCTCTCCCGACTAAGGTGTCATCCACACAGCAGCAGCAACAGCAGCAGCATCACCCGGAATTTGTCAGAAATCAGAATCCCAGGCCCACCCCAGACACAGAGAACCGGAATTTGCAGTTTAATGAGATCCCGGGGGACTCAAATGCACCTTAAGGCACGAGGAGAAAGAGCTCTAGACTCTCCACCATCTCAGAGAACTTGCAAACCAGCTTTGCAGAGCAAAACCCAGAGAATGACGGCAAAGGCTGCTGCCACCATTGTACAAAATCACTCCTAAGGGCACCCTGGAAATGAGAAGCAACCTTTCTGTTCTCAGACATACGTCCCAGCACATAAGGCTCAGACGCGGCAGGGAGAGGGGACAGCTTGGTTTCAGACAGTGCATTCTGACCACTCGCCCAAAAAGGGCCCCTTCCAACCCAAGACTCTGGGAATCCAGGAAATCCCAATTTAGATATGCAGCTTTGGAAACTGGCAGCAAATGGAGAATGGAATCCGGAAGGCCCTTGCCATTGTGAACGCAAAGTCTAGACACTGGAAAGGGAGCCACCGAGGCAGGAAGAAGTGAAAGTCCCTTTCTCAGCGATCTACCTTCCAGGAAGCAACAACCCAGCAGGTCTCAACAAAGCCCCGAGGCTGTGATACAGCTACCCCTGGGGCAGGTCCAACGCGCTGTTATCATACTCTCCGAGCTTCATCCAAATGCTCACACACCCAACCTAGTGCTTCCTCGCGATAACACCAGTAGCAGGAGCAGCCCAGTGTCATCCTGCACAAACAGGTGGTGTTTACGCACGGCATGTCACCGAGAGCCATCTGACCAGCCGTGCCAACCGGGAGCAAAGGGGGCTGATAAAGGCAGCTTATCACAAACGATTAGCAAGTGTTATTTTCTTTCTGTTTGTTTGAAGTTCAGTATTTGGACAATCGCCGTGAACCCCAGTGTGGCCAGGGCCAAGTTTAACAATGGCGGGCAGAGATTGCTCGGTGAAGATGAAATGACATGAGTGAGCCGGTGCTGTGCGGGGGAGACCTGCGGCAGGGATTTGTCAGGCTGGGTTTTGACGGGTTGAGACAACATGAGGATTAATGAACCGCTTTGGCTTTAGACAAAATAACCATGTAAAGCAAAATTTCTGTGTGCACCAGATCAGAGCTTCTCAACCTAGGCTGCATGGTAGAATCACCTGGGGACTGTTGCCACTTTGCCATACAGGGGATGTCCCCAAAGCAATGAAACCCCAGTCTCTGGAGGTAGGAGTCCCACGTCTATTCCTTAAAGGTCCCAGTGTGCAGCCTGGTTTGAGAAGAGGCTCCCTGGAGTGAGGCTTCCCCAGCTTTCATGTACATTCCAACCACTTGGGGAGCTGGTTAAAATGAAGATTCTGATTCAGCATATCAAGGGTGGGGCCTGGGGTTCTGCATTTTTAACCCCCGCCCCCAACCCCCACCCCCACCCCCACCCCCAGCCGGGGATGCTGGCGCTGCTGGTCCAGGACCACCCTTGGAGCAGAAAAGAGAATTGACTGCTGTCCAAATGTCCCCAGCATCGCCTCCAAATAATCTGTGAGGCTGTCAGAGGAGTACAGGGGTTCTCGTGGGTGGAGGAGGTGATGGCCAAGTTGCTAATTGATGGGAAAGAGATGAGCAGAGCTCGGAGTGAGGGGCTCCACTGCAGGGGCTTGAGTTGTCCACTCCCAGAGAGACCACCACTGGGCAGAATGAACACGGCTGGGTTTTGTGAGTTAACCAGGTGTGGATTAGAGAATAAAATCTTGGCCAGGCATGGTGGCTCATGCCTATAATCCCAGCACTTTGGGAGACTGAGACAAAAGGATTGCTTTAGCCCAGGAGTTCAAGACCAGCCTGGGTAACATAGTGAGACCCCATCTCTATAGAGAATACAAAAATTAGCTGGGTGTGGTAGCATCCCCCTGTAGTCCCAGCTGCTCGGGAGGCTGAGATGGGAGGATCTGTTGAGTCCAGGAGATCAATGCTGCCACTGCACTCCAGCCAGGGCAACAGAGCAAGCAAGACCCTGTCTAAAAAAAAAAAAAAATTTTTTTAAACACATCTTTATTGGGATATGATTCACACACTATAACATACTCCCATTTAAAGAGCACAATGCCATGGTTCTTCTCATATTCTGAGAGTTGGGCAACCATCACAACTGTCTAGATTTAGAACATTTCTCACCTATAAGGGTGCCATTTCAGGCCACCTTCTTCCGATCAACTCTGGGAAGATTGCATGCAGGAATACCCCAGTAGGAATCGTAAGAGTTGAGCCCCTGGTTGGAAGCACAGGGTGTCATCATATCCTTAGTAAGGGGAGGTTGTGGACACAAACTGCGTCACTGACTCCAGGAAGCCCTCTGTGGTGCCCCCAGGCCAGATTACATCCACTTACACCATGTTCTCAAAGCACCCAGCTCACCTGCCATACTCATCATCCTTGCCAACCAGGCTGGGGATCCCACCAAGTCAGGACCTGTGTTTTTCATAAATGTAGCCCCAGACCAAGCCTCATTCCAGGCCACAGTAGGGTGCAGTACATGTGTGGGCTGCAAGCTTGCGCCAAGACCCTGCTCTGCTATTGTGTGAACGTCTGGAGATGGGTAGGGTGTGGTCTGCCCTTGTGCTCTATGATTTTAGTAGAAAGAACACTCAATTACCAAGAAGTCTACATCTGAAGCTCACAGCCAGCACCTCAGTGTCCTCAAATGTAAACTAAGGATGGCATCCCTCCTGGGCCATTAACCATCCAGGGCTTCTGTAACCTGGGACCAGTGAAGATTACATCTCCTCAAGGATGGAAGTGGAGGCAATGAGTGGAGATCAAGGTTGGAAAATTCTAGCTGGATATGAAGAAACAGAGATTCCCCTGAGGTTGGAGATGTCTTTCAAGTTGGTGAGTCCCCATTACTGGAAGTATTTTAGGTAAATGCTGATCCAAGATGTTACCTAGGAAAAGTGGGTGACCTTGAGGATCTGTTGTAACCTTGCACTTCTATGATGAAGTTTTTCCTTCAGGAAAAAGATGTATTCTTACTAAGCACTGACCATGTGATGCTGAGTTTTAGAGACAAGCTGACCAGGAGGAGAATGGTTCCACAGACAGAGTGAGAGGACCTCAAGAAAGAACAAGTTCATCTTAACCAGAAGCCCATAAAGTGCTCTTTTGGCTGTAGGCAGTGTTTGTGAAGCATCTCAAATGCTGATGGTTCCCTCCTGATATTTTCACTAAGGGGTTTTGTTTAGGATAGCAAAACTGAAATCTATATTTTCCAGAGAGTCTCATTAGTGGAAGCAACTGGGTGGAGATTTTGGAAACACATTTTAAAAAGAGAAAGACATGGTTGGTCTTGTGCTCTTCCCCCTTTCCCTTCCTCATGCCTGGATCGTTGAATCCATCCAGTGACAAGGACCATGATGGTCAATTGTCAAGGATGGCAGGGCAGGAAGTCCCAAGGACATGGATCCATGATGACACTTTTAGGTGAGCATAATGGCCCTGAAGTATCTCCAAGCATTTATGTGGGGAAAAAGTAAAAAAAAAAAAAAAAAAAAAAAAAAAAAAAGAGCACTGATGCATTGATTTGTGCAAGTCACGGTTGAGTTTTTAGTTGCAGCTCAATGCATTCCTAACTGAAAGCAATCATCTTTCCTGGCCCCTCCTACATGCAGTAGAGATGGCAAAGATAAGAACAAATAAGTTTGGTCACTTTCTGTCAGATTACACAAGAATGCCCCACCCCATTCACTACTGCAGGCAGACAGCAAGTGACAGCTGTCTGCCTGGAATGTGTCGAGCCTCCCCAGCTTTGTCACTGTTGGCATATTAGGCTGGCTGCTTCTCTGTGGTGGTGCTGTCTTGTGTGTTGTAGGATGTTCAGCAGCACCCCTGGCCTCTACCCACCAGATTCCAGTAGCATCCCCCGCTCCCCGTTTGTGACAACCAGAACTGCCTCTAGACACTGCCAAATGTCCCCTGGGGAAAGCATATGAGAACCATCATTATAGACATTGTGGGAATTTGGCTTTGACTCGTTGTGGGATTTTGAGCAGAGGAGGAACCAGACCTGACTATATTTTAAGAGGATCTCTTGCTTTCATGTGAGAATGGACTGGGCAGAGGAGGCTCAGAAGGGTCAGGCACCAATGAGGAGGGGACTGAACTAGCACAGGGAAGGCGAGGGGGCCTGTCCACGAGGTAGCGGGAGTTGATGGGAAGGGGTGGATCCAAGATAGATTCTCATGGTGGAACCGGCAGTGTTTTCTGATGGATGGGGAAGGGAAGTGACCAAAACAGGAGACTTGGGGCAACTTCGAGCGTTTGGTTCCGTGGAGATGCCATTTTCTGAGGTGGGAAAGGTCAGGGGTGGACCAGGTTACCAGGTACAATCGGAATCTGCAGAGACTGGGGCCCCAGGGGTGCTGATGCGGTCGCCACAGGGCAGTGCACATTCTTCACCTTCCATAGCCAAGATCTTTACTTTTGACCCAGTTCTTGGCATCAAACATCCACCCACGTGCACAGGCCCCATGAAGGCAATCACCACATTTTACCGTATGGTTTGTCTTTTCAGAAAATTTCTGAACATTTCCCTGAATGAGACTGAAATCCATTTTTCCAGATCTTTAGGGGCAGTCAATTAATGCATAAGGTCAAAGTACTAATCATCTATTCATAGACAATTATATCACCAGGCCTCCAAAGGCATGAAGTGAACAGACGAGCCAGTGATACAGAATTCAAATTCTCCCATTCCCATTGGAACCCTGTCAGGGAGGAGTGGTGGTCACAGGCAGCACCCGGGGCTTGTGGGACATTGCTGTGTAAACCTCCACCCAACAACAGCCACCCAGCTGCCCACACGGTCCCCAGCATGGAGCGGACACCTCCTTTGTTTACAAGTTGACACATCTGGAATATACCCAAAGCATGCACCAGAGATAGCCATTCATTTATCTGCACTGCCTGTTTTCAATAGTCAGATTCTCACGAACAAACCTCGTTCACCCACACCAAAAATAACATGAACGGTTTAGAGGAATGCAGGCCCTATTAGGTGCTGCACAGCGTTTCATGCAAGCCATCACAGAGGGCCAAACCAGGACCCTTCTTAGGTGATTTTATGAACAAGGCCGAATATTGACCCTGAGAGCTTCCCACGGGCTTTACGATGAAGATCAGCAGAGTCCAGCCAAGAGCATTTTCACAGACAGATTCGTTTGTGATCAGAGACGCCCTCGTCATGGCTTTCTGCTCTTGGTGATTAAACCAAAGAGAACAGAGACATTTAACTAGACATGAACTGGAAATAGATTCTGGCTCAAAACCCACAGAGAGAAGAGAAAAACACAGCAGATTGGTGGACAGAGGTTGAAGTGCCTCACTCCACTTGATTTGACAGTTGCCTTTAGGTTATTCTACCAGCCAGGTTGGACTAGGTTTGCCACAAACACACAACCCTCTTTTGTGTGACCTTGATCTTGTTTTTCTACTATGCTTCTGCAGAGAGCTGTAACCCCACCAGCATTCAAACATTGCCAGGCGCCATGGCAGAGACAAAAGAAGTCGTGGTAAATTGCACCCCGGACATAAAGCCTCCAGCCTGAGAGATATCACTTCTCCACACATTTATTGTCTTAACCTCAAAGCCACAGAGAAATTCTACCTGGGCCCGGACATTGGCAATAACCCTGATGGTTACGGCGGTGACTCATATTTTCTTTGGCTGCCCAGATGCACACAGGCTGGTGGCTATTTTCAAGGCTGCATTATAATTATTTTATAATCGTCGTGATCAGTCCTAATAACACATATTTAGTGAGTAGTTCCCAGGTGCAGGACACCTTGCCCCATGCCTTCTTTCCATGAATTCATTCTTTAATTCATTCATTCAACAATTGTATACGGGGTGCCTACTGCGTGTGGAGCGTTATGCTGAGCAACTCACAACCACGCTTCTTCTTTGGAACCACCCTGTGAGACGGTGTGTGAGTCAGGATTTGCAGTTGCAATAACAGAATCCACTTGAGGAAGCTGACGCAGAAAAGAGAATTTATTCAGGAGTTCCTCTCACATAGTCTGTGGGACGTGTGGAAACCAGGAGCAATGCCTAGATCCCACTGGAGTGCGCTCCAGCAAAGACGTCACGGCTGAGGCCTCTGGCAGGTGGCATCACAGCGCTATGATCAGCCGTGGCAGTCTTGACAGAACCCACAGAACCAGATCCCTCCAGCACCACCCTCGCCTGAGCCTGCACCCACGCTGCCTCCTCCTGAACTAGGGCATGACATGCTCCTGCCTTCCTGCAAGGGGCATTGGGAAACTTACCTTGGAAGCAGGAGGCAAAGGGACACGCTGTTTACCTGCTGCTGGGAAGCCTAAACAAGGCAGGTGCTCAAGACAGGAAGTCTGCTCTGTGGACAACACAACTGAGCCTCAGGGAGCTTTAAAACAAACCAACGAAACCACCAACCATCCCCACCCACCGGGTTCCCCAGCTAGAAGGGGTGCAGCAGGCGAAGTCCAGCCTGTCCCATTCCCAGCTGATGCCAAGCGGCACAAGGGTTCAGATGAACGTGACGTCAGGTCATCCTGCATGTGAGCGTCACGGAGGGCTCAGATGAATGTGGCCTCAGGTCATCCTGCCTGTGGCACACATCCCGGTGGGGATTTTCACAGCAGGTAATTAGATGTGTGTCTAGACGACCATTTCCTCCACTGTCGTTGCGACATCATGGGTTCTCCAATCAACAAGTACAAGGAGCAGAGAGCAGAGAGCCTGGCTGGAAGATGACACCTTCCTCCTCGGCTCTTCTCAGCCTTCGACCCTCAGGTCCCACGTTCCCCAGCTCCCTGGCCAGTCTCCCGGGCTCCACCCGCCCCTCCCTCACTCTCAGGAGAACTGAGCTGCTGCCGTGGACAGGAGGGAGGTGCTAGGGTGGGAGGGTCTTGCTCTCAGGTCTGTGCCTGGACTGCCTGGATTTCTGGCCTCACTCCCACCACACTAATAAGTGAGGATCTTGGGCAAATTCTTCACCTCTCTGAGTCTCAATGTCCCCTTCTGTGAAAGGGGATAAAGTAATCCATGTTTAGCAAAGTTCTGATTGTTATCATTAAACGGGATGGGAACATGACAGCTATTTCCAAGCTGGGAGGGGCTTTCTGCAAATGAGCTGTTTTAGGATATCCCCTCTGAATGAATCCGTTTCAATTTTGCTACAGGCATTTGCAAATGAGCCCCCTGATGGAATTGTTATGTTAATGAGTAATGCCATAACCTGGGGAATGGAGTGAATGACACCTTAGTTGGGGACATGTTGTTATTGCCAAACCCAGAAAATCTTTATGTAACTTTGCCCAAATGGTCAGGAACGTGGATGCTGGAGCCAGGCCTGAGTTTGAGTCCCAGCCTTGCCATTTTTGAGCTGTGTGACCTTGAGCAAGTGTCTCAACATCTCTGAACTTCCATGTCTTTGTTTGTAAAATGGAGATAAGCCTAGCCCTGTGCGTGGTGAGATTTGGAGGCGTACATGAGGCCATTTGTAGAGCCAGCCACACACACTGAGAGCTCAGGGGAGCCACTGTGCCTGGCTTTTTTTTTTTTAATCAGCAGATCATTGGTGCAGGAGGAGCGAGTGGACAGGCAGCTCCCAAGCAGATGGAGGAGAGAGGGGTGGCTGAGAACTTGGCTGTGAACACACAGTGGAGGGTGTGCTGATGTGGAGGTGAGAGGGTCCTCTCATCCCTCTGCAACCACAGAGAGCCACGGAGGGCCCACAAGCCCACAGCACCCAGATCGGGCTCTGGGAAGTTCCAGACAGAGCACCTGGTGTGGGACTCATTTCACCTGAGCAATGACTTCAGGTGGAACACTCGGCAGTACTGAAAATCGCAAGGGAAGTTCTGTAATTACGAGAGCCCCGAGCACCTCCCCACGCCTCTCTCAAGCATCCTGGCT
Organism: Homo sapiens; assembly: GCF_000001405.40. Classification (NCBI taxonomy): domain Eukaryota; kingdom Metazoa; phylum Chordata; class Mammalia; order Primates; family Hominidae; genus Homo; species Homo sapiens. The sequence continues at coordinate 86,826,338 of NC_000016.10, forward strand.
GCCTCCATTAGCAAGCTAGAGCAGGCTTGGGCTGCAAGCCACGGTGTCTAGGAAGAGTTTAATAATGGCGGTGTGGTTTCTTGCCTTTATTTTTATAGCAGCTTCTGATGGCAATGAGAAATGACTATTTTCACGAAGGTCTGTGCTGTACAATTGTTCTTTTAAAATAAGGTAAAGTCAGAAAATGAGTTGATTTAAAGAAGAAATATTAGGGGGAGGATAATAGTATAAATGGAACATGCAGTGCCAGCAAAAACTGTGATGTGGAAGTTTGGAGAACAGTTTTCTTTCAAACAGATTGAGGGAGGGCAAATAAGACATAGCATACATTGCAAGGATCTAATCGGTCATCAGTATGTTCATTTACATTTTCAATTCTCCCCTATTGCATGAGTTTTATTTCCCACCAAAGCAATAAACACATACCTGGGTGAGTTGGGGGGGCGGGTATCAATGAGAAACTCCTATAGGGGACAGTAGTCTTTTCGACTCTGACCATCTGCCCTGATTGGAGACACTCTGAGACCACAGGTTGCTCTCAGCTCTGTGGACGTCCAAGACAGCAAAGCTGGGGGTGGGTGGCCGAAACAGGGACGTTCAGATGATGGCACTGATGTTTGGCTTCTAAGACCCCTGGGTCACCAGCACCCAAAGGCGGCCGCCGTGTGCAGACTGGATGAGGGTTATTGTGGGTTGAGTAGGAATTTGCAACACTCATCTTTTCTCACTGACTCTTGGCCATCTCCTGGTCTCCCCAAGCCCAGCCCCATCCTTGGAGAGGCGCACCCATCAGGAATGTGGAAGTCGGAGAGCTCGGGAGGAGTGAAATGCGGGTGCCGGGAGCCAGTCTCAAGGAACGCGGCTAACAAAAGGCTCACATTGCCTGTCGCGGCTAACAAAAGGCTCACATTGCCTGTAGGGCAGCAAGCGTTTATTCACACTGTCACCGCAGCAGCAGAATGAAGGCCATACCTGAAGAAGCTTTGTTATAATCTGGGTCTTCATTCTAACTTTGTATCAATTATCACACACTTCCAGAAAACCATACAAACTCAATACCTAATCTCTGATTAATTACTATGTTAATATATCTAAAGATTATCCTCAGAAATGCCAGACAATGCAACCAGTGGTTCAACACACTGTACTAAGTATTTACTATGGAAAACCACACAATCATTACAAAGTTAAGCCTATCCAAATGCACTGCTGAGAAAAATGACCACCTCCTATTGTTAAGGAAAAAGACCAGCTCGCAGGGCATTTGCTCACCCAGCCAACAATATTTCCTCAGTGTCCACCGCGTTGCAGGCATTGTTTTAGGTGCTGAAGATGCGGTAGTGCACAGTGCACATGCCAGGGAGGGAAGACGAAACGAATCAGTCCACAAGTAAACAGGAAAATGAACGCCGCCACTCAGACAATGAATAAAACAGGATGTGGGAAGGAGCGACCCGGGTCCCTTTGGCAGATGGCTGTGGCCTCACTGCCAAGGTGAGATTGGAGCTGAGAAGTGAAGGATGAATAAGAATCAGCCTGCAAAAGATGTGGCAGGGAGGGCTGGACTTACCGCTCAGACGCAGGCCGAGCAAAGCTGCCGAGAAGAAATTCCGCGTCTTCCAGGACTGGAAAGAAACAGCCCTCAGCGTCTCCACCTGAAAACACCCAGCCAGGTGTGTGGTGTTTCCACTAAGCCCACTGTTCTCTCAGGAGCTCCAGGTGGAAGACTTCACCATCCTTCCGTGGAGAGATAGAAGTGGACGGCACCATTTGGAAAAGGTATTTTCTCACAGGCATGACAGTCACCTGTTAGGTGAGGTCGTCCTCACCCCTGACGTATCTCTGGAATTAATCTCTCTGTGTTCTCTTCATAGAACTCAGCACCTTATCTTTGCCTGGATTGCTTAAACAGCTAAAACAGCCTTTTAAAGAAGCATAATATTGAAAACAATCGTCCTAGTTCCCATGTCTTAGACATCCTCGTAAATATCTGCTGGGCATGACCTCCTCTTCACATGCCCCTTTCGGAGAGGGACTGAAACCTCCCCTTTCACAAAGAAGGAACAGCAGGCGGCAAACAGCAGAGCTGGGATTTGAACTCAGGTCTCCCCAGCTGCAGGGAGGCAGGGCCATTAACTTTATACGGAAAGATATGCATTTTAAAATTGAAAACAAAGTATGCAAAGAACTCATGGAAAACCAGAGAGGAAACAAGGAGATGACACGGAACAGCAAAAGAAGGACAGATAATAGAAAATGCAAAATCAGAAAATAAAAAGTCTATTTTATTTTATGTTGAACTTGGGTTTTTTGCAGTCTAAGTGGCAGGAGCAATTCCTCCTTCTTTTTGCTAATGAGACTTCTCTCCGCTGGCAGTTGGAGGCATTGCTTTGGACGCCACATTTGACAACCCCTCGCTGGCCTTCCGGCCTCCACTCTGGCCCCTGCAGACCACCCTCCCCGGCTGCCAGGACATCCTCCTAGAATGCAAACGTGGCCCCGCCACTTCCCACTGCACATTTCTCAATGGTGCCCACTGTCAGCTAGGTCAAGTCCCAGCAGGCCCCAGGCAACCTCTGCAGCCTCTCACCCCCCATCCCTCCCTGCGAGGAGCCCCCTTCGGTCTCTGCTGGACGTGAGGTTTACTCTCCCACGCACCCCTCTAGAATCCCCCTGCCCTGACCCCTCTTCTCCAACTCAGGAAATTCTTGGGCTCCTTGGAGGGTCGCTGTAACATCGATAGCTTATTCTTTGCCACTGTAACGGCGTTCCCAGGTCTGTGATTGGCTGCGCATGAATCTGTCCTCTCCGTTACTTCCAGAGCTCCGTGAGAGCAGGGCCAGTATCCTGTTCATCTGTCTCTCTGGTGCCTCATTGGAAAAGAGCATGGGAGAGGCCAAAAAATGAAAAAAAAAATGACAGAACAGCTTGGTAAGATATCTCTTATGGGGGTACAGGATCTGGGAGAAGTGCATAAAGAGTTACCAACCAAGTGTGTGGGATGGGCAGGTCAGGGAAGGCTTCCTGGAGGAGGCGGTGGGCAAGCTAAAGGTTGGGCTGGAGCCAGTCAATGTGGCGGAGAAAAGAAATTGAGGCAGGGTTGAGGGTTCGGAGAGGCGAGGAACTCTGCCTCTGTGAGCATGAGTTAGAGGATGGTGAGAGATGGCCTTGGATAGGTAGATAATGGTCTGGAGCCCCTGTTATAAGCTTTAGGCTTCACGGTGAGAGGAGCAGGGATGCCTACAGGTTGTTTTCTTACAAGGAAGGAGTGGTGTGTGGTTGGGTTTCCATTTCAGAAAGGTCACTCTGACCACAGAGGGGAGGATAGATTAGGAAGAGAGGTGGCTGGCTGTCATGTTTGGTTGTATAGGTTGGGCACTGCACAACTTTAGGGGTAAGATTTTCCCCTCTCTGGTGGCCTGGGTACGTGAGAGTGGCTGACATCATCTGATGGCAGAGACTCTCATTGGACAGTTGTTATGGGAAGTTAGCAACTGATGCTGGGCATGGCAACAAGCGGAGTGCTATGGACACAGAGAAAGGGACATGTTGGTTCAGAGAGACTCACAGATGCATCAACAAGGGCTCTGATCCTGCAGCTTTGAATGAGGCCTGGGGTGCAACCTGTTTGCGAGCTGGGTACCTAAGGGTGGCATCTATGGACCACCTAGAGGTGGATTTATCATGAAGCCAATGCAACTGAAGCTTCAGGACATGAATTTGCATAGTCCTCTTCCAATATGTCACCAAGGTCATATGTTTTTGTGAAATTTGCAAGATACTTTCATCACAGTTGGCTAAGACAGCTGTCTCCTCCTGCTCTGACTTGCCCTCCATCACCTCTGCTGGTGGCATGGGAGGGGCCATGATTTGGCTAAGGGGAGGCTGATACCTGGATCCTGGGCTGTGAGCAGTAGACTGGCATCAGCAGCATTGCTGGTGCCATCAGGATACAGACACCAGGTGTGGTGGCTTCCAGCATGTTCCTCCTGCCCCTCTGTCAACTTCCCTGTATCATGACATGGAGGTGCAGAGACAAGGGTGGAACAGTGAAGCCACCACGCCCAGTGATGCCGGCAAGAACACGAGCAGGCGAGCATGGAAAAGGTTGGAATCTGCAGAGCCTGGTCTGTGGAAAATTCCTCCAAACAGATACACATGGCTGTAAACGTAGGACTCGATTCTCTTGGACTCAGTGAAAATGGCAATTCATTCCCATCAGGAGTACCCTCAGCAATGCAGTGTGTAGGATGATAAGTGTGCCACAGCTCGTAAAAATCACTTTGGTGGGAATGGTATGTTTGATCAAGCTTGAGTATCCCACTATAGTTGGAACTTAGAAAGGGATTATGGAATATTCGAATAAAGAAAGTGAGAAATCGCAGACTCCTAATTTAGATGTATTTGAAGGGTACCTTCTTTTATCTTAAATTTGTTTGTTAAAAAACAATGGATGACTTGAGTAATATGAAACAAAAGAGATGAACATGAAGCATGGCACAGATCTTCCGACATTGAGAAGCGAATTACAACTGAAAATGTCCACATCATAACAGAAGCAGAAGTTCATTAAGAAGAGGTCAGCTAACAAGGTGAAACCCGGTCTCTACTAAAAATACAAAAAAAATTAGCCAGGCTTGGTGGTGGGTGCCTGTAGTCCTAGCTACTCGGGAGGCTGAGGCAGGAGAATGGTGTGAACTTGGGAGGCAGAGCTTGCAGTGAGCCGAGATTGCACCACTGCACTCCAGCCTGGGCGACAGAGTGAGACTCCATCTCAAAAAAAAAAAAAAAAAAAAGGAGGTTGGCTGTGTGCGGTGGCTCACGCCTGTAATCCCAGTGCTTTGGGAGGCCGAGGCAGATAGATCAAGAGGTCAGGCGTTTGAGACCAGCCTGGCCAATATGGTGAAACCCCGTCTCTACTAAAAATACAAAAAAAAAAATTAGCCAGGCATGGTGGTGTGTGCCTGTAATACCAGATACTCAGGAGGCTGAGACAGAAGAATCGCTTGAACCTGGGAGGTGGAGGTTGCAGTGAGCCGAGACTGCACCACTGCACTCCAGCCTGGGCAACAAAGTGAAACTCTGTTTCAGAAAAAAAGAAGACGTCAATTTCAAATGGAAGTGATAAATTAGCACTTAGGTGACATGATAACCTAGTTCAGGGGTCCCCAGCTCCACAGCTGCTGATGGGTACTGGTCTGTGGGCTGTTAGGAACCAGGCCACACAGCAGGGGGAGCGCCGGGTGAGGGAGCATTACCACCTGAGCTCTGCCTCCTGTCAGATGAGGGGAAGCATTAGATTCTCATAGGACCTCGAACCCTGTTGTGAACTGCACATATGAGGGATCTAGGTTGTGGGCCCCTTATGAGAATCTAATCCCTGATGATCTGAGGTGGAAGAGTTTCATCCTAAAACCATCCCCACCACCCACTCCCGTCCATGGGAAAACTGTCTTCCACAAAACCAGTCCCTGGTGCCAAAAAGTTTGGGGACTGCTGACCTAGTTACTGAAGAGAAGTGAGTAATATTAATATATTACACCAATATTTAAATTTCTTGCTGGCTGGATGGAAAATAACTGACATTCAGGTAGATAGGATAAAATCCACAAATAAAATCACTGATGACAAATTCAGTACTGTCAATTCAAACAGCATGTGATGTTATTAATTGTACAAGAAAACCTGAAATGACCTGAAATCTTACAACTCATACATGGAGGAAATTCAATAGAAGTTTTCCCAAATTTGATTATAGTCTTGAATTTTTTACAACAGTCTCAGTTGGGATCAATGGGTCAGGTAGAAGCATAATTATATCATTGTGAAACTAAAAGACATTTTTTCTAAGCTAACTTCCACCAAAGACACACAAAATCACACTGTAGCCAAATACGCCACAGCAGATGCTGATCTATCTTCCTCTTCTCACTGTAGAAAACAATGTCGACAAAATTGTCATCATATGAAAACGAGTTCCTTTGGGTTTATCTCTAAGAATTTGTTTTAGGAATCTGGGTGCTCCTGTATTGGGTGCATATATATTTAGGATAGTTAGCTCTTCTCATTGAATTAATCCCTTTTCCATTATGTAATGTCCTTCTTTGTCGTTTTTTATCTTTGTTGGTTTAAAGTCTGTTTTGTCAGAGACTAGGATTGCAACCCCTGCTCTTTTTTTGCTTTCCATTTGCTTAGTAAATTTTCCTCCATCCCTTTATTTTGAGCCTATGTGTGTCTTTGCATGTGAGATAGGTCTCCTGAATACAGCGCACCAATGGGTCTTGACTCTGTCCGATTTGCCAGAAGTAGCTTACCCAAAAGATTCTCTTGCCATTAAAATAAAGGCAGAATTCTATTTAACACATGTAGCAAAATAATGCTGAATGTGAACCTACTAGCCACTGCTGGTCCTGCAAAATTCTTGAACATACTTCACAGGTGCCATCTGGAACTACACCTGTACAAAAATCACCCCGAAAATAGTTTTCAATCAACATACACTTGCGATTATATTAAAAAAAAAAAAAAGAAAGAAAGAAGATCCAAGAACATGCAGCAAAAAGAAGGTATCGTGGGTGTGTGTCTGTCGGGCAATGAATTAGTGAAAATATGTTAATTTGCAGATGTAGTGATATTTGCAGTATTTGTTAGCTTTTCAAAATATGCAATTTGTTATGGTTTCTTTTCTGAATATTCACTTTTGTAACTACTTTTATGTTTATAATTTTGTATTCTTTCCTTAAAGAAAGATCCTCATATTGTATTAAGGCTTGAACCCACAAAACCTGGATCTGGTGGTGGGGGCCAGGAATATACATTTGCAATTTCAGACCAGTCAGAGGTCATATGGGGTAAGACTGAGGTGCCAGTAGTGAGGGCTGCCCAGCTCCAGGCTTGGAAACTCGCATTGGATCCCAGCTGAACCAATGCCACTCTGGGCGGATGCTGTGACCCCGGAGACTTCACAGGCGGTTCACTCATTAATATCACTGGGCTCAGATCTGTGAAACCCACGCCTCCCACACGAAGCTCAGTCTTCCAGCCAAAATAACACACTGTAAGCTCGGGTGTAGTTGAAAGTGAAACCGCGTAGTTTTTAAAGGTTTAAAAGCTCACTTGAAGAAGGGCAAAGGGTCAGGAAAGAAAGAGTTCCATTTACAGAGACTTGGCAAATCTTTCCCAAGGAAGATGCCCCACTTACAACATGTACTTTCCACTCTGTGCACTGCCCCCAGGCTGGGGCCAAGGTGGCTAGTCAGTGTTCTTGTCCACAGTGGTGACGAAGGCTTGGCTTCTGAAGTTTGATCTGGGGAAAGAGGTAAACTTGGGCGTTTCAGAGGTGGAGGGAGGGTTCTGTGAGGGGTCAGGGGAGACAGATATGGAGTACAGTCAGGGGAACCCTGCATTGCATACCTGCAGCTATCACCGCTGGATGGGCCTGAGGGAATGACCTATTCCAAGCGCGTCTCATATGCCAAAGGGAAAAGAAACGAAGGCCGGAGAGTTTATGCCTCTTGCCGGAAGTCCCTGTGAAATGTGTGTGGGGCCAGGGGCGACAAGCATTGACTGGAAATCCGCCTTTTAACAGGAGCCTTATTCAGATTGACAAGTAGTTGGCATTCAGATTTTCCCATCTGAGCTCATGGCCGCAGTTCCTAAAAGGCTGTTTGAGGGTCCCCTGTCAACATTTCAGATTTGAAGGCACCACTTTAAGGGCCTTTATCATTATCCACAACAGCAGCAGCAGCATGAGTAGCATTAGGAATGCGTTTCCTCCTGTGCTTTGAGGCTTACGTAGGTCTTTCTTCTGCATCGTTTCATGAAATTCTCACAAGAACACTATGAGGTAGGTGTCAGATGTCCATTTTACAGGACAGAAAAGAGATTAAAAAAAAGAGAGAGAGAGAGGAAAAAGGGCTTTATTCAAAGCCAAGTCAGTTCATATGGGCAGAGCCAGGACTTGAACGCAGGCCCCACAGTCTTAACTCCAATATTTTCAGCTGCCTTGGGAACTTCTTGGAAGAGCCCATTCCATTTTCCTGCCATAACATCATGGAATGATGGGACGGGTGTGGGTGCTGTGGGTCCCAGTGACGCTGTCTCCCAACTGCCTCCAACAGGTGCTGCCAGGACACGACTCAATGTCTGGGTCGGGTGGACAGGAACGTGCTGTGGGCCCCGGCCCTTTGCTGTAAGCCTTCGCAGGTGCCGTTCATTCTGCCCGGGACGCGTCTCTGGCCTTTCTGAACGGGTGTTGCCTCCTCAGGAGCCCAGCTGACTCGTCTCACTGACTCCCCCTGCAGCCCTCTCCACCATCTGGAATTAGCTCCCCTGTATCTTCCACTGCTTCCTCGACATCTGACTCACTGCAGTGGGTTCTAAGCTGCAGGAGGACAAGGGCCTTATTCCTCTGCTCACCAGTCTGCCCTCAGCAGCCACCGCTGGCACTCAGTGTGTTTTCAATAATCGTGTGTGGCTGAGATGCAGGCGGGAAGCAGAAGGAAGCCTTGTCTGCCACCATCAGGCCGTGTTGTAAGTGCAGGTGGCCCTGGGCTGCAAGTTTTCAACGGGGACATTAATCCCAAAGCGACGTCCTCGAGCATCCTTCTATTCTGCAGCACTGCACTGTGCTACGAAAGAGCCGGGACAGAAGGCCAGGTTGCAACCCAAGTCCTTCCATTTTTACTGTAGAACCTGGGGCCGAGTGATGAACCATCTTTAAGGCTTGGCCTCCTCATCTGTAAAGTGGGTCTGAGAGCAGTGCCACAGGGCTGCGTAGCCCTGAAGATAGCCCCGGAAGTAGGGTACTGAAATACCTACTCAGGACACCCCAAGGAAGTGCCCAGTCAACACCCAGCCAGAGAACAAACTGGGCAGTGCAAGTAACTCAGCTCTGGAAGGCTCCCCCTAGTATTTTACTAATAACTAACACTTAAACATTGCTGTCAGATCACAAATATTGTAAGCAAACATCACTCTGCCGTTGCTTGCACAATGAATGAGTGCAAGGCTGGCGATTTGGGGAGCCCATCTCAGTCATCAGTTCTCTCCCTGCAGGGACATTGTTTCACATGGCAGGGTTGTCACCTCAAATGCCTTCAAGAGCATGCAGGTACCCAAAGGAAGGAGGCAGCAGGGGTTAGGTATGACCTTGCTCCCAACCAAGGACACCAAAAAATTGAAAACACAGTGGTCACTCAATAAAATCTATCTCCAGGTCATCCTACAGGCTAGCACTTTGCAACTCTGATACATTGCATGGGGACACTTGATTACTGGTGACAATTCCAAATGAGATTATTTCAGGTCCCCAAACCCTTATTTGAAACCCCTGGGGCCAGATGCATGCATAATTCAGAAGTGTCATGGGTCGTGGAAGGTAACATGGTGCACAGACCCCACATAATATAACTCCCCACAGGGTTTGGGGCAGCCTTTCACGAACAGTTCTGCAGGGAGTGTTTCAGCATTCAAGCTAAGAGGGAGAAACTGAGATTAAAGACAGTCTCACGCATGTTCAGGGTAGCAAGTTTCGCTGCCAGTTGAGCTTTTATTATTTTTTTATTAGATTTTCACGTTTGGGATATTGGAATTGCTGAAAAGAGATTGTGGATCTGTGAGGCCAGGTTCTTAGTCTCTCAGGCAGACCCTGATGCACCGGCTGCCTCTAGTGTCCCTCTGTCCGTTTCCCCGTGGCCTGGGGAAGAGGCTCCCTTGTCCTCCCGTGTCCAGTGCCACGCCACCTCCTCTGTTCTTCTTCCCTCATCAGTGGCCTTCCCATCCAGGCTTCTGAGAGCTGCGGAGATTTTTTCCTCTCTGCATATCTTGCAGTGTTCAGACTCTCAGCGCCAAGGCCAGTTTAGCTGCTAATTGAGCGGAACAGCACCAGATGAGCCAACTGATATTTGATGAGCAAAGGCGGATTCCACGCTGGATCACCAGTGAGCCACGGTGATGGGGGCTAGACTTGCGTCCGATGAGCAAAGGCGGGTTCCACGCTGGATCACCAGTGAGCCACGGTGATGGGGGCTAGACTTGCGTCCGATGAGCAAAGGCGGGTTCCACGCTGGATCACCAGTGAGCCACGGTGATGGGGGCTAGACTTGCGTCCGATGAGCAAAGGCGGGTTCCACGCTGGATCACCAGTGAGCCACGGTGATGGGGGCTAGACTTGCGTCCGATGAGCAAAGGCGGGTTCCACGCTGGATCACCAGTGAGCCACGGTGATGGAGGCTAGACTTGCATCTTCTGACTCCTACTTTGGGGTGTTTTTCTCTAAGCTGCAAGAGGCTCAAGAAAAAAAAAAAAAAGCCCGGGTATCCGGCAGAGGACAGCACGCCAAGGCTGAATCTGGAGAGGAGACGCGTGGCCCCAATCCACTTCCATCTTACAGACCTCTGTTCTTTGGCAACCCTTCTTCCTGAAAGTGAAAATCCCTTTTGTCTGTGGGAAAAACCTCATAAAAAAAAAAAAAAAAAAAAGCCCAACTGAAAAACACATTGGTTTCTATTCATAATTGGGGGTGGGGGGGGGGAAGGAATTTCACACAGATTCAACACATACATGAAAAATAAAAAGAACCAGTGACTCAGAGGCTGACGTGTTTCCCATTTCCTAATAGCCTTAATTTTTTAGGTCACTGCTCAGCTATTCAAAGACTGTCTCATTTAAAGATGATTTATTTATCAAGGACATTGGGAGAAGCCCAGTGAGTGTTGAATCCAAAAATGCCACAAGCAGGCCCCTCTCTGCTCACAAACAGAATGGCAACTGCCTATTTCTCTAGTTGTTTCCAAAGAGCCGCCATGTTCAGAAACCTCAAAGTGGTGAAGACAGGTGGAAAATGGTGAATATTTTGAATTTCTTCCCTACAGATAGGAAGCGGGGAATCAGAAGAAGAGGAACCAATTTCAAAACAGACAAAGCTGGGGCCTGACTAGAATTTCCAGCCACTCTTTCTGCATGGCATGTTCTGGCAAGGTCTGTGCAAAATGAAGAAACCTTCGAATAAATTTCATTCCGCGGTAAAATACAATCTCAAGGCCTGAGGAATTTGGAGAGATTTGGAACTTTTGACCCCTTGGCTAGGTCTGTCCGTCCAACAAGTGTGAAGGAGGAGGTCAGCTCCAGCTCCCAGTCAACCATTTAGGTCAGAGAATGATTTCACCAAGTCAGCAAGGTTTGCCACTGTCAGCTGCAAACCTCCACAGTGGAATGAGTGGCATGGGTGCAGCCCTCTTTGCTCTTGTCAATGAAAACCTACTCCGTTGACAACAGGGTAGAGAATAATGGCAACAGAGAATATGACTGGGGGATTAGCACCTTCAGAGGCTGCAGGGCAGGACTTGACATGAATAAGCCAACTCCTCTTATGGATTGAATTCTGTCCCCCCAAAAAAGCATTGAAGTCCTAACCCCCGATACCTGTGAATGTGGCCCTATGTGGAAATAAGGCCTTATGTAGATGATCAGCTTGAGACAGTGTCACAGGGTGGTGGGCCTCCTAGGTATGACTGGGTCCTTATAGAAGGGGGAATCTGGATGCAGAGATGGACATGCACAGAGGGGAGGCGATGTGAAGACTGGGAGGAGACGGTGCTCTAGGAACCACGGAACCCCTGAGGCTACCAGGAACTGGAGCGAGGCCTGCAGCAAAGTGTCCCTCGAGCCCCAGAAGGAACCAGCCCTGCCGACACCTCCATCTCAGACTCGTGGCCTCCAGAACATGGGAGAATAAATTTCTGTGGTTCTAAGCCACCTGGTTTATGGCCCTTTGTTGTGACCGCCCCAGCAAACTCTTATACCCGCACTGTGTGAGGTGGGTGTCTCATTATCCCCATGTCATGAACACAGTGCTAGAGAGAAATGCTACAGAAACCAGAGGTTCAAACAGCAGGTGAATAACACCGTCAAGATTTGAACTCAACTCTCTGTGACCATAAAGCTCCAATTCATCACCACATCACTCCAAGGTCCTTGTGAGTTGTGTCTCAGGAGGGGACATCTGCTTCAACCCCCTCAATGTATGAAGGAAGTCAAGGATACCAAAGAGGTCAAAGATCACACTCAACATCACCCAGCCCATCAGCAGTCAAGTTGACGTTGGGGACACAGCTCACTGCCGGGGCTCCATCCCCTCTCCTAGCTGGCCCTCATCATGTTGGCCAGGGAGCCACTCTCAGCCAGGCAAGGAAAGAGCACTTTTCGGTCTGGAGTTATAGGTGGTGCCCCAGGGGTGCTCGCTCCATCAGAAGGGCAGGGGGCAGAGCAGGGGTGGTTCTGAGTGGAAGTGCAGGCCATGGCCCCCACCATACCAGGTTTCTTTCTCTGGGGCATGCATGCCGGGGAGGGACACAGTGAACTGGGGGACAGAACACCTAGAAGAGTGAGGACACTTATTTCCAGAGCATTAGTTTGCTCCATGGTGAGTTGTTGCAAATATTTTTACACTGAAACAATCATCATAACTGATCTCAGAATTATACTTAGCTGCTGATAATAGAGACCTAAAATACAAGTGGCTCACATGAATTGGGAGTTCCTTCTTTATGTGAAGGAATGGTGACCCCTTGGTGTCATCAATACCCGAGCTTATTTTCCTTTCTGCTCCACCATCCAAAACATGTCGCTTCACTTAGAGATTGCCTCATTAGCACAAAATGGCTGCTGAAGTGCTTGTCATCACATCCGGGCAGGAGGAAGGAGGAAGGGGTGAGAGGAATCTTCCAGGCGAATTAGTTCTTCTTAAAGAGCCTTCCTGGAAACCCCTACATATTGACTTCGGCATGTTGGTCATGTCTATATGCAAAGGAGTTTGGGAAGTGTTTTTAGATAGGCATCCAATTATTAAGTGATTCTTTGTTGTTCAGTGATTAACCGTCAAAGCACCCAATAATTAAGAGATTCTGTAAATGAGGGAGAAAAATGGACATTGAGTAGGCAAATAACGTGTCTACGACAGCAATAGATTATCAGCATAAAAAATGGTGTGCATTTCCAAGATAAACCCTATGACTTGGGAATGAATTTAGGTTTATGATAGTCTGCTTTCGTCTGGGAACTCCTGGTAACCATATGCTTTCCCCTATATGCACTATTAGCACAGTGTGAAACACTGAGAAACCCTACATAGGCAAGCTAAATAACCTGACCAAGGTTATCCACTTAAGCAGTGGCTGAGCTGGGATTTGAACCTGCATTTCCTCAGACCAAGGAGACAGTTCCCACATTTAAGAAAATGATCATGTTTTATACTGCGGTATCCATATAGGAAGGGGCCATTGCAAGAGCTCAAATAACTTTGATTAGAAAATAAGACTGACCGGGCACAGTGGCTCATGCCTCTAATCCCAGCACTTTGGGAGGCTGAGGCAGGCGGGTCACTTGAGGTCAGGAGTTCGAGACCAGCCTGGCCAACATGGTGATACCCTGTCTCTACTAAAAATAAAAAATTAGCCGGGCATGGTTGTGGGTGCCTGTAATCCCACCTGCTCGGGAGGCTGAGGCAGGAGAATCTCTTGAACCTGGGAGGTGGAGGCTGCAGTGAGCTGAGATCGTGCTACTGCACTCCAGTCTGGGTGACAGAGTGAGACCCCGTCTCAAAATAAATAAATAAATAAAATAGAAAATAAGACTAAGACTGCACTTGGGGGTTCCGATTGAGACAACCAGGTAGGAAGGGAGGGTACAGAGGAAGGAAGACCCCGTGTGGGATGACCACCAGGCACCTGCAGCTTTGGTGATTCCCGAGAGAGACGAGGCAGAGACGGGTGAGAAACATAGAGACATTTACCAAAATGAAATTTTAAAAGAGAGGAAGTTTACTTAAACCTCTTAGAGTTATCCCTCCACAAATAAGTAACCCTTCCAAGCCACAGCATCCTGATAAATTTCCCTTGGAGCTGCCTCAGGAAAAGGTCAGAGCTGATGGTGGGGCTGAGCATGCACGCAAACCCCATCCCTGCTGCTCTGGTCCTCCCAGCTGGACTGGGCACAAGGCGGTCCCCTCGGTGGGTCTCAGGAATGTAGGCAAAGGAATGATTTTGTCCAACCTGAGGGCCTTCTTTATATCCATGACTTAATTTTTGTTCTATTTAATTACAATAGCAATGGTGTTTCTTATGAAGAACAATCCAACCAAGATCTCAGAATGCCAAGTGCAATAGTCCTACCAGTCCACATCCGCAGAGGGCCCATTTTGGATCCAAGTGCAGGGACAGGGATGCATTCCATGGCATTTACATGCAGATCTCATCTCAACGGACCTGGGCCTCCTCCAGGGTGGGGCCCCTCCCTTGTTCTTCCCATGAGCCCCAACCTCTGTGATTGGCCTCTGGCTGATTAGTCAAGAACAGGAGCACTGAGGGTGGTGTATTAGTCAGAGTTTTCTAGAGGGGTACAACTAATAGAATATATGTATATATGAAAGGGAGTTTATTAAGGAGAATTGACTCTTATGATCACAGGGTAAAGGCCCACGAAAGCCTGTCTACAAACTGAGGAGCTGAGAAGCCAGTGGTGAATCACTCTTAGTCCCAAAACCTCCAAAGTAGGGAAGCCGACCGTGCAGCCTTCGGTCTGTGACCAAAGGCCCGAGAGCCCCTGGCAAATCACTGGTGTAAGCACAAGAGTCCAAAAGCTGGATAACTTGGAGTCTGATGTTCGAGGGCAGTAAGCATCCAGCACGGGAGAAAGATGGAGGCCACAAGACTCAGCAAGTCTGCTTTATTCTAGCTGCACTGGCAATGGATTAGATAGTCCCCACCCACACTGAGGGTGGGTCTGCTTCACCCAGTCCACTGACTCAAATGTTAATCTCCTTTGACAACACCTTTACAGACACGCCCAGGGACAATACTTTGCATCCTTCAATCCAATCTGGTTGACACTTAATATTAACCATCAGAGGTGGCTCTGGGTGTGTGTCCTGAGCTGTGCAAGTGGTGCCTGTCACTCCTGGCCATTCTGCACCTCTGTTTCAGGGAGGGTGGTGCTCTAACTCTCCTCCTCCCACCAGTCTTTCTCTTATTTATTGAGCAAATGCTAAGTGGCAGGCTCTGGCCCGAGCACTGGGAGCACACATCCTATTCAGCCTTTTCCACCAACCGCCAGGTGGGTGCCATTATTACCCCAGTTTAGAAACAAGACTCGTTAGCTTCAGGACAGCTGTGTGTCTTGCCCAAGGTCAAACTCCAGCAAGGACAGAAATCTGAGATGCTGCTTTGGGCCTGCCTGGCCCTAGAGCCCCAGCTGTGAAGCCTGCGGTCCACTTTGGGTGCCAGCCGTTTGAGGGGAATGGGAGTAGCTTCCAGGGGGTGGCTGAGCCCATCTTGTGTCCTTAGAATAAATTAGCAGGAAGTAGCTGCACTAGAAAACCAATGTTTCTGTAAGCAGGAGACCAAAGAGGGCCCCCTCTCCATCCTCTTTCTTTCCCTGGGGTGTTCTTCTTTGCTCCATTGGGCGATCGTATCGTGAGCTGCAAGGGTCAGGAAGCCACACTCTGAAGCCATCTAACGGCCGCGTCCGGGCCTCCAGGCCTCCCTCCCTGCCTCCATTCTCCTCCCTGGGCACCTGTGTGGCCCCCAAGTCTCCTCTCCACTCTCCCCACTTGAAGCTGAGCTGCGGGCCCCTCCCAGGTCTCTCAGGATGGACCTCGCCAAGCCCCTCCAAGCGTCCTGAAGGCTCCACTGCCTCTCTTGCCGAGGGCCTTGGCGAGCACATCATGCCTGGCTTTGCTGAGCAGAGATGGATTGAACCTTTAGTCTCGGGCAGGTGCTCTGTTCCCAGAACCTCAAAGTTACCCCAACCTGTCTATGCTGGACTCTTGGCCAAGGGCCCACAAGGAAGCCCTCAAGGAAGTCTTGATGTTGTAGTTGGGGGGATAAGAGCTGACCCCAAAATCTAGAGAAAGGCCCACAGGGCCAGAAGCAGGGTGAGGGGTGGCACCCAGGAGGCCTTTGGGGTGGAGCCCTACAGGACAGAAGAGTTCGGCCCTGTGCACATGCTTAGAAGGGATGGGAGGAAAATTCTGGAGGTGTGAGGATGCTTGAAGGAAGGCAGGGGTGAGGTGTGAGGACCCTGAGAGAAGACAGGGGTGAGGCGTGAGGACCCCTGAGAGAAGGCAGGGGTGAGGCGTGAGGACCCCTGAGAGAAGGCAGGGGTGAGGCGTGAGGACCCCTGAGAGAAGGCAGGGGTGAGTGTGAGGACCCCTGAGAGAAGGCAGGGGTGAGGTGTGGGGACCATTGAGAGAAGGCAGGAACTGTCCAGGGGTTAGCGAGAAAGAACCCCAGAGAGAGACACCCTGCTGGCCAGTGTGATGAGACTAAAGCTGGAGGCAGAATGTTTGATGGAAGAGTTGGTCTGAGGCTCAGGCACGCATGGTGGCTGAGTAGAGGTGTGTCCTCACCACACTGAGGGTTAGAAGAGGAAAACCCGGCAGGTGCCTTTCATACACCCACACCCTCTTTTTGGGAACAGTGACAGACACAACGCGTAAGATGAGAATTTCTCGTGTGTGACAGTCATCCCCCCACCACCCGATAAAGAGGATTCCATTCACCACCAAAGAAGGACCCTGACTTCCCACACCGACATTTTGGGCTTCTATATGTCACACAAGGTGAAGAGAGGTGGGCCTTGTTTCTGTGTCAGGAAAGGCAGAGATGGGGCAGGGTCGGGGGATGAATAGCGCAAATAGGAAAGTGTGAAAATGCAGCGCTCTGTGTGGCCCAGGCGTGCCCTTCGCGTTGGTTGAGAGATGTGAGTGAGCAACTTGGCTTTTTTTTTTTTTTTTTTTTTAAGATGTCCTCTGGTTGCTGCATTTGGCTTCTTTGAAGACTGCATCGCCCTGAGACTGGACCCCAGGGGTAAGGACTTCCCGGACAGTACATAGGTGGATCACCACATACAGCAGGGTCACAGCAAATCCAACAAGAACCATGTGGTCAGTGGTACTCTTGAAAATCATGTAACTCACCCTCGAATGGCAGGACTCCAGCTCTAAAAAGCTCAGACATCTAAAAAGTTACCTTTTTTGGCCGGGCGCGGTGGCTCACGTCTGTAATCCCAGCACTTTGGGAGACTGAGGCAGGTGGATCATCTGAGGTCAGGAGTTTGAGACCAGCCTGGACAACATGGTGAAACCATCTCTACTAAAAATACAAAAATCAGCCGGGTGTGGTGGCACACACCTGTAATCCCAGCTACTCAGGAGGCTGAGACAGGAGAATCGCTTGAACCTGGGAGGTGGAGATTGCAGTGAGGTGAGAACGCATCACTGCACTCCAGCCTGGGCGACAGAGCGAGACTCCCTCTCAAAAAAAACAAAAACAAAAAACCTTTTTAGTTTCTGAATGTTAGCCATAGGGTCCCTTTTCCTGGGGCTGTTTTCTTAAAACAGGAGGGAAGGCAAAGGAATTTAGAACATAATTTCTTTTTAAGCACATACAATAATCAAATTCTGATAAGTGAAATGTGCACGTGCCTGTGTGTTCGTGTGTGCTCGTGTGTGTACATGTGTGTGCTCATGTGTGTTCGTGTGTGCTCATGTGTACATTGCATGTGTGCATGCGTGTTTGTGTGTGCTCGTGTGTGTGCCTGTGTGTGCACGTGTGTGCTCGTGTGTTCGTGTGTGCGTTGCATGTGCTCATGTGTGTTCGTGTGTGTGTTCATGTGTGCTTTATGTGTGTGTGCATGTGTACCCAGGTGTGCATGTGTGCCTGTGTATGCATGTGTGTGCTCATGTGAGTTTGTACTTTGCATGTGCTCATGTGTGTGCATGTGTGCCTGTGTGTGCTCTGATTCCACTGATATATTTCATGGAGAAGAGCGGTTCCTGCCTCTGTGTCTTATTCATTGAAGCTATGCCTGCTCTCCCTGACCCAGGCTCTCCTTCCAGAGCCAAAGTCATCCTTCCTCTCACCTACTCAACCTAATAGATGCCTTTTTAAGAAACAGACCTTCCATGCATTTTCCACTCCGGGGCTTGGCGACTTTTTTTCTTTTTTAGATGGAGTCTCGCTCTGTCGCCCAGGCCGGAGTGCAGTGGCGCGATCTTGGCTCACTGAAACCTTTGCCCCTCCAGGTTTAAGCAATTCTCTGCCTCAGCCTCCGGAGTAGCTGGGATTACAGGCGCATGCCACCAGTACCGGCTAATTTTTTTTGTATTTTTAGTAGAGATGAGGTTTCACCATCTTGGCCAGGCTGGTCTTGAACTCCTGACCTCGTGATCCACCTGCCTCGGCCTCCCAAAGTGCTGGGATTACAGGCTTGAGCCACCGCGCCCGGCTGGTGACTTCTATAGTCCTTTCGTCTCTCTAAAGTGGGTAAGAGGGAAAGGTCAACACAAAACCAGCCATGGCACAGGCCTCGAGGAGAAGGCTGACCGTCCATGGACAGCAGGCCCATGGCTGCTCTAGCTCCGCTCTGCTGCTGGGAGTGAGTGGCCGGGTGGCAGGCGCCCTCCAGGGCATGGATGAAACCTCACAAATGGCGCTTTGTCGTCCCGCCGAGAGATCTGGGACATCCCGTGAGTTGGAATATATAACGCCCACTGGATTAAGAGCCGTCAGACTGGTTCCCAAAGCAAACACTGAGCTAATTTTTCCAGCATATGCCTTTCATGTCTGGGCTGCTTCAGGCTTTGCTGGGTCACTGGGCTCTTTGTTGCTGCCTCCGCCGAAGTCCCTGGCCCCTCCGCCTCGCTGGCTCCTGGAGTCACCCAAATCCTAATACAGTGTTCTGTTTCACTTGAGGAGCTGAAAGAGCCCCCGAAGAGTTCCTCCAAGATTGGCCTTTGAAATCCACAAGTTAGTGAGAAGGAACCCCCGGAAGTTTTGGATCACATTTCTCCAAGCCCACAGCACATGCTGGCCTGTAGAAGTCAGGTCCTCACTTCAGGATGTGTCCTAGATCCTGTCACACGTGACCCCTCCTGAGGACTGTCTGGTGGTGCTACCCAGCCCTCTGACCAGGGGCCCCCACTGCGTCAAGTTGGTACCCAAACTCCTCCTGTGGCACATAAGACCCCGCCTGGTCTAGCCTCACACTCACCCCTGTGGCACATAAGACCCTGCCTGGTCTAGCCTCACACTCACCCCTGTGGTGAGGAAGGCCCTGCCTGGTCTAGCCTCACACTCACCCCTGTGGTGAGTAAGGCCCTGCCTGGTCTAGCCTCACACTCACCCCTGTGGTGAGGAAGGCCCTGCCTGGTCTGGGCTCACACTCACCCCTGTGGTAAGGCCCTGCCTGGTCTAGCCTCACACTAACCCCTGTGGTGAGTACAACCCTGCCTGGTCTAGCCTCATACTGACCCCTGTGGCACATAAGACCCTGCCTGGTCTAGCCTCACACTCACCCCTGTGGCACATAAGACCCTGCCTGGTCTAGCCTCACACTCACCCCTGTGGTGAGTAAGACCCTGCCTGGTCTAGCCTCGCACTCACCCCTGTGGCACATAAGACCCTGCCTGGTCTAGCCTCACACTCATCCCTGTGGTAAGGCCCTGCCTGGTCTAGCCTCACACTCACCCCTGCGGTGAGTAAGGCCCTGCCTGGTCTAGCCTCACACTCACCCCTGCGGTGAGTAAGGCCCTGCCTGGTCTAGCCTCACACTCACCCCTGCGGTGAGTAAGGCCCTGCCTGGTCTAGCCTCACACTCACCCCTGCGGTGAGTAAGGCCCTGCCTGGTCTAGCCTCACACTCACCCCTGCGGTGAGTAAGGCCCTGCCTGGTCTAGCCTCACACTCACCCCTGCGGTGAGTAAGGCCCTGCCTGGTCTAGCCTCACACTCACCCCTGCGGTGAGTAAGGCCCTGCCTGGTCTAGCCTCACACTCACCCCTGTGGTGAGTAAGGCCCTGCCTGGTCTAGCCTCACACTCACCCCTGTGGTGAGTAAGGCCCTGCATGGTCTAGCCTCACACTGGCTCCCGTAGCTCTGAATTTATTTTTGTTCCCTCGCTGTTTCTGTGCTTCCTATTCCTAAGACATAAGTGGAAACCTACTTGCTGTTTGTATTGGTATGAGTCCAAACAGGAAAAGGAGAAAACATTCTGAATACTGAAAACAGAGAGAATTTAATGCAGGGAATTGGCTACATATTTGATGGCTTTGCTAAGAAACGGACCGAGGGACAGGGAGAAACCCACAGGTGAGCGGGAGCGAAGGCCTCCTCCGTCACACCAGCCAGAGCTGGGGCAGAGGGAGGAGGCAGTGAAGGGTCACCCTGCGGATGTGCTTATCAGGGCCCTGGTTGCTGGGGCACTGGTGCTGCAGGGGAGACAGTGCCTGTGGCCGAGGAGGAGGAGGAGAGAAAACACCCTGGCTCCTCCCTTCCTCCTACCTCTGCTTGTCCCCAGGGTCCCTTATTGGCTGAACCAGCTGGAAGCCAGCAGACATGGGGGGACTGGAGTGCAGCCCTGAGCCACCCTGCAAGACACAGCAGAGTGGGAGGAGGCAGAGTGCACCTGCCAGTGGACCAGTGGATGGACACACAGCTGCATGCCAGCCCTGGAGTCAGGCTGCCCACTCAGATGGGAATCCATCCTTCTGCATCTCTTCTCTTCTCATCATCATTTGCATGTATTTCTCAAACTCCATTGATTGAAAGTGACAGAAACGTACCTAAGAAAAGGAATGAATTGATTGGTTTGTGGAACTGAAAACTCCTGTTGTTGGATTCAGGTAGGGCTGGATCTAGGGACTCAGACAAGTCAGCAGGGTTCCATTTGGGCCACTTCAGCCCTCAGTTTTGCTTTCCTCTGTTGGGGTTCCATGATCAGGGTGGGCCAGGTAGCAGCCCCAGGCCTGAGTCTCATTCTCCCAGCAACCTCAGTGAAAGAGGCAGCCCCTGCTTCCCATTTGCTCCAACCGAAGCCCTGGAACTGAGTCTTCTTGGCCCACGTGGACCAGTTGCTGATATGGGAACTGGCGACTGTGATCTGAGTGGTGAAAGGCTCCGATTGGCCAGGGCTGGATGCCGGACACGGGGGATAATCCCACTGAAAGTGTGGGCTAAGGGAGGAATGGAGGAGGCAACACCGATAGAGAAAGTAATGGACCTCGAGGGGACAAAAGAATCTTTGCTTTTTCTTGGCACTGGTACCCAACCAAAAGAACCGGGCAACTTGGCTGTATTTATTCCGCTGGCTACATCATCTGCCTTTCCGAGTCTTCCAAGGAAGACAGAATTTAACCCTGAAGGGTCTACGCATCCTACTGGAACTTCATCCTGCTTCTCTCTAGGAGCCCTGGAGGTCTCCTGGCTGGACGCTGTGGAGCTGAGAATGGGGCTCCTTCTGGGGGATGTTGCCTGCGCTTTGCTTCGTGGTGTTCTGGGCTTGTCTGAGGATGTGCCGGGAAGGGAATTTTGCCAAGCTGGTAAGAGCACGTGATGGGAGGCTCGACATATAAAGGAAGCCCCCGAGGCCTGCCCTATCCACAAGGTCTGGGTCATCATGGTGTCCCAAGCCTCTCCCATCAGTTTCCCATGTGTTTATCCCAGTTACCTGGAGGAATACGCAGGAACCAAGTCTTCCTTGCCTCCTAGCACAGAAGACTGAGGGCCAGTGAGGTTGAGGGAGATGCCTGGGGCCGCTCTCCAAAGAATCCCAATGGCAGCCACCACTGTGTATGGAGTGCTGAATCAACACCTGGCTTTCGTCCTAAGAACAGTGTGAAGCCATCAATGGGTGTGAGGCACGGGGTAGCTGTGTGGGCATAGGATCTGCACACAAGGGAGGGGAAGCTCAGGGATGAAGCCCCAGCATCTTCTCACCAGAGTGCAGCTGGGAGTCCAGGATTCCATGTCCAGTCCTGCCTGCCTCTGAATCTGGAGTTCCAGCAAAATTAGGCAGAAGATCTGAAGACCACCGTGGGATCTCTAGTGGAACTCTAGGCCGTTCCGCTTTAGCAAGTTATCTCTTGGCACATTAGTTTGTGAATGGAGGCAGCTCGTGAGAAAGAGGCCGCAGACCCCACGGGCTTCTCACTCCTCCCCGAGGAGCCAGGGCCTGGTCTTAATTTCCAAAATGTTTCTGAATAGACTGATTTCTGTTCAAGGGCCTGTGACCTGGGGATCTATCCTGGCTGGAAGCTGTGGAGCCGAGGACGGGGCTCACGCTGAGGGACGTTGCCTGCACTTTGCTACCTGGTGTTTAGGGCTTGTCCAAGGACACGGCAGGAAGGGAATTTTGCCAAGCTGGCAAGAGCATGTAAAGGGAGGCCTGGCACATAAAGGAAGCCTGGGGGGTCTGCAGCTTCCCTCTCCCAGCACTGCTTCCATTCATGCGTTGATGCACCAGGAGACACCTTCCTAAAATGGAACAATCTACAGTGGTCTTCAGATTTTCTGCCCAATTTCACTTTATAGGCAGCAATGAGAAGAGACTCATCTAAGATGACCCAGTGAATGAACGGCTGGAACAGGACCAGAGACCAGAGAACAGGACCACAGACCAGCTCTCCTGGCAAGCAGTCTGCTCCCCAACTCTTCCCATTCATTCCTAGGAGAAGGGCACTGGGATTCCAACAGGAATCCTAGCACCAAAAGCTCCTAGCAAGGAGTTAAGAGTCGTGCTTTTTATAGAAACAGCCTCAATGGGCTGTGCTTCCCTGCCTGGGAGGGGCAACGATCGGGTCCCCATGCGGCTGCACCAAGGCTGATGGCTTGCTATGCGTCACTGAACCTCCATCTCTCCATCAGGGCAAATGAATCATAACTGATGCTCCGAAGGCAGTTTACATCTAAACATGCATGCTCCTGATGAGCTCTCATCTCCTTCCTCATCCTCCATCACTCCTGCCTCATGCTTCATGCTCCAGTGACCCCAGCCTGCCCAGAGTTCGTGGAATGCTCTGTGATGTTTCAGGATGCTGTCGCTGTGTGGCTGTCCCAGCAGCCTGAAATTGAGCCATCCCAGCCTGCCTTTTCCTGAGCCGTCCTTTGAAACAGGCTCAGATTTTCCCTTCTCCTGGAACCTTTCACACCCTGCCTCACCTTCAGCTGAATCATTTCTCTCTGCTTTGTGGTCCTAGGGCACCTGCCATTTTTCACCTGGAGCTCCTACCTGGATGCCTTGCACACCTGTCATCCCAGTGGGCTGTGAACTGCTTGAGGACTGGGCAGGTCCCTTTTTCTCCCACCTCCACTGCCTCTTGCAGGTACTGGGAAGACAGTAGGCATTCAATAAATATCAATGAAAGCCTGCAGTGGGCACTCAAAAAATACTGATATAAAAACTAAACTTGGCTGCCTGCACTGTGTCAGGCACAGTGGGACAGGAATTCTCTGCTCCAGCTGCACCTTAGCATCCCCTGGGGGAGGGTGGCTTTTAGAAATGTAGCTGGCACCTCACCCAGATGAAAACATCAACAGAACTTTTTAAAAACTCTCAAGGCAAACATAATCAGCCAGAGATGAGTCTGCTGGGCTGGGGGATAGAAAATGGTAAAGGCCTGTTTCCCCTGACTTTGAGACGTTGACATGACCAAACTGATATTTTTTTTCCAAGAAAGAAGAGTCATTCTTAAAGGAGGTGCTGGGAAGAGCAGCAAAGCCTCCCCTGACACCCTGTTGGAGACGCAGGTTCTGGAGCCCCACCCTAGACCTGCTGAATCAGAGACACTAACAAGGGTCTAGCCATCTGGGGGTGAACGTGCTCTGCAGGGGGCCTCAGGGTGCTGGAGTTTGAGAACCGCTGCTCTAAGACCTTGTCTCTCAGAGTGTGACCCACTCACCGCCACACCAGAAACACACAGGATGTTGTTAAAATGCAGATTCCCAAACCCCTTTCCAGATGGACTGGCGTGGAACCTTGGAGTTGCGGGGGGGGAGGTAGCATTTTATAGAAAGCTCCCCAGAGATTGTTAACCTTATGGAGACTGGATAACTAGTGCTCTAATCTAATGACAATGCTGATAAATACTATGTGCCCAACCCCTCCCCTCTCAAAGCCAGGACTTGGGTGATTAGGGCCTGGCTGCTCATCACACACTCATTCTTGGGGGTCTCCTGGGCCTTCCGTCTTTTGGGCCTCTTGGAATGCAGTTATGGTTGCCCATGACCCTGTTTCAAAGACTCTTTGGTCTGGTCAATGTCCACCCTCCACTGACACTCAGGAGCAGAGGAGCCCTGGAGCTCCCCCAACCCTCATTCTCCTTGCCAGTGTCTCCCCTGCGCCATCCCGCCTCAGAAAGGGACCTTGGAAAGTCATCTTCCTCCTGGGACGCCCGGCCCATCATCACCAACAGACAGCATAGACAACAGAGTTGCCACTTGAGACTCTGCGTCAACTTCTAGCTCTACCTCTGGGGCCAGAGAACTGCCAAGTCTTCTAACCAACATACATTTGGTGATCAGAAAACACCCTGTGGTGAGAGGGGGTGGGGATCAGCAGCACAGAGGGACCTCAACTTGTGCACATTTAAGCAAACACATGAGCTTTCCAGCTGCTGAGCCGGCAGTGTGATCACGCCCCATTCCACTTTTCTTCCATCAGCAAAACAATGCCAGGCCTGAAGGGAAATGGAGAGCTGTCCTGCCCAGGACGACAGCAGCCCCTGCTCAGTTTCCTGTTGTTCTCGCGATGGCGACCGCAGCCAAGTGGCCCCTTCGGATGCTCTGGGGGAAGCTTGCTTTGGGCTCCGCCAACTGCCTGAAAAGCACTCGCTCCGTATGGCACCTGCAGAGCCTTGTCATCGGAGAATTTTCTTTGGCCTCAGCCTTAGTGGGTGGGTCAGCATCTGCCTGTGGGGAAGAAGAATTTATTTTCTAAATTCTAGATTTACGAAAGAAAACATTTTGCCTTCAAAGCCACTGGTGAGCCCTATTGGGTACAGGGTGTGTTGAATTTCATCCACGTCTTACCATCTCAGGACCAAAAGAGAGGACCAAAGTTGTAAAAATAACCACATCACAGGCTGGAAAAGCCCATAAGAGAGAAACAAGGTCAGTGGTTTTTGAACTCGGTTCCAAGAAACCTAAAGGTGCCTCAAAAAGCGCATGGGGAGAGGGGACTGTGGGGTCTACTGAATATTAGCAGGGTGACTTTGGACAAATGAATTCCCTTCTGGAAACCTCACTTTCCTCATCTGTGAAATGGAGGTCATGTGCCTACCTTCCCTATGTCATAGAGTTATTGAGAGGATGAAATGGGACAGTTCTAGGCACCTGGTGACAGCTCGATGCACTTGGACCTAGTTTCAACCTGCAGGATGATTTGGCGGAAAGGACAAAGGGCATTTCAGGACAAAGGCTGGCAAAGCAAAGGCCAGCTGGCAGGTGTGTGTGCCATGTGTGGGGAAGGAGGAGCCGACCCCAAGTGGCTGGGCAGGGGGTGCTCCTTAGCTTCCAAGTGCTGGCCTCTCTCACTGACCCCCTCAGCTAAGCCTCCGTTCCAGGACACACGGACTTCTCTTTCCATCTGCCTCAGGGCATTTCCTTCCTGGACCCAAACTGATCAGAGACAGACAATGAGCTTCTTTATAACATCTTCCACAATTTAGGGTGAGGACATATAGAAAAGAAGTGGTCTTGCTGCTGGAAATGTTCGCAAACCCTTGTGACTACAGATTAACTTACTTCATTAGTTCTAGTAATGGTCATGGTAATAAAAAAGAAAAAACTTATCACCATTATCATCATCATTACTGCCAACATCGTCATCATCACCATCATCATCACCACCATCATCACCACCATAACCATCATCACTGTCACCATCACTATCACCATCACCATCATCATCACCATCACCATCATCACCATCATCACCATCACCATCATCACCACCATCACTGTCACCATCACTATCACCATCACCATCATCACCACCATCACTGTCACCATCACTATCACTATCACCATCATCACCACCATCACCATCATCACCACCATGATCACCACCATCAACATCATCACTGTCACCATCACTATCACCATCACCATCATCACCACCATCACCATCACCATCATCATCACCATCACCATCATCACTGTCACCATCACTATCACATCACCATCATCACCAACATCACCATCACCATCATCACCATCACCATCATCAACATCATCACCATCATCATTACCGTCATCACCATCATCATCATAACCATCATCACCATCACCATCACCATCACCATCAACACCATCACCATCACTATCGTCATCACCATCACCAACATCATCATCACTGCCAAGGAGAAGCAAGGCCATTGGATGGTTGTGGACAGTAATTTCCCCAAATAGATTTAGTGAGCAGGATACAGACTGCTAACACCAACATGGGTTGAGTCAGGCTAGTGATGTGTCACAGAATGAGACAGTGAAAGCCCCTGCCCTCAGGCAGCTAATGTTTCCAGGGGAGGAAGGAACTTGATCCATGCGCATTAGCTTGGTACTTTCACTGTGGGGCCAGTGGAAGTGAAGGGATGAAGTTGGAAGATAGAAGCTTGGCATTGTTTTGGCTTCAGCATCTCCAAGAATCGCAGATGAGCTTGATCTCACTGACTTCCAGCACTGGGATGACAGCCTGTGTTCAGAAGAAATGTGAAGCTGCCTTCAGACTGTGTGCTTGAGACTTGCCTGACCTGGGCCTGGAGAAAGGAAGCGTAGCCAGAGTGTAGATGGAGGTCCCAACTCTAACCCACCCCCAGAGCTCACAATATTTGCAAAATTATTTCAAAAATCTTTGTGTAAAAGCTCACACCTATAATCCCAGCACTTTGGGAGGCCGAGGCGGGCAGATCACGAGGTCAACAGATCGAGACCATCCTGGCCAACATGGTGAAACCCCGTCTCTATTAAAAATACAAAAATTACCTGGTCATGGTGGCACGCACCTGTAGTCCCAGCTACTTGGGACGTTGAGGCAGGAGAATCGCTTGAACCCAGGAGGCAGAGGTTGCAGTGAGCCAAGATCGCGCCACTGCATTCCAGCCTGGTGACAGAGCGAGACTCCATCTCAAAAAATAAAAAATAAACTTAAAAAATTAACTGAAATGTTAAGTATTGAACAAGGTGCATATCACACAATCCTATAGGGAGAGGAAGAGGTAGGATGTTGTCAGGCACTAAAAATGTCCTGCAGGCCCTCCTAACACATCACGATTTTCCAAAGGGTGGACCCACTGGACTGATTAGAGACAGGAAGAGGCATGGGGGTGGCAAATGTATATGTTCCATTTCTAGAATTCAGAGGCCAGTTTCCTTGTTTAGGGGGGCAAAAGTGTTTAAAATAGATAAATCACAAAGGAAAAATGAAAATTGTTCAATTTTGTTGTCAAGGTTACAACTCCCGCAGCATTAAAGCTGCAAGGCTTTGGCCAGGCTCAGTGGCTCACGCCTGTAATCCCAACATAAATGTTGGGAGGCTGAGGCGAGAGAATCACTTGAGCCCAGGAGTTTGAGACCAGCCTGGGCAACATAGTGAGACCCTGTCTGCTCAAAAAAATTTTTTTTAATTAGCTAGACATGGTGATACACACCAGAGCCTGAGGCAGGAGGATTGCTCGAGCCAAAGAGGTCAAGGCAGCAGTGAGCTATGATGGCACCTCTGCACTCTAGCCTGGAAGAGAGAGCGAGGCCCTGCCTCAAAACACACAAACAAACAAACAAACAAACAAAAACAGAAGAAGAAGAAGAAAAAAGTTGCAAGGCTTTGCTACAGAAATTTTCCTGGTGCTTCATGGAGCCTGTTTGGAGTTTCTGACTGCTGCCATTATGCTAATCACCACCACCGCCATCATCATCTTCCTCACCATCATTATCATCTTCATCTTCATCATCACTGTAATCATCACCATCATCATCAGGATCACGGGTGTCATCCTTATAATTACTGTGACTCATGTCAACAAGCAGCCCAGAGTGATTCTGTGGTTCTGAAGCTGCCGGGTGCAGGCCGGCAGCAGCAGACTCTTCTGGGAGGAGCTTCCTAAGACTTGGACGCTTTTCTCTTCAGCTCCTCTTTACACAATTATGGGTAACCAGGAGCCCAGCATTTTATGCACCAGCTGTAGCGTCACCTCTGTCCCCCAGTTTTACCCAGAGCCTGACCTCACAAGTCAATTACAGCTGTTTTCATTGTGCTCATCAGCTTCCAGCATCCACCCTGGCCTGGCTTTCAACAGAGGGTGGATTCCCATGAACTCTATTCTTTATGACCAGCTGGTTCCGATTAGAGATGAACCAATAAAGCCGGGAGTAATATAGTCGCAGCGTGTTCCTGAACGTAGCACTTCTCCACCATGTGCTTTCATTTACCAGCTGACCAATAAAACCTAGCCTTTCAACAAGGTGGATTTCATAGCTCACATATTTTGCTCATTTTGGTATATGCAGCTTTTTAGAGACTGAAAAAACAGGGGGGATGACATAGGCTTGGTGAGTGCGTAAGTGTGTGAGCTTTGTGGGGGTGTGAGAATGTGTGTGTGCGAATATGTGAGAGTATGTGCATGTGTGTGAATATGTGAGTATTTGTAAAAGTGTATGAGTGTGAGAGTGTGTGATGTATTAGGTCAGACGAAGCGTCTCTCTGACAGGCAGTAAGCATTGACTTCAGAGCATCTAAGATTTCTATACAAATGCTCCTTGTCAGCACCCTTGGTTAAAAGGATTATGAACATAAGAAGAAATATACAATATGGCATTTTCCTCCCTCATTTTTATGAGAATGAGAACTATTCCTTTCCTTTCTAAATATTTACTTTCCACCTGTTTTTTCGTTTCCCTTTAAAGATGGCCATGACTCATGAGTTTCTCTTGCCTTTGTGCTGGATGGAATTGTTGACTATGAAAACGGCAGTCACGTTTTAAGTAAGGAAAGTCCCACATTGTAGCTTTGTGGCCTGGGAGAAATTCTGTAGGAGTTCCAAAAAGAAGGAAGACAACCTTCCTATTAGGCCAGCCTGTCAAAAGAGGGCACTGTATTTTTTTAAGGTAGTTCAAAGGTGAGTAGAAAAAAATCCTTGGAAAACAGGCAGGAGTTTATCACAACCCTGCAGGGTACAAAGGTGCAGACTTGGTGCTTCTGTCTCCGGCTTGGTTCCTCAGTTAATTTCTTCCTCTCCCACATGGAGAGCTTGCATTGGGTGCAAACACCAGGCAGACAGAGGCAGCAAAAGTTCATCTTAAACAAGAAAATGGCCAGACACTGTGGCTCAGGCCTGTAATCCCAGCACTTTGGAAGGCTGAGGCGGGCGGATCACAAAGTCAGGAGTTCGAGACTAACCTGGCCAGACGGCGAAACCCCGTCTCTCTGAAAATACAAAACTTAGCCAGGCACAGTGGCAGGCCTCTGTAATCCCAGCTACTCGGAAGGCTGAGGCAGGAGAATTGCTTGAACCTGGGAGGCAGTGGTTGCAGTGAGCTGAGATCGCGCCACTGCACTCTAGCCTGGGTGACAGAGTGAGACTCTGTCTCAAAAAAAAAAAGACAAAAACAAAAACAAAAAACAAAACAAAACAAATAAAACACACATACATGAAAATGGTTTGAGAACAGGAGCACTAGGATGCTTCAGGTACCACTCAGCAGCCCAACTCCATCTAGATCAGGAGATGGGTGATGGGAGGGATGGTCCCTGCCAATCTCTGGTGCTGTGGCTCCTTGCCTCTGTGGTTCTGCACCACAGGTCTGGCTTGCTCCCCGATGATGCTGTTCACAGCTGAATCCCCACCTAAGCGCTGTGGCTGGCATTCAGCTGGTGCGCAATAAATGTGTGTGCCTGAATGTGTCATCAGGGAACGTGTGAGGAGGGTCCTGGGGAGGCTTGCTGAAGGAGGCAGGTTTGAGCCTGGTGGCGTGGATTCCGTTCAGGAGAGAAAAGATGGTTTTAGATGAGACTTGGAATTGAGTATTGGAATCACAAAAACAGAAGAGTGGAGACCACCAGCCTGGTCTCCTGCAAAGCAACTGGCAGGGTGCCTTTAAGAGCAGGAGCACTATAAACCATAATTTACCATTCATTCATTCATTCATTCATTCATTCATTCAGGAAATGAGGCCACAATGGTGAGTGACATCCATCCCTGCCCTCCTGGAACTCACCTTCCAGGTGGGAAAGACAGAAAATCAACAGACAAGACTGTGAGATTGTGGCCAGTGCTTGATGAAACAGAGCACTGCTGGGGTGATCAGAGAAGGCTCTTCTCAAAAATTCACGATGGAGTTAAAACTGAAGGGAAAAATGAAGGATCGCCATCCCCATGGAAGAGACAAGAACAGCATTCTGGGGAGAGGCAGCAGTGTGTGCGGAGGCCCAAGGTGGGCTCTACTGGCCATGCCCACAGATCAGAGAGGAGCTTGAGTGGTTGGAGGTCAGTGAGGTGAGACTCTAGCACTGGTTTCTCAGCCTAGGCTATGCACTAGAAATCCAGCAATCCAGGCTGCACCCCCAGAAAGCAGAATCTGGAGGCAGGACTGAGGGGGTCAATGTTTTTTCAAGGGCTGCCAGGGATGCCCATGGGCTGCCAGGGTTGAGCACCCCAGTGCCAGGCCGGGAGCAGGTGAAGTATGTTAGAACAGGAGAACGGTGAGCTGGATTGGACACAGATGGTGTCTGTGGAGACAGACAGAAATGGTGGCATCAAGGGAAGAAAGTCTGGGCAGATGCTCCAATGCTGAGAAACCAAAGGGATGGGCGGGGGACTGCGGAAGGCTGCCCTACAGAGGGGTATTACTTGGGGTCTGAGGATGTGTAGGATTTAGACAGTTAAAGGGAGGGGAAGGACAGGAATGGTCTGGATGAGCACTGCATCCAGAGGCACAGATGAAACTGGACACTTAAGGCAGACATAGGAAGCTCGGGTGGCCAAGGGGAGGGGACCCAGGAGGGGACACCCTGCGGCCAGATTGTGCAGTGCTGCAGGCTCACTGGAAACTGTCGAGTTTTCTTCTAGGGACTGTCCGCAAACCCAAGACGAGCACTGAGTGCCAGGAGTTTATTTGGGTGGATCCCAAGAAGCTTAGTAGCAGCGTGAGGACGTGTGACAGGGAAGGGAAGGAAGCCACGGTGGGGAGTGCTGACAGTCAGGCTTCCCTAGGGACACCTGGACTCGGACCCATCAGAGGCTTCCTGGAGACAGTGGGGAGCACCCCTCAGGTGGTCTGCATGAGCGGTGAGGGAGCTGGGGTATTGATCCTTCAACCCAAGCTGGCGGAGGCTATTCCTGGGCCATCCACCCTACAGCAACTCTTTCTGCCCCTGCGTGGGTTGAGCGTGCTCCCTCAGCCAGAGACACCCATGGGATGGGGCCACTGGTGCTGGCAGCAAGAAGCCACCTGCAAATGGACTGAGGCCCGCAGCTGTGATACTAGCCTGGCTGCATGTTAGAGTCACTTGGTGACCTTAAAAAAAATAACAATAAAAGCATATTAGAGTCACTCGAAGAATTTTTTGAAGAATCAAAGCACACATGCACACACACACACACACCAAACACATATCACGTTCATACATCACATACACACAAATCACACACACACATAAACACACATGGACACATACCACACACATCACACACATCACACACATCACATACACACATCACACACTACACACAAATCACACACACATACACACACATCACACACACACACATACACACCACACATATCACACATACACCATACACACATCACACACACATAAACACACACCACCCACACATCACATACCACACACATACACACACCACAAACCACACACACATAAACACCACATACACACACAACACACCACACACATACGCACACACATACACATACACCTGGAGGTTCAGGTTGGCCTGCGAGGCCCAGGCTCAGTATTTTTATGAGTATTCCAAGTGATTTCCAGGTAAAACCAGACAGAGATCCCCTGCCTAAGTAACAGGGAGTATTATAAGGGTTGTAGGCATGAGAGCCAACTTGACCTGAAATCTGTGTCCCAAAACTGTGCTCAGGCTCTTGATCTGGGGTGGTTATGGGTGCTGGGCAGAGGTAGCCCTGCCTGGGGAAATCAGCAGGCACTTTTCTTGGCTTGAACGTGATTGTCCGCTAAAATTTAATAACCCAGGCTTTTTCTCCGTTTCTCTTAAAGTGAGTAAGTTTTTGCTGGCATGCAAGGAAAGAAAAACAATCAAGTACAAATATTCCTCACTTGGAACTTTTCAAAAGAGACAACGTGTAGAGGAAATGTCCAGTTGCTTCCTTTTGCAGAGGGTCACTGCAGCCGCGTGAACTCCTGCCTCTGAACTCATCACACAACGTCCCTCCTCACTGCAGCCGCGTGAACTCCTGCCTCTAAACTGGTCACACAACGTCCCTCCTTAGCCCAGCGGCTGCATTGTCACTTTTCGGTAGGAGAGTGGAAATCAGGTCAACCTTCCCATTAGGCCAGCCTGTCAAAAGAGAACACTTTATTGTTTCAAGGTAGTTCAAAGGTGGATGGAAAAAAATCCCTGGAAAAACAGACAGGCGTGCATTGCAGCTCTGCACAGTACAAAGGTGGACACTCGGTGCTTCTGCCTCAGGCTTGGTTCCTGGGTCAATTTCTTCCTCTCCCACATGGAGGGTCCTCATTGGGTGCAAACACCAGCTAAACGGAGCCAGGAAAATATCACCCACAAAGGGAGTGGGCGGCCTTGCCCATCATCCGGTGGAATGGCTTCCTTGGAGGAGGCATGTTTTCTATGTCTGCATGAGGAGTGTTTTAATTTCTTCCCGTTGCTAGCAGGACAGCGTCATCCATGTGGCTAGGGGTGGGCTTTGGGCTTTTCTTTTTTCTTTTCTTTTTTTTTTTTTTTTTTCCGATACAGGGTCTCACTCCAGTTGCCCAGGCTGGAGTGCAGCGGCACCATCTCACCTCACTGTAGCCTCAAACTCCCGGCCTCAGGTGATTCTCCCAGCTCAGCCTCTCGAGTAGCTGGGAATACAGGAGCATGCCACCACAGCCGGCTAATTTTTTGTGTTTTTAGTAGAGACAGAGAGGCAGTTTGCTATGTTGCCCAGACTGATCTCAAACTCCTGGGCTCAAGTGACCCGCTTGCCTAGGCCTCCCAAATTGCTAGGATTACAGGCATAAGCCACCACACCTGGCCCTAGAGGTAGGCTTTCCAACTTTCTGGTGAATACCATCATTTAACGTTCACCTGCCATGTGTCAGGTAAGAAGTGACACTGGGGACTCAGCCTTGACTGTCTCATGCAGGAGGATCGGGGAACTCTTTCTGAGGAAGGTGGTGCTTTGGCTGATGCATTCCACACTTTTCTGGTTTTATTCTCTTGATGGCAAACGCTCACAAAATAGAGATGAGCAAAAGCACCATAAGAATCTCTCAAAATTATGGTGACCAAGTAATTTATTAGCCAAATTGGGACACTTTGGAAGTGACAGAAGACACTGTGATTAATTGATTAATTACACCAGGAAAAACCCGGCAGGAAGCAGTGCTATTTGGAGCCAAATGGGCCATCTGGGAGCTCTGCTCCTAACTCCGCTCCCAGCGGCAACCACCACCAACGTCTGGAGCACATTCTTCTGGCCCTTTTTCTACGAAGAAGTACAGACAATGTTTTCCATGAAGACGGGATCTTGCTCTGCATTCTAATTTGAAGGTGACCATGGACTTCATGGTCCTAAGTGGGAGTGTGAAGAGTGAGAGGGGAAGAGTCAGATACTCCTGCTGGGACAACAGGATGTAAGGCCACCGTCGCTATTTTGAATCCTGTCTTTTTTCCACTTGAAACATCATAGCATCTTTCTATTTTACTAAGTGTTTTCTTTTCCCATAAAAACATTTCTGATAGCTGCCTAGTATTCCAGCATGCAAGCGTGCCATCTCCTCAGCTGAACATGTTGATGGTCTCCCATTATTCTGCTGTCAAAACAGTGCTGGGGTGATCATCCTTTGAGCCAGTGCCTGATGCAAATCCATGATTATTTCTCCAGGACAAATGCTTAGTTTTTAAAATGTAAATTTTAAGATTAAATTGCTAGGCAGAAAGGTATGGGCTCCTTTTAAATACTTCAGCCCTGCTTTACCCAACCATCCCTTGTGAAAATTAATCCCCCCACCCCGACTGCTGGGTGTAAAGGGACAATGATGGGATGATTGTGTTTTAGATTCTTGGACTATTTGGTAAGTGAAAAGCGGCCGTGTTGAGCATGGAGGGTGAGTGGGAACTGTCAGAAGAAGCAGGGAGGTGGGGTATTCCAAGTAGGTGGAAAGACTCACCCAAGGCGAGGGGTAATGGAAAACTGCCCAGTTTGGAGGTTCTGTTTATCATCAATGTTTTGCATTTTAGAAAACTAGACCACCTTCATTTCTGGGCCCATAAATAGATTGAGAACAAATACAGATTATAAATATATTAACTCATCCCACTTTGACCCTCTTTTCCAAAATAAACATAACTATTAACAATAATGGCTCTAACACCTTCCTGTCTGCAGCCGTGGAAATAGTAACTGCATGGCCATATCTCAAACACCCTTAAGCTAGTGACACGAGGTTTTTCTGTCTCCATTTCTACAGTTGGGGAAACTAAGGCCTAGAGGAAATTCCATACTCAGCCTGTAGTCAACTTTGGGTTTCCAGTTTCCCTTTGCTGGGTTGCTGTGATTTCTAATCACACCAGATTCCCAGGTTTCTGAATATGGTGATGATGGTGATGATGATGGTGGTGGTGGTGGTGATGATGGTGATGATGGTGGTGGTGATAATAATGATTGTGGTAATGATGATGATAAGGATGGTGGTGATGGTGGTGATGGTGATGATGGTGATGATAAGGATGGTGGTGATGATGGTGATGGTGGTGATGGTGATGATGGTGATGATGGTGATGATAAGGATGGTGGTGATGATGGTGATGGTGGTGATGGTGATGATAATGGTGGTGGCAATGGTGATGATGGTGATGATGACAATGGTGGTAATGACGATGGTGGTGGTGATGATGGTGATGATGGTGGTGGTGATGATGGTGACGGTGGTGATGGTGATGATAATGGTGGTGGCAATGGTGATGATGATGATGATGGTGATGGTGATGATGACAATGGTGGTAATGATGATGGTGGTGGTGATGATGACGGTGGTGGTGATGATGACAATGGTGGTGATGGTGATGATGGTGGTGGCGGTGATGCTGAAGATGACGGTGATGATCATGGTGGAGATGAAGGTGATGATAATGACAGTGGTGATGGTGATGACGATGGTGGTGGTGATGATGGTGATGATAATGGTGGTGGCAATGGTGATGATGGTGATGGTGATGATGACAATGGTGGTAATGATGATGGTGGTGGTGATGGTGGTGATGGTGATGATAATGGTGGTGGCGATGGTGATGATGATGATGATGGTGATGGTGACGATGACAATGGTGGTAATGATGATGGTGGTGGTGATGATGACAATGGTGGTGATGGTGATGATGGTGGTGGCAGTGATGCTGAAGATGATGGTGGTGATCATGGTGGAGATGAAGGTGATGATAATGACAGTGGTGATGGTGATGATGATGGTGGTGGTGATGATGGTGATGGTGGTGATGGTGATGATAATGGTGGTGGCAATGGTGATGATGGTGATGGTGATGATGACAATGGTGGTAACGATGATGGTGGTGATGATGACAATGGTCGTGATGGTGATGCTGGTGGTGGTGGTGATGGTGGTGATCATGGTGGAGATGAAGGTGATGATAATGACAGTGGTGACGGTGATGATGGTGGTGGTGATGATGGTGATGGTGGTGATGGTGATGATGGTGATGGTGATGATGACAATGGTGGTAACGATGATGGTGGTGGTGATGATGACAATGGTCGTGATGGTGATGCTGGTGGTGGCG
Organism: Homo sapiens; assembly: GCF_000001405.40. Taxonomy (NCBI): domain Eukaryota; kingdom Metazoa; phylum Chordata; class Mammalia; order Primates; family Hominidae; genus Homo; species Homo sapiens. The sequence continues at coordinate 86,862,175 of NC_000016.10, forward strand.
GTGATGGTGGTGATCATGGTGGAGATGAAGGTGATGATAATGACAGTGGTGATGGTGATGATGGTGGTGATGGTGATGATGATCATGATGGTGATTGTGGTGATTACAGTGATTATGATGATGGTGATGATGAAGACAGCGATGACTAACAGTTATATGAAACTCACCACATGCTGGCCCTGATCTATGTCCTTTGTATAACAAGTCATTTCATTCTCATAATTACCCAGGGAGTGAGGAATTATCAGTATTCCTATTTTACTGATGACTAACTTGAGGCTTAAAGGGTGAAGCCCTTTGTTCAATCTCAAAAATGACATTTTAAAAACACTCGTTCTGGGAGTAGTGACATACAGAAATACTCATTCTGGGAGTAGTGAAAATAAGAAGTTTTGTTTCTTTGGATGCAGAAAATATTACTATAAAAACTTGTTTTTAGCTCATTTGGGAACTAAGGTCAGCAGGGTCTCCTTGCCTTTTCTTTTCTTTCTTCTTTTTTATATATTTATTTTTAAATATTTGAGTCTCCATTTCACTCACAGTCTGTGAAAAACATTTGTCCCTTTGGAGGTGTTTATTCACCCTGGAAACCTGGCTGCCATCCAAGCGCCATTTTCCAGCTCTCAGTGTAAACCAGGGATGCACGTGCTCAAAACAGAACACAGCGAGGTGGCGCTCATTTGTTGAAACCCCCTCGAACCCCACATTGTTTACTTCCTTGCTTTCACCTTGTTTATTGTACCAAAAAAACCCAGCACAACATAAAATGAAAACCAGGCAGAACAGGCGGAGTATGTTCAGGATTTTCCATAGGTGCTCAGCATTTTCTGATGACTTGGCAGAGGGAGGAGATGGATGAAGAAAGATCCGTCACAGCCGTGCCGCACCAGTAGAGTCGGCTCTGTGGAAGCCTGGAGGTGCTTTACAGCCGGGCGGGTCGTGTGACAGGCTCTCCCTGAAACTTCATGGGCCTTCAAGAAGGGCACTGTGCTAGCTGCTAAGAGTCAAATGGAGGAGAAGCCTGAAATTTGTGAACGTAAGGAACTTCAGTCTAGGGTGTGGGGTGGGCAGAGAAGTAAATAGGCAACTACAATGTCACATGGGACAGTCCGTGGTGGGGTACAGCTGAGACCGTTCCACTTTATATCCACTTTATTGACGATACACAAGGAGTTCATGCTTCCCTGCCTCTCTTGCAGGCAGCTGGGTGATTAGCTCTGGACAACAGACTGTGAGCAACAGTGACACGGGCCACTTTGGATCCTGGGCAGTTGAGGCAGGAATGAGTTCTCTCTACTCTTTGCTCCCTGCTGTGCCCAGGAGTGGTGCCTCCTTCAGTCTGAGTCCCTAACAATGGTGTGGAACAGGGACCTGGGCTTTCTGGAACATGCCATGTGAGTGAGAAGCAGATGTGGGTTGCATGAAGTCCCTAAGGTTTCAGGGTTTATTTCTGACTGCAGCCCAACCTCGCTGGTCCTGGCTGGTACAAGGGAGCAGTTGCACAGTGCTCTGGGCAAGAGGCAGATGGCAGGGTAGACGGGGCTCAGCAAAGGCTTCCCATGGACAGGAGAGGCAAACTGAGCCCTGATGGAGCTGGCCAGGTGACCAGCAGAGGAAGAGCATTCCAGACAGAGGGAACAGCACATGCAGGTGTTGGGGGAGGACTCTGCATGTCCAGGACTGGGCGGGAGCACCCAGAGCAGACGGAGCGGAGCACGCAGGTGCAGCCTACAGGGGAGGGAGTTGGAGCCCTGGGTTGCACCCTACAGGGGTGCTCTTTATCACAGTGACCAAGGAGAGTCGCTCAGGCATATGTATATATATTTTAAACCAATTCAGCAATTCTTTAATAGTCGTTGGGCAGTTAGCTTTATACAGATGCCTAGTGTCTTTGTCAGGCTTATAGAATGATATTTTCATTTACATTTGCCTGAGGTTGCCTTTTTTTTTCTTTCTTAACTTTTAGGTTCAGGGGTACAGGTTCAGGTGTGTTACATAGTTAAGTTGTGTGTCATGGGGGGTTGGTTGTACAGATTATTTTATTTAGTCACCCAGGCGATAAGCATAGTGCCAGATAGGTTGTTTTGTTTTGTTTTGTTTTTTGAGACATTCTCACTCTGTAGCCCAGTCTGGAGTGCAAAGGCGTGATCTCGGCTCACTGCAATCTCCCCATCCCAGGTTCAAGCAATTCTCCTGCCTCAGCCTCCCAAGTAGCTGGGATTAAAGGCGCCCCAGTATGCCCAACTAATTTTTTGTATTTTTATTAGAGATGGGGTTTCGCCATGTTGGCCAGGTTGGTCTCGAACTCCTGACCTCAGGTGATCCACCCCCATCGCCCTCCCAGAGTGCTGGGATGACAGGTGTGAGCCATCACACCCTGTCCCAGGTTTTTGATCCTTACCCTCCTCCCTCCCTCCACCCTCCAGGAGGCCCTGGTGTCAGTTGTCCCCTCTCTGTGTCCATGCGTACTCAATGTTTATCTCCCACTTGTGAGAACATGTAGTATTTGGTTTTCTGTTCCTGTGTTTGTTTGCTTAGGATAATGGCCTTCCAGCTCCATCCATGTTGCTGCAAAGGACATGATCTCATTCTTTTTTCTGGCTGTGTAGTATTCCATGGTATACATGTACCACATTTTCTTTATCCAATCTACTGGTGGGCATTCCGGTTAATTCCACGACTTTGCTATTGTGAATTCACTCGCATTTTCAGCAGGGAGATGATACGATCACATTGCATGATAAAGGGTTACGTTGGCTCCTGAGTGGCCTGGAGATTAGAAAGGAACAAGGCTGGAGACAGAGACCCCACTGAGTCTCCACTCATTGACACATGTATTCAACCAACGTGTATTGAAAACCTGCAGCACACCGGGCACTGTTCTGGCCCTGAGGAGGCAGCAGTGAGAAAAACGTAGAAGTCACGTGTGTAACACACATGGAGAGGAATGAGACTGGGCGGGGGGTTACGGGGCCAGGCTGTAGTTTGTGCCCTTTCCATGTGTGCATTTTATGTCAACACAATGTCTAAAACATTTCAAGAAATTCATGTTTCATGTTCCAAATAAAAGTCTGCACCCCAGGCTATTTCCCTGAGGAGGTGGATGCGATCGATAACTCCTCCTCAAAACCCAAGCACCGCCTTCCCACCCAACCCCCTGCAGGGGCTGGGAGGGCACAGAGGGCTCCAAGCTTGGGGGACAGAGGCGCATGGGCAGCAGCCCCCAGACAAGGATCACATAGACACAGGGGCGGCTTCCCATGGGGTATGCAAGAAATGTTCTCACATTTTCAATTGTCTTGTATTTATAATACTGTGTTTTAAGAAAAAGATCCCATAACCAACACAAATAATTGTACTGTTTAGAATAAAGTTGAGTAAAAAGACAAAGAAGAGGGTGTCATGTCAATTCAAAGTTGATTCCAAGAAAATATTCACCAAAATGGTAACCAAAGGCAGTCGCAGGACACCCAGACTGTGGGGGAGAGTGCCCAGGGAGGCGAAGCCGGCAACAGCCATGCAGGTAAAAGGCAGGACTTCCCAGTACCCTTTCCTCATCTGTGGAATTAGGAGAGCAAACTCTTCTCTAGTCACCAAGGTAACCGTATGCCATCAGCACGTCTGTGACTTTCTGTTGTCCAGACAAAGCCATTTTCAAAACTCACCCCACAGGGGCACTGGCACCTCTCAGATGGCAAGAAAAATACCAGGGAGGAAAAACAAAATCCGACGATTCAGGCTGCCCCGGGCAGTGGTTCTCTGGCAAGCAGACAAACGCAGGAGGCTTGAGTAACTGGCATCACAGTACCTGGTGCCCGAGGGAGGGTGGTGGCCGTAACAGAGCACTGCACCCTCACGGTCACCCGGGCCCTGAGACTGCCTTAGGAAGCCCTGATGGGCTGTGCGTGACGCTGGGCTGTACACTGTTCCCTTGCTTTGGCCCCAGCCTGGGCCCCATGCCCACGGATGGTACGGATGTCATCAACTTACAGTGTTTATTTTTGGCTTTTTCCATTGCACTTAGAGCCAGCTATCAAGCCAGACACATTTTGCTTTTTTTAACTTAGCCTGGCTTATGAGTCCAATGTTGAACCAGGATCTGAGGGGAGGGCGCGTATCTGCATTGACACAGAAGTCCCAATTGTGTCTCTTGGATGGCAAAATAAAAACAGTTTGCAAAAAACAGGGAAAGAACACAGGCAGAGCAGATGTGGCTCCCGCAGGGGAGGCTCTGGCGGTGGGCTGGCTGAGCCCGTGTCTGCATGAGATGGGATGACATCGGCACCACTGGCAGAGCCTGGACTAGCTGTCCTTCCTTCCCACCAATGTGCGTGACAGGCCGCTGAGCCTCCCGGTGTGCAGGAGCTGAGACTTGCAGCCTACTGAATGCACATGCTACTTCCTCACCAGCCCCAGACCTTGATGGACAGTCATTGCCTTGTTACTTTGATCAGCCACATTGCCGTATATTCATCCGACAAGGTCTGCTACACCCCTTCGGGGCAGGTACTGTGCTCAGTTCTGGGGACCTAACAGAGAACTTGATGGACTCACCCCTGTCCTCATGGAGCTTCCAGACTAGGGAAAAGAGAAGAAGATGTGAGCCACTGAAGGTCTCAGAGTGAGAATGGCCTTGTTGCGTCACTCAGCTCCTGGCTTCTTCCTACCTCTGTAACTCCCCCCATGGGGTCACGTTTCCAATCCTTAAATATGAAGGTTTCCTGGGGCTTGGTCCCTGGTCCTCTTCTTCCTCCTTGTACTATTTCAGGCCTACCCCACAGCTCCCAGACATTCACCTGGTGTCTGAGCTGATCATTTCCAGGTCCAGAGCTCAGGTCTCTGGCCTAACCTCCTAGCAGGCATCTCCACTGGCATCCATCCCACCCACACATCCACTGCCTGGTTCTGTGCACCCAATGCTGCAGACTTGCCCAGGTGGGTCCACTTCTTCCACCTGCAAATCCACAGCCACCCAGCCCAGGCTGTTAGCACCTCCGGCCTGGACCTCCCTGGAGCATTGTGTTGGCCTCCTTCCTGTCTTCTTGTTCCCCTGCCTTGTCCACCTGCACGTTACCCTTAGCCCAGTAATCACAGTGGCCCTTGTAAATCCTGAGTAGAAGAGGCCCTCCCTCTGCTGAGAACCCCGCCACAGCCCCTTGTCCCTCAGAGTCAACGCTAAAGTCTTTACAGGCTCCCAGGGCTCTCTGCTCTCCCCACTCCCCCTTTCCCTTTGAACTCCCTCATTTCCACTGCTCCCACTCACCATGTCACAGCCAGGCTCATCTCCTATTCCTCCATAAGCAACCTGCCTCAAGACCCTTGCTCTTTCTGCTCCCTCTCCTGGCATGCTCTTCCCCTGATATCTCTATGGCTCCCATCTTCCCTTCCATACGCTTTTACTTCTACAATGCCGCCCTCTCTGCAGCCTTCAGTGACTTCTCTATTTACAATGCAGACCCCACACCCATCCCCCCTACACCTATTTTCTCCCCATGTGTTCATGTCTGTGCACTTTACTTACTGATTTTATTGTCTGAGTCCTCCCTCCAGAACATAAGCCCCTGAGGGCAGGAGTCTGTGCAGTTTTGTCCCCTGCTGTGAATAGACACATTTAATCACCCATTCCACTGTGGTGTGCGTTTCAGTTGCTTTCAGCTGGGGTTCCTACGGGTAGTGCTGCTACGTGCACCCCAATCCTTAATTGCAGGAATGGATATCCTTCAAACTGACGGCTTAGACACAGGTTTACCGCAATGTGGGTGTGGTCTCAACCTCTCCTCCACCCGGGCAGGTCCTGCTCGCCCAGTTGCCATTTTTGTTAGCTAGCAGAAATGGCCATTCTTTCAAATGACATGGATTGCCAAAAATAATAACGCAGCCAATCTAAGGGGCAATTTTAAAATCCCCATGCCAACACTTCTCAATCCAAACTCAGGGTGATCCCCTTTGGATGGTGGAAAGGGGACTGCGCCCTTGAGGGCACTTTTCCCAGGCCACTGCCCCCCAGGTCCAGCCACTCGTAGTGGCCGCTGCCCACAGCTGGCAATGGTAATGGCATCTGGAGACAGGGCGGCCGACACCCTCTGACCTTTGTGTGAGGGTGAGGTGGGCGGAGGGGGTGAGGAAGGGACCAGGGCTGGCCCAGCTTCGGGACACCCGCGGCCCCTCCCTGGAAGGAGGGGCTTCCCAGAAGCCCTCCCAGGGAGAACCCATCACACGGAGGTCACGCTCCAGACCTCGGAGCAGCTTCTGCTGCTCTCCTTTGTTTAGTTTTATGTTTTATTTTTAATTTGAGCCACATTTTTCTAAAAATGGGAGATGTCGCCAACCATTTCAAACTTCTGGCTTCTCTTGAAATGCAGGAAGATATGGCCAACCCAGGCCAGCATTCGGCTGTGGCCACAATGGGCTGTAGCCGACTATTGGGCTCTCTACTGAAGCGGGGGTAAATTACAAACATGAAATTATTTTATGCTGGCATCATGACCTGTGTGCATGTGAATTCGCTTCTAGGTATTGAGAAGAGAGATGGGAAAGAAAGAGGAAGACAAAGAGAGCTAAGACAGAGAGACAGAGAGAGACACGGAGAGGGAAAGGAAGAGAGGGGGTGAGACAGAGAGAAGGTAAGGCAGAGAGGTAGAGGGGAAAATGATTCTAAAAGCCTGGGGGCTTTGCCCTCTGCTTCACCCAGTGGACTTAACGCCTGGAGATGAAACTGGAGATCCGTCCTTTCCCATGTCCCGCGGCCACCCAGAAAGCACAGCCTGCAGCCCTGAAGGCAAATGTGAGTTCCCGGTCAGTCTGCAGACGGATCCTTACTGTGCACTGTAAGGCTCTGTGGAAGCCGCTGCTTTTGCTTGTTCAACAGCAGAAGCAGCGTGATTTATAGATGATTTAACTGTTCTTTCGAGGATTATTTTTTCTATGCAGTTCTTAATTGGGGGCTTACGTGCTGACATTAGAACTTAATTCCCATTGAAGTGGCAACTCGGTTAAATGATATCAAATGTCTTTTTAGCTGAGCTGCATCCAACCCCCGGTCCTGACCCCTGGGGGGATGTCTCCTCCAGGTAGCACTGGCTGAAACCTGCAGTGTGCCCACCTCTCCCAAGAGTGGCATGAGCAGGGGCCACGCAGCTCCTTCCTCACAGGTTCCAGGACCCAGGCTGAGAGGAGCTGAGGGGCCCAACATCCCAAGGAGACCAGCGCCAGCCCAGCCAGCCTGTCCCCACCCAAGTCCCCAGGAGGCCAGGCCAGCTGCCCGCGGGGAGGAGGAAAGCCATGGCACTGCAGGGGGTGAGGTCAGCCTCCCACTGCACCTGTGGGGGGCCAGGCCTTCTCCCACAGTGGGCAGGGGAGCAGCAGGCCCCCCACGGCTGTCACTCACAGCCAAATGCGTCCAGCAAACAAAATATCACTCACTGTCCCCTGACAAGAACAAATAAACATCCAGGGGGAGGTAGGAATAAGAGCGGGGCTGACAGCTTTACCTTAAGGGCCCGTGTGGCTGCTCGGCAAACCCCAAAGTCCTGCAAGTGCTCCCAGCCCCTCGGGCTGGCACAGGCGTGCCCCAGACGCACCCGCATGTCCACAGACATGCACACCCACGTGTCCTCCACGCCCCGAACACACGGGGCGCAGGCGCAGTTTGGAACTGCGTAGAGGTGACGGCGGCGCAGGCGCAGTTTAGAACTGCGGAGAGGTGATGGCCGCGCAGGCGCAGTTTGGAACTGCGTAGAGGTGATGGCCGCACAACATGTGATGCATTCAGTGCCGCTGAGTTGTTCCCTTCTAAAATGGCTAATTTTCTGCTATGCGAATTTCATCTGAATTTTTAAAAGGCAGCAGCAACAATACACATGCACCCCATCCACGCAAACACCGCACATCTTCACAGATACACACACACGTGTGCACCACCTAACTTCCCAGCACCAGGGAGGAGGCTCCAGTTGTGGGGGGCCTGGTTTGGGGACCTAGACCCACCTGATTTCCCAGACCCACTCCCATCGAAAGCTCAGAGATGGGTGGGGGGATACTTTCATCTTAGATCCTCCCAACCACCTGTGGTGGGTTAAGGTCTCACCTGTGTGACAGCTGAGACAAGCCAGTTTGAGCAGAGACACTTGTATTTATTGTTCCGTCGTCAAGGTCCCCGGACCCCTGTCCTACCCTCTGCACAACCCTCTAGCAAGCCTTCGATCCCCTTCTCAGGACTCATTAAGCTGCTGCCTTCTCCATTTCAGTGCCCTGGTTAGCAAGGGACATTCGCTGGACTACACTGAAAGGAATAATTCCAATAGATCACAGACAGCGCAGCTTAACAGCGACATTGTTTAAATAGATAACTTATGATCCTGTGTTTTGAAATAGAAGCTTTCTAAGTCCCGGTGGGATTTAAAGACTGGATTGCTCAGGGGCAATGCTGTCAGCTGAAGCAGGCAGGAAGGAGCAACATGGAGAGATGATTCAGTCTTGGAGCCACACGGCCACCTCGCTGATCACGCACACCTGGTGGCATTTCTCTGCCTGTTGGTGCATTTTGCGGCTGACTGTTTGAAGACATAGGATGCGGCTGTGGCCAGCATCATACACCCACCTTCTCACAATGCAGCCCACAAAGAGAAGCAGAGCCTGTGCAGACCTGGGAAAGCCAGACCAAGGTTCTTCCTCAGGCTGTTGCACAGGTTTAAGCTCAGGGGTACCCCAGCATGTGGACATGGTACAGATAAGAACCGTGAATGGCACTAGTCCAGTCAAGGATGGCCTGGATGTTGATGATCGCCACGAAGCTACTGGACAACACGTCGCTCGTCTGCAAAGCCTGAGGCCAGTGTGGAAACCGAGGCATGGTCTCTGCTCTCCATTGAGGGCATCTGTGGGTCCACAGCTGGGCGCTGACCTCAGGACTGTCTGCTGCAGGCCATGGCTGTGCCCACCCAGGGGGTGCTGGGGCAGGTGGCCGGGTCCCATCTGCTGAGCCGAAAGGTTAGGCCAGCGCCTAATTAAAATGACTCACGGTGAACAGGAAAAAGCACTTGGGGGTGATATGGTTTGGTCGTGTCCCCACCCAAATCTCATCTCAAATTGTAATCCCCATAATCCCCACGTGTGGAGGGAAGGACCTGGTGGGACGTGATTGGATCACGGGGGCGGTTTCCCCCAGGCTGTTCTCGTGATAGTGAGTGAGTTCTCCTGAGATCCGATGGTTTAAAATCCTGTGATAGTGAGTTCTCATGAGATCTGATGGTTTAAAATCTTGTGATAGTGAGTGAGTTCTCATGAGATCCGATGGTTTAAAATCTTGTGATAGTGAGTTCTCATGAGATCCGATGGTTTAAAATCTTGTTATAGTGAGTTCTCATGAGATCCAATGGTTTAAAATCTCTGATAGTGAGTGAGTTCTCATGAGATCTGATGGTTTAAAAGTGCTTGGCAGTTTCCCCTGGGATTTTCTCTTTCCTGCCACCTTGTGAAGAAAGTCCTTGCTTCTTCTTTGCCTTCTGCCACGATTGTCAGTTTCCTGAGGCCTCCCCAGCCATGGAAACTGTGAGTCAATTAAACCTCTTTCCTTTATAAATTACCCAGTCTTGGGTAGTATCTTTATAGCAGTGTGAAAATGGACTAATACAGGGGTTTGCTTCTTCCTCCCTCCTTCCCTTCTCTCCTCCCCTCCCTCCCCCTTCCCCCTTTCTTCCCTCCCTGCCTTTCTATTTCTTTTATTCACTCAGTCAGCAAAGGAAACTCCAGTGAGCAGGAGTTCCCTTATGCTAAGGGCTGAGAGAAACTTAGAGATGAATAAAAGATGAGCTCTGGCTCTGCCCTCTGGGGGCTTACACAAGTATGTTTGGCGAGGACCCTATCTCCATGCCATCTCCTCGTCCCTCCCTCCCTCACTCATCTTGGTGCCAGGACCCAACCACCCAGCTGCCTGCAGAGCCGTACCAGGTGGGGCACAGCCAAGCCCAAATGCGGCTGCCCTGAGCCCTGAGTCCACGCCCTCAGCACCAGCCCGTGATCTAGCTCAGTCCCAAACTAGCTGGGCTGGAAAGAGGCCTCCAGGAACACTTTCAAGGGCTCCTTCCACATTTAGCAAATGGCTCTTTCAAGTCCAATGTTCTCGCTTGCTCAGCAGAATTCTGATTTTCTTGATTTATGCTGACAATCGCACATTCTTTTATTGCTGTTTAAGCCCCTGAAAGCATGGGAGGGGAAAACGTGATGAGAATCTGTGGCCCACTGTCTCCCTCCTCGTCTCCCTCACCCACTCTGCCCCTCTGGAAAGTGCTTCTCTCTGAGTTCTGGTCCCTGCTCGGCTGACCACGGAGGAGTGGGAGCTGGCACTGGCATCTGTGCATAGCCCGTATTGACACAGAAATGGCTGCATGGGAAGAAATTGGCCAGGCTTTCCAAAAACTGGGATGCAATTTCCCCCAACACGTTTTGGGGAACTTTGAACCCTGTCCCTGAGAAGATCTGGAGAGCAGGAGAGGTAGTCCAGGCCACACATGTCTGCTCCGGGCTTGGTTTTGGCCGGGAGTGGGGACAATCAAGGTCAGCTGGTGTCTGAGATTGAGGGAGCACTTCGGTGTGGCCTGGTGTGGCACTCAGGGCCTGCTACCCCTGAGTGTGTGGCCTCAGGCAAGTGGCTTGCCCTCTCTGGGCCTTAGATTTCCTGTTATAAAGTGAGAGATTTGGATAAGCTTGGGAGCTCAGAAACCACTTAGCCATAGACCCCTGCTCACCGAGTACCATCAGAAGCCCATCCTCACACATTGTCAGTGGGTGTCAGCATGGGTCTTCAGGAAGGAATGCCACGATGGAGTCAGGAATGTGAGCTATGTATTAGGGAGGTGGTGCTAGTGCACTGCAGAAAATGGAAGGGGAGCTGGAGGGCGCGGGCGAGCCTTCAGATTGCAATGCTGGTCCGACACCCGTGAGAGGAGAGGGGAAGGAAGGAGCATGCAGTAGCAAGAGCCTCAGCCTGCAGTGCATCTCAGAGGATGTCTCAGCCATGCTGACCGAGAGCCCCAGACTGAAGGTGCCCCATAGAGGATGCCCCTGCTAGGCAGAAATGGAGGGGCCCTGTGCTTCTGCCATGCTTGACCATTAGCTGCCCTGGAGACATGGGGCCTTGGCTGGAGAGCAGAGGTAGAGCCAGAGGGCACTGGAAGCTGGAGGCACCAGCCACCCTCACCCCACAGCAGGGTTTCTCCTGACATGAGGGACATCTGAGCCATGTACCCCATGGGCTCTTGCCACAAGAATGTCAAATCGGTCAACTTCTTTCAAAAGTGTTTGGACAGTATTTGCCAAAAACTTAAAAACAGAAGATTCTGCCAAATAAATTCCACTTCTAGGGATTTATCCAATGGATCAATTCATGCCTCTGTACAAAGAGATAAACATTTTGTTACACCCTTGTTTGTAGTAACAAAAGATTGGAAACAACCAAAATGCCCAGTATTAGAAGACAGATTAAATAAGTCATGGTATGTCCACATACTGGAATACCACGTCCCCACACTGGGGTACCATGTCCACACACTGGAGTACCATGTCCACACACTGGAGTACTACGTCCTATGCTGCCATGGTAAATAAAAAGGATGAGGCACCACCAAGCATACGGACAGGAATGAATTCCAGGTGAATTGCTGAGGAAAAGGGCAAAGCATTGGAGGCATCAATAGCAGGCTACCACTGAGTAAGGAAAGTGTGTCTTTTCTTTGCATCTGCTCAGATACAGAAAGAAAACATCAGAAGGACCCCTGAGACACTCACTCAGTGCTCTGGGGAGGGACTGGGAACTGGACTCCAGGGAAGAATTACTTTCCATTCATTGCCCTTCTGCTCCATTGACACTGCTGTTATGTTTAACACACCTGTAGCTTGTTTTTTAAAATCCTCATGCAGATGCTCAGCCTTTAAATCAACATCTGAATCTGATACCTTGGTGCCCCCTTATAGTAATTGTTGGTGCCCCCTCTTCATCCCCTGATGTGCCTCACAAAAGACCATTTACTGTGAATCCCTGTGGCTCTAACAGAATCAGCCCACTGCCAGTAGCAGACAGAGGATTTGATGTATAAATATCCCAGCTCCCTCACTCATTCACTGAGATAACTGAGGCCAGCTCTACGCTGACCCCCAGAGGTCCACAGTGGTACTGAACCCCAGGTGCCCGGGGCAGTGGCTGCCTATGAACTAAAGCTCTGCTGCTGTTCCCCTTCCCTGTCCTGCCTCCCCACTCCCTTGGGGGTTTCCTTGGGTCACCTCCCAAATAAACAGCTTGCCCATGACTCCTTGTCTCTGGGTATGCTTCTGAGGAGCCCAAACTAAGACCCAACAGAGGCCACCAAACTCCCAGGAATTCTGCGATAGCACAAAGCCCAGCCTGAAGAACACTGGGCTGGAAATTGATTTCCTCTAAGGCCTTTTCCAGTTCCGACCTCCCGTGCCACCAGGCAGATTGTCTCTTTTCTGGATAGTTTCTAACTAACACCAGGATTATGGTTAAGTGCAAAGAGAAGTGTATGAGACACAGATGAGTCTCTTACATAAAATAAATGAAGTAGAAGGACTTCCAGGGCCCAGCGGCCCCAAGTAAGCCTGTTCTCTGGAGAACTGGACGTAGAAAGGGGGGGTCCCCACATTATTGGAACCCTGAGCCCTGCAGGTGCTGCTTGGTCAGCAGCCAGGCTTAGGAGCGGGAGGCGGCAGAGTCCTATGCGTGTTGAAAAGTAAAGGTGCCAACAATATTCAGACCCATAGAAGATTCCTCCTCTCTGTTGTGGGGTAAATTATGTCCCCTCAAAAAGATATGATGGTATCCTGACTCTGGATCCTCAGAATGTGACCTAATTTGACAACAGTCTTTGCAGAGGTGATCAAGTTAAAATGAGATCAGCAGAGTGGCCCTATTTAATATGGGGCCCTTTTGACTTAATCGGATCAGCATCTTCCTAGCTGTGTGCTTAGGCAGAGGCAGGACTTGAAGAGATACACAGAAATAATCTCCACCCCGCTCTCCTTTCTACCTTACCCCATCCCTATCTCTCCCTTTCTGTTTCTCTTCCTCCCTACCACCCATTCCCACTCCCACCCCACCCCAATTGTATACCATGAGGATTTGAGGAGTAGAATTGCTGGAACCCTAAGACAAGAGTCTGGAACTATGGGACACCCAGCAGAGGCTGAGGAAGAAGCCCATGCCCTGGAAGGCAGAGTGAGGAGACTCAGCAATGATGTTTTGTGGCTTCTTAGAACCCCTGGATCAAGTCTTGCCTGAAGTCAGCACCTCCAAACTGTCCAGTTAGATAAGGTAATAATTTATTTTACTTCAGAAACCAATTCAGGGCTTGTTTTCTATCATCTGAAACTGAATGACTCCCAAGTGAAATAACATTCCGTCTTAGGAAAAAATGAAATAGCCAAACAGAGGGATCGTGGTCATGTTTGATGTTTTCTTCATCCCTAGAGGCCAGGTCTATAGGCACTTTTAAGACCACGTCAGAGAACGATGACTCTCTCCCCACCTCATGAGGGCTTCTTTGGTCAAGGTTAAGAAGGAATCTCATGGGGATGCAAGACGGTGCAGCTGCTGTGAATAACAGTCTAACGGTTCCTTAAACACTTCAACCTAGTTACCCTATGACCCAGCAATTCCACTGCAAGGAATATCCCCAAGAGAAATGAAAACATATGTCCACACAAACACTTAAACACAAATGTCCACAGTAGCATTATTCATAATAGCTAAAAGGTGAAAACAACCCAAATGTCCCTCAAGATAAATGGATACACATGATGTGATCTGTCCATATAATGGATTATTATTTGGCCATAAAAAGGAGGGAAACACTGGCATATGCTGCAACAGGGATGAGCCCGGAGGACGTGATGCTGAGCAACAGAGGCCAGTCACAAAGGACCCAATATTCTACGATCATATATAGAAAAGATTAGATGACAGTTCATATGCTTCCATTTCTATGAAATGTTCAGAAAAGACAAATCCGTAGAGACAGAAAGTAGACTCGTGGTTGACAGGGGCTGGAGGAAAGAGGAATGGAGCTGACTACTGATGGGTACAGGGTTTCTGCTTAGGGTGATGAAAATGTTCTCAGGCTAGCTGGGCTCAGAGGCTCACGCCTGTAATCCTAGCACTCTGCAAGGCCGAGGCAGAAGGATTGCTTGAGCCTAGGAGTTGGATACTGGCCTGGGTGACACAGTGAGCCCTCATCTCTAAAATAAAATTTAAAAAAAAAGGAAAATGTTCTAAAGCTGACTGTGGTGATGGCTGCCTACCTGAGATTATGCTAGAAACCACTGAATTGTACACATTAAATGGGTGAGTCGTACGGTATGTATAGAGGTAGCCACAGTGTCAATATGCAGTGCATGTCAATCTCGTGTGGAATGGAAGAGGAGCTGCATGCCCACTTCACAGCTCAGAACCTCGAGGCTTAGCGACATTAAGTAACTCAGCCAAGGTCCCTTGACCCGTGGCAGTGACAGGCCAGGGCTGGAGCTCAGAGCTGCCAGATGCCAGTCTAACCTGGGAGCTGGTGCCTCTGTCACCCAGGGCAGGTGTCTGGGAAGCTGAGCGTTGCATTCCCTGCGGAATCACTTGACGACAATGTGGAATGTTACATGGATAGGTAAAAAGTCACAACAACATGATTTTACTCAGAAGACTTACGACTCTGAAACAACTTTTATTCCTCAGTTGAGCCTGTGCACGGCTTTTCTTTACACAAATCAATGGCCAGAAGTTTTGGTTAAGGAAAAGCCCATTACACTTCAAATGAATACATTTTATTTTCAAGAAACTCCAAAGGACAGTAAAGTAATTCGCTCAGGTCAGACTTATTTCCATCTTATCTTCAGCATCTCAGCATTTCTTCTTTTTCTTCTTCTTCTTTTTACCCCAGATACGTCACATGGAAGAAACAGATTATAGTATTTATGGCACACAAGCCTCTGTTTATTTCTCAATGTAGTTATGGTTTAACATACATTTACACCTGCTTGCGAAAGTTTGCTTCCCCTGGTGTCCAAATGCCTGAGAAGAGAGGGACAAACTGTCTATTCGAAGCTGAGAATGTCAAAGAATGAATCATTGTCACGAGTGGAGTCCAGAACGCACAAAAGATGAAACTTCGCTAAACAGTCCTGGCCTCAATGCCAGAGAGCACATCCCAAAGACGGGGACGCTCGCTCGCTCTGGCTGTGGCTCTGGCTTTCTCTGGTCTCTATCTCTCTCTCTGTTTCTCTGTCTCTCTGTTTGCTATCTCTCTCTCTTGTCTCTGTTTCTCTCTGTGGTCTCTCTCTCCGTGACTCTCGTATCTCTGTCTCTCTCTTTCTGGCCTGTCTCTCTGTCTCTCTGGTCTCTCTCTGGTCTCTTCCTGTCTGTCTCTCACTCTCTCTGATCTGTCTCTGTCTCTGTCTCTCTCTAGTATCTCTCTGCCCCTCTCTGGTCTCTCTCTCTGTCTCACTGGTCTCTTTCTGTCTCTGTTTCTCTCTGATCTGTCTCTGTCCCTCTCTCTCTCTGGTCTCTCTGTCTCTCTGGTCTCTTTTTGTCTCTTTCTCTCTCTCTGTTTCTCTGTCTCTCTGTGTGTCTCTGTCTCTCTCTCTGTCTTTCTGTGTCCATCCCTCCCTGTCTCTGTCTCTCTCTCTCTCTCTCTCTGTCTTGCTCTCTCTGTGACCATCCCTCCCTGTCCCTCTCTCTCTGTGTCCATCCCTCCCTGTCCCTGTCTCTGTCTCTCTGTTTTTCTGTCTCTGTTTTCTCCTGGTTTCTCTCTCTGTCTGTCTCTGGTCTCTCCCTGTCTCTGTCTGTCTCTCACACTCTCTCATTCTCACTCTCACACACTCTCTCACTCTCTCACACTCACACACTCTCACACTCTCACACACTCTCACACACTCTGTCTCTCACACTCACACACACGTAGACAACAAAGACTCTACTGTCTTAACTTGCAATGGGTTTTCCCCTAATTTCATAGAACGTTCCCATTTATTTCCTGTCCTTGGGAAAGGGAAATCTCTAAATCCTTTTGGGGTTTCTCATTAAGATCCTGACAAATGAGAGAGAAAGAAGAACTTGAAGCCCACCACATCACCAAATATGGGATACAAATGTGCCCTTTCCCCGCCTGCGTTCCCCACAAGTCATGACCACAGAACTACCTAAGGGCCCCCAGGGGGCTGTTCCTCATGGCCCATCTCACCCAGCTCCCAACAAATGCTAAATTGGCTGGTGTGACCACACAGACTTCCCGATGAAACCCAAGATGCAAACGGGTTAACCTTTAAAAACAATACCGGGCTTTCTTAAACGCCGGCCTGACCCGTCCCCACCGCTCCTGCATCAGCCGTGATTGACAGGGCCCCTGGGACCCTCAGGGTGAGGCCTCTGGTAGGCCCTGACCTTTCCTGGGGTTTAGAGGCCCCCAGCAGATTATCTGTATGGTCCAGTGGGGACCTATCTTTCAGCTTTTCCTGTCAAGAATTCCTGCCTCCTGCTTGGGACACAGCGAAGGGGGTTGACAAGCGAGACACCCTGTCCCCCTTGGAGCTGCCTGAAAGTCACTCGTTCTGAGCCAGCCTCCATCTGTCCGACAGGCACACAGAGCGCCGCCAGGCACGGCCCTCATTCTTCACCCCGAGCTCCCGCAAGGTCGGCGAGGAGGCTGGAGCAGCGGGTAGGAAGCGGGCCGAGGCTCCCCCGACGCTGGGCCGCAACTGTCATCGCAGATCCCTGAAAAACGAGCTCTGTAATCGTTGCCGTCAGCGGGTGTACAATTGCAGCCTTATGTTTCCTGCCGCTGTTTACCTTCCTGAGCGGCGCCCAGAGATGCACACACGCTGCCCTGAAGCGGGACGTGACCTCTGGGCACCTGTGAGGTCCTGGGTGAGACTTCATGGGACACTCACGGCCATGGGGGGTAGCTCTTAGTGCCACCCTACAGATGGGGAAACCGAGGCCCGAGAGGCCGAGCAGCAGGTCAGAGTCTCAGAGGCAGTGAGTAGCTTCCCTGAGACTCCAATCTAAGCAACTCAGCTCCCGATTGCAGGTTCCGTCCCAGTCTCGTGTCCCCAAAGGAGCCCCATTGTTCTCTTGAGATGTTTTCATGGCAACAACAAAGAGCGTGGGGATGGCCTGACACCTGCAGAAAGGCCCGGAAGTGGACGGGCTCTCCTGCCTGTGCATGGCCTGCTAGACTCAGGTGTCTCCTTCCTCCCAGGCCCGCCAGCCAAGTTCCTGTCTTCAGTCACACACGTGCGCCTGCCACAGGGCCTTTGCACAGACTAGGTCACCTGCCTGGAGTGTGGCCAGGCTCATCCCTTTCACTCAGGTCCTCAGAGAGGCCTTCCCCACCTGCCCGGGCCAAGCCATAGCTGCCCTGCTTCCCTCACGTCCATCTCACCTTGCTGAGCTTCGCCAAGCACTAAGGACTGTTCAGTCGTGTGTTTACTTCTTTATGCAGCCTTTCCTCTACTTGGTTATAAGTTTAATAAAGGAAGGAGTATCCATATATTTCATCCACCGATGTAGACCCAGACCCTAGAACAGTGAGTAGCTACTCACTGTTCTAGGCACGAAGTAGGAGCCCAAGAGGTATTTGATGGACAAGTGGACTAATGAGGAAATGGGGATGTGTAGCCTGTGTCCCCTTTACCTTCATGTGGTGAGCAGCTTTTGCAAAGGCTTCCCGGCTCACGATGGAGTTTCCTAACTGCCAGGCTCACCCCTCTGTCCCTCAACTCCCACCCTAAAGCCTTCTTCTACAATGTGCCTGACACCCTCACACACAGCTGATGGGCTCCAGGGAGCAGCCTGACCCAAACGGAGATCAGCATCCCCCACCCAGGGAACTTGAACTTGGGACCGAGAGAGAGAATGCAAGCTGCGTTAGGTTGCTAGGTACGCACACTGCTGGGAAAATGTTTCCCAGACACAGACGACATGGGTGGAGGGGAGAGGAACCATGAAGAACAGCATGAGGAGACTGAGAGAAGAGAGACCAAGAGAGAAAGGAGAAAGAGAAGAAGAGAGAGGAAAAAGAGAAGAAGGGAGGGACAGTGGGAGGAAAAGAGACAGAATTCCTGCACCTTCCTGGGGCCTTGTGCCATCCCTCTCCAAGATTCAGCTCCATCCCTGTATCCTTATAAATTCCCCAATTGTCACCTGAGCCAGAACCAGGGTGTCTGTGCTGCTTGCCAACAAGAGCCGAACTCATCCCCCACCAGCCGGCCTCCCTTCTTGTGCACCCCTCACAATGCGGGTGTGCTGGGCCACGTGCAGGGAGGGAGACAAGGATGTCGCGAGGAAGACCCTGACCTCCGTGTGTGCAAGGAAACCTGCCTTGCACACGTGTCATTCAAGATGCCTACATCATGTGGAGCCAACAGCCTGTCCATTGATCCAACAGCATCTTTTGAATAGCTCCCCTGCACCGGCCTCATGCTCAGGAGCTGATGCTGAACAGACCAACATGACTCAGCCCTTGTGGTGCTCACGTTCTGTTGGTAAGAAAGTGACTTCATAAAGCTGAAAAGTAAAAGTCAATTATTATGCTGTAAGTGACAGGAGTTAAGTGGCAGGACTGCCCAGGGGTAGGGAAGGGGTTGTAACTTTCAGTAGGGCACTCAGGGCAGGTGTCACTGAAAGGCGGCGTTTGAATGGAAGTGTGAAGGAGGTGAGGGAGGGCACATTCCAGGTGGCTCCAGCAAGTGCAAAGGCCCTGGGGCAGGAACTGCCTGTGTGAGGCACTGAGCCCCAGCCGTGTGGCTGGTTGGGGGGTGGTGCATGAGGGAGAGACTCAGGAAGGAACCAGGCCAGACAGGCAGCAGGGGACACATGGGGAGGCCCTCGCCAGCCATACATGTGATTTATTTTGGCCTCACAGAATCTTGGAAGGTAAAAGATGAAGAACAAAGACTCACAGAGGTCGAGTGAATTCCTGAAGGTCACACGGCTACTATGCGGGAGGTCTGAGGCTCCAACAGGCACAAAACATCCACTGGCTCCTTCTCCTTCAGCCTGAGCGAGCCCAGCCAGCTGCTAAGTCATAAGTGATTGTTAGGAAGTGGTGGCTGTCCATAGCGGTGGCACCATTTGGCCCTCACCAGCTGTGAACCTGGGCTCCAGTTCCCCCACATCCTCACCAGCACTGGTGATTTTCCATTCCCGGATGACAGCCATCCTGGTTGGTGTGAGGTGGCATCTCCTTGTGGTTTTGATTTGCGTTTTCCCCAACAACTTGTGACGGTGAGCATCTTTTCATGTGCTCGTTGGACACAAAAGGCCGCAGAGCACACGATTCCGCTTCCATGAAATGTCCAGAAAAGGCAAACCCATAGAGACAGGAGGTGGACGTGCGGTTGACAGGGGCTGGGGTGAGGGCCCATGGGGAGGGACTATGAACGGGTGCAGAGTTTCCTCTGCAGGTGGTAAAAATGTTCTGGAGTTGGCGGTGATGGTTGCCCTGCATTGTGAATGTAAATGCCACTGCATTGCACACTTCGAAATGGTTAAAATGGTGACTTGTATGTGAGGTGTACTTTACTGACATAAGAATAGAAGTAATGGATTGCTACAGGCTCTTTTGGAAGGGGGTTGCCTAATTATAATTTTATCATCTTCCAGCCTGCTCCTTTTTTCTAGATTTTGGCATCTGTATGAGCAGCCTTGGACTCTTGCCGGGGTTTTTAGGAATTTACCTTAAGGAGAATGTCTTGAAAAGGCCAACGGGGCTTTCCACATGTGTCCTGGTCAGATGTCAGAGCCAGCGGGGAGAATCTGCTGATTGCCAGCTTCTCTCTGCACAGCAGAGCCCAGTGTGTCCGCGTCGGCATCTGAGGTCACCCCCAAACTCGTCTGGCACCCAATTAAATCAACGCCCAGCCCCATGTGGAAGCTCGAAGAACGTGAACTAATAACAATAAATAGCTATTTGGTTACTTTTTACAGACACATTTGGACTGCATTTCAGGCGATTTTATGAGCAAATGCTATTTTGAGCGTTCCCAAATTCCCAAATTGCACGTGAAACATCCGCAGGGCGAACATGAGGAGTTTTAAGCTCACAGATCTTGGACATAAATCTCAGGCTGTCCCAAGACCCAGGCAAGACTGGTGCAGCCACTGAAGTGCCCTCCTGGAAGGTTAGATGGTGCCCAGCTGACACTTGCCCTCAGGCACAACTGGGGAAGAGGCCAGGTCTAAGAAAAGAGCCCTGCAGAAAGAAAGGGCAGGAGAATAGAGGGGTGGTGAGATGGTGGGGAGGCAGTGGGGGGCGGCTGTGGGGTTCACCTGCTCTAGGGAACCCCCTCCCAATAGGTGGGGGCTGTTGTTGATCATAACTCTTCCCCACCCTAATTTAGGGTTGCCTTGTCCCAAGTGGGCACAGGTGGGCTTCCCACCATCATCTTCCCTCCAGATCTGCAGCCCACCTGAGCCTCATCCAGGGCTACCAGGTGCCCCTACCTCCAGGGGCCACAGACACAGGGCACTTTTTCTAGTTCCCCTTCCTGCCCTAGAATGTTGACAACACGTGCTGTCCCTCCACCTGGAAAGCTCTGCCGGCCTCTGCCCTCCCCTCCTCACCCATCAGCTTCCTCTTCCCCCGGTGCCAACTCACTGTCACCTCCCCGGGGAAGTGCCCCTGACCGCCAGGCAAGTTCTCTGGGTGACTTGCCCCCCAGCATCACAAGTGTCTCCTTCATTTGCATGATTCATTGACTATCTAACAGGGATCCTCATGTGTCCCACTCACCATCCCCAGCACCTAAGTGGGACCTGGCTCCTGGCAGGCTCCTGGAAATAACTCATGCCTAAGCAAAATCCTCCACTCCTGCTCCTAGCTGCCAGAGAGTCCAGGCAGACCCACGTGGCAGCTGGGGAGTTGGGCTGAAGCCAGGAGGAGCTGAGTCTGCAGTTTAATCCTGGGATACTCTGAATCACTCATCCATTTATCCATTTGTTCAAAACCTACTATCTGCCCAGCACTATGCTCAACCTGAAGATATGGAGATGAACAAGGCAACCTCTCAGTCTAGCTGGGAAAACTTGTATATCACACAGATGACTGTTAAAAGATGACTCCCAAGGAAGTAAGTTTGTGATGAATATGGGAGGAGTCAATTCCTTATCCTAGGAATACAGAATTGATCCCAGGTCCCCCTCAGATACCAGAATCTGCAGATGCTCAAGTCCCTGTGTAGTACAGCATAGTGTTTGCATATAACCAATGCACAGCTTCCCATATACTTCAAACCATCTGTAGGTTACTTGTAATACCTAATACAATGTAAATGGTAGGTGCATAGTTGTTATACTGTATTTTTGTTTGTATTATTTTTATTGTTGCACTGTTACTTCTATTGGGTTTGATTTTGGAATATTTTCAATCTGAGGTTGGTTGAAACTGTGGATGTGAAACTGTGGATGCCGTACTGTGAGGCACAGCTCTTCTGCTAGTTATCAGCTTCCTTCCTTATTGACACAATCCACATCCCATAACAGGTACTGACATCTGCTAGAGGCACTCACTTTCCCAACATGCCTTGCAGCTAAGAATTGCCCCATGGATCCAGTTCTGAACTCAAGGGGAGCTCCACAGGGAGTCTCTGGGAAAGAGCTTCTTCTGGGAAAGTGCTTTCTCCCCAGTGAAGAGATTCCTGGGACAAGAGTCCCCCCTGCAACCCTGTCTCTGGGTCTTACTGTGTGAGAAGGCGGGGCCTGGCGTTGGAGCCCGCATTTCATAAAGTCAAGCCACACAGAGGCCAGGGAACTGGAAGGCAGGAGGTGCTGCCTCCTGATGCTGCTGCTGAGCCACACCTGTAATCCCCCTGCCTGCAAAATCTGCCTGCCTGCAGAATCCCCCACCTGCAGAATCCCCCTGCCTGCAGAATTCCCCTGCCTGAAGAATCACCCTGCCTGCAGAATCACCCTGCCTGCAGAATCCGCCGCCTGCAGAATCCGCCTGCCTGCAGAATCCCCCGCCTGCAGAATCCGCCTGCCTGCAGAATCCCCCGCCTGCAGAATCCGCCTGCCTGCAGAATCCCCCGCCTGCAGAATCCGCCTGCCTGCAGAATCCCCCTGCCTGCAGAATCCTCCTGCCTGCAGACTTCTGTGGAGCCACTCAAGGCCATCATTGCTTACACCACTCTCGCTCAGGCATTTTATTATTTACAGCCAGGAGCAGCTGAGCCACTGCAACCTTACTGTTCCATCCCATTCTCTTGGAATCTTGCCCCCAGGAATGTGGGGTTGCCAAATGAGGCATTACTGGGAATGCCAGAGGGCCCAGGGGGCCTCCCGGAGAGCTGCCCGTGGGCAAATCTTCTCAAAACTTCCAGGATTCTCCACAACCCTCTGGGAGTCCCCAGAGCTTCCCGGAGCTCTGCCACTTATTAGCTGCCCAGCACTGAGCAACTTAGCCGACCCACTGTGACTCAGTTTCCTCTGTAGAAAAGAGGAAGAAAACACCCTAGTCTGGATGAAATAAACAAGGAAATGTGAGTGCCCGCCCTCCCTTCGCCCCTCCCAGGTCTTTTTCTTTGTGCTCACCCCACTTAGTATTCCCAGTTCTCCCTCCTCCAGACACCCAGTAACTTCACCCTCAATGCCCTTCTCAGACCCTGGACTGTCAGATCCGCCAGGGAAGGGCCTGTCTCAACTGTCTTTACTCCAAGTGTGCACCTCGCAGAGGTTAGTACATATTTGACCAACGAACGGCCATCCTCTCCCAGGAAAAGAGCCTCCTCGTCTCACGGGGACTTCCCGGACACCAAAGCCCCGAAGATCTGGGGGCCGCACTGTCCAGGACAGCACCTCAGGCCGCACACAGCTTCTGAGCACTTGAAACAAAGATACCGGAGTATAAAATACATGCTGGACACCAGATTTCAAAGGCAGAGAAAGAAAAGAATGGAAGGTATGATATGAATAATATTTACATTGATTACATATTGGTATGATATACTGATACATTGGGTTGCATAAAATGCATTACTAAAATTAATTTCACGTGATTCTTTTTACTGGCTCACATTGCATCACTTGTGGGATATATGCATGCAGCGGTGCTGATGCCAGGGCCCTGCCTCCCTCGACTCCACCGCCGGCCTCACTACCCTCCCCCAGGCTCCAGCCACACTGGCCTTGTCTCTGCCTCCCCAGATCTTCCCTGACGACCCTGATTAAGGTCCTCCTCTCTCTGCCCCATTTGCTCCAGTCCATCTTGTTCCCAGTATGTATCACAATCAGAAAGTGTTAGCAGGGTTTGTTTATTTATTTATTTTCATGCCTGGCTCATTTTTAATTGGCAAAAAGCATATGTAGGCTGGGTGTGGTGGCTCACGCCTGTAATCCCAGCACTTTGGGAGGCCAAGGAGGGCAGATCACCTGAGGTCAGGAGTTCAAGACCAGCCTGGCCAACATGGCGAAACCCCATCTCTACTAAAAATACAAAAGTTAGCGGGGTGCGGTGGTGGATGCCTGTAATCCCAACTACTCAGGAGGCTGAGGCCGGAGAACCACTTGACCCTGGGAGGTGGAGATTGCAGTGAGCTGAGATCACTCCACTGCACTCCAGCCTGGGAGACAGAGCGAGACTCAAAAAAAAAAGAAAAAGAAAAAAGAAAAAAAAAGCATATGTATTTATGGTATATAACATGATGTTTTGAAATATGTAACGTCTCTGTAATCCCAGCACTTTGGGAGGCCAGGTGGGTGGATCACGAGATCAGGAGTTCAAGACCAGCCTGGCCAAGATGGCGAAACCCCGTCTTTACTAAAAATACAAAAATTAACTAGGCGTGGTGGCAGGCACCTGTAATCCCAGCTACTCGGGAAGCTGAGGCAGCAGAATAGCTTGAACCTGGGGGGCGGAGGTTGCAGTGAGCCAAGATCGCGCCACTACACTCCAGCCTAGGTGACAGAGTGAGACTCCATCTCAAAACAACAACAACAAAATAAACACATAACGTCTCTCCATCACTTCCCACTGCATCTGGCATGGAACAAATGTTCAACCATTTGTTAATAAACCAGTTTTAAATAAAGTAATGAAGAACTGAGTGAAGGAACATATGGTCTTGGGGTGCAGTGGATGAGGACGCTACAGCAAGGCAATCTGGCCTCAGGCCAGCACCATGGGGTCCTGTTCACCTCAAATGTTGGTTTATTGCCTGAAGCATTGTGCAAAAGTCTGAAGTGTAAACGGCTTTCATGGCAAACTTCAAAGTATCGGCACACCCATCATCCTGCCATCTTTATTTCATTCTCATTTGTACGTTCCCATTCTGCCATTTTCTATTTCTATACACACTTCTCATAATTGCAATTGTACATCTTTTACTGGCTTTTAAATTTTAACATTGCATCTTTTACATTTTTTTCAAGTTTCTATAGGATCTTAAATTGGCTGCTAAATGTTGAATCATATTTCGCTTTTTCAAAATTTGTGAATCATATTCTTTATTATAGAACAGGGGTCTATGGGCCAAATCTTGCCTGCTGCCTGTTTTTGTAAATAAAGTTTTATTGGAACATAGGCACTCTCCTTGCTTCCTTACTGTCTGTGGCTGTGTTTGTGTTACAATGGCAGAGCTGGGGAGCTGTGACAGACACTGCCTGTGTGTGGTCTGCAAAGCCAGAAGTGCTTACTATCTTTGCCTTTGGCTGGGCACGGTGACTCACACCTGTAATCTTTGCCTTTAAGAAGAAATTAGCCCTCCCCCATTCTAGAACATTTAGATACTTCCAGATATTGGCAATTAGATTACCTGGCAGTGAACATCTATCTTTGTACATTTGATTTTTAACTTTTAATACCACCTGTCCTCTGTATAAAATCTTAGGAATAGAATCAGTTGCCTGAAGAGAACCAACATTTTTTGTAATGCTTTACGCTCATGTTCTGTGAAATTTACCAGGCTACCAAGAGTCAGTGAATGCTCTAGTTTCACTGCAATCAGATGAGCAAGGAATGTTAATGTTTAGAATGTCAGGGGTTACTATGGGAAGTACAGAAATGATACTCGAGGGCTTCTTTAATTTCATTATCTTCAATATTTAGTGACCAGATTTATATTTTGGGAGTGGTTTGCTTCCCCAAAAGTCCAATAGCAAAGTTACAGTGAACTTTGTTTTAAAGGGATATTCAACCACCTTAACTTGTTGTAAAAAGCCTCTTCCCAGAGAAAAGGGTTTCTTTTGCTAAGGGAATTAACCTCTGGGGACAGCGTTTTCGGTGGGATGTACCTCTTTGGGGTCAGGGAAGACTAACAAGAAGAGAGTCTCAAAACCACCTGCCTTGCAAACGTGGGATGTTCCCCAGCCTGTTGCTCATTACCTCCCTGGGAAATCCAGGAAGAACATGACTGCAGCTCTAACCGGACCCCACTCAGGCTTCAGGTCAGAGCCAAGTCTCCCTGGGGAACTGCGGGTTGACCAGGTGGCTCTGAGAGTCGGGCTACTACACTGTTGAGGCTGTTGCAGGGTGGCCCCTGGAGCAGTGCGTGCCTCTGCGTTCCCATGGCCTTTCTAGAGCAGATAGCTGCTTTCTGAGAGGCTGACAACTCCATGTCAGCCAAGGACCCCTAGGCAAAGGAGAAGAAAAATTTTACAGTTTGTTTATGCTGTTTCTCCAGCTGACCAGGAAGACATTGTCAACTGTCAGTCAGCCCCCCGGTCCTCCACCCAGCCTCTACTCTGTGTGCCACCCACTTGCCCTGCACCTCCAGGTACAAGACAAAGGAAATCTCTCCCCCGGGCATGATATTGTACAAGAGAGTGTATATTGAAATAGACTAAATCAGGACTCCTTATAATCATGGCCAACACGGCCCTTCACGCTCCACCCCAGCAGCTTTCAATCCCAGCGGCTCATTAGAACTCCCTTTGGGGGGCTTTGAAAAAACACAGAATTTTACCTGGGGTGGGGGGTCCTACTCCATGTAGTGTGGAGTCATGGATCTCGTGTGACTCCCAAAGGAGATTGTAACCTGCACCCAGGGCGGAGCACCTCTAGTCCCTGCTTGACTCCCCAGCTCCTTGTCTTGGCATCTTCACCCCCTTCACACCCTTTGCCTTTCCTGCCCCAATCCTCCAGCCACCCCGAGTTCTTGCAGATGCCCCAGGGGTCTCATGTTTCCTTTTATCTACATGTAGGACTCCTCCAAATGCAATGCTCTCTCCAGCCCTTTTCCACCAACCAAGTCTGACTCACCCATCAGAACAAACATCAAATAGGACTACAGATGCAAGAGTAGATTAAACATTGCCCAGGTTTCAGAGGCTGCATACCTGGGTTCTCATCTTGACTCTAGGACTTAATGGCTGTCAGATTCGAGGCAAACTTTGAACCCTCTCAACCCACTTTCTTATCCATAGAATGGAAATAATAATGCTGAATTGGCCGGATTGTTGTGAAGGCTGCAGGTGATATGTGTGAGTCATGGTGGCCCAAATATGAGCAATACATCCCAATAAATGCTAGGTTTTAAAAAAAGCATTATTGTTATTGCTAAAACATTTGCCCTTTAGAGGGAATCTAGCCCAACATGCTTCTAGAAAGGGTCTTTGAACAATGCCTGCTTTTTGCCTCTTTAAAGACATTTATATGTGACTCCTGTCTTGAGCATCTTTAGGGACAGCAAACCTTTATCTTCAGAAGCAGGTTTGGATTTTAAAATAGTCTTACAGAGCCAGCCCTGATGATTCATTGATATAACAAGCATGGCTTGCTTCCCCAGTAAATAAACGAAACCAATTTCACCATTTGATTCTGTAATCCCTGGGTGTATCTGAAAGTCTCCATTGTCAAAGACCAATCAAATATTGAGGGTGCCTTTGTGGACTGCGGTTTTCTATCTGTTTGTTTATTTAACAAGTGTCTGCTAATCTTTAGCAGGAGGCTGGGGATGGATGTAAGGATGGATGGATGAATGGATGGATGGATGGATGGATGAATGGATGGATGAATGGATGGATGGATGAATGAATGGATGGATGGATGGATGAATGGATGGATGGATGGATGAATGGATGGATGGATGAATGAATGGATGGATGAATGGATGGATGGATGGATGAATGGATGGATGAATGGATGGATGGATGAATGGATGGATGAATGAATGGATGGATGAATAGATGAATGAATGGATGGATGAATGGATGGATGGATGGATGGATGGATGGATGGATGGATGAATGGATGGATGAATGAATGGATGGATGAATGGATGGATGGATGGATGGATGGATGGATGGATGGATGGATGAATGAAAGGATGGATGAATGAATGGATGGATGAATGGATGGATGGATGGATGAATGGATGGATGGATGGATGAATGGATGGATGGATGGATGAATGAATGGATGGATGAATGAATGGATGGATGAATGGATGGATGGATGGATGGATGGATGGATGGATGAATGGATGGATGAATGGATGGATGGATGGATGGATGGATGGATGGATGAATGGATGAATGAATGGATGGATGGATGGATGGATGGATGGATGGAGAGACGGAGATAGAAATAGATAATAGAGATAGACAAATGATAGAGATGGATACATAGATGATATAGACAGATGATAGAGATAGATGATAGATTAGATAGATAGATAGATAGATAGATAGATTGATAGATAGATGTTAAATACATGATGCAAAACCACTTGATGTTATTAGGGACATTCATTATAATCAAAGAGCATCATAAGTCTAATGACTAAAGACTTACGATGTAAATTGTGTTAAGAGCTATTGAGGACAATAACCTCACTTAAGCTTAAATGAGTACAATTATTGTGTCAATTAAAAGAAGAAATTGAGTTAAAAACAAGCAAAGCTTTACCTGAGACTGCAAATGATAACTGAAACCTGGTCTTCTCATTGGCAAATTAAGTAGTCATTAGTAGATAAACTTAAGTTAGGGCACAGACATGTGGAGTTGGTCACCCTCACACGTGGACACATCCCACTGGTGAGGTCCTGAATCTCACACCTGAACGCAGTCAAAAGTTGGAGATGTGACTCTCCTACCAGTGCCCAGCCAACAGGTGAGATGGTGACTCATTTCTGGACCCAGTTCACAGGCGCTATGATGATTCTCATGCCTGGAACCAACCAATAGGCCAATTAAAACATCTTTAATTGCATGAATGTGAGAGTCTCTGCTCCCAACATATGACAGGGTGTCTGTGGGTTCAAATGATGACGCCTGCTATCCCGGATGCCAGCACTAGAACGTTGTCTTATGATCATCTGTACCCTCCTGCCTGTTGGGGGATCATGGACCCCTAGAGTCAGGGGTCACATCCTGTCCATCTCTATCCCAACACTGGCCATGAGAGGCCTTAGTCGATCCCAACAGGCCTGGGTCCAACCGCTCTCCAGTCTCCTAACTTCCCTAGACCTCATCTATTCCGATCAAAAGATAGGAACAACAATGTTTCTGGGAGAATTAATTGAACCCGTGTGTGTTTCACACTTGTATGGCACCTATGGGTGCAAACAGCTCAGTGTACATTAAGGAAATACCATTCTCCTCCTCCCCATCATCTCTAGCTTCTACTATGTACTTTCCATGTGTTGGAAACTAAGCGATTTTGTGAAAATCAAAATCCCACAGAGCCTCCCATGCACAGTGAGGGCACTATGATCCTTACTCCCTTTGTTCCAAGAAGCAGACGGAGGCACAGAGAGAGGAAGTTGCTAGAGGCTGACCCAGGCAGGAAGTGGCAGAGGCAGGATTTGAACCCAAGCATCTGGTCCCAGAGCCTGGGTTCTGAACCCTAGTAATGTGGGCCTCTCTGAATGTAGAATGCCTGTTGAAAACTAGTTGAAAACATGCCATTGGATGTACTTAGGCACAAAAATGTTATTTACACGCCTGAATAAAATTAGAAGATTTCACAGTTAATTTAGCACATTGGACCATTACGTTGGATAATTCGAATCAGCTATTCCATTTGATCTTTTCTCAAATTGGCTGATGCTATTATTACTATGGCTAAAAATGAAGAGGAAACCCTTCCTGTGCTGTCTCGTAGCCAAGTCAGCTAACGATTTTCTAATATCTGTCATTGTGAACTGGAAAATGTGTCCTAATCTCTGTGAAAGTTTCCAAGTAAGATCTTTATCACCAAACACACAGAAGGGATGGAGATAAACAGCCCAGTTCACCCCAAACGCCTTTTTCTGTTGTGTTTTGAGAACATGCATGATTTATTTCATTTGCAGTTGAGCATTTTGGGTGGCGGCTGTCCCTGTTTTCTGTTTTCCCTTTCCACGGCTTGGCATTTATTCTACGTGGGAGAAGCATGGGGTGCAGAGCGGTGGCACTGGGACTGCGTGCCGATCCCTGAGGCCTGTTCCCATGAGTAAACCAGCTCTTTTGGCCCTAGAGCCCAGCTTCCTGGGGAATATCCCAGAACAGTGACTGCAAGGTTCAATGGTGCACCAAAGTCAGGCACCTGCACAAGGAGGCCGTGGGCGGGTTCCCCCATCCTAAAGCTTTAGGAGACCATGGGTGGGTTCCCCGTCCTAAAGCTTCAGGAGGCTGTGGGCGGGTTCCCCATCCTAAAGCTTTAGGAGGTCGTGGGCGGGTTCCCCATCCTAATGCTTTAGGAGGCCGTGGGCGGGTTCCCCATCCTAATGCTTTAGGAGGCTATGGGCGGGTTCCCCCATCCTAAAGCTTTAGGAGGCCATGAGCGGGTTCCCCCATCCTAATGCTTCAGGAGGCCATGGGTGGGTTCCCCATCCTAAAGCTTTAGGCGTGAGGTGCTCGCTGGGAAGGGACCATGCACTCCCCCACCTTCAGGGCGGGCAATTTGAACCACTAGAGTGGAGATGTAGGACGGACAGCAATCCAGTTAGATTTAAAGTCTAAAAAGTTTCAAACATTCCATTTTATGATATTATATAATGTAAGGGAAAATAACTTTTCTCTGTATAACTTGAAAACACAGAGTAACATAGTGTTTTTGGCAGGTGGAGATTTTTAGGTGGGATCACAATGGTTAGTGAGGACATATTCTCCATAGCCCTTTGGGGGAGTGGATGTATAAATCACATATAATATGGGATGTATTTCTGCGTTTCTCAAAGGGGATATCTGTTTAAGAAGGTTAAGAAACATTTATTTGGAGAGTAAGCCAAAGAGTTAGTTAAGAAACCAGCTGCTTTACACGTATGCAATCATTCATGTATTTATTCAAAATGGATGAACATCACACCAGCTGATTGCTCAGCACAGAGCCTGACCACATCTAAACTTCGGAAGTTTCAGCTCTGACTGTGGGTAGGTAGGTTGTAGCAAAGCATGGTTGGGGTGGGGCTTGTCCTAGCCAAGACCCTCCATGACCCGCATGTGCACAACCTTCCTTGTCTTTGGGACTGATACTCTCATTTCAGGAAGCTGTCAGTCTCCGACTTCTTGAGAAAGATCAGCGTGGCTGATAAGCCCTCCCTGGATGAGTGACAGAGCCACTTCTCGGCATTATCATGTTATCACCCATGCCTCCTGTGATTGCACAAATCCTCACAACCTCCCAGCTGCTCATGCTCATGGGTGTCATCTTTCTTCGCAACACCCCTCTCTCTGGCAGTGGGAGCATCTATTTATAGACTTCCATGGATTTTGAGCGAAAGGATCATATTTTCTGGGCTCTGCCACTGGAGAGATGTACTCTCATCAAACTTTTTCTCTGTTACTGTTCTCTGAGGCCCACAGAAGTGAGGGGCATGCCCAGAGCCACCTGGTGAGTTAAGAGGGGGCCCCGCCCAGGCACCAGCCTCCTGTCCCCCTCCAGGGCTCCCTCCCACCATGACATCAGGGCTCACACACTCATAGCCCTGGGTCAGGGGGCTGGGAGGGGGACATTGTGGATAACATGCCAAGTGGGAATTGGGGCTCAATGTTGCCAAGTTTATGAATTTGTAAAAGATGAAAATATTTTACCTAATACATAATTCCCCCATTTTTAAAAACACCAGGTTTCCAAAAATACAAAACCTTAGTTGAATCCAATCAAACAAACTCACATAGACGTGAAACTGCAAAATGCAAGTCCATACACTCTTCCAAAATGCCAATGAAGTAAAGACAAAGAAAGATGGAGGAATGTTCCAGATTAAAGAAGACAAAGGAGATAGCCAAATGCAAGGTGTGCTTCCAGGTTGAAGCCTGGATGGGAAGGCAAAAGTTGCCCCAAAGCACAGCATCGGGACAAATGGTGATGTTTGAATAGGAAGACCAGCTAAGAGCACCCTGGTGCTGTGGCTATGTAGGAGAACGTCCTTGTCCTCAGGAGAACACAGATGTGTTCACAGCCGAGGGACACACCCTCCACAGGTTCCGTCAAAGAGTTCACCAAAAATAAACAAACAACGACAATGACGATGCTGATGGTGACAGAGAAGGAGCAAAGAGCAAGTGCAGTAAATGTCAGCCACAGGTGAGCCCAGCCACAGGAGTAATGCCAGCCGCAGGTGAGCCCAGCCGCAGGTGAGCCCAGCTGCAGGGGAGGTCAGCAACAGGAGTAATGCCAGCCACAGGTGAGCCCAGCCGCAGGTGAGCCCAGCTGCAGGGGAGTTCAGCGACAGGAGTAATGCCAGCGACAGGTGAGATCAGCCAAAGGAATATAGCAGGCCATTGTAATATTTGACCATTTTTCTACAAGTTCACATTTTTGAAAATAAAAAATTTAATAAAAGCAAATAAAACAGGGAAAAATACAGCCAGGGGAGCCATGCCAAGCCTCCCTGCCCATCTGCCCCTCTCATGGGCTGCCCCCAGGATGGAGGCTGCCCCTGTAACACAGCGCCCATCGGTGAAAGGGTTTCAGGTGATTCACCGAGCAGTCCAATCTCATTCATAGGCACGGGTACCAAGACTACTTCGAGCTCCCGACTGCCAGGGCATGCAGAGAAGAACAAATCAGACGCAGCTCCTGTCCTCGTGGGACTCACAGTCTAGACGCATTCAGATCAGAGCACAAGCAAACTCCGCCCTGCGCAAAGGCACCGACTGCGCATGTGCTGAAGGGAACAGCCGGCAGCAGCAGCAGCCAGGGCAAGAGGCACAGGGGAGCAAAGCCAGGACAGGGAAGCCCACCCTGATGGGCTCCAAGAACTCAGGACAACGGTTCCAGGCAGCAGCCACCACCCCGCCACACGATGAGGACCAGAGGCCCGCGTGCCAGGCACCATGAGGTACAGCTAGAGGGTGCAGGGTGAGGTCCGGGAGCTACGTGGTGCCGGCCTGGAAGGTCACACTACAGGTATGGATCTTATTCTGATGGAGTAGGGCCTGCGTCCACCCCCGACCCTCTCCCTCTGTGCTGTCCAAAGCCTGCAGCTGATGATGAGATCAAGAGCAGAGCCCTCTGACGTCGTGCTTGCTGCCTGTCCAACACAGCTCTAAGCACGCAACGTCTCTGAGCCAATTCAGTCCCCACATTAGCCCAGTCAGGAAGATGTGACTATTATCCCCATTTCACAGATGGAAAAACTGAGACAATGTGAAATCAATGTGAAAAGGGCCCTTGTGGTAAACAGCTCTGTACCGGGTTGAATTGTGTCACCCGCATAGTTATGCTCAAGTCCTAACCCTGGGCACATGTGAGGGAGACCTTATCTGGCAGCAGTGTCTTTGCAGATATAATTGGGTCAAGATGTGCTCATATGGGGTGAGAGTGGACCTAATCCAACGGGACTGGTGCCTTCATAGGAAGAGGGAAATTTGGACACAGACACACACACAGTGAAGACGGCAGAGGCCGCAGTAATGCACCTCGGAGTCAAGGAATCCCAAGAAGAGCCAGGGACACTGGAAGCTGGAAGAGGCAGGAAGCGTCCTGCCCTGGAGCCCTCAGAGGGAGCACAGCCCTGCCCGCATCTCGATGGCAGACTCCCGATTCTGCTGCTGTAAGCCCCACCGTTTGCGGTCATTCGTTATGTGGTCATTTGTTAGTGGCCCCGGACGTGAATATCAGCTCTAGAAAGGGTTCTCAGATGTGCATAACAGGGGCCAGTCCCACCCGCTACAAGAAGCTGGTGGCATGGGGGATCTTCTACAGGTTGTTGTTGGCATCGATTAGGGAACAACTGTGCCCCTTGTCAGCCACCCCAGCCCCAAAACCGTATCAGAATGGAGGTCCTGTAGACCCCACAGGAAAGAAAAATGAAAGTCAAGCGGTCACTACTTCTTTCCCTTCCTTTTTCCCTTGGGGCATCATTGACTACATTATAAGCTGGACCACACTGGAATTCTCCCATATTCAGGCTGGAGCTGTTTTGATGGACAGCTGTCTGCAGAAGGGCAGATACTTCCAGGGGCTGTGCCTGCAGGACAGGACAGGGCAGCCACCATGGCCTCCCTGGGACCCCAAGTCAGATACCTGATCAAATTAGCACATGCAGCTGTTCAAATCGTGGTCCTGAAACCCGATGACTGGTTCTGCGAGGGGCCAGGGACAACATATAGAAGAGAACCAGCTTTCTAATGAAAACATTTGCGGGAGAAACAAAGGAGACTTCCTCTCAGAGCCCGCCCTGTCTGCAGACCTTCCCTGGGAAGAGGGAGAGAAGAGGGAGGAAACAGGGAGGTCAGGACGGCGGGATGGGCACGGTGGGAGCCCCAGACCCTCCCTCACTGCACAGTGCCTGTCCCTAGCTGGCGGACTCCAGCCCCTGCCTGCCCTGGCATTTCAGAATATCTGATTCCTGACCGGGGGGGGCCATCTCAGTAAACAAACATTTAGGCTTACTGTGAGCTGTTCGGCATGCATTTTCCTCACAGTGAAATAAGCCAATCCTGCAGGATTTGGAATTTTGCAAGTTTTCATTTGGGAGTAAACAAGCCCCTTTGATTTCTCTCTCAAGGTACGCCGGGAATAGATATTTTGGTCTCACATCCAAGCAGGGAGGTCGTCTGTTTTTTGTATAACAGTAGTGGCTGTTTAGAGAAAGGATCGGTAGTTAAACTTTCAAGTCTCAGCCAGAAATTACACATAAACAAACTGTCGTGACGGCACCAATGAGTGCCAGATGAGGCCAGGTAGAGGGCTGGGGGCTTCTCCAGGCTGCCCTAGATCCAAGGATGAAAAGACACCGCAAGCCGCCCCACCGTGCACACAGCAGGCACACTGTAAACACACACCTGGACAGTGGAAATCCAAATCGCAGAATTTGCACTCAGGCCCAGCCCTGCGTGTGTGTGAATTCCCTAGAAAGACGTTTCTGCTGCCCTGCACTTGGAGCATTTTGGTGGCTGCCTGGGGGCAGGGACAGCGAAGGAGCAGAGGGTTTCACTGCACAGTAGTGATGGAGGCCACATTGCTGGCGGAACTACACCGTAGACTAAATGCAACGCGGCGGACTAGGGTTCTGCAGAGGTGGAGGATGTGAAGACACTCCACCCTGACTCTTAAGTCAGATGATGATACAGAGAGCAGGGCTGGTTATCACAAGAGGGACGAGATAATGCTGCTCCCACAAACACACTCGCTTTCCCGGGGGTGATGTGGCACCATTGAGCTATCGTGGTAAACCGCAGCTGACATGGCCACCCCGACTTATGGGCCAGGCTTCTGTGAAGCAGCTGACACCCATCGTTACTTTTAATTCTCCCAATATCTTGCCAGGTAGACACTGTTATTTTTTCATGCTACTGGTGGGCTAGCTGAGGCTTTGGGAAGTTCAGGAACTTGAGTGAGTCCCGCAGGTGGGTCACGGAGGAGCGGGCCACAGCACCCATGTTGGCTGAGGCTTCAGGAAGTTTAGTAGCTTGAGTGAGTCCCGTAGCTGGATCACAGAGGGGCGGGCCAGAGCACCCATGTCGGCCTGACCCCTGGGCACCCTGTGCTTTTGTATTGGGAGGCTGTTCTTTCTTAATGGCCTTTTCTGCCTGAAATAATTATAGTCGGCTCAGTAATTTCACAGAGTATCACTAATGTATCCACTAATCCATTCAACAAATACTTACTGGGTTGCTATTGTGTCGGGCACTGGGAGGTATCTGCACAAAGGATGTGTCTAGGCGGTGAAGATAAACCAGTGAACAAAAAAGACAAAAATCCCTGCTCTGCCAACGCTGGCATTGTAGAGGGGAGAGACAGATAAACGTAGCGAAGAAGTAAATTGTAGAACATGCTAGGAAAAAAAGAACCAGGCCTGGGTGGGGGTTGGGAGACCTGGGTTAGAGTGTGCATGTGGATTTACTACCGGCCAGTTCTATGCTGGAAGCCAAGGGTTAAGATAGGAGGAAGGCCAGGCTTCTGCGCACAGGAAGCTCACGGCCCATCACGAGAGACCAATATGGGAACCATCATCACCACGCTGTGGGAAAAGGACTATGTGGAGGCAAGAAGAAGGCGATGTGGGAACAGGAGGGAAAGTGTCTACATCTCTCCCAGGTAACCCCAGGGAGCTGCACAGAGTCACATCCGTGCATGTATGTTACATCCCCTGCCAGGTCACTGCCACAGCCACAGCTCGCTGTTGCCATTTCTGACCCATTAAGTGTTAACACAAGCTAAAATCCTCACTGCATTCTCAGAACGGCTCCACGAGAAAGAAACTGAGGCTCAAAGAGAGAAAACAGCCTGCCTCGGTCCCACAGAGTTGACGGTGGATTCAGAATCCCACCAGATCTGTGTCTGTCTCTAAAAGCCCACTCAAATCCAGAATCTTATACTGCAATACTTTTGAAGGAAAGAACTATTTCTTGTCTTCCCTCTATCTGCTGTAGACCTAGCACAGTTTCCTGAATAGATGAGATGCTCGGTAAACAGCTGTTGAATAAATGAATGTATTTTGTAGTCATATGTGGTCTATGCTTTGTTTCCTGTATATAGCCATTCTCCCTCTCTCTCTTTCTCTCTCTCTCAATCTCTCTCCCTGTTCCTCCCTCCCTCCCTCCCTCTCACTTTTCCTCTCCCTCTCCCCCTCTTCCTCTGCCTCTCTTTCTGCATTCCTTCCTTCCCCTACATGAGCAGGAGAGAGAGAAACATTTAGAGACACATTTCCCTAGGATTACATGTGTGTACCCAGCTCATCTGCTGGCTGAAGGATTAGCTGTCTTTTCTCCCAGTGGCTTTACTCTGTGCTACCTGACAAGAGGCTGTTTGGAAGACCCTAGGTTTTGGAGCAACATGGCACTTTGGCTTCCTTCTCCTCATGTCCAAGTTACTCACTTCTCAGGATGCAAGGGCACTGGGTTATTTGCCCAAACCTGTGGCCTGGTGAAAGGCTAGGCCTCACGCCAGCCCCAGGGCCAGGTGGCCTCTCTTCACAGTCCTCAGCAGCCCATAGGAGGGGAGCCAAGCTCAAATCCAATTAGTGGCTCCTCACAAGTCCCTCCTGAGGGGGAAGGCACAGAAGGGTGAGGCTGCACATCAAAGACTTCACCTCCTCCCTGCGCTGAGGTTCGGCCCAGGTCCATGGAGCAGGCTGCAGAGGAACTCCATCCAAGATCCCCTGTGAGCTTGGAAAAGTCCTCCTGGAGCGGGGTGGGCCGTGGTTTTAGGTGGAGTCAGGCTCTGAGTCCAGGACATCAGAGGTTTCTCTGAAGCCTTTCCAAACCTTTCACATTGGAGAAATTGCAGTGGGAGGCTGCCACCCTCCAGCCCTGCAGTGAGACTTCTGACACCTCTGCCCTCCATCCTGGCCAGAAACAGTGAGGCCAGCTTCTTCGCTCCCACACCCCACGCACTTTCAGCTGCACACAGAGCCCCCATTGACTTCAAAGGGAAGAACGGAGAAGAAACAGGGACTGCCTGTCAGCAGAGGTTCCTGTGTGAGTTCAGCACTCACAGGTCTGACCCCGACAACACAGCCAAATATCCATCCGGGGTAGAATGGGATGGGGATAGGATAGGTGGAAAGAGACCCCCTGAAAACTAGGCAGGCCCAGCCATGTTTGCACAGAGGCGCAGCTCCCAAAGTGCCTGGAAGCCCCAAAGGGGGACCAGCTTTGTTCCAGGAATTGTCTTCCAGAAATGAGGCCTGAGGGATGTGTACAAGCCCCACCTCCCTGAGGTCTGCTCAGCCACAGTGGCCACCAAGCCCAGCGTGGCTCCACTTGCTGTCAGAGTCAAAGGAAATGCAGGAGGAGGCTGCCAGCACACCCACGCCCCTTGCAACGCGTTCCCCATGGCAGCAGCCAATGCTGCAGAGAAGTGGGCATGACCGGAACTAAGTGGGCTTGCAGAATCACAGGCCCCTCAGAAACCTGCAGGGTGGACAGCAAAGAAAAGGAGGCCAGAGGCCTGTGGCAGCCTGTCCCCAAGCCACACAGCCAGGAGATGGCAGGGCTGGGACCAGCGGGTGAGTCTTTTCTTCTGCTTGTCTTTTTCATATGCTATTTCCAAGGGAAGAGCTAACTGGAGATAGATAGGACCCATCATTCATTCATTCATTTAATTACTCATTCATCCATTTAATAAATATTACCAAAGACCTTCTCAGGGCTAGACTCTAGATCAACCCTGGGAGACACAAAGGATAAGTCAGAATTTATATATAGTCTGATGGAGGATATAGGGAGGGGGAAGGAGAGCTAATACATGCTAATACAAGAATTCCATCTCTGAGTATCTACCCAAAAGAAATGAAACAGGTATTTAAACAAATGCTTTCACACAAATGTTCACTGCCGCATGATTCACAACAACCAAAATATGGAAAGAGTCCACATGTCTGTCAACAGATGATGGACAAAGAAAAACATGCCATACAATGGAATATGATTCAGCCATAAAGACGAGTGAAGTGCTGATTCATGCCACAGTGTGGATGAACCTCAAAAATATGACACTACGTGAAAGAAGCCAGACACAAAAACCACATATTTTATAGTTTATATGAATGTCCAGAATAGGTAAGTTCATGGAGGCAGAAAACAGACTCGCTGTTGCTGGGGGATGGAGGATGTGAGGAGTGACTGTTAATGGGGAGAGGGTTTCTTTTTGGGGGGGCGGTGAACATCTCATCAAACTAGATAGAGGTGGTGATGACACAATGACACAGCACTGTGAGTACACTGAAGGCCCCTGAACTACACTCTTTAAAGTGGTTCCTTGTATGTTATGTGAATTTTACCTATGAAACAAAATATAAAACTAAAGGATAATAAAAGAGATAATGAAATTAAGCACAAAGGAAGGACAGAGTTTTTCGTTGTCTTTTTGTTTTTGTTTGTTTGTTTGTTTGAGACGGAGTTTCACTCTGTCACCCAGGCTGGAGTGCAATGGCACGATCTCAGCTCACTGCAACCTCCACATCCCAGGTTCAAGCAATTCTCATGCCTCAGCCTGCCGAGTAGCTGGGATTACAAGCATGCACCATCACACCCGGCTAAGTTTGTATTTTTAGCAGAGACAGGGTTTCGCCACGTTGGTCAGGCTGGTCTCGAACTCCTGACCTCAGGTGATCCACCCACCTCGGCCACTCAAAGTGCTGGGATTACAGGCATGAGCCACCTTGCCCGGCCCATTACTTGTCTTAGAAGTGTGATGCACACACAGAAAGTGCACCTAGTATGAGCTTACAGCTTTCTGCAAACTGTGATAGGGACCTAGGCCAAGAAACAGAGACAGAGCGGTCCCCAGAAGCCCTCTCTGCCCTTCCAAGGGCCACAATTCTCCCAGATTTTTTTGACCTTGACATAGATGGAGACACAGTAGATACTCGTTTTGTGTGCGGCTTCTTTGGTTAATAACGTTTTTGTGACCTTCCTCCAGGTTATTGGGTGTAGCTGTTTGTGCTTCTAGAGTATATATTGCATGAACGTATAATTGATTACCTTGCTATTGATGGGCATTTGGGCAGTCGGGTTAGGGCTGTCACGAACAGCGCTGCTGCTATGGATATTCCTTCAGTGCATATTTCTTGGTGCACACATTTCTTTCGAGTCCATACCTGGGAGTGGATTTGGTGAGACATGGCATATGTGCGTGTTCACCATTAATAAGTAAAATGGCATGTGAGCAGAAGGCGTCTTGGAGGTGATGATGTTGGAGCCAGTTCTGGCTGGGCACATGCATGTTGGGTGGAGAGGAGCTAAGGAAGCACGTTTGTGGTTCCAGACAGAGAGAGTGGCCTGGGAAAGGCAGTAGATGACAAGCACAGGATGTGCATGGAGAACACAGGAGTCAGGGTCCCATGGCCCCAGAGGGTGAGTGTGAAAATGATGGTAGTGGGGCTGAACAAGAGGCAAAGAACAAGCCCTGTTGCTCAGGGTTTAACAGCCACCTGGCAATCCAGTCTTGACCCAGGAGTGCTGGGGAGCCTTGGAGGATGGAGCAGGGAGGCTGGTGATTGGGACTGGGCAGTCCACTGGAGGGGGCCCCAGGACGGGTCTGTGTGTACCAGGGCCTGGCCCTGCTCTTGCTTGGCACTGGAAGTATTATCAGGAAATGTGTGGGGACTATATCAACCACCTGACATCAGCACTGTGCTTTCCACCCCAAGGTCAGGCATTTGTAGAAGTTTCCAGTGACTCACCAAAACCTACTGTTGTCTTTAAAGCCTTTAATTTGTGCCTTAGAGACTTGCTTGACATTTGCATTCTGCCTTATCGCATGTCTGCATTTGTTTGAGAGCATTCCTTATCTGAGCGGGGACTCGCTGGACGTGCACCAATTCCGTCTCTTCTGCCTGGGCACACGGGAGACCACATCTCCCATCCCCCTCTGCAGGTGGGTGGGCTCCTTTATTTGGGTCCCAACCAATGCATCGTGAGTGGAAGGGACCTGGGCCACTCATTGCTTTTCATGCAGAGAACGTGGAGGCTGTGAAGCAGGATTCCGAGCAGGACCTCAGCGAGGCCACTGTCACAGGACGGAAGCATCAGGGAGCCCGAGTCATTCCTTGGAGGGCAGCCGTCCAGGAGAGGCACCTGAGGGCATCAGTCTGTGACGTGAGTCAGAAGCGAACTCACTGCTTTACACCTCCAGGGCTCTGGGAGTTACCATGGCAGTAAGTGATAACTACCTTGGCAAACACATTCCCCGATCCTTTAGGAAAACTGACACTCCAGAAAAATGA
Source organism: Homo sapiens (assembly GCF_000001405.40). Classification (NCBI taxonomy): domain Eukaryota; kingdom Metazoa; phylum Chordata; class Mammalia; order Primates; family Hominidae; genus Homo; species Homo sapiens. Next base: position 86,902,265 of record NC_000016.10, read on the forward strand.
GCCATTCTTGTTTGTTTGAGATGGAGTCTCGCGTTGTTGCCCAGGCTGGAGTGCAGTGATGTCATCTCAGCTCACTGCAACCCCCGCCTCCCGGGTTCAAGCGATTCTCCTGCCTCAGCCTCCCGAGTAGCTGGGACTACAGGCGCCCGCCATCACGCTCAGCTAATTTTGTGTATTTTTAGTACAGACAAGGTTTCACTATGTTGGCCAGGCTGGTCTCAAACTCCTGACCTGGTTATCCGGCCGCCTCGGCCTCCCAAGGTGCTGGGATTACAGGCGTGAGCCACCGCGCCCGGCCAATGAGCCATTCTTACATGCTGCGTTGGAGTCCATTCCTAGCACACCTCTTCACCCCAGCCTTTCCCCAACTGAAGCCAGAGTGCTGCCAAGTACCAGGGCAATCATCTCCAGAGACTCCAGGATAAGAATTTGTAATGCAAAAAGAAAGGCATGGAAACAACCACACATTAACACCTGCCGTGTGGCTCTTTCAATGTCTGGGTGCCCCACACCCTGCATCCTTGCATTAATGCGGGTACTCAAAATCAGCAGTGCTTGCATTCTCATTAGCAAGGATTTCCCCGCCTCTAAAGTTACTGTGATTGTATTCAACTCTCAGTCTCCCTTTACATAAGTCACTGTCCTCACGTTCAGGGGAATTTGCATTCTTCCAATTGCATGTATCAATGTCTACACCAGACTATTTCTCTCTCTTCCTCTGGTCCTTCAAAATACAATTCCAGGAGGGCAATGATACGAGTAATTACTTGCATGTGCTCTGCTTTCTGGAGTCCATTGAACACTTTCACAGGTATCCAATGAGTTCTTCCTTCTAGGGCAGAATTACTATCTCCATCTTCATCTTGGAGAGGGGAGGAATGGTAAAATGGTACGCAGTCACTACCTGTTACCCCCCTGGGCTTTGGAGACACTAACCCTCTTTGAGTCCCAGCCTTGCCTTTTACTAGCTGTGTGACCTTGGGCAAATTGCTTGACCTCCCTGTTCTCCATTTTCTTCATCTGTTAAATAGCAATAATACCTTTCTCATGGGGTTGTTGACCCATTACTGGGGTGTAGCATAGTAGAAATGAGAAGTGAAGGGACACACAGTGCTCTTAGAGGAGTTGGAGTTCCAAGTGAGGAGTTTTTTAAAATGGGGAATTATGGCACTGAACAGGAAGCTTTAGGGATGATTTGGTCCAAACTCGCTGTCTTGTAGGTTCTCAGTCTGGGACATAAAGAGGTGAAGCAGCTTCAATTGTCAAAGGGCCCTTTCACTAGATCACTGGGTCTCAATACAGATGCATACTCAGATTATCCAAGCAGCCCAGGTCCCACTCCTGGCTAATTAAGTTAGGGTCTCTGCAGGTGGGGAGGGTTACGTTTAAAAAAGCTCCCCAGGTGACTCTAATGTGCAACCAGGTGTGAGACCACCTGACCCTTGAACATCTTATGCCCATCATGGTAAATGATGGAGAGACAGTTTCCCCAGTGAGCTCCACCGCCTCAAAATGAGGACTGCTCCTTGCATAGGATCTCCACCCTCTCTTCTGACCCTGTCTTTATGGAAACATGCTGATATGGTTTGGCTCTGGGTCCCATTAAAATCCCATGTCGAATTGTCATCCCCAGCGTTGGAGGAGGGACCTGGTGGGAGGTGATTGGATCGTGGAGGCAGATCTCCCCCTTGCTGTTCTTGTGAAAGTGAGTGAGTTCTCACGAGATCTGGTTGTTTAAAAGTGTGTGGCACCTTCCCTATCTCTCCCTTCCTCCGGGTCCTGCCATGTGAGACGTGCCTCCTTCCTCTTCACCTTCCACCATGATCGTAAGATTCCTGAGGCCTCCCCAGCCATGCTTCCTGTACAGCCTATGGAACTGTGAGCCAACTAAACCTCTTTCCTTTATAAATTACCCAGTCTCAGGTAGTTCTTTATAGCAATGCAAGAACGTGCTAGATGTGCACCAATTCTGTCTCTTCTGCCTGAGCACACGGGAGACCACTTCTAACCACTCAGTGCTCGGCTCATAGGAGGTCTTCAGGTAATCCTCATTGACTGGAGGAAACAGGGTTGCTCTATGTTGAGTGCGGGGGACACAGTTGCTGTATGTTGACTGGAGGGAACAGGGTTGCTGTATGTTGAGTGGAGGGGCAGGGTTGCTGTATGTTAAGTGGAGGAGACAGAGTTGCTCTGTGTTCAGTGGAGGGGACAGGGTTATTCTGTGTTGAGTGGCGGTGACCAGGTTATTCTAAGCTGTCTGGTTTCTAAGCTGAAGGCTGATACGATGTCTGTGAGCCATGTCTCTTCCCATCAACAACCACAACTGCAGGATTTGTGCTGGGTTTTCCTGGTTTGGCTGTTATGTGACCACCCAGCACACAGGTATCTCTGGGAATATGTTAGATTTTTTTAGGTAGAAACATTTTATTTACTATGGAGATAACATTTTATAAGGGCCGACACTGGGCCAAGTCTATCATGTCCATGACTCTATGTGTTTCCATAACAGCTCTTATAAGATGAGTATCACTACCCTCATCCAACAGACAAAGAAACCAGAAACCAGACAGGTGAAAACCTTGCCTGGATCACCCAGCCAGGAGGTGAGGAATCTGGAATTAAACTCCCAGTGAGAACATCCCACCTTCCCCGCTCCAGCTCTCCCCACAACCCACACTTCAGGCTGAACTCTCCAAGTCGCATTCCAAGGCTGTGGGACACACCTCTGTTTTATAGTCAGAGAAGCCTCCTCAGGCCCCCTAGACAGAGGGGGCAGTCTTCTCTAAGGACTGCAGAGTCTCGGGGGGTGTCAGAAAGAGAAGACCCCTCAGATGCTGCCTATTCCAAACCAGCAAACCCAGGCCTAGACAGGTTCAGAGGGTTGTTCTGAGCCCTTATTTTGTTCCCAAAATAAGGGCTCCTTTTCTAAAGGCTGTGACCATACAGGCTCTTGTAACCTCTCAGTGCCGGGCTCATAGGAGGTCTTCAGGTAATCCTTGTTGAGTGGAGGGGATAGGGCTTCACCAGACGTGGGACCCCCATGTGGGTTTTTCTTTCATTGCTTTCTTTTGGCTCGAGTTTCCCCACTCTGGGAGGGAAGTGGAGGACAGAGCTCTCCAAGTGTCATAGAAGGAGAAGTTGGATATTGCAGAAATCTTGGAATCACTCTGTCCTGCTCGTGCTCACACACGCAAGACATCAGACATCACGTGGGCCAGCGTCACATGGGCCAGCATCACGTGGTGCTCGGTGTCCCACCAGCGTGAGCACCAGCAGAGTAAAGTGTGCCAGGTCCTCCCAAGGGAACACAGTGTCAGCAGCAGAGCCCAGATGCAAATCCAGAACATTGGACTTCTTCAGTATTCCACTTCTTCCACGTTTCCAAGTTTCTAGCAGCTTCTCACCTCATGATCTTTCCTTTGTGAGTCCATTTGGAGGCCTTGAGGATAAATTTAGAAATTTATTATAAGACTAAAAATTAGAACTCACTTCAGTCTCTTTTCTCCCCTTGAGGATATGTGAAGAGTAAAATGAGAGACTGCCACACAGACTCCCAGATTCAAACATCTACAGAAGCCAGGCCTGTGGTTTAAATAAATGAAGTGCACCAGATGTGAGGTAACTGGGTGTGGTGGGGACTGTGGCACACTGGAAAGCACAGCTTTGTCCAAAGGGGATGCCCACTGCCCACCTCCAGCCAGTGTCTGCTAGGCAGAAGGCCCAGCTTCAGCCAGATCTTCTGATTTATCAAGAAAAGCTGGAGATCTAGGGTTTATTATTTTTTAAGAGCAAAAATATACTTTATTGTAAGCAATACCATGTATCTGCTCAGGTGGGGTCTCCTTACTTCGCTCCCATCCACTCTCTGAAGGTTTGGGAGACTTTTCCAAAGTATTTCAGAAACTCTATTAGGATCTTTTCTCAATTGGTCTCCCACTTTGGGCAGAGATCTGTGGATATCCTTGGATTGTATCATTTGTCCTTTGTCCACCTGAATCTGAAACCAGTGATTTTCTTGTTCCTTTCTCCAATGGTATATTTGTTGAATCGTGACCTTTCACTTTTGTTTGACTATTAACCACTTCCATTGCTGTCTCGGTCTTCCCCTCACTTTTAACTAACTTCTCTTGATGTAGGAAATAGTTAAGTTGATGCTGAGCCTTTTCAGCTTGCTGTAAAGCCTGTTTCAATTGCTCCTGAAGGACTTTTTAAGTGCTGTGAGATGAGTTTTTAAAATTTAAACACATCTATGGACTGATTCGGTTCCCAACCCACCAGGCACACCCTCTGCTGTACAGTATTAGAATATCTGAGGTAGGGACGTCACTGAGCCTCTAAACTGTAAGCCATCCCCACACGGCCCGCTCTGCCATGACCAGGAAAAGGAGAAGTCTCCTGGCAGAAATGACAGCTGACATCGATTGTTTGAAATCGGACATGTCTGTATAACCTGCCACCCGACTTTACGTAAGTAGTCGACACTGCTATTAGCAGCTGGACTTCAAAGCGTGATGCGGACAGCAGGCGGGAGGCCTGCGCAGTGTCTCTGTTTTCATCCTGTTATTAATGAGAGTTGGTTTACACGAGCCTCAAGTGCTGATAAGGGCGTCTGAGGATCGTCACTGTAAATGCTCCGTAGACAATTTATTAGACAGCCAAGCCCAGCCCATTAGTCATGGACTATTAGAAGACTTTTTAGATGTTGTTTTTAAATCATCTTTTGAACTCCATTAGCCTTGAACTTCATGCAGGTAATATCAGGGAGGATGGCAGCTGAGGGTCGTCTGGTAGCCGTTGCAGCAATTTCCATCCGGACGTTTGCACGGGATTGTCAAGGCTTGATGCTGTGGCGGGTGGGAGAGCCGGGGGACACTTTAATTTACCCTCTAACCAGCTGCAGAGCTCTGGAGAAGTCACCGGGCATGTCCAGGCCTCAGCACCTTCAGCTGTAAGACTGGAGCATTAAACCTGGGGCTCCACAGACGTCTTCTGTCTAGGGTGGTCAACATCCCTGTTTGCCTTGAACTTCCCTAGTTTTCTCACTGGAAGTTCCATGTCCCAGGAAAACCCGAGTAGCCACCCTCCCTCCAGCCCTAAATTTTATAAAGCCCATCAAACCAGGAGCCACGAAGGCAATCTCTCACTGTCAAAGGTTGGCAGTGAATGCAGAGGTGGTGTGGACGTGTCAGGTCAGCCCCATCATCTGAGAGCCTCACAAGAAACTGTCCTCTGCATCACAAACCTCTGCCTGAGGATCTAGAGTTCTCACAAAGGATCTAGAGTTCTCACAACGTCTGAAGAGGGTTGCAAAGAATTGCTTGGGTCTAAGGTCATCGTGGGTTCTTTCATGGAAGAACAATATATGGCTGCTGCACTCTCAGCTGATTTTATTTCAATATACACGTATCAAGGGGCTTTTTGTGAGCCAGAAGTTAGGCTGGATGGGGATAGCCCTGCCCTCAATGCTGATGCAGTCAATGCTGATCCAGTTCACTCAGGGACAGCCATACCGTCATCCTGCCACACTCATTATCACACACTTCCTTGGTGTTGTGTTTTGTAGGAGGCAGAAAAGGGATAGAGAAATCTGACTTGAGGTCTCAGGGTGAAAACTTCCAGCTGGCACTCAGGCTCCACTTGTGCGAGAGAATGCCTGGATTGTGTTAAAGTGCAGGTTCTGATCCCATGGGTCTGGGTGGGTCTGAGATCATGAATCTCCAGATCTTGTTAAAGTGCAGATTCTGATCCCATGGGTCTCGGCGGGCCTGAGATCCTGCATCTCTAACAAGCACTGGGTGATATCACTGCTGCTGGCTCAGTGACCAGCTTTGGGCAGCCAGGAGCTGGGTAACTGGCTCCCTGGGGGCAGTAACTGATTCGATCTCACTCATCTTTTTTCTGTAGGAATGAGCAGACCCTCAGAAGGAGCCAACTGGACACATGAACAGAAGGGATGAATGAATGAACAGAAGGGGTGAATGAATGAACAGAAGGGATGAATGACTGAACAGAAGGGATGAATGAATGAATGGGCCATCACTTAACATGGGCTCGCCCACCACGGCTCCTGGTCTTGCGTTTCTCTTTTCCTCAGCATTTCTGTGCATTTCCAGTCTTTCCCCATTTGGTGCAGTCTACATTTCTGAGAATATTCTTGATTACTTGTTGGATAATCAACCAATGGAAATGCCCAGGGGAGAACCTGATTATGCCCCAATCCTCCTTCTTCCAAGCCCACACGGCCACAGCTGGAAGTCCATTTGCTTCTTAAATGAGCCAAAAGATGGCAATTCTCTTCTTCTCTCATCCTCTCTGCACTTACTGCATCCTCACCAATGATTTGAGAACTTCGTTTATATTTCTTTTATTCCAATATAAAAGTATTAAAATAACCAGAGACATCATCTGAGATATGAACAGGATGTGCAATTCAGTATATTAGAAATAGCCTAAATGTCAAAAGAAGGGATTAACTGAATAATGGAGGGTGTATCCTTAGGCATAGGTATTTGCTGCCATTAAAAAACCATATTTTTGCATGTGAACAACAGGAAGAAATCACCATATAATAATAATTAGAAGTGCAAGTTTGAAAAACTATAGAGAGCATAATATTGATTTTGTAGAAAAGTATTCCACACAGAAAAGCACAAGAGAAACTGAATCAAAATCATAACAGGTTAGTGCTGGGTGGCAGAGTCTCCTTGTCCTTGGGCAAAATAATCCAACACAAGGCCAGTTGGGAGTCAGATTTCTGGGTAAAATCTCAGCTCTACTACCAGCTGGTTCTCTGGCCATGGGCAGGGTTCCTATCTGGTTGGTGCCTTGTTTTCTGTAAAAATGGAGATGATTCTACCCCCGAACTCCTAGGGCTGGAGGGATGAATCTGGTAAAGCACTTAGACAAAATTAAGGGGCTAATGAACAAACACTGTCAGCACCCACCAGGAGGATAAACCTGGGGGAGCTGAGACACCCCTGCCCCACCCCCACCCAGGTACAACACACACACACAAATGCACACACAAACACACACCAATACACATTCACAAACAAAGGCACACACATACAAACACAAACACATACACACACGCACACATATACAAATGCACACATATACAAACACACAGAAACGAATACACAAACACATAAATGCACACACATACAAACACACATAAACAAATACACACACAAACACACATATATACAAATGCACACATACACAAACACAAACACGAATACACACACAAACACATAAAGGCACACACAAACACAAATACACACAAAAACACACACACACAACTGCACACACATACACACAAATACATGCAAACACACACAAACATACACAAACGCACGTACACACAAACATGCACGAACACACCCACACACAAACACACATACAAACACAGACACACAGAAACACAAATGCACACCCGAACACACATATAACCACACAAACACCCATACACACACACACCCCCACACACAGGCACCCTTCCCTCTCTGCTTCAGCCTCCGTTTGGCTCCTTGCCCCGTCCCACGAGCCCTCTGCCATCGAAGGCCCCTTGGCCATTGTCTGCTTCCTGCCTGCCCCTCACCTACTGAGAGGACAGGTGGGTGAGTAGAGCTGCAGGTGGGGAGGCACCTTCTTAGAGAATTGGACGCTCCTGCCTCCAGTGAGGCTACAAGTGCCGCTCGCTTTCTGAGTACCAGGCCCAGAAATCTCTGAGACAGCCTTCTTGGAGGGATAGGAGGCGGCGGCAGAAACACGCAGGCCCAGCTTAGCAACAGTGAGATCCTTGTGCCGGGCAGGCTAACACTTGAAACCGCTCTAGAGTTGTATTCTGTCGAGTCCCCTGTTGGGTCCCACCCCATAATATGCACACACACAGTTTGGGATTTTCTAAATGACAGCACCCGTTAATTGTCTGGTTAGGTATGACCTATTAAACATTTACCGCCCATTTCCTGTACACGTCTGGTGAGGCCGGCAGGAAATTTAGAACAAATTAAACAGCAGCTGCAGTCCCTCATGCTTTAATGGTCCCTCCACGATCCTGTGCGGGATTGTAAAATATGAGGGCAGATCTATTAGGGACAGGCTGGTTTCGTCAAGGAAGCATCCACCTCCCCGTCCTCCTGCCAACCAGACCCCATAAAGTTAAATTGGCCAGTGAGCATCTTCCCCTCCCCGGCTTCCACCCACACTGCCATAGATGAGGTTTTCCATCCCCACACCCCACTCACCTCTTCTCCAGGCCCCCACCCCTCCCAACCGTTCCCACACGATTTCACATGTGGTCCTAGAGGGGCACTTCCTGCCGTTATAAAAAGCAAAACCAAGACCCCAGCAAAAACAGCCTGTGTGCAGAACACCCAAGTCGACAGTGTGAGAGCGAAGGCCTAATCCATTCCATATGACAAACAGCAGTGGCCCGCAGGGGCCGGCCAAACCCTGAGGAGAATTCAGAACAGTCCCTCCACCCCCTCCCCTGCCCTGGGTTCCTCGCTGCACCCCCTTCTCCCCACTCCCTTCTCAAGTGGACCCTTCAAAACAGGAGAAAAATATTCTTAGGAGCATGCCCCTAACTTTAAACTGATTATGTTTGGGTTTAATAGCCTACTATGCATTGTTCTTTCTTCACTTTGAAAATAAACTCTAGGAAGCATTAATGCAAATACAATATAAACACGCTCGTTCCTAAATTTTCAAATGTCCCTGGCGTGTTTGGGCTTGCTCCTTAAGGTTACGGGTTAGGTTGATGTAAGAACCAGATGGATCTTTAAGTTGGAAGCTTTGCAGCCCTCGCCATGTAAACAGACAGCTGTCCAGATGATGGGAGGTATAACAGAGCCCCAGGAACAAGGCCTTGGATAACTGCTTGCATTGTCTTTCCTGAACCAGCAAAATGCACAAGCTCTGTGAGGGCTCCTTCCTCTGCAGCAAAATGACAAACATCACTTTAGTTACAGAAGGAGGTGCAATTATAGAGGTGTTGATTCCAGGAGTGAATGAAAGTAACAGCTTTCTATAGTGACCACACTTTCCTCCACCTCTTTATGTTTCTGTAGCTAGCCTTTTCATGCTAAAGGATCTTGTTCCCATCGACAAATGCCCTTCGTTCATTCAGTCCCCATTGAGAGCCAGCAAATAGAACAATCCCTGTCACTGTTACCCTCCAAGGGTAACTTCATGTGCTTATCAGTGACCACATCCAAAGGAGAACCTTTCTACTTCCTGTTTCCTACTTCCTGCTTCCTGCTCCCAAGTTCCATAAACCATTCTCCTTGAGAGGTGCTAAAAATGGAAAGGACAAGATGAAAGAGTTGGCCAAGAGATTTACACCAGCCCATAAAAGTCTCTGCAGTGCTCTGAAGACTAAATTGTCGCTTCTACTTTAACTTAACCTTTCACTGAGTGGTGATCTGAATGTCGTCTATGATTCCACTAAAACCTACGAGGCTTACCATTTGTGGTTTGGTTGTTCTGGATGACTTGACAAATTAGCCTAGTAAATTTTGGATGTCTTAAGCACTAAATTAGGTCATTTGTTTAATGAGCCAATCCACTGCCCAGAGTTTGACCCCAGCCCACTGGGGTGAGTTCACATGGAGTTCCACTGTGGAGGCCGGTGGCCCCTCATTTGTCTTAGGCTTCTAGAGAAACAGCTCCAGAATTAGGGCTGGAATCTGAATTCCAACCTTAACATTGATTCATTAGTGAACATTAACAAAGTGAATTCTTTGGCCTCAGTTTCTCTCCCTCCCACTCTCTTTCTCCAGTATCATTGTCATCATCATCATCATCACCATCATCATCACCCTGCCCCTCAAACGGTGCACAAGCACAATCTCACCCAGCTCTCACAATAACCCCATGAGGCAATGCCCTCACTATCCTCATTTTCCAAATCTTGAAACTGCTGGCTTTCCCAAGAGCACACTCAGTCACTCACACTCACTCACTTATTAAATTTTTCAATAAATATTTGTTAAGCATCTACCAGGTGCCAGTCACTGGGGATACACAGCTGATTAAGCCATAGTTATTGCTTTCAAGGGCTTTATCATTCCATTGAACAGAGTCATGCATATTAATAAATTTAATTTTATTGTTACCATAATTCAGGCAGAAGTACGCCCGAGGCACAACCAACTTTGTCTAAAACATTCCCTGAATTATGCATATGGATTCCAACCTTTTCAAACAATGTCCATTCACTAACATGATGTCCATCCACAAGCCGACATCTGTGCGTGCCTTCTACAAGCGGTACTGTCTACTCACAGCAGGTTTCACAGGTACTGCTGACACATCTAGTACAAAGGGAACTGATGTTACTTTTGAAATAAATTGACACTTCTTTTGAAAGACAGAGTAAAGGTGATCTTCTCATTATTACTTTATTTGCTTCCCCCACACTTCATAGCTTCCCATTTCTCATCTGACTTGCTCTGAACCATTAAGAAAGATGGATCATTCCAAGTTTGGCCAATAATCAACCCACAACCTGCCCTCCTTCATGGCCATATTTTGTTTTGTTATGTTACAAAGGACGCCTGAGAGAGCTAGCCAGGAAGAGTTACTTCTGAGAAACGACAAGCTCAGGACCTTTCCAAAGGCTCTCACTGCCCCCATATGTGACAAGGGCAGTGTGAATGCCATGGCCGCGCCATCCCGTGGCTGCCTCCACAGACCTGCCCCATGCCAGTAGGAAGTTCCTTTTTTTCCCCTCTGCCTAAATATACACTGACATGGTCAGAGATCTAATGGTAGATTTGAGTATTTAGGAAAAACAAGGACCATGGAACAATTGCTTTGCCTACTTACACCACGGGTGGTAACACTGCCAATGAAATTGGTAGTTCAAACTTTTTGCAATTGGTGCAAGTATATAAAACCTCAAATCCCCGCCCCACAACACACAGAGAGAGGGGATGGAAGGAGAGAAAGAGACACCCACACACACGCACACACATTGACGTGTACCTTGAAAATAGTATATGAGGGTAGAGATGCCCTCGTGAACCAACAGCAGCCTAAAGGTGACTCTGGAGTCTCCCAACTTAGGTTTTGATGGCACCTGCCTGTCCCATCCCAGTTTCTATTGACATATTCCTTATCTGAACTCCCTAGAGTGTGCCAATCACCCCAACTAGGCTGTAACGCAGTTGAGGGCAGTACCTGTGTCATTTCCCTAATTTTAGTTGGAACATTCTAAATATATAGTAAAGTACACAACTATTAAGTGTAAAGCAATAAATAATTTTCACATATGTACAGGCTGGTGTAACTACCACCCACATGAAATAGAGGGTTTTCCAGTACCCTAGAAGGCCCTCTTGCACCTCTTCCCAACAAACATCTCCCAAGGATCACCACTGTCCTGATCTCCATCACCAGAGACGGGTGTTTCCCACCCTCCCTCTTCATATGAAGGGACATACGGTGTGTTCTCTTGTGTTTAGTGTGTGAGATTCCTTCCCTCGTCGTTAGCATGTGAGATTCACCCACATCGTGTGAGGCAGTGCTCCATTCCTTGTAACTGCTGTGAGTGTGGTCCGTTACGTGGAGACGTTTCAATTATTTATGCATTCGACATGGATGGACAAATGGTGTTTTCCGGCTTGGGGTGATGATGAACCAAGCAGTTATGAACATTCTTGTCTTGCATACGTGGTTGGTGCATACGTTGGGTCATACGATAGGAGGACGTGGAGCTGTAGTAGATATTAAGCATCCACTAAGCGCCAGGCACTGGAGATACAGAGCTGATGAAGCCATAGCTCTTATCACATGGTTCTCCAAAGTATGCCAGTTCACACCCCACAGGTCAGTTCACACCCCACAGGCCAGGTGTGAGCTCCAGTAACTCACACCCTCACCAAAATAAGGCATTCCCAGTCTCTTCAATTTCAATCATTATACTGGGCAGGTAGTGGTTACCTCGCTGTGGCTTTAAGGTTGATTTCCCTGGTGAGTAATGATTTGGGTCACCTGTTCATACACACACTGCCCATTTATGACTCTAGTGAAAATTACTTGTTCAAGTCTTCAAGGGTCATGCTGTTAACACTCGGTGACCAACTATTGCTTTTAACCATCAAGCTCCTAGCTCAAAGTGTAGGCCTGGACACGTCATGGTCCTGTGGCTGTGATATTTCCAAGCCCTCCCTCCATAACAGGCAGCAGCCATCCTTTCTTCTACCTCCTAAGATTGTTTTGTGGATTAACTGAGGTGATGCCTGCAGAGTGCTGAACACCATGCCCACTGCACAGCCAATGCTCGACACCGGTTAGCTATGATGAGGTCAACAAGGTGTTGGCCAATTTCATCATTCTTGGGGGCAGGGGTGGCCCTCCATAAATGCTTGCTCCCCTCCAGAACACCTGCAGTGGCTTTTCTGAGCTTGGCTCCCTTGCTGATGATCGGCTTATTCCCATTCAGCCCCATGAGGGTGACGAGGGCTTCTTGAATCAGCTTGCTCATCTGCTGCTGTCTGTCCTGGTAGGAGTATTTTGGGGGAACAGTCACTTCTCTCCAAGAGCTCTGATGGTTCCTCCAAGCTGAGGAGGAGAACAGGGACCCCTCACAAAATGGCCCATCTCTTGGCACTGCCACCCCGGTACTATCTGCCACCTCAGGGGTGGAGTCCAACACTGCATCTAGGGCATTTGCCTCCTGGCCCTTCTCTATGCTTTTAGATGTCAGTGGGGGAAGCCCCCTCTCCGTCACCTCTTCCCACTCCCCTGAACAAAAACACCATTCTCCACGCTGAACTCTGCCCTGATGTGGGGGCGTCTGGCTTCCTCCACACGGCAGCCTGTCAGGTTTCGATTAGGCCAGGGAAACACCACAGGAAATGAGTCCAGGAGAGGAAGCCTGTGATTTTTTTTTTATTTCAAATACCAGATTTATTAATTTTTTTAGGGGACAGTGTCCCGGCTGTGCCAAGTCAAGGAAGAATGTGAAAAATCTGCTGCTCCAAGCACAGCGGCAGCCGCTGGGTCCTCTGTTGTCTCCAATAAAAGCCCCTGGGAAGCTCCCGCTGTCCTAGGGAAGACGAGGTGCACCAGCTGCGAGGACCTGAGCGCCAGGGGTCCTGCCCAGGGCCGAGTGGGTAGCTGACCAGGCACAGCCTGCCATGGCCAGCCACAGTTGGGCTCCTCCAGCTCCATCTCCTGCCTGGCCCTGTGGAGCCCAGTGACCCTGACCTTACTGTCCCAGGGTCCAAAGGGAAGTCCTGACTATTTCATGAGCTGACAACTTTCCCGAGCCTCAGCTTCCTCTGTTGCAGGACATGGACTTTGAACTGAATATGTATGTCATTTGAGACCCTTCTGGCTACAAATGCCATCAGTATTGCCTGCAAGTGGAGGTGGTGTGAGCTGGATTAAGGCCACAGGTGCCACGTCAGATCTCAGCATCCCACGCCGACTCTGCCACTTCTGTGCCAAGATGTGAGTTACACACCTTTCCTTAGCCTCGGTTTCTTCCTTGGTAAAGCAGGAATCCAAACAGTTACACCCACTCTGTGCCAGCCATTCTCACTGCCTGACGTGTGGTAACTCACTTCGTCCCCGATATGCTTTGGCTCTGTGTCCTCAGCCAAATCTCACCTCGAATTGTAATAATCCCCATGTGTCAAGGGAGGGAACTGTTGGGAGGTAATTCAATCATGGGGGCAAGTGTTTCCTGTGCTGTTCTTCTTGTGATAGTGAATAAATAAGTCTCACAAGATCTGATGGTTTTATAAGGGGAGTTGCCCTGCACACACTTTCTTGCCTGCCGCCACGTAAGACATGACTTTGCTCTTCCTTCACCTTCTGCCATCACTGTGAGGCCTCCCCAGCCAAGAGGAACTATGAGTCCATTAAACCTCTTTTCTTTATAAATTATCCCATCTTGGGTATGTCTTTATTAGCAGTGTGAGAATGGACTAATACAGTCCCCATCTAGAGGACTGTATTAAAGTCCTAGAGAGCACAGAGGTGAGCACTATTATTAACCCCATTCTACAGATAAAGAAACTGAGGCAAGGAGGGTAAATCACTTGCCCTAGGTCACACAGCTGTTATGTGGCTGAATCAGTTAAGTTCCTAGCAGAGATGCAGAATCAGTGGAAGACACATATTAAGAGATTCACTGCCAGGGTAGGCTTCACAGTGGTGGGGCCAGCTGGGCAGGTCCAGCATCTGCAGGGTGCTCACTTCGAGGGGCGGGCAGGGGAGCTACTGCCTACAGGTGGGTTTCTCCTTCCTTGGGTAAGCAAAGCCTCAGTCTGGTTCTCAAGGCCCCCCAGCTGACCCACTCAGGCCCACCCAGGTCATCTAGAGCAATCTCCCTTACTGAGGGGCAACTGATCATGGACTTTACTCACATCTGCAAAATCCCCTCCCAGCAGCACCCAGAGGTGTGGGATTGAATCACCAGGGACTGAAGCCTCACCAAGTTGACACACAAAACTGGCCCCCGTGGTGGTGAAGGCAGGGCTTTGCACTGGGGTGTGTGGCTCCAGGGTCCACAGACTGTCTTCTTATTTTCTAAAGTCATGGAATTTTTAGAGCAGTTTTAGGCTTACAGAAATTGAGCAGAAAGTACCGAGAGTCTCCATTCTTTCCCATGTGCACACAGTTTCCACTGCTAGTAACGTCGTGTGGTACATTTGTTACAAGTGATTAACCAATATTAATGGATTATTATTAAGTCCATAGTTTACATTAGGGCTCACTCTTGGCGTTGGACATTCTATGAGTTTGGACAATTGCATAATGACCTGACCCCGCGATTACAGGATCATACCCAGAGCTTCTCTGCCCTAAAAATGCCCCGTGATTGACCTACTTCTCTCTCTCCGATCACCCCTGGCAACCACGAATGCTCTCACTATCTCCGTAGTTTTGCCTTTTCCAGAATGTCATCCAGATGGATCCTACAGAGTGTGGTCTTTTCCGATGGGCTTCTTCCACTGAGCAGTAGGCATTGAAGGCTTCTCCATGTCCTCCCAAGGCCTGGCAGCTCATTTCCTTTTACTGCTGAATAATATTCCACGGCCACGTCCCACCGCGTATTTATCCACTCGGTGCTGAAGGACATCTGGGTTGCTTCCGGGTTTTGAAAATTAGAATGAAACTGCGACACATCTGTGTGCAGGTTTTTGTGTGGACAGAGGTTTACAACTTCTTTGGGTAAATACCAAGGATCGTGACTGCTGGAGCGTGCGGTAAGAGCATGTTCCGTTTTGTAGGAAACTTTCGGACTGTCCTCCAGAGCGGCTGTGCCCCTGTGCATTCCCGTGATTCTATGGCCTTTCAGCAGCACCGCCCGCATCCAGGTGTGGGTGATCGCTGAAGAGCCTAGAGGACGGGCGGGCGCGCGGGTGGCGCTCGGCGCGGGACGGGCGGGTGCGTGGGTGGCGCTCACAGCAGGGGGGCTCCTTGCGTGCTGCCATGGCCTCCATGTGAATCCTTCCACACATCCTTCTCATCTTGGGGGCCTGTGAGGGTGATGTCGGGCCCACCTCGGAGCTCTGCTGTCTCCTCGGGGTTGCAGGGCCTGGAGAAGGGCTTCCCATTTAGATGGACCCAGCACAGCACACCCTCGGAGTCTAAGCTCAGGTCACAGCCAGTTCAGCTGTGTTAACTTCTGTAGACCCTGGCATCCTGACGGTCTCCTGGCGAGGGCTTCAGCGGGCACTGGGGATGAAACCGTGCGGGCTGCCTGGGCCGGTGTTTCTTAGTTCTGATTTCCAAACGAAAGTACGCAGACCATCCAGGCCAGCAAAGGCTGCTGCAGCTCCCGTGGGCCCTTGGGCCACAGACCACAGCCGTGGTGTGATCCGGCCCACGGGAGCATCTGCAGATCCAGGAAAGGAGCAGCCCACGCCCAGGTAAGGCATGGCCTCTGGGCTCTGGCCTCTGGCTTACCGGCCCGGAGGCTCTCAGCAGCTGTTTTCCAGGGATGCAGTTGGAGACCTGGGAAACCGCAGCAGTAACAACCCCCTGGTGGCTCTCCCCATGGGGCAAACATCTAGTGAGCCCTTACTGCACATCTCACCAAGCATGTTACCTGCAGCATCTTGTGAGAGCCCCCGTGACCAGGAGGTGGGTGCTGTGTCTCCCGATTGGACAGATATGAGCCGGAGGCTCAGAAACGTGACTCGAGGCTCAGCGGGTGACGACTTGCCCGAGGTCACTCGGCTGTTAGGGGCCAAACCAGGGCTTCCAGCCCAGTTCCTTTGACTCCAAGGCTCACAACAAGAGTCCGTGAACAACTATTGAGTGCTCACTGCATACTGAATATGTTTATCAATATGTCAACTCTCAGTTGAGACTGAAAACCCTGTGAGGTAGATTTCACGAGCCCAATGTACAGATGTGGCAATTAAATGACACCAGGGCAATCATAGAAGATCTTGTTATCAGCAGGCCCAAACTGCTTCCTCCTGGGAACGAGGGTGGCATCAGTTGGGTTCCCACCCCAGCCCTGCTGCAGACCATCTTTTTTATACTGAGTGAGTCAGTGGCACGATGGCCTCACCAGCAAAATGAGAATCACAAACTCTCTCCTGCACTGGCTTCCGGAAATGATGAGTCCAGGCCTGGGCAGCGCCCACTGCCAGCAATATCAACGGCTGTTCTTATTCCTCACTCCCCACACACTCCCTTCCTACCCTGGTCTCAGCGCACACCAGCCTGCGTCACCCTCTGGCCGGGACCCTTCTCAGCGGGAAGCAATCTTCAGGGGTGCTGCCCCTTCTACCCACCCAAGAGAAGCCCTTTTCAGCCTCCTTTTCTGAACATCAAACATCTCTCAGCTTCCCCATCCCAGAGCCAGGACTCAGGCTGATAAAGAAGGGAGCACACCAAGTAAACAGAAAGAAACCCTGCCCCTTTAATAAAATAAAACCCATCCCAGCTCCGCGCCCAGGGCGGACATACAGTGGGGGAACAGTGTTGGACGAGGCAGAACTCACAGCAAGGCCGAGAGCTTCCAATTTCCTGACGGGTTCCATTTCATGTAAACACGACTTAACTCTTTAACTAAATCATTAGAAGAGCTGGCCCAGTGTCCTGGTCACCCCCGGGGTCCCTCCCTACCTTGCCGAATGGCAATTCCCAGGCAGCCTCAGGATGTGGTGACCTCGTTTTTAAAGAGGCTCCAAATGGTCCCCACACCACGTTTCTCTCGAGACACAGGCAATTGGGGTGTGGTGGGGCCTTTGTAGAGATGGGAACGGATGATTTCACTGTTTCTGCCATGAAGATGAAAGAGCGGGAGGCAGGTTGGAAAACAGACAATTCATGGGGCTGTCAGAGCTCGATTTGAATTTCATTCACACCAGGCCGAGCCGGGGCGGGGGGAGCGGGGCTTGAGGTCTTTCTCCAAGGGGAAGGGGCTGAGTGCTCAGTGCTGAAGTGATAATCCAGCCCGCGGAGTCTGGCCCAGGCTGGACATTTTGTCCTCCCTGTCAAAACGCTGCGAGCCCAGGAGCAGATGGAGTGGTGTCGGCAGTCGTAAAACGCCCCGCCCCACCGGGGACAAATAGGTCAACAGGAGGGATTGGCGCCGTGCATGTCATAAAACCCCTCCAGGCCTGTCATGTTCCGATAAATCTTGATTTTGTAACAGAATAGCACCGCGGTTCCCAGCCTTGGGTTTCACAGGTGAGCTGTGGGCTGATGGATGGTCTGGGAGCCAAGGGGTGGGGAGGAGGACAGAGGAAACCCTAGCCGACACCCACTCCAGGCTCCCAGCACTGGCAGGAAACCTGGCCTGCAGGAGGACCTCAGGCATGTGTCCCTGCTAGCAGGTGACCAGGCTCGGTGCACATCGAATCGGAAGAGCTGAGTAACGGCAGGCGATGTCCTTGCTGTCGGGCTCCCAGATTCACCCATGGCCACACAAATAGGGCTGCTGAGGAGAATGAAGCCAAGCCCAGCACAGCCCTGGGGAATTCATTACCCACGGGGGCACCTGTGTACTGTCTGCTCCCCCAGGGGGCCCTTTTGTCTTTCGCACCAAGGTGCCATCTTGCCAGCAGGAGCTCTGTGGCTCAATGTCCACCATGAACACTTCACAGGAAGGATCAGACTCCAACTCCAAGGTCTTCCAGGGCGGGAGGTGACTGCGTACTGCATACATTTACATATAAACACATCAACCCTTATTTCAGTGAGGGAAGCAGGCCAGGTGGGAGAAGATGAAGCATGAGTGGCCCTTGGCCTCCCGCCTTGAGGAGAAAGAAAACAGCCTCTCAGGGACTTGCCTATAGAGAACATGGGCTCCGGTCATTGCCAGGAGGGATTTGGGGCCCGGTGTGATCAGATCTCCTGGTATTTAGAAGGAAAAATCTGGATTCCAGGTGGATTCTCCCTAGTAGTAGGCATTGAGGAGTCATTCAAATGTAAAATAGATGCTGGCCAACACGGCAGAGCAAGAGAAAGCTGGTGACTCTCCTTAAGGTCCTCCAGGCTTGACTTGGGCAGTAAGACCAGAAGGAGTGCAGAAGATTCTTCCTGTTAACTGCAGAGCTTGTAGACTATGGTCAAGTTTTCCAGCCCAACCCCCGTAAGCAGCCCATGCAGGTACAGCGGTGGTTACATGTGATTTTCCCATGACAAGCCATGGGTTTGGCTCTATGTCTCCCACTCAAGCAGACAATCTGAAATGAGAGTGATTTTATAGTAGGGCTAACCTCGAAGGCCCCTGATTTAGGAACATAAAAGTCAGTGGCGTCTGAACTCCCGAACTTTCTCAGTGGCGACGTGTCTTGTACTCCCCTTCCACCTCATGGAACATTCCATTTGGTGGAGGCTCCGGGGCTCAGAATCTGGTGAACTGGAACTGACTGACCAGGTTCTAATGGAGGGGGAGGGAGTTCTCTCAACCAGCACAGAGGTGGAGACGATCCCAGCCCTGAGTGGGACCCAGGTCATTGTTCACTACCACGTCTGACCTCAGTGTGTTATTGTGCCACCCTCTGCCCCATCACTCTTTGTGTTCCATGCTATTTAAAAATAAAAGGTGACAACCAGCAGACAGCTGCTCCCCTACTCTCACATACTGGCATTTGAAAGCAGAAGGACTGGGTGAGTCCCAGCTCCACCACACACTAGCTGTAACATTGGGCCAACAGCTACTGACCATGTCTGTGTTCATCTTTGAAACAGGAACACAGTATTCCCATGTGAAAGCTGGTGATGAGACTCTGAATGAGGCTGTGCTCTGCATGGCGGTTATTCAGTAACTGGTGGTCCTTACTGCTGTGGCTGCTAAGATTTGCATTATTTTGAGTGCATTGAGACTTATCCAGCCACTCCCCTCTCACTCGCCTGGGATGGGTCCTGTCCTGCACGTTCCGCTGAGCCTTGTTGAGCTTTTGTCCCTTCAAATTCCAGTTGTGTTCAGATCTCTCTGGCCCCAAGCAGAGGGCAACTTAGAAAAGCAGGGAGACCACCCCACTTTGATTTCGAAGGCCTTCCCCCTAGGGACCCATGTGCATTTTAACAGACTTCTAAAGCTATTCAGATGATGCATGCTGCAGCCGTTAAGAAGAACAAGTTAGATCTGTCCACAGTAACAGAGCTTCTGAAAAAACTTAAATTTTAGGTTGATACATATAGTATGATATGATTTATATAAACACACATACAAACCATCAATTATTTCTTATGGATATATATGTCCTCATGTGTAAAGTATATATATATATACATATCCATGAGAGTGTGTGTGAGAGAGAGAGAGAGAATTAGTTACCACAATAAAGAGCTAGAAGAAGACATTAGCAATCTCCCAATTCTGGGGAAGGAGGAAGGGGAAGGGGAAGGAAAGGGAAGATGGTAAATCCTAAATGTTTTAAGAGAATGGCGAGTGTCTTTTCACCTTTATAACTGATTTTTAAGCTAAGGAAGTCAACCCAGATTATTTTCAAGCTTCAAGTCATGGCATGCGAAGTCACCAATGGACTGGTCTTGAATATTCCTCAAGTCACTGAAAGCAATTCTGGTCACTTCCTGTCCTAGGACATTCAGGGGTTACCAGGGTGCCATCATAACCTGCAGGGTTCCCGGCCACTCTTTCTCTCGGTGACCCCGGGAGTGGCTGGGAGGGTGGGGAGGGGAGGACAGACTTCCTCTGCCCTGGCTGAGACCTTCTCTCTCACTCTCTAGTGTTGCTTTCATGCTGGTCAAAAACAGCATCTAACTTTAAAGACCAAGATCGGGGGCTTGCCAAAACCTTAGAAAATTTATTCAATAGGAAGCCGTGCCTGCAAAACCACAGTGATAAGAAATAAGGCTGAAGGACTGCAAAATGCAAAATGTTCCCCAGAAGCCCAGTTGCTTTTCAAAAATAGAGAACCTAAATGTCGAACAATAAGAGATTGGCTATGTAAATTCTGACATGCATATTAAAACCGAACATGATGTAAACATGGAAAATAATGTTCTTGGAAAATGGCTCATGAAATGGGAAATGCAGATATACATTATTGATTCATCACTTCAAAGTTGAAGGCTATTCCTTGCAGCAAAAATCTTCTGGACAAAAATAGAGGGAAAAATCAACCAATAGTTTGAGAGAATGCAGACACAATCTACTAAGGACTGAACAGTGTCCCCCCGGTTCATATGTTGAAGCCCTCATCCACAACGTAATGGTATTTGGGAGGTGATTCAGTATAGATGAGGTCATGAGGATGGGACTCTCATGCTGGGATTAGTGTCCATAAAAGAAGAGACACCAGGAAGCTCTCTGCCCTTCTCTCTGCCACATGAAGACCTGGCAAGAAGGCAGCCCTCCACAAGCCGGGAAGAGCACCATCACCAGACCCAACCATGCACAGCCTCCAAAACTCTAAGAAATAAACATCTGTTGTTGAAGCCACCCAGTCTGTGTATTTCGTTATGGCAGCCCAAGCAGACTGAGACACAGCCCACCTCTACCTGAGCCCAGCGGAATGTGGCCCTGACTCAGCTACACACATGTGTGATCCCAGACAAATCACACACCCCTCCTGGGTCTGGATTTCCACTATCTATAATCTCTTGGACCAGGAGTTCCCATCTTGGGTGCCCCAAACCTTAAGAGTTGATGAAGACAGTTGTGAAAGCTATTATAAAGTCTTTATAGCTATTCCAAAAAAAATGCCTATTTACCTTGAAGTTACATATGTCTTTAATTGATACAATGGAAAAAATAATTCATTTTGAAAAAATAAGTTCAATTTTCTGGTAGACAAAATCTTTCAACCAGAGAGGTGTATTAGGCTAATGCTAGGTGCTGTAACAACCCCCCAAATAAAAGTGGCTTAGCACAATAGATGTTTATAACTCCATCATGTAAAGTCCAAACCAATGTTCCTGACTTAACTAACAGGCAGATCTCTTCCTGGTGGGAATTTTGTCTTGTGGTCTTCCAGGACCTCAGAGTCTACTGCATTTCACTGGAAAATAGGGAAGGAAGAGAGAATCTTGGAAGGGAGATTTTCCTGGGCCATTGGCTAGACTCAGTCACATTACCACAGCTAATTGCAAGGGAGGCTAGGAAACAGAAAGTCCAGCTGTATTTCCAGGGGATAAAAAAGAGGAAACTGGCTTGATGAGCCACTGATTGGTCTCCGCCAGAGAAGGCAAAAGAGGTCACACATAAAACAGTGCATTCACGCGAGGCATTTGAGCAAAACATGGAGCTGTTGCCGTGGGTGGGGTGTTTTCTGTGATGTCCTGTCAGTCTGTGATTTGGGGCTCATGTCTCACCTCCCAAATGATGGGCAATGATGGTATTAAAATAATGGCATCTGCAAAAGCCAGCTATGCCATCCCTATGGCACCAGTACCCTCAAAAATGCCTCACAATGCAACCCACCAGCAGCAAATGCGCCCAGATCTCCTACTTCAGGCAGCCAGACCCAGCCTGTGGCATGAGCTTTGATGTCTGCATAGGCGAGGTGCTGGCGAGGCTGGGTCCAGGTGGTCACTGCCACTAGGCCTCCAGTGGGTGCCATCATCGTGCTCTGCAGCCAAACCAGCTCCTCCTCTTTGAGATCCTGGGTTGCTGGCCTGGGAGCTGGGAACATGGAGACCTCTGAAACATCTCTGCTTTCCAGGGGTCTACGCCCAGGGGAGGGTGAGGCCAGAGACTGTGTGGTCTGAGCCCCGGCAAGTCCCTTCCCCTGGGATCCTGCGTGCCCTCATCTCCTGGACTGTCTCCTGCCTGTCCCTCCCCTCCCTCACCCCACTGGTGGTCTGCAGCTTCAGGCCAAGTTTGCTGCAGCTCCACAGGGACCCTGTGTTCTTCCCTCCACATCTCTGCAAGTGCCATTTCCCCACCCCAAGCACCTATCCCATGTTCCCTCCTCATTTGGCCCCGACTCCTAGCTATGCCTCCTGTGTCAACACAACTCAGGGCTCCTCTCTACTCACTGCCCTGAGTCATAATCCCTGGTGACTCCTCTGCCCCTCTCCCACTGGGCCTTAAGCCCACCTCTCCCCATCTCGCCCACCTCCTCCAGTCAGAATCCCAGCTGGGGCGGCTCTGCGGGTTGAGTCACACACCCCACCCGAGGTTCACTAGCACGCCAGCAAGAAGCCTTGGAGGCTGCAGAGACTTGGGGTGAGGGAACCAGGACCCAGGAAAGGCTGGGGCCACAGGCTGGCATATAAGCAATTACTGTCTGTTAACTGAATATGCACCAAGAGACAGGGCCATTTAGGGCTGGAGAATGGGAAGATTCGTGATCATGGCTAAAGGATGCAAAGGTTTCTTTCCGGGGTGATAAGTTCTAAAATTGACTGGGGTGGTGGTTGTACATATCTGTGAATATACTAAAAGCCATTGAACTGGACACTTAGAATGGATGAATTGCATGACATTCGAATTACATCTCCCTAAAGCTGTTAAAAAGCAGGTTTGAAGGGTGGAACCCCATGCCCCATGGTGGAAGGCAGGACGGAAGGCTTTATGTCCCTCAAAGGACTTTGAGACAATTCACTAAGGCCATAAAAGTAAAGTGCTTGGCACAGCACCAGCTTGTTGTAAATTCTTAATAAACAGTAGAAAATGAATGAGAAGTGATGGCCACCATCCCAGCATGGCATTGGAGCTGATGGCCGGCCAGTATCGGGGGTTCTTCTGCCCTGTGTGGAGTAAGCCCGTCGGTGCCTGGCTTCCAGGGAGGCAGGGGCCCCTTCCTGGAGGACACGGAGGTTTGGGTAGGGAGGCAGCCCAGCACCCTTTCTGCAGGGCAGTGCGAAGCCCTCCTCCGCAGATAAGCCGCCGGCCTCTTCACCAGGTTCTCAACAGCCAGATTGGAGATCTCTGGCTTGCAGGCTGCGGCTCCTGGCTGTCAGGAGGAATGAGCCCAGGGATGATTAATGAGAGAGAAGGAAATGTAATCATGCATGCCGGCCCGCCAAGCAGCATAAATCTCTCTGGAGATTGCGGAGAGAATGGATTCCTCCCTCGCCGGGCCTTGAGAAAGGGCATCCTCTAGGTTCCGCAGAGTCTGGGGAACCTCCACAGGCCTTGAATCAAAGCTCACCTGCACAGACCAGATGGGGGTGAGTTTGCAGGAACCCGCTGCTGAGGACAACCACCGTGCCCTTGGAGGCAGCCCGCATCGGTGACTCTCTGGGAAGCCAGGCTTGGCTGCAGATGGGGCAACGGATAAAGGCAGCAGGCTTAGGCCCAGGTTCGAATCCAGCCTCTGCCACTCACTAGCTCTGAGACCTGGGGCAAGTTTCTTCATTCTCTTGGCTCCTCCTTGTCTGTGAAATGGGAATAGAGGATTGCTGCAGGGCGTCGTGTGAGGACTGAGTTGCTAGGGGCACAGTTCTCAGAAGCAGGGTGGGCAGTGAGCATGCCCTGCAGGAGCTGCTGTCCTGCTCATCTTCTCTGCCACACAGTTGCCCTGCATCCTCTCATCCAATCACCATGACACCTCGAGAAACGGGAGTTACTGGTCCCATCATGCAGATGGGAACACAGAGGCCGCATGCATTGCCTGACTCGTCCAACCTTCCGCGGCGAGCAGCGCCGGCCCCTCACCGAGCTGTCTGACCCGGGGTCTCCGTGACTTTTAAAAGTTTGTTCCCAGCCTCCCACAGGGCACTGGCATGGCCATTTGTCAGCACTGCCTCCAGACCCCGGGCGACAGGAACAAATGTCACCCTCCCACCCGCCAGCTGTCTTTGGAGCATGCAGCGTCCGAGGGGCCTCAGATCTATTTCTGAAGGGGGTGCGTTTGCCTTTGTTCCTCTTCCCGGCCATCCCGAGTCCCCTGCCTTTCTTCATCCGAATTATGAAAAGTCCTTTTGGCCCTGGGATCTGCGAAGACTTTGGACTCCTTGGAGGTCAGAAACCTGAGCTGGGCACTAAGAAGACACTGACTGTTGCTGAGAAGGGAGGGACCTTAATGGCTTTAGCAGATGCCACAGGGAGGGAGGGCCCAGGGCAGCCCCAACTGCCCACCCGCAGATAACCCCTGCCCCTCTCCACGGGCAAGGCAGAAAGTCCGAGTTCTGGGGAGGCTGGTAAATACTTAGGTGTCAGCGCCTGCAGGGTTCCAGCCTCTTGCCTCAGAGAAGGCATTTAAAGTTCTTACAAGAAACTTTTTGCTGAACCAGCAGGAAAGTGTGCTTGGGCGCTGATGGGACTGAGGACTGTGGCTTCTATAGGGGGTTCTAGAATCTCAGGGCTGCAAAACCCTGTCGGGGTTAGTGCATCACCTGGCCCCAGGACTGAGCAACTCCATCCAGGGGTAGGTGGACAGGGGTGCAGCTGTGGGCACCGAGCACCCATGCCCGGCTCCAGGCTGGGACACTCACTGCCCACAGGTATGCCCTTGGCTCACTTCTGAGACACCTGGGGAGGCAAGACAAGAGGTTTTATTTGCACAAAGGGGGCCTGTTTATTATTCATGAGAACAACTCTGTTTAAAAAACAGGATGGAGTTTTTGTTTTCTTTTTAAGGTCAGTCACCTTGCTAAAAATTCAAGATACAAAAAGGTATCTCCCTCTCACCTGTTCCCACAGCCACCTTCCCAGGGGTGCCTATATTTTCAGATGTTTTAGGCCTGTAAGCATATACTTACATGCATAAAAGTAGGTAAGTGCATATCCTTCCACACATGTAAGTATATACATACATATATATACATACACAGTCATGCACCACCTAAAGACAGAGATACATTCTGACAAATGCATCACTACATGTTTCTGTCACTCTGTTAACATCTTAGAGTGCACTTACACACACCTAGATGGTACAGCCTGTTAGACACCTAGGCTGTACGGTAGAGTCTATTGCTCCAAGGCTACAAACCTGTACAGCATGTTATACACTGAATACTGTAGGCAACTGCAACACAATGGTAAGTATTTGTGTATCTAAACAACAAAAAGGACAATAAAAATATGGCATGATCATCTCATGAGACCACCATTGTATATGCACTCCACCATTGGCTGAAACGTGGTTATGCAGTGCTTGACTGTATACACACACACACGCATGCATGTATGTATGTACACACACACTATCCACACTGCCCTGCACCTTGCTGTTTTCAGTCATCTCTTTTGGTGATAAGTAGATGTTGGCATGTAAAGAGCTCTGATTCCTTTTCATGGCTGTATACTACTCCCTCGAACAGCCTGTTCATTATCTATGTATTTAGCTGGTCCCCTGCAGACAGGCCCTTCTTTATAAATATTACTTTTCCCATGGAAAGGGAACATGTTTTGCCAGGGGGATACTGCTTATGGGGGAACAGGGAGGGGTTGGTGAGAATGTGGGGTCTAGAGATATGAGTTAGCATCCTGACCTCTTGTTCATTAGCTGTGTAGCCTGTGCCACCCTCAGCCACCCCCACCTGTCCACCAGGCAATAAACAAGACACAGAGACCTTCATGAATCGAACACATGTGTTTAGGGCAGAAGAGTTGAGCTATTCCATCCTGAGCTCTGAAAGCAGCCTCACCTGGGCTCACATTCCCACCCTACTTCTTACAAACCAGGTGCCTTCGGCAGACACCTTTCCTTTGAGCCTCAGTTGGGGCATAATTATGACAGCCCCTGCCCAGGTTTATTTTATGATTAAATGAGATTCACCAGCATTTGTCCAGCCACTTGACATCAGCTGGCATCAGTGCGTGCTCAATTCATTTTTGCTTTTACCGTTGTCATCATCATTGGGGTGGCAGTGGCCCTCCTGACACACCGTACCCTTCTGCACAGATGTTCCCCACAATGCAGTTGTTCCAAACCCACAGCACTATTGGGGCTCAGAGACTCAGCACAGCTGGTGGGGATTACCACTTCATCCACCCCCGCAGGTGCTCCGGAGGCCACTTCCTCTCCTGCAGCCCCCACGTGTGTCTTTGAATATTGGAACACACACGATTCCTCTTTGCTGGGGGAATCCTGCCTGGAGGCAGGGGATTGAACCAAATGACCTTTTGACCTCTTGTCCAACCCTAGCCCCAGGATTCAAGATCAGCCAGAGTGCACATGGGCCAATGAAATTAGCCACTCCTTCCGGAAAGGCGAGTTTATTCGGCATTCTGCGGCTCCCAGGGGCTGTCTTAGATAAGACTTGCTCCAGGCTCTTTTGTCCCCCAGGACTTGTGGAAATTTCTGGGTCTGTTTGACATCAACTCCTGTCCTCCCAGTCCCACCACTGGCCTTCCACTGACCTTTGGAGACCAGGGAGAGAAAACGTCATTTTTCCCCTAACCCACTGAACTCTCTGAAAGGACAAAGTGACAGAGGCCAGCACGGCCTCTCCAGAAAGGCCTCCCGGCCCCACCGTCACTGTGACTTAGAAAACGCGCCCACACCTAGCCGAGGCCAAGAGACACCGGCCGCCCCTTACACTGAAAATGAAGTAAAACCTCCTGAGAGGCTTCTCCAGAGAGGCTCGGAAGAGCAGCAGGAAGGCAGGAGGATGCCGATAGGACACCGGGGAAGAGGAGGAAACGGCCTGCCGGGTCTAGACGCGTTATCTGGCCCCGTTCGGGCACCAGCTCCACACTCATCCATCGTCCCCCGGAATGGACTTCCTGCCTCGGGACCGCGCCAATGACCTCACCCCCTTGCTATCTCGGCGGTCCCGCTGCTGCCCGCTCTAGGCTCTCAGGAATTAGGGGGCCAGATAACAAGTCTAGACAGCTCAGAAGTTTGAAATGGATTATTCTCGCCGGGGAGGAGGATGGCTAGCAACGAGCTCTAGGGACTCAAATGCCAAATCCCTGGACTGCATTCAGATTCCAAGTGGGAGTCCAGGCGTTCACGTTCTTCCTCCGTGGTCCCACCGCCCTGAAGCTGGCAATGAGTACAGCAGCTGCCACGAAGCCGCCAGGGTCTGGCTGCCCTAGCCCGGGCAGTGGGCACTCCACTCCCTCCTCCCTTCGTCGGCTTCAGGTGAGCTTCCAGGGCCTCGTCTGCAGAGCTGGACAGAGCTCTCCAGGCTGAGAAGGTGACGGTGCCTCTCCACCCTCGAGGCGTTCAGCCCTAGGGGCAGGAGTGAGTGACACAATAAATGGAAGGAAGTCCAACAGGGAGCAGAGCTCCTCCCAAGAGACGACGGCGCACGACGGCGCTGAGTGCTCGCCCAAACATCAAGTGTTTGCCATGAAACTCTCCTCAGTGCCCCCTCTGCCCCTTCTCCCACCCTGTTATGAATCCATTGTGTTCCCCAAAAATTCTTACGTTGCCATCCAAACTGCCAGTGCCTCCGAATGTGACCTTATTTGGAAATAGGGCCCTAGAAGATGTAATTAGTTGAGCTGAAGTCATGCTGGAGTAGGATTGGCCTCTAAACCGCTATGATGGTGTCCTTATAAAAAGGCCCCCTCACAGACAGGCAGCCCACAAATGCCCAGGAGCCACTGTCATCAGGAGCAGCCCTGGGCCAGGGACGGTGAAGCCCTGCAACATAAAACCCTGCTCGGCTGCAAACTCCAAGGGGGCCAGACAGTCTCCCAGCGCTCCCCAGAGGGTGGAGCCCCGGTTGCCCACCATGGTCAGCTGATCAACAGTCCACCCTGCATTGGTTTCGTCCCTTCCCCCGGTCCCTTCCCAACTCCCCTACACTTCCTGAGGTCACCTCCCAAAAACTGCCTGCACTCACAACCCGCCTCTGGTCTGGGTGGGGAGGAGGCAGCTTTCCATGAACACAGGCTGGGAAGAGGAGACACAGTCTTGGCCGCACGTGGGAGGGATAACCCTGCATGCAGTCACAGGTTTGTATAGAATACCTGTCCCCAAACTAAAACCAACCTGATGGGTGTCGGAAATTGCTAGTTCTGTCTACATCCATTCCCTCTCTTAAGTGACCGTATTAATCACAACCAGGTGCGTGACTGCCCTTCCCCAAGATTCACCACCCCACCCTTCGTTCTCAGTGAAGACCTAAGGTCTCAGGTAGGTGTGACTCCACATCTAGATTCTGGGATGTGAACAACAGTGATGCCCAACTCGCAGCTTGTGGTCTTAAAGGGAAGACATATACCTGCACCCCTCCTTTCCTCCATCACGCTGTCCAAAACGCAGGCGTGATGGAAGCAGGTATGACTACTCCCCCTCCTCCTTCTCCTCCTCTTCATCCCCTCCGCCTCTTCCTCCTCCTCCTCCCCTTCTTCCCCCTCCTCCCCCTCCCTTTCCTCCCCCTCCTCCTCTTCATCCCTCTCCTCCTCTTCCTCCTCCCCCTCCCCTTTCTCCCCCTCCTCCTCTTCATCCCACTCCTCCTCTTCCTCCACCCCCTCCTCCTCCCCCTCCCCTTCCACCCCCTTCTCCTCCTCCTCCCTGTCTTCCTCCTCTTCCTCTTCCTTCATTTTTTCTCCTCATGCTCTTTTCCTCCTCGTCTCACACTAAGGAAGTGGGAGGTTTAAGAGCATTATGCAGAGTCTTACCTTAATCTTTCTCCAGCAGAGCCAACACTGAAGCTTCTGACCCTAGCATCCCTTTCATTTATCTTAGAGAGCCCAAGACAGACTTCATTTACATTAATCCAAAAATAACAAAGTGGAAGAAATACATGTTGGTAAGGAATTCAGGTGAACCCAGGAAGCGTTGGGAAAGTGGGCTCCTTCCGGGAAAGGCCAGGGGGAGAGAAGCAGCTTGTTCTGATCAAATCTGGAAAAAAGCTGCTTTCCAGGGGCGAGGTGGCCTGACACATGGCGGGCGGGTCACCGGGAGCCCCACTTGAGGGAATTTCCTAGAATGACAATGCGCAGGAACAATGGGTGAGTCAGGTCTTTAATTGCCAGAAATTATCTTGATTTCATGGCAATGTTGAAGTGTTTAGAAAGCCTGTGTTACATAAAGATAAACTCGTGTGAAGACCGGGGCTGACGAGCAGCCAAAAGCAGTCAGGAATGTGTGCTCCACGCCGGCTCCTGCCGATGTTAACATTTTTCAGGCACTGAGCGGGAATCGTCTGTATCTGAGAGATTGGGAAGACCTCCGTTGTGAGCCCGGCCCTGCTTGTTGGCTTGTTGGCCGCAGGAGGCCGGCTCGGTGGCTGCCCCTGGTGCCCGCTGATCCATGCGCAGCATCAGGCTGGAGGAGCGCGCGCAGCTCGCTGGAAATGACCCTGCCTGGGGACGAAAGCGTGGGCTCAGGGCCAGAGCTGGGTTGGAATACTCCTGCTCCTTGCCAGCTCTGGGGCCTTAGGTCACCGAGCCTCTCTGAGCGCATTTGGCACACCTCTGAAATGAAGCCGATGTCGGCTCTTGTATTTGGTACCGGAGGGTTTGGGGCAATATCGGGAGAATACATTTCCCAACGGCTCTCCTCTTCCTCCCTTTCCCTTTGAGAGACGTGAAAAGAAGCACTTGGGCTGACACGGGCCTGGGGCACATGGAAATAGGTGTGGAAGTGTGAGGTGTGGTGTGAGTGAGGTGTGGTGTGAGAGTGAGGTGAGGCGTACGAGGTGCGAGGTGGATGTAAGGGTGAAGGGTGAGAGTCAAGTGCGATATGTGAGGTGTGAGTGTGAGATGTGTGTGTGAGGTATGGTGTGTGAGATGTGAGCATAATGGGTGTGTGAGGTGTGTGGGTTGGAGTGTGATGTGAGTGTGAGGTGTGTGTGTAATTGTGAGGTGTGAGGTGAGGTGTGAGTGTGAAGTATGAGTGTGAGCTTGAGTGTGAGATGTATGAGTGTGAGATGTGCGTGAGGTGTGACCGTGAGTGTGAGGTTTGAGTGTGAGGTGTGTGAATGTGAAGTGTGAGGTGAAGTGTGAGATGTGTGTGAGGTGTGACTGAGTGCAAGGTGTGAGGTGAGGTTTGAGATGTGTGAGGTGGTGTGAGTGTGAGATATGTGTGTGTGAGGTGTGTGAGTGAGGTGTGAGTGTGAGTTGGAGAGTGATGTGTGACATGTGAGGTGAGGTGTGAGTGTTAAGTATGAGTGTGAGGTGTGAGGTGTGTGAGATGTGTGTGAGGTGTGTGAGCATAAGGTGTGATGTGAGTGTGAGATGTGTGCGAGGAGTGACTCTGAGGTTTGAGTGTGAGGTGTGTGAGTGTAAAGTGTGAGGTGAAGTGTGACCTGTGTGAGGTGTGACTGAGTGTAAGGTGTGAGGTGAGGTGTGACGTGTGTGTGAGGTGGTGTGAGATGTGTGTGTGAGGTGGTGTGAGTGTGAGGTGTGAGTGTGAGATGTGTGAGTGTGAGGTGTGAGTGTGAGAAAGTGTGGGGTGGCTGTGTGAGTTGGTAGAAGTACCTCTGGACAGTAAGTCAGAAGCCCTGGATAAGTGGCAATACTTGGAAGGAAAATCAAGTCAAGGTTTTCACAGGGAGATCATTTGAAGCAAGAACATGTATTGGTTTTGGTACCTACCTACATGTGCGGTAAGAGCATAAAAATATGGACAGAAGGAAACATCCCAACTTCTGAATAGAGGTTCCCTTTAGGGCTGGAAAGATGGGGAAGAAGGGAAGGAGGGAAATGGGATAGAGTAGGAGCCTTTGGCTGTCTTTAAGTTTTTAAGTAGACAAAACGGAGCATGGGTTAATTCTGAGAGCTGGCATAGCCAGACGCCAATAAACATGAGAAAGTGGCCATCACTATCAGCCATCGGGAAATACAAATTAAAGCCACATTGCAACCCCTCTTCACACCTTCCAGGCTGGCAAAAGTGAGCAGCAGTCACCCAGCACTGAGGAGGGGGTGGAGCGGATCAAGTTCCCGGATGCCGGATGCCGGATGCTGTCGGTGGGGGTCGCGTGGTGCCAACCCCTTGGAAAAGTGTTCAGCAGTGCCTTACACAGCATAGCACACGCACACCCTGTCACCCAGCAACTCCACGCTAGCTGCATGCCCCATACCATGGGTGCATACGTTCATCAGAAGACATCTGCAGGAAGGTTCGCAGCAGCGCTATTCAGAATAGTTAAAACCCAGGAACTGCCTTATGCCCTTTGATGTTGAGATCAGCTCAGCAAGTGCGGTCTCTTCTCACAGTAACACAATAGAGCAATGAGAACGAGCAGAGCACACAGCTCCACACAGCTGAGGATGGCTCTCAGATAGGGTGATGAGGGAGGGATTCCTGCTGCTGGATTCCATTACTATGGAGTTTTGTCAAGTTTAACCACAGGCACCACCAATCTCTTCAGTTAGAGATCAGGGTAATGACTGGCCTTAGGTGGTAGGGACTAAAGGGGCCTAAGGGCTTCTGGGGTTCAGTGGTCATGTTCTTTTGTTTTTGTTTTGAGACATGGTCTTGCTCTGTTGCCCAGGCTGGAGTCCAGTGGTGCAATCATGGCTCACTGCAGCCTCAAGCTCCTGAGCTCCGGTGATCCTCCCACGTCAGCCTCCCAAGTACAGGGGATGACAGGCACACACCACCACACCCAGCTAATTTATTTTATTTTATTTTATTTTATTTTATTTTATTTTATTTTATTTTTTGTAGAGATGGGGCTCTCACTATGTTTCCCAGGCTGATCTCAAACTCCTGGCCTCAAGCCATCCTCCTGCCTCACCCTCCCAAAGTGCTGGGATTATAGGCATGAGCCACCACCCCTAACCTTATATTCTGTTCCTCTGTCTGGGTGCTGGTGACCCGGGCGTGGTCATTTTGTGAAAATTCCTCAGCCCACACCCTTAGGATCTGTGCACTCTTCAGACTATAACTTATACTTTAATAAAAAGTTCACTTTGAAAACTATCTTTAAAAATCTGGATGGGGGATATGCTGTTATCTATCATTATTTTCCAGATCTTTGGTATATTTCATGATTTAAAAAATAGATACAAAGATATACAGCAATAGGAGATGCAAGGATTGAAGCCATTTACTGAAAGCGGTTTAGGGGCAGGCATGGAGTGGGGCCACTTCCCGGGGATTAGCTCATGAATCCCCACGTCAACCCTTGAACGTGCACCCGAGACCATAGCTCTGAAGCACAAGGCAAGGCAGCTGCCCACGGCCACAGGGCTTGGTACGTGGGGTCTGGATCCACACGAGCCTCTCTGAACCCTCTGCCCTGGCTCGGGGTGGGCTGCCGGCCACACGCTCAGACAAGTTCTCCCGGAAAGAGGACAACAAGAATGGCAGCCACTTCCAGCTCCAATGCTCTCAGCCCATGCACACTGGGAAGTCAGGGAGAGTTCACCAGGTCAGCATTCCAGGGCCACGGAAGAGTTTCGGTTACAGTGCAAGGACTCGGGAGTTCTGATGGCCGTCACCAGCTGATTTGTTCTGGGTCACAAGGCTATCAGAGGCTGCTCCAAGTCAGGGAACTAAGGAAGCTGGTGGTTTATGTGGGGGCCTGTGAGCAAAGACAGGAAATGGCAGAGATTTGCTCCTCAGAGCAACCACAAAGCTCAGCGCGGAGGTGCAGCGTCCACGCTGAGTCCCCTCCTGCCCTTTGGACAGGCACCCAGTGAATGAGATGCAAACTCAGCACGCATGCGGTAGAAGCACGTGCTCAAGCTAATCCATGCACCGCCAACGCCATTTTCAAGACGAAAACATCTTTGAGAGATGAGGCACTCTCAGCCCCTTCCCAGCCCCAGGATCCCCCAGGGGGGTACGTCTCTGAACACCAGATCCCAGGCAAGGTTCCCGCACAAAACACAGCCTCCACCCACCTCAACCACACACACAGACAAAGGATCCACACAGGGTCTCATAAGTTCAGGGCAGGCTGCCGACAACAGACTTCTCGGGAAGTGACATTGAACAAAGGATTTTGTTTCAGGGAGCTCCCGCCCCCACCCCACCTTCTCACCAACTTTATTGAGATGTCACTCACACGCCACACAATTCACCTACTTAAAGGGCACAACTCAAGGGGTTTCAGCGTATCCACAGAGTGGTGCAGCCACCACCAAGTTCAGAACCATTTTAGCCAATTTTAGAACATTTTCATCACTCTGAAAAGAAACCCAACACCTCTTAGTGATCACCACCCCCCTCCCCAACTTCTCCCTTTCCCCCAGGGCTGGAAACACCTAATCTACTTTATGTCTTCGTGGATTTGCTTGTTTTGGACATTTTCTATAAATGGATCCATTTAATACATCTGGCCTCTCTCACCTCGTGTCCTGTTTTCAAGGTTCATCCTTGTAGCTTGTGCCAGAGCTTCATTCCTTTCCATGGCCGAATAATATTCTGTTGTGTGGATAGATGACATTTTGCATATCCACTGATCACTTGCAAGCATTTGGGTTTTTTGTGTTTTTGGCTATTATAAATCACTCTGCTATGAGCACCTGTACAAGATCCTTGTGTGGATGAATGTCTGCAATTCTCTTAGATATTTGGCATAACCTATGCAGTCTGCAGAGCAAGAACCATAAGGCAGGCGCTCGAGGATGCCACCGTCGGCTGCGTGCAGCGGAAGCCAGGGAGAAAGGCACGCCACTCTTACGGAATCCCAGTGCACATCACACAGTGAGGCCCTGTGGATACTTGCTGAAGAAATGATGTAGTGAATGAATGTATCTGGGCACTTGGCCATATCAGTTGCTTGAATTTTAGGCGTTAGCGTGTGCTGACCCTGTCTCCTTCCATCAGCCTCTACAGGACAAAGTTGGCCTAAGGAACTTTCCCCATGCTATTCTAAGAGGTGCTTGATGTTGGGGGCACTGTGTGTCTGCCTTTGGGGCATCTTAAACAGTCCATCCATATGGGACCAGAGGGAGGGAGGAAACATGTGTGGAGAGCTTATCTCTGAGAACAACCCTAACCCTGTGGCCGCTCGCCTTCATGGTGATCAGAGCACAGACTCTGTGCTCTGGACATGGACGTGACATGGGCTCAAGTCCTAGCTCCACCTCTTACAAGTGCACAACCATGCGTTAGCTACTTGGTATCTCCGAGCCTTGGTTCCCTTCTGCATGGCAGGGACCACAGTGCCTTACTATTTACAAGTATAGGCTGGTGTTTGTGAGGCTCCTGCAAAGGTCTGATGTGGAGTCAGCACTCGGGAACCAGCAGTGCTGCAAAGTGAAGTGGCCACGGCACACAGACCTGCACCCAGGAGGAATGGTGTGCATCGCTCAGGGTGCATTTGGCTGCAAGTAAGGAATAGAAAAGAAACAGGTTGGGCTGCAACCAATGGTGACCACCACAGAAGCCAAGTAATGGTGTGCATGGATGCTTTACTTAGGAAACTAGTTCTCCTTATTTTAAGGAGCTTTGCTGATTCTCTGGATACCAAGTAGCATCTCGGCTTAAAAGGATTTGATGAATCTAATGAATTGAGTATGGAAAGAGAACCTCTAACATGGGTTTGTCTTGACCTCCCTGGAATAGATGTTCTTAGGAGAGTTCTGAAATGTTACACAGCAGATGTCATGGCCCCTGGACCAGGCTAACTGGAGAGGTTTTGTTCACCTGGGAAGCAGAACTTTTGCCATGCACATATGAGATCTTGCCCAAGCACATGCGGTCTGGCATTCTTTCCTTCACATTTTTCTTGGGTAGATTTCTTTTTTCCGGCTCAACCTCCAAAAGTCTCCTCCCAAGCCCTGCAGGAAACTGTGAACTGTAACTTCTACAAGCATAAAGTCCCGCCTCTTTCTTTTTCACCCCTGTGCTCTTTAGAGTGTGCTGTACAGTTCAGAAATAAACTAGGAGAAATACAAAGTCCATCTGTGTTTCATTCGGGATTGTGTTTTGCATGAGATACAAACCGTTTACTCCACAGTGATCTCATATGTTGCCATAAACCTTAATAGTAGAGGTACCAAAACTATTCCTCCAACCATAGCTTTTTGGTGGCAGAGATAGGACAATTATCAAGTCATGCTCAGAATTGTCCTCATGGTCACAAGGTAGCTGCTGCTGCTCAAGATATCATATTATTACTTCCCAGCATTCAAAGCAGTAAAGACGAGGAGGGAGGAGAGAGAATATCTCTTCTTATTTGTATTTATATGCTTCTAAACACACAAATACATTTTCTTCTAAGTTTTTGGTCTTGCCTTTCACATTAAACTTCTGGATAAATCTGGTATTTATTTTTGTGTACAGTGTGACATAGGAGTCCCATCTCATGTTTTAACATAGAGTGTTTAAATGACATAACTGAATTTGTTCATCTTCTGTGGATTTTGCTTTGAAACTAGAGCTGTTTTCTTGTTAATCATCTCCCAAGCTAGTTTTGAGATCAGGGTACTTGTCCTGTGTTTCAGATATTTTCAGATGTTCTCAGAAAGGGGATGGGATGGGGGGAAAATGTGCTGCCCAGCAATATTCCGGAAATTGATTTGTCTGGGAATTCATGGAAGAATACACCCATGTTGGCATTAGCGATATTTTCCACATCTAGGACCTCAGCTGCCGATAAAGTTACGAAGTAGACCGAGCTGCTGTCTCCATCCCTCATTGTATGCAGGAGACAGCCAGGGCTTTCAGGGTGGCTCTGGCAGGTGGCTCTGAAGTGGAGGGCTTCCTCTGCCTTCCGTGGAACCCTGATGGCTCTTCTTGTAAGTTCAGATGGCCACTCCTCCCCAGGGTCACGGATGCCTGACCACTTCCTCACCAAGGATGTCCCCCATACAGAAGGCAGACCCGTGGTTCTGGGGGCCTCAGGCTGGGCTCTCCACCCATTTCCATCCACTTCATGGCACATCCTCCTGACACTGATGATAGTGCTCCTTCCTCTTTAGCACCTGAAGGCATCACAGGCATCAGTGTGGCTCCGCAGCCCCATTTGGATTGATTCAGGCTGCATGTGCAAGGCTCTGATTTCACTGATTCCTGGAGACAAGCTCATGTTCCAGGAGAAGACTCACTTTACAGCAGGCCAGGGTTTGGGCAGGCAAGAGCCTTGTCACTTTTTGGACGCATTCGGTCACTTATCATTTGTGCCTTCAAAGCACCGTATTTGGGAGCCAGATATTTTTCATAAATAAATGAGGTCAAAAGCTGATAAAAATCAATGCATCTGAAACAACGCATGGTTCCTGGTTCAGCTTTCCGGCGGATACCTTGTGGCCCAGCGGGTCCCTTTGAAATATTCACAACAACAGAAAGGCTTGTTTTTCCATCCAAAGCAAATGGAAATACTCTCAGTGGGGCAAAAACAAATATTGTCTGGGGCCTGGAGCCTCTCAGACAACCAAGCCGTCTGTGGGCATCAAGGATGTTCACAACTTTGCTGAGACCATCTGTGAGAGGAGGGTCTTCACATCACACGGAAAGACAGGAGGCTGTCTTGGGGTGGAACAGTTTTTAAGAAAGAACTCAGAGTGTGAACAGAGTGGTTTCTGGAGCCAGATGAACCTGGGTTGGAGTCCTGGGGCAACTGCTTGCCAGTTACCTTGCCGCTCAGTGCCTCAGTTTACCTGACAGACGGGATATTAGTCGCTACTTTACAGGGGTTCGGAGGGCTACGTGACTTAAATCACACAGTTAAGTCCTAACTTAGTGGTAGTTCTCCAAATTGTTAATATTTCCATGTCAGAAATTAATGAAGTGTAAGTCCTTGTCAAATAGCTCATTTTTATCCTGTACCGTCACATCCAGCATTGTTTTGTCTTACTCTTGTTGTTGTTTCATGTCATTTTTAGAACGAGCAGGTGTTAGCTGAGTTAGGCCCTGTGGATGAGTCTCTCCTCTCCACCTAGGGGCAGGGGCCATGCCTGGTACTCCTTCTGTGCCCACACTGGATTGTTATTAGGAATAACAGTTCATGGTCACCAAGCCTGGAGGAGCACTCACACATGCCAGGTGAGGCTCTGAGGCTTCCCACACACGAATCACTCACTTAATCCTCACAGTAACTCCATGCCAGGGTGGAGGGCACTATGATCATCCCCATCTTACAGACTGAAATTGAAGCTCAGAAGGGCGGATTGACCCCCCCCAGCACCATTCAGCTTGTATGTGGCAGGACCGGGGTCCATCCAAGACAGCCTGCCCCTCTCTGTCCAGTCATGTTTTATCTATCAGTGGGGGAGTGAAAAGGGGTCAGGGGTCAGAGGTCATATCTGGAACAGTCATGTTTGGGTGAAGTCAGGAGATAAATATAAATCAAAGGTGTTAGGATGTAACACTGTGCAGCTATCAGAGAAAACAGCTTGGCAGTTCCTCAAAAGATGAAACCCAGAGTCAGTGTATGACCCAGCAATTCCGCTCCTTAGAGTGTACACAAGAGAACTGAAAGCAAGTGTTTAAACAAAGACATGTACACACATGTTCATAGCAGCCTTATTTGCAATAGCCAAAAGGTAGAAACAGCCCAAAAGTCCATTAGCAGATGAATGCATAAACACAAAATATGGTCTATCCACACAATTGAATATTAATCAGACTTGAAAAGGAATGAAGTTCTGACGCATGCTGCAATATGGGTGAACCTTGAACACATCATGCTAAGTCAAAGAAAGTAGATATGAAACATCATGTATTGTATGATTCCATTTATATGAAAGGTCCAGAATAGGTAAATTCACAGAGGCAGAAAATGGCTTAGTGGTTTTTAGGGCTGAAGAGAGAGGAATGAGAAGAGATTGCTAATGGGTATGGGATTTCCTTTTGGGGTGACAAAAATATTTGGGAACTAGATAGAGGTGATGGTTGCACAACATATCGAATGCACTAAATGCCACTGAGTTGTTCACTTTAAGATAATTAATCTTTCTCAGACAAAGCCAGTCTGAAAAGAATGGAAGAAGTCCCTACTTCTTCGAATGTGGGGACATCAACTTAAGGCAACAAGAAACATAAAATACCAAGGAGACAGAACACCACGGAAAGAACACAATAACCTCCTGATAGAATACCCCAAAGAAATGGAGAAATGGAAATATATGAATTACCTGACAAAAAACTAAAAATAATTGTTTTAAGGAGGCTCAGTGAACTTTGAGAAAATACAAACAATTCAGTGAAATCAGGAAAACTATAAATAACTAAAATGATTAACTTTATAGTATGTACATTCCATGTCAATAAAAAATGAAAAACGTGAGATGTGAGAAGAGATTGGTGCTAACCAATCTTTGCTAACAACTACTTCCGTGCCAATGTTTTCAGGTTCTAACCACTTTCTGAATCTAAATCCATGGCACTGGATTCAGGGAGAACATTCTTGTTCACTGGGAATGAAAGTCTTGCCCATATCTACCTGGAGGCTGAGAGCCTCCTCATCCAGCCTCTATGGGCCTCAACAAATGTTCTCATGAGAAAGACGTCATCTTGCATGTGCTCTCTTGTGGAGAAATGGCAACATCAAGGCAAATAGGCATTCATGTGGGAAGTCCTCAAATTCTCTGGCCTGAATTGCTTCTCTGTGTGTGTGTACACGTATCAGTCAACGAAAGAGAGGAGAGTCCTGAGTATATGAATAGGCAAAGTCCATGCTGAGCAAGGACCCAACAAGCAAGGTCAACTCAGGAGCAGAGCCAGAATCAAGATGTCTTGGTGGAGCAAAGTGAAAGCCCCAAACTTGTTCTTGCCAGATGTTGACTCTCTGACACATGGCCATGGACCACAAAACCATCACCCAAAGATGCAGTGAAAGGCAAATGACTGCAAGCCTTTGCAAACAGTGCAATTTATTCATTCACTCATTCATGCAACCAGTATTAACTGAGCACCTATTACGTGCTGGTGGGAGAACTTAATGAACAAAGAATCCAGTTCATGCCCTTGTAGAATTTATATCCTACACACAGATAATGACTAAAGTTGTGGCAAGTGGACTGGGGAAGAAGTAGAAAGTGCTATAATCAATTTCAAGAACCCCTGACCTTGCCAGTGAATCAGGGAATGCTTCCTGGAGGAAGTAATATTAACTAGGAAAATAAGGGAAAGAAACAGCACCCCAGGAAGAGACCACAGTGTGTGCCAAGCCCCAGGTAAGAGGGAGCACAGTGAGTCTGAGGGATGGAAATCGTCCATGTCCAGAGAGTAAGGGCCAGTTCAGGTGATGACAGCAAAAGGCAATATTGCTAAATGTTCACTACCTGCCATGCACAGCACTCAGCCCCTTACCTCAGTGCAATCTTTCAACCGTCATGGCAGTCTTTGAGGTGGGCCCTACAGTCATTCCCATTTTCCAGGTGAGGCTGCTGAAGCACAGAGAGATTCATGAATTTGCCCCGGGTCCCTCACTAGGGATTGTGGGGCAGGAATGTGCCCAGTGAGCTTCAGAGCCGGTGCTCTTGAGCGGCACCTGCTTACATGGCGGACTTGGACAGGGGCCAGGACACAGTCTTGAAAGTCATGGCAGCAGGAACTTTGCCTTTTGTCTTAAGACCACAGAGAAGTTACTAAGGTGGTGCCATGGGCAGGGCTGCATTGCAAAAGGAACATTGTCGGGGAGAATGAGAGACCAGGCATCAAGACCAGTAAGATGGGGTCACTGGGTGGGAGACAGTGCCTGTCCCTTCAGGGTGGTAGCACCCTGGTAGATGGGAACCCATGGTGGTTCCCGAAAGTGACCACCCCAGGTAAAGCTTCTTCCCAGAAGCACTGTTTCCCAGCCATCGTGTTGATCTCAATCTCTCTCCAAAGAGCAGAAGTACCATGTCACTCCGTGGGTGGTTCCAGGGCAGTGCTACCCAACCTTGGCTGCTGGTCAAAATCACCCGGGGAGCTTTAAAAATAGGAGTGCTGGGCTCCACCCAGGAGAGGACAATGTAATGGGTCTTGGGTGGGACTCAGGCACTGGCATTTTTAAGAGCTCCCCAAATGATGCCAATGGGCAACCAGGAGCCAGAGAAGTCAGGGTTTCCAGCCAGACCTCGTTTTTGTCGGGCAGCCTCAGAGGCTCTTCCGGACTAGAGGATGACTCTTCCCTCAAACCAAAGGAATTCAAGGGCCCAGGAAGGAGGTCCACGGCCTGCACAGATGTGGGGAGAGTTTGGCATGGGCCTTTCTGGAAATTCTTTTTATCCTCCCTGTTCCCCCATCATTTTCTCGAGGCAAAAATAAATACCGACATCTCCGCTTGTGTCAAAGTGACGGGTGTGTACGCTCTTCGTGTGAAAAGTTATGCCCTGAAGCTGAGTCATACAACCAAACAAAACCTCGCTGTCAGTGAGTGTATGTGTCCAATATTTCAAGCAAAACTGTTTAAAGCTATTTTTGTAACGTGACGCTAAGTGGATAATGGAAGACTATGGCGAGGCCCGGGGAATGAATGCATTTTTGTCTGCAGTTTGAAAATCAATAGCAGACTTGGAAATCCGATGTGCACTCATGCACGAGACAATCCATGTCATTGAAGTGAGGCCAGTCCACAGCCTTGTGAGGGAGGCCAGCAGCCCAGGGAGCAGGACAGACCCTCCAGCTGCAGCAGGCCCACTCCTGCTTTGGGAAGAGTAGTTGGCCCTCACTGCCAATCCTGGCAAACAACTAATTCCACACCAATGCTGCATGGATCTAAGCACTTTCTGAATCTAGATCTGTGCATGGAGGCACTGAGTTCAGACAGAACATTCAGTTCACTAGGAATGAAGGTCTTGCCCATATCTACCTGGAGACTGGGAGCCTCCTCACCCAGCCTCTGCAGGCCCCAACAAACGTTCTCATGAGAAAGAAAGATGTCATCTCACATGTGCTGTCTTATGAGGAAATGGCAACATCAAGGCAAACAAGCATTCATGTGGGAAGTTCTCAAATTCTCTGGCCTGAATTGTTGATTCTTCAAAGTTGAGGGGACCCTACCCTGGGTCCACATCTGCCTTTTAGTGGCTGCATGAGTCCACTTGGGTTGGGTGTGGAATTCCACACGGAAGTCAGCTTTCTGCGAGGAATTCCCATTAGCTTTATCAGATTCTCCCAGGAACGCTTCAGCCCAAAAGCTGGAGGCTGACCCACCCTCCTACTCTGGCCTACCCAGTCTGTCCAGCTTCCAGAAGCTCCCAACTCACTGTGCTCTTCTGGCTTTTAAACATATATTCTTATTATAGAAGTGATGCATTCTCCTTACAGAAAGAGGAGAAAGTCAAGGTAACACTATGACAT
Organism: Homo sapiens; assembly: GCF_000001405.40. NCBI lineage: Eukaryota > Metazoa > Chordata > Mammalia > Primates > Hominidae > Homo > Homo sapiens. Next base: position 86,943,703 of record NC_000016.10, read on the forward strand.
CTAGCCTTCCAGACCTCTGATGCTAAAACTCAATTATGACGGTGCTGCCTCCAGCCCCACAACTCTCAGCATGCCGGGAAAAAGTGCAGATTCTTAAGTCCTCTCTGAAGTCCTTGCACTTGACCCTAATGGCAATGGAAGCAGGAAACCTTTATTGAGCCACTACGACAATCCAGCATTATCTCAGTAGATGCTATTATGATCCTATTTCACAGATGAAGAAAATGAGGCTCAGAGAAGTTAAGTCACTTTGCCCGTCATGCCCAGCCTCAACCTACATTTTCTTGGTCACCCCTGTCTCTCCCTGCCAGGTCCTCTCATGCCCTGAACTTTTTGCACACACTCTTCTTCGCCTCCCATGGATGCCGTCCCAACATTTTCCTTGTGCAACACTTACTCTTCAGGGTCCAGAGCAAACGCCACCTCTTGGGTTATATCTCCCTGGTTACCGCCAGGCCATTCCTCGTACCTAGACTGGGGGACATGTGCTTGATCTTGAACTCACTTGAACACCGCTTCTGCTCCATAGACTCTGCCCTTCTAGAGTGTAGGGCCATGGGTGCCCATGGCCCAGGTCCACACCCCTCACCCAGCACTGGGAATCTAATTGCTGCTCAATAAAATCCCATGATAACCAACTGAGTGTTTCCAAATTGGCTCTCTGATATCATCTAGATATGACCTCTCACCTGCCCATAAAATGAAATGAAATCCATAGGACAAAATTTGACCATGAATTTATTCTCATTCTGCATCCAGCCTTTTGAGTGATAATAATAATAATAGCCCATATTTACCGACTCTTGTTTTGGCTGGGTGTCCCCCAAAGCAAACCTACAGACAAGGGATTTAGGGACCTGGGCCCAAGTGAATTACTTTGGAGGTAAATTTAGAAAGTACCAGGAGGGGAATGGGGAAATGAGGCCCAGAGGTGAGAAAGCCAACCATGAATGGGTGGTAGCAGGGTGACTGGACTCTGGTCTGTTGGGACCCTTTATAGAGGCCTGTGGAAGATGCCTCAGAATTATCTTCCCAAGAAACACACGCAGGGGTGTTTCCCATCTACTCCATCCCTCCTCGGGGGGCTGCTCTGAGGACATTGATTCCCTGCACAGCCCAAGGATGCTCTTTCAGCCTAGAAAGTTCTCTGGTGGAGGGAGGCAAGTGCTGAAAGAAGGAAGCTATGAGTGGGCTCAGGAATGATCCACCAAAGTTTCTGGCCTCTGGGGAGGCTGAGGGGGAATCTGGCCACTCCAGGTTTGCCACAAATGTTTTTGTCTGTGCCAGGAACACTGCCAGGGACTTTGCAGTCATCTCCTGTTCTGATTTTACCTTAACCCTCCCAAGAGGCAGTATCTATTGCCCACCAGTCTTATCACCATTTTAAATAGGAGAAACTGAGATTCAGGGAAGTGAAGGAGTTTGCCGGTGGTCATTCTGAGCAGCTGGAAAGAGAGACCTTGAAACCCATTTATCTGTCTGATTCCAAATCCCAGACCCTAACCGCGGTGTGGGGGCTTCCAGAAAAGCAAGCCCGAGGAAAGGGTCTGGATGCCACCCCATGGGGGCCATGTCGGGTAGGTGGTAGCCGCAGAGGAAAAGCTGAGTCACTGCACCTGAAATTCTGCTGATCGGACCCATCCGCACACTTTTAGGAAAAACAAGCCACTCTCTTTGATCAATGTCCAGGGCCATGATGGGCTCAGGTTCAAAAACAACACATCCCTAAAGTGTGGAAGCCCTTTGGGTTCTGGGAAAGTGGGAGAATGGATTTGCTCTTCCTGAAGTTTATTCAAGGTTTCCTCCTCACTGGGTTGCCCAAGCCTCCTTGGGAGAGGCAGCGTGGCAGCAGACCCCTCAACCACGCCAACACGGCAGGGCTCAGGGCAAGGACGGACGGCGCCAGCCCCGTCAGCACATGGCAGGATGCAGACCTTTCAGGAGAGACCTTGAGGAAGCACGGAGTCCAGAGGAAGGCCTCAGTTTCCCTGCAGGTGCACCCTTTGGGTGGCCACGGGCCGAGAGCTGTTCTAACCATGCGTGTGTGTTCCGCAGCTTCCAGCAGCACCAGCACTGTGAAATACCCAATCAAACAAGTCCAGCCGAGTTTAGGGCATACCCTCATTATCACAGTAAACGTCAGCATTGTATTCAGCCAAGAAAAGAACGACCTATGGGATTCTTTCTTTCCATAGTCACTTAAACTCTTCCAAATTTTTAAATACTTTCTGAAATTTTTCCTAGATCTTTTTATCACATACCTGTGCAACCAAAGTTTCACATCGATAGTGACTTCAAGATTTTGAAGAGGGACGTTCACATGTCAGCCAAGAATTGCACATAGCTATTTCCAGCATAAAACCTGACTTCCTTTAAGAAAGCTATGTTTGGGGAGGTGGTGGGTAAAAGGAGTGACTTCTAACAAGCATGGTTTTTCGGGGGCGATGATGAAAATGTTCTAAAATTGATTATTGTGATAGTTGCATAAATCTGTGAGGACACTAAAATCACTGAACTGGAAACTTTCCATGGCTGAATTCTACGGTAGATTAATTACACCTCAATAAGACTGTTATGAAAAAGAAAGTTACATTCACAGAAGTACGCTAAAGCTTCTCATTAACATTTTTGAAATGATTCATTTGGGCACTGCCTATTCAAATATAAAGTCATTTATTATTTATTTCATGTAAATGAAAATAGAATTAGCATCCTATTTTCCTGTAATTATTTTACAGAAAGGAAACAGGGACGCCCCCAAATCCTCTGCTTACCCCACCACCGTGCATACAGATATGGTTATCGTGTATGTGTCACCCTGCAGGAATGATGGGAATGTCCTGAAATAAAGTCCTTTGGTCCTCTATACAGGACAGCCAAGGAGATGGAAAGATCAGATGACACTGAAAATATTCACGGCCAGCCTGGCTGGGGCCTGGGCAGTCAGAACAAACACCCCTGGAGGCATTGGGCCCCAGCAGGTACCCTCGGGTGAGTAAGGGCTGCAGGTTAAACTGCTCAGGTTGGGGAAGCAAACTCCTCCCTCGCCTGACCCCCACCTCCCCAGACAGGCTGCTGCCTTCAGCCGCTTCCCTGTCTCTCTCCCTTTTCTGCTCCAAGGGGGGATTTTTTTTTAGCTTTTATTTTAGGCTCAGGGGTACACGAGCAGGTTTGTTATACAGGTAAATTGCCTGTCGCAGGGGTTTGGTGTGCAGACTGTTTCCCCACCCAGGTGATAAACATAGCATCCAGTAGTTTTTGGAATCTCACCCCCTCTCCCCCACACCATCAGGTGGGGGTCTGCAGCCCAGCTCAACTGCCGTGCCTGGGAAAGCTCTGCAGACCCCCTCCAGGCCTCATCATCTCCATCCTGCTGTGAGCAGCTAGGCTCCTGGCTTCTCCTGCCGCGTCCCCCAACATGCTGATGCTGCTGACGGTGTGTGCACCCTCCCGCTCCACCTGTTGGTCCAAACCAGCCCCATGTTCCCTCCTCCTGGTGTCCTTGGCCACCTCAGGATGAGGGAAGGGGCCAGGGGATTCTCTGCGTGGTCACTCGGTCACTCCGCAGACCTCGCCATCCAACACCCTCTGGCCTCCCAGAACTGCTCTGCTGGCCAGTGTGGCTAACGGGTGCTCCAAGGGCCATGCTCAGAACCACTGTCTTTGTCCTCAAGAGGATGGTGAAGGGTGAACACTTTCCCTTGAACATTTTCTTTGAAGACAACCTGTTGACGAGTTTACGGAGTGGCAAGTCCCAGCTATGGGAGGAGCTCTGGGGTCCACCAGGCCCAACCCGTCCTCTGCCTGCCACTTATGGACCCCTTCAACGAGCCAGGCACTGAGCTACCCGGCCACAGGTTTCTCTCATCTCCTCACAGCTGCCCTAGGAGAGGGTCTTGTTATCCTCATATGGGGAAACTGAGGCACAGGGGGAGAACTAGCTCACAGAACCAACTCCCGAGTGACAGAGGCAGGCTGAGAAACCTGCTGCCCGCTGCTAACCCATACTGAGCGTCCCGAGCCAGGACCCTCATCGTACACTTGCACACCCAGAGACACATCAAGCCACGGGCGTCCCCACCTGCACAAAGGTCAGTGCGTAGGGCTCAGATGGCAGAGATGGCTGCGAAGCCACAGCCCCTTCACCCACCTTCTCACCCTGCAACTGTGATGAGTTGCTGCGCTCTGTGTGTCTCAGTTTCCTCATCTGTACCCTGAAGATACTAGTACCTGCCATGCCATATCGTGTTACGAAAATAAGCTTCTGTGTGAAACATATTATGTATTTTAAAAACTTAGACTACGTGTCCAACACCATGACACGCTGCTGTGACAGCTACTGCTATTAGTGCCGCTGTTGCCTCTGCCCTGCCACTAGATAAGGTCCTTGTGGCCACGCCAGGAATGATACAGGGAAGCCCAGGAGCTCTGAAGCTCCTGCCCTTCACAGGAATTGAGCCCACTCAGCCACTCTGCTCCTGCTCCTGCTCCTGCTCCTGCTCCCACTCCCCGAGCTTCCACGGACAAATCCTGCCAGGAAAGGCTCTGCCCTGAGCACCTCCGCCCCCACCAACGCCACACATCTTCATGACGCCAGTCCTTCTAGGAGTTTCCGCATGTGCACCCAGGTGTACCTACGTACCCAGACATCTCTATCACCTGTGTGCATGCGTTATTTTCTGAGCTAAATTCCGGGACCAGCATTGGAGGGCGGTGAGCATATGCAGGTGAAAGAAGGAGGCTGGACTAGGAAATTTCCATCAGTTCCCAATGGAATCCTCTCTTTGAGCCCCCTAGGACTGACCATTCAGTGCTATCACCTGGAGGAAGAGGTGTGGAGGGAAGACGCCACCTTCTCCAGAAACACATGAGATGGACAAGCTCTCTCAGTGCTGGGTAGTTTCACGCACATTGCGTGTGTGCTGACTCAATCTCCCAAAAGGTTTACCTCAAAGGATGGAACCCAAAGACAGTTATTTCCATTTTCATCTCCATTTTACAGATGGGGAAACTGACAGCCATGGGGGAGACACTTTCCAAAGGTCAGGACAGTGCAGAGGGAGCAAAGCTGGCATGGAGAGCCCTCAGGCTGCTGCGGAGGCCCCGCGTTCAGCAGTGACATCACACTGCCTCTCTGACTTTTCTTTGCCAAAAGAAAGAATCCCAGGACCCAGAGAGGACCTTGGAGGTCCTCTAAGCAATTCCCTCCTCTCTGTTCTCAAACCACTTGGAGATGGGGAAACTGAGGCATGAGGGGCTAAGGGAAGTTTCTGAATCTACAAGGCAATCAGAGACCTTCTTTAACCAGGTACGCCTAGCTCCTGCCCTTTGAGTCAACAGCCTCTCTGATACTCTTAGAAACACAGCAGGAAGAAAAGTTCACGCAAGAAAGCAAGCCCATTTTTTCACTTTTTTGTGAGGAGAAGGATTTCATATAGGACGTCGCACAGTGAGTGCATCCACCATAGACGCACATGCATGCCCTCTCCCCGTCCAGGGAAGCAAGCAGCCAGCTCTAATGATAATACGTTTCCTGAGAACTTTCCACTCGCTCTGAAGCACTTCTAATTGTGTCTGGAGCCTTTCCTTCCTACCCCACAGGATGAGCCGGGACATGCCGCTCGCGAGTTTTCTCTCTTACACTGGCCTGGAGCTGTGCCAGGAGCCTTGGAGCCGAGTTGAAGGGGATTCCCAGCTCCCCACATCCCACCATCTCTCTGGGCTGCATTTTATCACCTGCAAAGTGGTGAGAGAGCAATACCTGCTTCCACGTGCAGGTGTTCCTGGAAGGATTCAGTGGATGGCGACTGCGGGTCATCCAGCTGCCACTGGTCCATGAGTACCAGCTGTTCTCACGGTGGTTCTGAAAGGGGTAGACAGAGGCAAATTGGTTCGTTTCTTCTTTGTTGTGAAGCCACGATTATCTTTTAAGGCACTCTGAGGATTAACAGCAACTACCTTCTCTTTCCTGAAGCCAAATACTTCTTCAAGAACACCTGGGGGTCTGGGCCAGCCTGTCCCCAGCTGGTTTCACAAGTCAGCAGGTGTCCCCAACCACCTCCTGGGGTTTCATGAACTAAGCCCACTTTAACCTACATACATTGTGATATCCTATTATATTACATAAAATGCTTGCATTGCATAATATTTCTATGTTATAAAATATACATACCTAATATAGAATATGCTAGATATTATATAATGTTTATAATATATGATATAACATAAGGAGGTGATGCCGTGATCAGGTACAACAGACAATCACACAGAAAGAACTTCAGGGAAAGGAGACGCCCTTGGCCTTGTGCTCGAGCCTTGGGCCTCAGAGGCCTTGAGTTATCATCTAGCCCTACCAGTTAAACCTCACCTCACCGAGCCTCAGTTTCCAGATCTGTCACATGAGAAACGAGGCCCTCATCATCACATATTGCAGGTTCAATGGGCATAGTTACCACACCAGTGGTGCATCCGGAGGGCATGCACAGCGGAAGGCATTGTTTGCCCTGGCTCATCTAAGTCCTCGGTAACTCCAGGAAGGAGTTATTCTATCAGTCCTTGATGTACAGGTGGGGAGCCAAGGCTGGGAGAGGTGGAATCTCCTATCCAAAGTCACGGGACTGTGGAGGGAAGGTTCTGAATCTTGAGTTCCCAAAGCCCATGTCCCCTATGTCTGTGTGCCCTGCCTTACAAAGTCAGGGCTGTAAGGCTCTTTATCTGACCTTCCAGTCCAGCAAGAACCAGCTCACAACACTCAGCCATGCTGCTGTGTCTTCTCCTCCCCACCCACTTCCACCTTCCACCAGAAATGATTTCCCAGTCACACTCTGAAAAGGAGTAGATGTGAGTTACAAGGTACCTCCCATCATTCCAGATATCAGTTCCTCATCATTCCCTGGGCCTCCCAAGAGGGATATCTGTGCTCTCTGCTCTCATGTCCTGCTGGGCCTCAGAATCTGGCAGCCCTTGTAGCTTAGAAGAGACAGTAAAAGACTCTGCTCTTTAGCAAATCTTATTTCACTGCACTAGAACCGTAAGTCCCATGACCCAGTCCTCTTCATCTTAGTGGCCACAGTATCCCCAGGATCCAGCACTGTGCCTGGCATGAAGCCAGGAGGTACTAAACATATATGCAGGCTTCAGCATCAGACAGACCTGCAGTAACTGTGCCTGACCACTTACTAATGGTGTGGCCCAGGCAGGTTACTTCACTCCTCCAAGCCTCGGTTTTTTTATCTGTAAAATGAGGACAATTTAACAGCATAGCATCTGGCTCACTGGGTGTCTGAGAGACTTAAATAGAATGTATAGGGGACTTAGCACAGCGCTCAATGAATGATAGCTATCATGATCACCATAACCATGACAATCATCACCATCATGATCCCCAACACCATCACCATCACACATCATCAGCATCACCATCACCACCATCATCATCACCATCATCAACATCATCATTATCATCACCACCATCATCACCATCACTATCATCGTCATTATCACCACCACTATTACCACCATCAACATCATCATCATCACCATCACCAACACCACCACCATCATTATCATTACATCACCACCATCACCATCACCACCATCACCATCATCACCATCATCGCCATCATTATCATTACATCATCACCATAACCATCATTATCATCACATCATCACCACCATCACCATCATCTTCACCGTCATCACCACCATCACCATCATCACCATCACCATCATCGCCATCATTATCATCACATCATCACCATAACCATCATTATCATCACATCATCACCACCATCTTACCATCATCATCACCACTATCATCATCACTATCAACATCACCATCATCACCATCACCATCATCGCCATCATTATCATCACATCATCACCACCATCAACATCATCATCATCATCACCACCATCACCATCACCACCATCTTGACCGTCATCATCACCACTATCATCATCACTATCAACATCACCATCATCATCACCACCATCATTACCATCACCATCATTATCATCATCATCACTATCATCACCACTTTCTCTGTAGACACTTCGCTGAGACTTACCCTCATGTCAGCCACTGAGGACTCAGTTTAGAGCTAGTCAAGAACCAACCTAAAGTGCTTTGGTAACATAGGTCTCCTCAGCATCAGCAGTGAGTGTTTGACTTAGCTGACTCACTCCAATAATAGCACGGCAAAGGCAGGAAGGCCCAGAGCACACCCACTGTGCTCTGATCCCTGGGGGTCCTGGCACGTAATGTGGAGCAGGTGGGTGGATTTCAGCAACACTACCCTCCCCCATCTCTACAAAGGAGATTCCCAGCTTGGCGGTCCAGTCAGGGTGTGGTGAGAATGACTCACTCTGTGGCCTTCTTTAAGATCCTCCTCAGGAAGTGAAGAAGTCACTTTGGAGGCTCTCGCTCACAAATAGAACATTTTCTTCCCACTCGTGAGATCAGCATGTACTCAACCAGGATGAGAAGCCATGCCAACAGGCTGTGCCAGGGTGTCAGGAACGTTTAGATTCCCGAATGAGGAAACGAGAAGCAGGGATATGCGCACATTTCCAATGACCCATGGCCATTGCTGAATGTCTCCACTGTGGTAACAGCTAACGGTTTTCTAATCCCCAAAGAATGTATGTGATGGAGGAGATCCCCTCAACTCACTTCCTTCCCCCGAGAAGCCATCTTCAGCATGGAGCTTATGTCATTCTTGGCCGATGATGTGGCAAGCTTTTATGAGTGATTCCTTCCCAAGAAAATGGTTGTTATACTGGTTTCTTTGACAAGGGCCCCAGGCCAGCTGTGCCAAGTGCCATACTGAGAGTTGAGCAACATTTGCTGGTGTACTCAGACCTTGGTCTGATCTCTGTTGACCCGTTTTCTGACATATGTGATGGCTGATGTTTCTTGAAGGTATGATCTGGACCAAGCCCTTGGGTGATGGCTTCGTAGGTGGTATTAGGTTTGCTCTCCTTAACAACCCGATAACTTAACATTTTTCAATATCCCATTTGTGGATGAGAAACCAAGGTCAAGAAAGGTCACATAATTTATACGAAGTAATTCAACTAAAAAATAGGAGGGTAGGCTTCAGGGCCAGGAAATCTCTTCCCCAGACCCCTATCATTAACCTTCATTATATTTGATCTCTGCTGGTCACTGGGCTATCACTTCCACCCCTCCCCTGCTTTCTATCATGGGGAACTACATTTCCCAGGTTCCTGTGTGCTCTGACTTCTGGGCAGTTTCAACCAATGGGAGGCACTGGTGGAGGACTTCTGAGAAAAGTATTTCTCCTCTCCCTCTCCCCCTCTGCCCACTTCCTTTCTGGCTCCAGCTCCTGTGGGAATGCCCTTCCCTCCATGGTCCCTATTTCCACTGGACAGGTTGTCAAGGGTCCAGCTTTCACCAGGTGACCCTAGATCCTGGGTTCCATGACACCATCTCCTCCTTTGTCACTCCAGCCCAAGGAGTGACTGGTTGCTGTGGCTGATCCCTGAGGTGCCTCAACACCTGCAGCTTGGCAGCTCCCCTAGGCCCTCACCTGTAAAACCAGCCCCCTATATTAAATCCCTCCATGTAAAATACCTGGAGTGACTTCTGTTTGCAGAGTGCACATGAGCTGCTGGATCCTCAGCCTTCGTGACAGTTGTGAAGAGGAGGAGTGGTAGGGAATGGGGAAATACGCTGAGTGCAAACTCTGTCTCCCTGTCATCACACCTCACGCCTAACAGACATTATCGCATTTCACTCTCACAATCAGACTTTTAAAGCAGGGGATGCCATGAGCTCCATTTTACATAGGAGGGCCCTCCAGCTTCATTAGGGTAAATAACTTGCTCATCTAAAAGAGAACAGAGACGGGAGTCAGCCCCTGCTCTGCCGGGGTGCCAAAGGGGAGGGAGCTCTGGGCCCAACCCCACTGCTGCCCCCACTCCCCCGCCTGCCCAGCTCTCACTTGCTGCACACAGGAGGCCATGCTTGATGTGAGCTCCTGCACCCGACAGGGGCCAGCCCTGTGTGGGCCTGTGGAAAGCCCCACTCCGTGCTGCCTTCTACCCCTTAGGATTCTGACCTAAGCTCCTGGGCCTCCTGTGGCCACAGGGCATGGCCTGAGCCGGACACCCTGAGCTGAGAGCGGCTGTGGCAGGCCCAGATTTACGGCTTTGTTATTCCTGTGTTTTGGAGATTTTACAGCCCCGCGCTCCCTCGAGAACCCTGTGCTTTCTCTAGGACATATCAGTCAGACGGCGGAGGAAATATCCCAAATGCTGGGAACATCCTGTGTCACGGTGTCTCCCGGGCCCAGGTACCCACGACCTTTTGTTTGCAGCCTGAGGGAGGAGGAGACTGATAAAGTGCGGGGGCTGGGGGGAGGGCCGGCGGCCCCTCTGGTGCCCTGGTTTGTTCTGGTTTGTTCTCCAAGGCGACACACGTCCCAAGCTTCCTGACCAAAACAGTCATCGCCGTGGGCCTCTGGTGCAGAGCCAGTGCTCACGCTGCAGTGAGCGCCTCTTCATTCGCCTCCCGTCCGTTTGGGGCAGATAGCTGACTCTGCAAGGAGCCTCCACACTGGCCAGTGGGTCCATCGGCGTTTTGCCTGCATGGGATACAAGGCCCTATTGTCCTGTGCCACCCCTCCCCCACGCCCACTGCCTCCCCAGAACCCTCCAGGCTGCAGCTCCTGTGTGAGATCGGGCCCCAGTCCTGCGGGGACTGGATGGGTGGGGGTGGGGAAGGGGCCTGGAAAGCAGGAGCAAAAAAAAAAAAGGAAGCAGCGGCCAGTAGGAGAGAGTTGGAGCCTATTAAAAAATACACATATATTCATAAAATAAATAATAAACCAAAACTATAAAGGTCTGGAATGAGCCGGTTGCAGTGGCTCCCGCCTGTAATCCCAGCACTTTGGAGGCCAAGGTGGGCGGATCACCTGAGGTCGGGAGTTTGAGACCAGCCTGACAAACGTGGAGAAACCCCATCTCTACTAAAAATACAAAAACATTAGCCAGGTGTGGTGGCTCATGCCTGTAATCCCACCTACTCAGGAGTCTGAGGCAGGAGAATCGCTTGAACCCAGGAGGCGGAGGTTGCGGTGAGCTGAGATCACACCATTTCACTCCAGCCTGGGCAACAAGAGCAAAACTCTGTCTCAAAAAAAAAAAAAAAAAAACAAAGTCTAGAATGATACATATTAAATTGTTGAGTGTGGTCTTCTCTGATGGGTGAGATCAGCTTTTCTTCTTCAGGTCATTATTCCATACTATCCAAAAAAGTTTAAACAACCATCTGTCACTTTTTTGTAAGAAAAAATATAAAGTTGCTTGAACTTGAAATGTGTAGCTCAAGCCAATGAAGCCGGGAGCAAAAAAAAGATATTAAGGAAAATTAAGTGCATAAACTGCCCATCTTGTCCCTTGACGGTTGCTGTGACACCAGTTCTAGATTATTCCTCATGCTACTGGGAGGGAGGAGTGGACCTTACGTAGCCCCTAGGGCAGTGTCCCCCTTTGCAGTCACGACACTCGTGGAGGGGACAGGGATCAGAGGACCCAGGAAGGTGCCAGAGGCCCCACAGCTGGGAGGGGCAGAGACGAGACCAAGGTCAGCGCAGTACCCACAGGAAGGGCAGAGGCAGGTACTCTCAGGACGCCCCAGCACCAGGCCTCCTGGGAAGGGGGGCAGCCCTGGGTCCAGGCACTCACCCCACCAGCTCTGTGATCACATGCTCGGCCCCATGGTGGGCCATGGATAGACAGGGGCAGAGGCACTAGCACCCCCAGCTTAGCCCCTGGCCTCCAAAGGAAAGGGCACCAGCAGTTGCCTCTGAAACATGGCCCTGGTATCCTACCCTGAGAAACAAATGTGATCTGACCTCCAGCTCACCCCCGTCTCCCCTCTGACCCACCCCAAATCCAGGCCCTGAGTCCTCCGCCCAGGCAGCTGCGAGGCGGGGCATGTGCTTTTAAGTACAGCTTTCCCCCGGTTTGGGCTGCTGCTGAAAATACACTGTTATTGACAGGCGACATGTGGAGAGCTCTTTCTGGTGTTGGAAAAACACAGTGGAGCCATTCATAATGCTGGTGTTAAGGGGCAGAAGAAATGCCCCCTTGGTGACAGACATCCCCATGTCCAGGCTCCAGTGCAACCTGGGACTCTGAGCCGGCACATGACATCCATGAGGATGAGCTCCATGCAAGCCAGGACTTCCCCTGCACAGGACTCTCCCCTGGAGCAGCCACAGCAAAGCACCTAGAACATGTGGCTGTAACAGCAAGTGGGTTTCCAGATCCCGGATCTCCTCCACCTGCTTCATCTGATTTGAATCACCCAACAGCACTGTACACAGGGGATTACACGCCATTCCCATTTCAGGGAGTGAAACTGAAGCAATGCTCTTCTGTAGCTCAGAGGCTTTGCAAATGCTGTTACTCCTGCTCAGATTACTTTTCAATGTGACCATCATAAAGTGGGCCAGAGTGAAGCATGTAAAGCACTTAGAAGCCCTGAGCCACCATTTAAGAAGCCTGGCTGCCCTGAAGCCACCGCCGGGAGAGAGAAGCCTGAGACGCCCCAGCACCCCGCAGCCCAGCCATTTGAGACATTCCAGCCCAGATGCCCGGAGAAAAAGGCTTTGAGATGAGCCCAGGCCCAGCCACCATCTCATGCAGCTGGTGAGAGATCCTGATTGAGACCCACAATGCTGACCCCAGGCAAGATCTGGATTGGGGAGCCACTGTTTGGGGGTATTTCGTTACACAGCAATAGCTGAGCCCCCCTTGGACTCTAGGGCCCTTGAGGAGAGGGTGACCAAAGCTGACAAATTGCCGTAAAGAGACCATGCCCCAGCTGAGCCGCCCTCAGCAAGAGCCTTGTGGGGACTATGACTTCCGGTTTCAGCAGCATTTCAGGAAACGCCGGTGACAAGGCTTTGGGAAGGGTGATGACAGTGAGGGCGGGGATGCTTGACTCTCCAGACAGTGACGATTCAGGCGGGAAACAGCAGCTACTTTGCTACAGGGATCCACGAAAGTGTCCAAGGAGGAGACGAGGCCGTAGCTGAGTGCACAGTGGGCACCCGGTGGAGGGGGGTTCACGTGCATTGTCACTTCTGCTCTCCCACCGCCCTGGGAGTCAGGCACGATTAGAACTCCATCTCTGGAGAGGAGGCTGGGAGATGTAGAATAACTCATCCAGGACACAGCCTGTAACTCCTGGAGCTTGGATTTGAACAAGGTTGGTCATTCTGCTTTCCTTATCGATAACAAAATGGATGGGAGGAAGGTGGGGGGAGGGGCCACACCATTGGACCTCTGCACCAAAAGTGTTCAATAGAGCTGTGCAGATTTAACATCCAGACACTCTGTCAAAGATGCCGGGGAAACTCTCCTAGGGCAGTTAGTGATGTGAAGCTCAATGGACTTAAGGGCTCTTACCCTCAGAGGGCAGCTCAGCCAGGCCTGGGTTTGACCCCTGCTCTTCCCTCGCCAACTGTACACCTCAGGCAAGTTAGCTCTTGTAATAACGTGTCCTCACACGGAAAACTGGCACAGTCCACATTCCAGAGGGTGGGGGTCCCATCGGACAATATGGATCTACCGAAGCCAGCATGGGATGGAAACTTCCTGAATAGCAGCTGCTTGGACCAATGTGATCATGTCATATCATGATCATGTCACGTCACCCGAGGACTGCACTCCCGGGCTCCCCTCCACGGCAGGATGGGAAGCCAGGTGTGAAAGTGCTACCTAGGAACACTGGGAAGCTCCCTGGGTGACCTGGGCTCCACCTGACCTGGCTGTGGTCCCCTTCCCTCCCCTCCGGAGGGACCGAGGGGCTTCCCTAACCAACAACGTCAGCCCCTTCCTCTTCTTTCTTGGCTTCTCCCTGACCAAGGCCAATGTCAGAAGATCTTCCCAGGACCTGTCAGCCACAGAGTGCGATTGTGAAAAGGGGGTCTGTCTATGCTGGGTGCGGAACCCTGGTCCTGTCTGTCTATGCTGGGTGCGGAACCCTGGTCCTGTCTGTCTATGCTGGGTGCGGAACCCTGGTCCTGTCTGTCTATGCTGGGTGCGGAACCCTGGTCCTGTCTGTCTATGCTGGGTGTGGAACCCTGGTCTTGTCTGTCTATACTGCGCGCGGAACCCTGGTCCAAGGATGCCCACCCCTCACCGGCTGCCCTGATAAACAGCCACATCTGGAGATGAGGGGTGACAGGAAAACCTTTCCTCCGCTGTGGCAGGCAGAAGAGCCTTTCCCAGCCGGGAGTGAGGCATCTGGAAACACTCAGAGACCCCATCTCCACTGTAAACACAGACAAAGCTAGAATACAGGCACATCGATAAGAAAATATAAGATGGGGCATGTCAGTCCCACACAATCCCAACAGTCAGACACAATAACTTTTTATTTCTTTATTTGAGGCAAGGTTTCACTCTGTCGCCCAGGCTGGAGTGCAGTGGCACAATCAAAGCTCACTGCAGCCTCAACCTCTTGGGCTCAAGCGATCCTTCTGCCTCAGCCTCCCGAATAGCTGGGACTACAGGCAGACAACACCACGCCTGGCTAATTTTTTTTTATTTTTTGTAGAGATGGGGTCTTGCTATGTCGCCCAGGCTGGTCATGGACTCCTGGGCTCCAGTGATCCTCCTGCCTCTGCCTTCCAAAGTGCTGGGATTATAGGCGTGAGCCACTCCACCTAGTCAACAATTTTTTTTAACATGTTGGTGTCATGCCAGATGTTTGAGGTGACGAACACCTTTGAAACTTTTATGGAAGTGTAATATACATAGGGAAAAGCACACGCATCATAGATGTACAGTTGGATGGCTTTTGCCAGTGCAATGTCTGTGTGCTGGTGTACGTGCAATGCTGAGTTACGGACCAGGAGGCCGGAGGGGCGTGTTCCATCCACACTGCATTCCACTAACACAGCTTCATTCTCTAGCCCTGTCCTTCCCTCCACCTCCCCTCCTCACCAACTCTTGCTCCTCCTGACACCAGCCCAGTTTTGAGAGCTTCGGGGAGCTCCGACTCACCTCCCCTGTGGGGTCAAACCCCCACAAAGAGCTCACAGAGCATCTCGGGCCTCTCCCTCAGGCAGTTGTAATTTTCCACTGATGTATGTGTTTGTCTCCCCCAGCTGGATGGGGACCCCCCAAGGGCAAGACCACCAGGCCTGCTATGCCCTCGCAGTTCCCTGCCCCTAGCCTTGGTTCCAACTCTAAAACGTGAATTCTCCTTCCAAGAGAGCTACCATGGCTTTCCTGAGACTCCCAGGGCCTCGGGAACCCACCACCCCACCTCTGAGTTGCCCACAGCCTCCAAGAGAAAACGGGAGCTGCTCCCCGAGTCCAAGCTCCTGATCAAGACTCCACAAAGGCGATGCCGAGCAGGAAGATTTATTAGCCCCTCGGCTCTGCTAAAAGCATTCTGTCAAAGAATTTGAAAAACGCATCTCAGATTCAGTGTTGGGAGACAGCTATTCCCTCTGAGCAGGGGAGGATGTGAAACCCATCAGTCCCTGGTGTGGCTTTCCAGGCCAGCCAGGGGATCAGATCCTGACGGACGGGGCGGCCTCAGAGGCCAGGCGCCGCGTCCTCCTGGAGAGGGGCCCCGCTGGAGCCTGGAAGGAGCGGGAGCTGGGCAGGCTGTGAAGGGGAAGGGGAAGATGGATGGGGCTGGGGGGAGCTGCTGACAGAGCGCCTGGAGGGGAATGAAGCTGGAAAAGATCCGCGCTGGGACGCAGCCCTCGGAAACCCTGGCGGGCTCAGCCTTGGCTTCACCGGGAGCCTTGGAGAAGAGGAAACAGAAGGCTGTCAGGGAGCAGCTTCCCGGACCACCCATCAGGGAACAGGGAGGACTGTACTCCTGGAAGCCCAGGCTAAACAGGCAGGGGTCCCAGCCCATTCTGGGTAGGTGGGGGCCTTTCCAATCCAGCTCTGTTTACCCCATCCCCACCCCTCACCCAGCCCCAAATCTGCTGGGATGGCCATTCGGTGTCCAGAATGTGATTTGAAACATGCACATTCGTAAGGAGGTAGTGCAGGACCCTGCCTGCCACCCGCTGATGCCCAGGAGCCTTTGCACCCCCCAGTCCTTCAGCCACGGACTCTTTCCCCAGGTCTTACCTTGGATACCTCATTGTATTTTAGCCCAAAGGTCACTGCATCAGACAAAGCCTCCTGGTCACACACTCTAGAGTATGTGGTATCACACCCATGGTCATGCACACACAGGCACATGTACCCCTATGCATGCACATGCTTGAATGCACACATGTGTACACATATTTACTCTCCACAATACAGCAAGGGGACTGGAGACCAGGCTCTGGAGGCAGACTGACTTATTCAGCTCCTGCCTCTGCCCTATGACCTTGGGGACATGACTTAACCACTCTGTGCCTTGGTTTCTTCATAAGTGAAATGGTGGCCGATGACACTGCCCCCTTCCTAAGACTACTTGCAAGGCGGGGCTGTTAGAGAGGGTAACACATGTGCAGGAGTTAGCCTGACAGAATTAGGACACAGAGGGAGAGGTGTCCCTGTCACCACATCACAGCACTCAACAGGACGGGAAGTGATCTTAGCTATTCACTGGTTCGCTCACCTCTCCTCTGTCTCCCTCCCCCAGCGCTTCGTGGAGCACAGAGAAGACTGGTAGGATGGACAGTGGATGAACGACGTTCTCAGTCTGTCCCCGGGATCCGGGTCATACACAGACCTCACACTCCACATGCAGAGTAACAAAGCAAAGCCTCCTTTGTAAGAGAGTGACAGTACAATGAGTTCATGCTCGGAAGGAAGCACCAGGCAAGTCCCTGCACACAATGGGCCCCTTAAGCAGGAGCTGAGTTCAGTGTCTCCTCTACTGCTCACATCATCCCTGCAATGCGGGCTTCCTAAGCTCTCCTTTTCTCTAGGCTGCCATTTACTGAACCACACTCTGTGCCAAGCAAGATGCTAAAGGCTTTCTACGCACTTCTTCCTGAGCTCTCACAACAATCCTATTGACAGGTGCTCCAACGATCTCCTTTTTGCTAAAGAGTTAACCGAGGCTTAGTGAGATTGGGTGGCATCCTTGGTCCCCAGAGAGCATGTGGTCCTGATTTGAACCCAGCAACGATCCCAGGCTCGCTCGGCTCTGACCTCACTTCCGCACACCACACTCGTGGAAGCTTTTATTGTACCCCTCATAAGACGGAGAAACCGAGGCTCTGGGAGAGCAAATGGCATGGCCAAGCACCCCAGGCCAACCCTGGTGGGCAGCTTATACTCGACTTGAATCCTCCTGTCTGAAATATGCGTTCCACTCTTCCCCACAGGACCCAATGCAGCAGTTCCGGAAGGAGGAATTCTGGCCCCCATTTGCCATAGTTGGAAAGCAGATTCATGTTGCATTCCCTTTGCCAATTTGCTTGCAGCGGGTTGATGAGGAGCAGCTCCCAGCTTGTCCCAGCCTTCATGTGGTAGGGGCTTCCAGCAACCCCCCCGCCCCAGCAAGGTCCTCACAGCGCCCCAACACTGTGGGGCTGTCCCAGCAGTGAGGCGATTAGCAGAATGATAGCAGCCAGCTGCTCGCTCCATCTGCGAGACAGACCAGAGCTGCTTGAGTGACACACTTGCAAGCTTCGCCCACGTTCCTCTCCCGGAATCACCGGGGCGGCCAAACCCCAGGAATCTGCCTGCTTGAAGGAATCAAATCCACCGTTTCACTGCCCACGCTCAGGACCCAGAGGGTCTCTTGAAATAAGGTTCATGAGGCGGCCTCTGGATTTGATTACAAGGAAATCTGTTCCCCATCTCAACCCCTCAACTCTCTCTGCCCTCGACTGCAGGAATGTGATGCCGGCTGATTTCTCAGCAACTCCCGCGTTTCTTGCAGACACTGGACCTGGAGCCAACTTTCTACCTGGCTTGTGCGATTCATAAATTACAGTGCAATCAAAAGACACATTCAGAAACTGCTGGAGGTTTCAATGAGTGAGCATATCGGTTTCCCAGGACAACAAACTGCCACACACTGGGGGGCTTACAACAGCAGAAACTTACTCTCTCACGTTCTGGAGGCCACAAGTCCCAAATCCAGACATCGGCAGGGCCGTGCTTCCTGCGGTGGCTCTAAGGGAGGGCCCTTCCTGCCTCTTCCGACTCCTGGTGGCCCCCAGGTATTCCATGGCTTGTGGCTGCATTACTCCAGTCTCTGCCTCCGTCTTCGTGTGGTCTCTCCTCGCTGTGTGTCTCTTGTCTGTGTGTCTCCTATAAGAACACATGTCATTGGGTTTACGGCCCAGCCAGGTAATCCAGGGTGATCTCACCTTGAGCTCCTTAACTTCACCACGTCTGCACAGGTGCTCTTTCTGAATGAGGTCAGCTTCACAGACTCTGGGGATGACTTGGACTTATTTGTTGGAGGGCCACCCCTGGACCGTATACAGTGAGTTTTATTCTTCCTTCTGAGGACATGAAGAAAGGGCCCTTGCCTCCCGGCCTGTCCCTGGAGAAGAAGAACTGACCTGGGCAGGGGGCAAGGAGGTGGAGAGGAGCTCCACCCTCAGCTGTGCCACGCCCTTGGGAAGCCTTGATCTCAGTCCCCACCTGCCCTGATCTTAGAGCTGGGACTTCAGTAGGAACCCCATCTGACCAACGCCCAGCCCTCTGAGTTTACATGCCAGAGGAGGAGCTGGACACTAAATGAACACAACAAAAGATGGATAGATAAATACGTCACATGGTGACAAATGCCGTGAAAGAAAATGCAGCAGGGTCAGGCATAAAGAATGATGGGTCAAGGCCTCCTCCTGGGCTGGGGATGAGGGCAGAAGGAGACCACGGGCACCAAGCCACTCACTTGGAGCCCGGGATCAACCAAACCCCGGAGCCCAGGATCAACCAAACCCTGGGTGCACAGGAGACACTGACACCATTGGGTCCCAGAGGAGACTGACTTCTAGTCCTCATTCTGCTACTAACCAGCCCCAAGACAGGGCAAGTTGCCTCCCTTTTCTAACTCTCAAACTTCTCCTCCCTAAAGCGGGATTGGTGTCACAAATGAGTTGATGTACCTAGAAGGCTCGGCACACACCCGGGGACCAGCCCCCAGCAAACAGTGGTGACTGTCACCTCCGTCCCTGAGTTCCAATGTCCTCCAAGGTGCCTCGTTCCCTCCAGCTCTAGCCTTCTATTCTCCACCCCCGAACTGGCTCCTCCATGTCTCCAACCACTGACCAAGGACCCCTGATTATTCCTTCCGTGTTCAGCGGTGCTGGGTGGGTGGATGCAGAGGTAGCTGGGCTGATGCTGTGGCTGTGTGACCAGCTGCAAACCAGGAGAGGCTCCCGGAACACCCGCTGCCTTGGTGGGGTGCCGGGCTTTGATAGGCTGCCAGGAGCGATAGCCAGGCCTGTTTGCTTTGCCTTATCGGAGTGTTTTTCACCAGCATTGCCCCATCCCCTCTGTTCCCTCATGGAGGTTATCAGCCGCACATCCGCTGCAGGGGTGAAGCCCCACGGGTAACCTTTCCCACGCCTGCCTCTCTGTGCCCAAGACCAAGCCCCTTCCTAACACCAGGTCCCTGCTCTTCTAGAGCATCTCCCCAGAAAGGGTGAGCTTGGAAAGAAGACTCCCACTCCCTTAGAATTGGCTCTTTCCGAAGTACTCCAGAACTCATCACTTCCAAGAAAAACCCTGGGGATGCGGACGCTGGAGGTGGGAGGCCTAGATGTTCTCTGCTACCAAGAGGCCAGCACATTAAAACCCACTGTGGCATCTGCTTTCTGAGGCTGCCATAACAAAGAACCACAGGCTTGGGGGCTTCAACAACAGGAACGTATTCTCACGTTTCTGTAGGACCCAGGTCCAAGAACAGGGTGTCAGCAGGGCAGGCTCCCCGCGGGCTGTGAGGGGACTCTGTCCCAGGCCTCTCGGGGCATCGGGTGTGTCATGGGTTCTTTGGCCTCCTTTGACTTGTAGATGCATGGCCCAATCTCTGCCTCCATCTCTGTGAAGGCTTCTCCCGGGTTGTGTATACCTCTACCCACGTGCCCTTTGTAAGGACACAGCCATATCAGATTAATGACCTCATCTTAACTTGACTACATCTGCAAAGATCCTACTTTCAAATAAGGTTACATTCACAAGCACTGGCATTAAGACTTCTATGCCTTTCAAAGGGACACAATTGAACCAATAACTTTTAAATACTACATCCAAGCCCGGCCCCACCCCAGATCAGCTACAGCAGCATCTCTAAGGGAAGCCAGGTGGATCTAGGGTGGATCCAACTGAACCACTGCCCCCGTCCAACAGACACAGGGAAACTAAGGCCCCCAAAGTAGACACGAGATGCCTAGTGGCACAGATGCCTTGGGGCTGAGGCCTCCTCCCTCCTGGTTCGTGCCGCATCCTCAGCAGCAGGCCAGGGGCGGGGACTGTGCTCGAATCTGCAGGGAGGAGGATGAGCTCCCACCGCCGAGCCCCAGAGCTGACCTTGGTTTACGAGTTTCCTGAGTCAGTGTCTGCATCCGTGTGCTTTCAGCTTCACAACCCATATGGCGCATGGGCGGTATCGCCCCATTCTCTCCAGGTGGAAACTAAGATTCAGAGAGGCAGATGCACTTGCTCAAGGAAGCACAGCTAGCTAGGGGCTGCAGGGCGATGGGAAGGAAGGATTCAAACCCAGGCCCATCCAGCCCCACAGCCTGAACCACTTCCCCAAACAGTGCTGCCCGGGAAACCCAAGCCCACCCGTGCTTCTCTGCCATAAATGGTAAGGAACGCATTTCGCAGGATGACTGAAATCCTCCTGTGACCACTTCTAGAATGGCTGGGCTCAGAGTGAGGCTGACCCCTGGTCTGCTCCCAGCTCTGCCACTTACCAGCTGTGTGGCCTGGGGCAAGTCACTTTACCTCTCTGTGCCTCAGTTTCCTCATCTGTATAATAGGCTGGAAAATAGTGTCTACCAGTGAGGATGCTGGCGGATTACATGGTCCCTGGGGAAATGCTGGAGACGACTGTTACCTCCAGGGCAGTGTGTGGCTCTGGCAGGGACTGGGTGCAGCTGTCCCTCAGCTGCTCACCCCTAATTTATGTTTAAGGTGAGGCCCCATCCCCACCCCCTCTCGCCCCCACCCCCGCCACGACCACATGACATCTTACTCCCAAGGCTTGTCAGGGCCACTAGTATGGTGATAAATCTCCCGCCGGCCCCTGCCTGCCCTCCCTCTAGCGTCTCTGCAGAGACCAAGTTGTTATAAATGTGTCCGGCCTCATGAAACCGAACCCTGCCATGCCCCGCAACGGTGGCAGCATCTTAGCCGCCATTGCCTTATCTGATTGGAAACCAATCCCTGCATTCCCCTTCCTGGGGCTCCGGGGGAGGGTCTTGCTGCTGATTCTAATCTGGGGAACGCCCCCAGGACAGGCAGGGCTCCACAGCAGGGCCAGGTGTGAGCTGCAGCAGGCCACAGGCCTGGCAAAATTGGAGGCAAAGAGGTGAGGAGCCACAACCAACCCCAGCCCCAGCCCGTGCTCGGGATCTGTCGTGCCATGTGTTTTGGGCAGTGATGACATTCTTGTCTTGTTCGCTTGTAAAAGGAACTTATTTGCTTATATAACAGAATGGTCACCCTAGTGTCATTTGGGAGTTTCAGGTAGGGTTTCCTCCAGAGTTCAAACAGTGTCTCCAGAAACGGACTTTTCTCTCTACTCCTGGACGCTGTCACCTGGGTTGGGGCTCCCACGTCTGGCCTTGTGTAGCCAGCAGGTGCTGCCAGCCGCCCCTGGCACCGCACGGCTCCCGATGTCAGTGCCGCACGAAAGAGTGAATGTGCTCATCCCAGCACCCCCAGCCAAAGCCCAGAGACACCCTCGCATTGATCTGGCCTGTACCTGTACTCTTGCTTGGCCGGGGGAAAGGCTTTTGCCAGACTTAGATGCTTCTAAAGTATCTGAAATTTTACCAGCCCCAGCATTTTGGGATTCGAAGGGCCCACATGTAAAGTAAATATGAGCTCAAGGGTTTGGGGTGTTGGAAGAAAAGGAGGAAGACTTCAGGGCACTCAGGAAAGCCAGGGACAGCATCTCTGATTGATTGAGCCTGAATACTGGCCAGGAACCACACTTCACAGGCACTGGGTCACAAGCCCGAACAGCAAGGACATTAATGACCCAATCCACAGGTGAGGAAACCAGGGGGTGAAGAAGGTGTCTGCCCAGCTACAGTGTGTTATCTTGGTCTGAGAGCAGAACCGCCGGAAGCAAAGAACACCCTGGAACTGGAGGTCCAGGACACGCTGGAGACACGGGCAGGAGCAGCAGGTGTCATGGGCTGTGCACGTCTCCTGCAGCTGCTCAAACAAATGACCACAACCTGGGAGGCTTGAAACCACACAAGCTTACTTCCTCGCAGAAAGCCGAAGTCCGGCTGAAGTCTGAAGTCCAAAATGAAGCCTAGAAAGTCCGAAATGAAGGTGTCTGCAGGGCCGTGCTCCCTCCAGAGGCTTGGGGAGAGGACCCTTCCTTCCTCCTCCAGCTTCCACTGGCCCAGGTGTTCCTCGGCTTGTGGCTGCAATGCTCCTGTCTCTGCCTCTGTCTTCACGTGGCCTCCTCCTGGTGTGTCTGGGTCTCACATCTTTCTCTGCCTCTCTTATAAAAGCACTCATGACTGTGCAGTCCAGGATGCTGTCATCTTAAGATCCTTGATGTAATCACATTAGCAAAGACCCTGTACCCAATCAGGTCACATTCACAGGCTTCAAGGATTTGATGTGGATATTTTAGGACAGACCATTTTTCAGCCTACCACACATGCACACACACAGTGAAAATAAAAATGCTTTGCAACTGGTGCGGATCACAAAAGTATCTGCTAGTGCTGAGGACAGAAACTTGCATTAGAGTTTGGCCCTCTGGTGTATGAACTTTCTGCACAGAAAACTGTATTGAACAAAGGACACTAGGCCGCCATGGTGGAATGCTTCCCACAGGCTGGTTGTCATCTGCTTTGCGGCTCTTACCTGCTTTCCAAGGTGGACTCTATGCACCCACTTTACTGATGCAGAAACGAAGACTCAGAGAGTCATTGTTTGCCCAAAGGCAGAGTGGGGATTACTACGTTGAATGCCATCGGACTCCAGAACCTGCGTCCTTCACAGCACATCATGCTGTTCCTCTTGCTTGAAAACCTATCACTGTGAACTAATGTGAAAACCCATCACTGGAATATGATCTAATACTCATGCCGTGCACCAGCGCACCCGAGCACTCACGGCCTGCCAGCTCACGGTTAGCACTGCTGTGCTTTCACAGATTCTACAAACATTGAAGACATGCTCCGTAGAGCCAGGCACTGTGGCAGTGTGGAGAAGGGGGGACATTTTTCTCTACCCTGGAGGAACTTAGAATCTGATAGTAAAATATGACTGCTGTAACCCATACAACCCCGTAAAAATCTTACAAAGTCGCTATGTTAAGATTGCTGTGCCAGTGATGAGGACGCTGGGGTTCAGAGAAGCCCTTGGCTTGGGAACAGCACAGCCAGGACTTGCCAATATGACTAGGTCCAGAGCATATTACTCCTCTCCCTACCTTGTCCTCCTTCAATGATTGGTGGCTGTGTTTTGTTTAAAGAGTGTGAATTACAGGAGAAAAACAAAAGGGAAAATAGTGCTCTCCTACTCACTAGCTATGTGAAGTTGGGAAAGTTAACCTCTCTGATTCTCCTTTTCCTTTGCAGTAGACAAAAGCTACATCTTCTAGGAAGCCACTGCAAATAATAGAAAAACCGACCTTGAAATGTCCTGTGAAATGTAGAGAATTAATTAGGTTCCATAACTGAACAGTCGGCGGTAGAGCAACTTCAGGTACAACCTGACCCCAGGCTGAAGCAGCATCAGCACAAATGGGTTCTTCTCTCTTTGTTTCTTAGTCTTTCTATTTTGGGCCCCTGCTCAAAACTCATCTAGACTCACGTGGCAGCCAGCATCTCCCAGGGCCACATCTGCCTACATGCTAGTCCAGCAGGAAGGAGAAAGTGTTCGGTCTCAAGGCACCCAGGAGGTATGGCTGGGCTGTCTCTGGTCAGCCACCCACATTTGAGCCAAGCAGGCTGTCCACGGAAGGGCTGAGGGGCTGAGCCTTGGGTCATGGGCTCCTAAGTCCCATCCAGAAAATCTGGATGTTATCCAAAGAAGGAGGATGAATGCCGGGGAGGGACACAGCAAACATCCACTACGCAGGGCTCAATGGCTCTGCGCCCTAGGTGCACCTTAAAACCACATGGGGAGCTTTGTGAATGTATCAAGCCTCCGAGGTCCTGTGCAAGACCAGGTAAATCAGAACTACCGGGGGGTGGGGGGTGGGGGGTGGGGGGGCCCAGGTGTTGCTACGTTTTAATCACTTCCCTATTGATTCTGTTGCGCAGCAAGATTGAGAACACCTGCTCACATCCTCAATTGAGTTTTATTTCATTTTATTTTATTTTATTATTTCATTTCTGTTTTTGTGTTTTGTTTTGTTTTTGAGACAGAGCCTAATTCTGCCTCCCAGGCTGGAGTGCAGTGGCTCAATGATGGCTCACTGTAGCCTCAACTTGCAGGGCCTAAACCATCCCCCTGCCTCAGTGCCCCCAAGTAGCTGGGACTACAGGTGCGCGCCACCACACCCAGCCTGAGTTTTATTTTAAATGAAAGGTTTCTTAGCTTAAGCTGCCATAAAAGAAAAATACCAGAGACTGTGGCTTCAACAACCGACATTGATCTTCTCACAGTTCTGGAGGCTGGAAGTCCACGGTCTGGGTGCCACATGGTCAGGTACTGGTGAGGGCCCTGTTCCTGGCATGAGCTCCCGCTTTAAATACCATCCCACTACGGGGAGGACTTCGGCGTATGAATGTGGCGGAGACACGATTCAGTCCAGAGAAACGGGCTGGTACCATATTATTAACAGAAACCCATGAATGTGCTAGGAGGAAAAGGGAAGCATCTCACACTATCTAAGACGGGGATCTAGACATTAAAACAGAACATTCTGCCATTTAATAAAACACAACCCACAATAAGGATGATAAAGGGGCCACGGGCATGGTCCCTAACAATGCCTTCACCTCTCAACAGACTGTCACAGACATCCACCAAGGCACCCACCCCACAACTGACCCCCCTGCAAATAGCTTTTCCACTCGGTATTAACAGAGGAGATGACCAGACGCGGTGAATTACTTGGAGCCTCAGATGCCCCAGTTGGAGTCACCATTTGTGAAGTCGCCGTCTGGTGACTGACGGGCAGACGCGAGGTCCGATCCGTCACGAGGGCAGGCTCAGGAAAGACACTTGCGTGGGAGAGCTAAAACAGATGTCAGGGCAGGGCTTGCCGGTGGAGCTCCTCCCAAGCCCCAGGGGCCCTGCCACACAGCGGCGCCTGGCCCTGGAGCACAGGGCAGGCTCCCAGGTTCTCTGAGACAGCCTCGCATTCCAGGGGCTCCTTTCCTCAGGGCAGGTGGTCAAATACCTAATGACATAAATAGTGTAGCATCCAGATGGTCATCACAAATACATTCCAAATTTTGCAGAGAAACGAAGAATTTTTTCACCATCAGTGTATGTGAGGTCATTTATTACAGGGGCAAAACATGTTTCATCCTCCAGCAGCCCTTAGTTTCTTCTCTTTTAAGCTACAAAGACTCTCAGCCAAAACATCAGAAAGAATTGGCAGGGTCTGTTTACCTAGTTTTAAGAAATCTAACATCTTTTCAATGGGGTCCACCCCAACTTGATGACAATCAAAGCAAACTTTGAGTCTTCTACGTAAAGGATCAGCCCCATTGAATATCCCTTGATGGTGGGTGGGTGACATGTGCGTGTCCTACTGAAACTCGAGCACCTCCACAAAGATTTCGCACTGAGGACACTGCATGGTCCTGGCTCAGCCTGTGACTTCAGACTTGGGACATACAACCTCTGTCTACCCTACAACCTCATGTCACAGAATTCTAGAATGTCCAAGCTGGAAAAGAGCCTGAGAGAAGGGGTTTTCCAGTGTCCACCCCAAGCCTGGATGCTGTGGCATCACCTGGAGGACCCATACTCTGACTGACGCCTGATCCAACCCCACCCCACCCCTAGCTCCAAGGCATCCTGGCTTAGGAGCTCTGGAGTGGTGGGGTCCAGGCATTTGTATTTCCCAATGACTTCTAGGTGATGAGGATGTACATCCAGGTGGCTGCCCTGAGCCTGGCCTCCAGCCTGCATGAAGGCCTGCAGCTCGTCCAGAGCCACATGGCAGGACAAGGCCTCTGGGCCTTCGGCAGGCCCTCAGCACCACCCTCCCTCAAAGCTTGGCCAAGACAATTGCAGTGGGTTGAATGGTGCCCCCAAAAGATATGTTCAAGCCCTGGAATCTGCATGGGACCTCATTTGGAAACAGGATCTTGGAAGATGTAATTAGGTTAAGGATCTTGAGATGAGATCATACTGGATTAGGGTGGGCCCTAAATCCAGTTGCACATCGTTATTACAGAAGTAGAAACTGTCACAGACACACAGAGGAGACAGGCACGTGATGATGATGGAGGCAGAGATGGGATTGATGCAGCCACAAGCCAAGGAATGCCGAGAGCCACTAAGAACTGGAAAAGGTAGGAAGGAGCTTCCCCTAGAGCCTCTGGAGGGAGTGCAGCCCCGTGCACAGCTTGATTTCAGACTTGCGGTCTCCAGAAGTGTGAGAGAATAAATGTGTTTGTTTTGAGCCTCTCGTTTTGTGGTCATTGGCTACCACAGCCCCAGGACACTGACACAACCACCTGCAGGGCCTCCCCCAAGGGCTGCCACCTACTTCCAAGAAAGGGGAAGTTTCAACACTGCTGAGTGAAGCTGCGGCAGGGGCTGCCTCTACCTGCAATGTCTGTATCACAAGTCCTTCCTCCAAACACATCAAATCCGGCATTCCTCAGAAGCAGAGATAGTGGAAGGAAGTGGTATCTGACTGACCCAAGGCCTGGGGGGGCTTGCCCAGAGAGGGTCTCTTTAGGCAAATAGGAAAGATTTTACTCAATTGCAGGTCTCCTGGCATCCACCTTCCCATCTCCCACAGAAGCCCCGTCTGCCTGGCCTAGACACTGAGCCTATGCCAGGGCTCACTTCCCCTGGGGCTAGTGCTGGCCAGGAGGAGAGCAAGCATGACTCTGGAATCATTCCATCCAGACGGATGAGACCACACTGCCTCCTCCTGCCATGCATCTCTTCCCAGCACCATATGGCTCTGCTGAGGATTCCACACTCCACACAGACTCACCACCTTCACCCAGGGGCAAAGTCTCTGAGGTCTGGGCCCCGAATCCCATTTGACAGTCACAGACCCAAGTCTACAGTCTTCGTCTCCATCAAGGAGCAGAAGCAAGGTGGCCCTGTGGCTAAGCAAGTGCTTCCAAGTTCCCCCTGCCTGGGCTGGGACGCAACATCTGCTGCAGACAAGAGCGTGAGCTTTGGGGAGGTGTTTAACTCCTAGGAGCTACATTTGCTCATCTGCAGAAGGAAAGAATCATCGCATTTACCCCCGTGAATGCGGTCAGGGTTAACTGCCATTATGCTTAGCACGGGAGAAGTGCGTGGCAAATGTGATCGTCACTATGAACTTCATTCTGGCTCTGGTCTTCCACAGCCATGTCCCAGCTGTTTGGCAGCCTCTGGGCCATTTGGACTGAGGACAAAAGGCCTTTGGAAGCTTAGCGGAAGCAGGAAGCAGGAAGTGGGCTGAGAGGAGAGGCCCAGAGCGGGTCCTGAGCCTGTGCCCTCACTGGAGGGGTTTGGCCCATCCACTGAGCAGGCAGCATGATGTGGCCAAACCCAAGCTGCTGAGGCAGGAACATCTGGTGCAACATCTGCCTCTAAAGACAGCAGGGAGCCAGGAAGAGCTCAGGGGCCATGGAGCTCTGCTGCATGCCAGGTCCTGCTTCTGCGGCCCCATTGCTCCTCCATGTATTCATGTCCCTGCCCTTGGAGAATCTTCAGTAGCTTGCTACTGCCCTCAAAGTCAACCCCAGCCCCTGAGCTGTATTTCAGAGAACTCTGCTCTGCTGACCTCACCAGCTTCCCCCAGCCCCATGCTAACCCATCCCCACCTCACAATCCACAGTCCAGCCAGGCCCACCTGCTCTCAACCCAGGTCCAGGTCTGGCCATACATCTCCCTGAGGCCTCTGTAGACTCTTCTGCCCTAGCCCGTCTTTGACTTAGCCTCCAGGTCTTGGCTAAGGTGCCCCTGCCAAAGAAGGCCTTCCCATTCCCTCTCTGTGTTTCTATAGCTCCAACCTTCATCACCTTGGCAGCTGCAGGGCTCAGTTCAGTGCCTGGTACACAATAGGTACTCAGAGAATCAATGGAGTAGGTGGATTTTACTAGATTCAGCAGCAAACATTTTTTAGCACCTCCCATGAGCCAGGCTGGTCTAAGCCCTGCGATTTAGAGGACAGCAGAAAAGATAGAAGTCCCTGACCTCTCATTATGGTGAAGAAGGCAATTAGTACAGAAGTAAAAAAAAAAAAATGTTTTAAAGCATGATAAGTGCCAAGAAGAAAACAGAAAACTGGGAGGCGACATATGAAATGTTGAGGCCTGGAGAGCTGAAAATTCTAGAGTGAACAAAAAGGCCTTGCTAAGGTGCCCATGAGTATAAACCTCAGCTTGGTTGGGAGTGAGTCATGTGGCTAGGTGGAAGGTGGAGTGGATGGATAAATGGATGGGTGGATAGATGGATGGATGCATGAGTGGAGGTATGGGTGGGTGGATTAATGGATGGGGGAGAGATGGATGCAGGGATGGAGGGAGGGAGGGGCGGGTGGATGGATGGGTAGATGAATGGATGGATGGATGGGCAAAAGGATGCGTGAGTGGATGGATGGATGGATGGATGGGCAAATGGATGGGTAAGTGGGTGGGTGGGTGGATGGATGGATAGATGGATGGATGGATGGATGGATAGATGAATGGGTGGGTAGATGCATGAGTGGATGGATGGATAGATAAATGGATGGATGAATGGGGATGATGGTTGGGTGGGCGGGTGGGTGGGTGGGTGTGTGGATGGATGGATGGATGGATAGATGAATGGATGGATGGGTGGGTGGATGGATGAAAGCAAAGACAGATGGTAGATGGATAGATGATGAATGGATGGATGATGGCTAGGTAAATGAGTGAGTGAAGAATGAATAAATCAATGAATGAATGAACAGCCCTATGATATACACAATCTTTTTTCTCCATTATTATCATGGCTGTTATTCTTTTTTTCTCTCCTCTTGCTATTTGTATTCCATCTGTCCTTTAAGGTCAATTCTGGGTGCCTCATCTAGCGACACTAGACTGCATCTGTCTCTCCTTGCTGTCAATGCCGAGAACCCTTAGAGGTTGTGCCCCTAGTACAGATGGACTCAACACTAGCATCCTTGGTGTGGGATGAAGCAAGGGAGCTTCAGGATTTATTCATGAAGATATCTGCAAAACTAATTTTCTGCAGTGAATTCCATTTTGTCTGGTGTATTTGTTATCAGTTTAAATACTACTTCTTTCCTAAGGAAGAGGAGAGGTGACTTCAGGATATTAAAACATAAGGACATCGAAAACACATTTAAAAGATCAGTTAATGCAGCATTCTGTTTGGAGAAAGACCATAATTACAGACCAACAGCAACATAAGCAGGCTGGAAGAGTCCACACTCTCTGCAACGTGCCTTTCTCTTTAGCCCTCGTTCTTGGTTTTCTTAATTTTCTATAATGCACAGGATGAATTTTAAAGTACAAGAAAAGACATTTATTTTAAGAAAATGCAGAAACTTTAAAGCAACATATGTAAGGGAAAGGTGTTAATTTTTGTTGACTTTTGTTGTTGTTGTTTTTAAGCATAAGAATGACTTGACTCTAAATTTTTTAGAATGGGGATGGGACACTTCTCCGACAGAGAAGCAGCAGAAGGGTGGAGAACCAGGCCTGATCCCAAACAGGCAGGTGCCTCTAGGTGTTTGGAGAGAATCCTACAGATTCACTTCAGGGCTACAGGAAACTAAGTGAAGCCATCAGCAACTGGGAAGACCATCATACCACCCAGCATGATAGGGTCCCAGCCTATCAGCATTCTAGGCACAAGCAGGCTGGACTTCACGTGTGAGCCCAAAGCTTCCTCCTGCTCTTACAGTCAGGGGTTTAAGGACAGGTTGGTTGTCTTGGAAACCCAGCCTGCCATCCTCACTTCAGAGCAGCATCAGCACAGACACTTAAAAAGCTACAGCAGCGAATAGCTTTCTGGAAGGGTTCCTAAGGTGGCTACACGTTCCCATCCCATTTAGAAGCAAAGCCTAATTTCCCTCCCCTTGAGTGTGGGTTGGCCAGAGAGACTTGCTTGGCCAGCAGGAGGCTGCAGGCTCTGAGGCTAGTCCTAAGGCTTGAGGCTTCCCCACAGGCCTCACTAAACACTTATTAAATCCCTTGGCTGCCATTAACAAGTCCAGCTGGCAGCTGGAGAGACATTGAGACTATGTGGAGGCGGAGGCCAGCTGAGGCCAGGACTCCCGACTTGTGAGAGATACTGCCCCAGACTCTCCAACCCAGCCCAGCCATCAGCTTGACATCACTGAGTGATCCCAGTTGACCCCACACAGAGCTGAAGAGTCAGCCAGCTGAGCCCAGCCCCAACTGCTGACAGAGCTTCTGGTGCAGCCCAGACAAAGGATACAGAAAGTCAACTTGGTACAGGTTTGGCTCCTTTGATGAGTGTTTTCCTAGCTGCACTTTGGGAGAAAAGAAGGCAGAGCACCCCCATGTGCGGGCACACCCACAGAGCAGTGTCTGCAAAACTGCTTTGGCACCGCACACAAGCTAAGAACGTTTTTCACAGATCTAAATTATTGCAATAAAATCAAAACAGGAATTTTATTTCATGACGTGTGTAGAGTACA
This sequence comes from Homo sapiens, assembly GCF_000001405.40. Classification (NCBI taxonomy): domain Eukaryota; kingdom Metazoa; phylum Chordata; class Mammalia; order Primates; family Hominidae; genus Homo; species Homo sapiens. The sequence continues at coordinate 86,974,658 of NC_000016.10, forward strand.
TGAAATTTAAATTTCAGCATCCAGAATACATTTTTGTCTGCACACAGCCAGGCTCGCTTGTTGTCTGTGGCTGCTTAAAACAGCAGAATTGAATAGTCCCAACAGAGACCCTATGACTCCACAGCTGAAAATATTTGCTATTGGGCTGTTTACAGAGAAAGGGTGCTGACCCCTGCTCTGGAGACAAGTCATTTTGCTGGCGATAAGGCAGGGAGTGGTTGTTCTAAACACAGTGAAATTGGTAGATTGTCAAGATGCTTCAAATGTACCCAATTAGATGCATACATTTTTAAAATTCGTCTATAAGATCTGTCCTTTAGATTTATTATAATTGTAAACAACTCCTTTTTAATTTTTTTTGTTTTTAACAGATGTATTGAGATATAATTAAACAGCATAAAATGTACTCATTTGAAGCATACAATTCAATGAATGTTAGTATACTTACAGAGTTGCACAGCCAGTGCCACGGTCTAGTTTTAGAACATTTCCATCACAATAAAATAAACTTCATGCCCGTTAGCAGTCACACTGCCCACCCCACTCTCAGCCCTGGGCAACCACTGATCTTCACTTCCTTTGAGAGTACAATTATGCATTTCTGACACATCTTAAAGAACCTTGTGTCCTAAGTGGGCTTTCCAATTCTCAGCAAGTGATGCTTGGCACCTCTATTCCCACCAATGTCCTTCGCGTATCTGGTTTATATACACTCAGAACACCATTTCCTAAACTGTGTTCCATGACCCACCAACCCCATAGAGCAGAGATTGCTAGTTTTCCTCTAAAGTCTGTTTCCCCTGCTGTGGTCAGTGTTAGAGCACTTGACTTTAGCTGGGCACATGACTGTCCAGAAAAAACTACATCCCCCAGCATCCTTTGCAGCTGGGTGTGTCATGTGATTGGATTCTGGCCAATGGGAAGTGATGGGTCCAACTCCTGGGAAATATCCTTAAAAGGCAAGGGCTGTGGGGTGTGAATGGACGGGAGGCCAAGAAAGCTGGCTTGGTCCCACCACCCTTAGCCCTTTCCTGCTGGCAGGAGCACAAATGTGGTGATGATGAGTCATCATCATCACCCACATCAACAAGGCTAACACCGGGGAGATGCAGGAGCCTAGGTCTGTGAGTCACCAGGTAGAGAAGACCCCATCAGCCCTGGACCACTGGCATCCAGATGCTTCTGTGAGAAAGAGAGAACTGTCTGTCTGGTTCAAGCCACTGTTAACCTGAGTCTTTGTCAAGATGCCAGACTTGTATCCTAACTAATACACTCCACAAACAGAATGGAAAACAGAATCCCCTGCTTGAATTAGTAAATGCTGCCTGTGATATCCGCCACATGTCAATGTGGATTAGTTTATTAAAGGTTCTGAAAAGCTCTGCAGCAAAGAAAGCCGTTAAAGTCCATGTGAGCCCACAGTCCCCAAATGTCCATGGCTTTTTTATTTTTTCTTCTCACCTCCTCACAACCCATACAAAACACTTTGGTAACTTCCAATCTGAAATGATAGAGATATTGCACATAAGCAAAAAAGAGAGGGAGAGAATAATCTTTGGACTGATTTTTCATTCAGGGCAAGAGACTGATCTGCTCTGATCCCTGGGGGATCACATGCCCAGTGTCCTACAGGGAATGGTGGGTTGCAGTCACATGCCCCACCCCAGAATAATAGGGTTGGCAAGAAATACAGTGTTCATCTCCAGCTCTTACAGGAACAATCTTCCCAAGTACATACAAAGAAAAGGGATGACAAATGTTTTCTTGCTTCCCACAGTTCAGGAACTTTTCCTTAATTATAAGCAAAGTTTTCTTCATGTGGGGATTTGACTAGACTATTAGAAGGTGTCCCTGCATTCAGCTTTGCAGTGTGTGGTTTATCTGCAGTTATCTCCTTGCATTAAGTTGCCCAGGGTCACACAGCTACTAAGTTGCTCAGCCTAGATTTGATCACGGTTGTGCTAAAAGTATTTTTTTTTTCTCCTACAAAAGGACTGTGTCCTCAGAGACTGACCCCCTTCGTGAGAGGAAGATGTGACTTTAAGACACAGATCAAGGCTGTCAGAGCAGGAGTGACCCGGGCCTCACCTTTAACTGGGGCCAAAGTGTCTGTCCCAGGGTAGCGAGGTGGTGGAAAGTTCACTGTCTGCATCTGGAATCAGACTTCCTGTGCTCAAACCCAACTCCTCAACTTCTGAGAGTGGACTTGGGCAAATCATTTCACCCGTCTGAGCCTCAGGCTCCTCGTTTGTAAAAACCCAGTAATAATCTGAATCGCATCTCAGGGATGCCGAGAACATTGAAGGCAACACGTTCTAGTAAAGCAGGGCATCCGTGTGCTCTGTGGCCTGGCACCTCCACCCCTACCTGCACCCCCACTGACCTGAAGGTGGGTGTCCACCGAAACAGGTGTCAGAATGCCTAGACAGCATCGTGTATTGGCACCCAGACTGGAAACCACCCCACGCCCATCCCTGGGGCACCCAGACCGGAAACCACCCCGCGCCCATCCCCAGGACATGAAGGGGCCAACTGTGTGCAGCTGTACAATAAGAGACCCCACAGTGGGAACGAATGAGATGCTGCTACACACAGCAATGCAGAGGACGCTTGCAGCAGTGCGAGTAGGCACGGCCCAGCCCGAGCACCAGCTGTGAGAGCCTCCCACAGACTGCTTGAGGGCAGAGCTCACCTTGGCCCTGGTGTTAGAAGTTAGAGGATGGTCAGCTGGGATGCGGACATGGTCAGCCCAGAATGGTGGGGGTCGGTCAGCCCGGGAAGGGGGAGGTGGTCAGCCCAGGATGAGAGGGGGAGGTCAGCTGGGGATCGGGGGCGGTGGGGGATCAGTCAGCAATGGGGGTGGTCAGCCCAGTACTGAAGAGGAGGCCAGCCCAGGATTGTGGGGGAGGTCAGGTGGAGATGAGGGACGCCATCAGCCCAGGATTGGGGGTGCAGTCAGCCCACGATTTGGGGGGGTTCAGCCTGAGATGGGGAGTGGTCAGCCAGGGATAGGGGGAGATCTAAGGGCTGGTCACAATCTCTTTCTTGCTGTGCTTACTATGGAAACAAATAAGGATGTAGATATAGGTATAGATGTAGAGACATATAGATGTAGGAAGACATTACAGATACAGATGCAGTTAGATGTAGATATAGATATGTACATTAGCTATAGATATAGATATTGATAGACATTGTAGATATAGATCTTGATGATAGACATTATATAGATATAGATGATAGACATAGATGCAGATATAAACAGGCAGACATTATAAGTATAGATATAGATGTAGGTATAGACAGCTGTAGCTACAGATGTAGATGTAGACAGCTGTAGATATAGACATGGACATAGGTGTAGACATCTGCAGATGCAGATGTCAGTGTAGACAGATGTAGATATAGACATTGATATAGATATAGACAGATACAGATATGGACATGGGTGTAGACAGATGTAGACACAGGTGCCAATGTATAGATACAGATGTAGACATAGGTGCTGATGTATAGATACAGATGTAGACATAGGTGCCGATGTATAGATACAGATGTAGACGACTGTAGGTGTAGAAGAACTCAGTAGAAGTTTCCCTGTAAAGTCCTCACTCAATTCAGTGCCTGTTTCCAAGAAAGCCAGGTCCCTCCCACTGTGTATTCTTTGTTTGGGGCAATGCTAACACACACACTTTGTATAAAGCAGTATCTCTTATGCAAGTGCGAGTGCTGTACTCTGTCTCCCTGAGTCTCCAGCATTGGGGTCTGTTCTCACCGTCCCCATCCTCTCCAGGCTGGGAACCCAGCAGTCAACACAAGTGGGATCCACCAGCCTCCCTGGGTGGCTTAAGCAAACAGCTTTCATCTTGCACGCGACCCAGGGCGAGGCAGGAAGGCCCTAGAGGAGCGTGGTACAGGAGGATCCTACGCTGAGATGAGCAGGCAAGGCATGCACGGGGCTGGGCCTCATGGCCTGAGGCAGACCCCTCTCAAAGCCCAGGGGAGCCCGAGGCACGGAAAGCCCGGGCCTTCAGGATCTGCTCCAGCAAGAAGGAAGTGGGTTGGAGAGGGAGGCCTGGCAGGCAGGCAAGGCCCTGAAGCATGAGGCAACTTCTGAAAGCATGAGGCTGTGACTGTAACCATGCAGCAGCCAGGAAGCTGGAGGCCCAGATGTGGGATGTGAGATGAGGGCAGGGCTGGGCTGGGCAAGACTGTAGAGCCCAGGTGAGCAGCATGGCCATCCTGGGCTTCCCTTAACACGAGGGCTGGGATTGAGCAAGGGATGGGCGGGCTGCTTAGGGACCAGAAATGCCCTTGGTTATAGGGTCAAGGGGCCCAGGCTATCCCCCCAGGCCCCGCCCCACCCTTCTCATGGCTCTTTGTATGATCTCTGGGGCTCCATCGAGTGCTGTGCAAAGCTCTGGGAAAGAGGACCACCGGGGTGGTGCATCCTAATCCGAGGTGCCAACTTGGCTGGGTCATGGTACCCAGATACTTAGTCAAACACATCTAGATGTTGCTGTGAAGTTATTGTTTTAGATAAGATGAGCATTTAAATCAGTAGGCTTTCAGAAAAGCAAGTTACCCTCCACAATCTGGGTGGGCTTCACCCAATCAGTTGAAGGTCTTAAGAGAAAAGGACCGACCTCCTCCAAGGAAGAGAGAATTCTGCCAGCAGACGGCTTTCAGAGTCCACGTACAACAGCAACTCTTCCCCAATTCACCAGCCTGCTGGCCTATCTCGAAGATTTTGGACTTGGTAACCTCCACAATCACATCAGCCAATTCCTTTACATAAATGAATAAGCAAATAAATTTATATTTACATATAGATTTGTATATATCCTATAGAGTGTGAACCCCATATATCCGAGACAGGTCTCAGTTAATTTAGAAAGTTTATTTTGCCCACGTTGAGGACGCGCGTCCATGACACAGCCTCAGGAGGTCCTGACGACATGTACCCAAGGTGGTTGGGGCACAGCCTGGTTTTATACATTTTAGGGAGACATGAGACATCAGTCAATATATGTAAGATACATATTGGTTTGGTCTGGAAAGGCAGTGGGAGGGGGCTTCCAGGTCATAGGTGGATGAGAGACAAATGGTTGCATTCTACTGAGTTTCCAATCAGCCTTTCCAAAGGAGGCAGTCAGATATGTATTTATGTCAGTGAGAAAAGGGGTGACTTTTAATAAAATGAGAGGCAAGTTTGCCCAAAGCAGTTCCCAGCTTGACTTTCCCTTTTAGCTTGGTGATTTTGGGGACCCAAGATTTTTCCTTTCACAAGAGATAGATAAAAATAACAGAGTAAGATAGAGATAGATAAAAAGTGGGGGGGGGGGAGAAAGAGAAACTAATGGATGACAGATGGTGGCTGATGGATAGGTAGACAGATGATAGATAGATAGATAGATAGGTAGATAGATAGATAGTTAGATGATGGATGGGTAGGTAGAAAGAAAAAGGATGGATAGATTGATTTATAGGTAATTGGATGGATGATAGATAGATGAATAGATTGATGGATGGGTGGGTAGATGGATGGTTGGATAGAGAGATAGATAATGGATTATGAATAGATAGGTAGGAAGAGAGAAATAGATAGATAGAAAGAAATGGTTGGGAAGATTGATGGGTAGTTTGATTGATGGATGGATAGAGAGATGGATAGATTGATGGATGGATGACAGATGGATAGACTGATGGATGGATAGATAGATGGATAAATAGATGATAGAGGGATAGATAGAAGATAGATCATAGACGAATAGATTGATAGATGGATGATGGATAGATAGGTGGATACATGGATAGATATATAGATAGAAGACTGATGGATAGAAGATAGATGATAGATGGGTAGATAGAAGATAGATAGATACATGCATGGATAGATGGATGTGGGGGGGGAGAGAGAGAGAGAGAGAGAGTGATCCTCCTATTGGTTCCGTTTCTCTGGGGAGCCGTGACTGACACTGTTGTGAAAGCTTCAGGGCATTTGTTGGAGCTGCAGAAAGAGGCAGAAGAGAAGCTTTATAGCAAGAAGACAACAGTGGGCTTGGGGTGGCTGCAGAGCTGAAACCCCTTGCAAGGTCAGACAAGACCTAAGGGGGTGTGCCACCTCGCTGTGACCTCCTGCTACTGGGCAGCAGCTGGCGGCTCACTGTCCAAAGTGACCACTTGCCTGCCGCTGGGTCTGAGGACCTGACAGTGCCGGGCACACAGCAGGTGTTCAGTAAGTGTGTTGGCAAGTGGATGACGGTCGCCCTCAGGTCTGAGTCTCCAGGGTGGACCTTGCTGTGCTTCCCACAGCTCCCACACACTTCTGGGCACACACTGTTACTCAGTGAGTTTTGGTTTTGTGCCCTTTTCTTAGTTTAGGGTTCATCTGGGTAATTCATTTCTTTGAAATGCATTATAAATATACATATTCATGACAGCAGGGGATTTAACATTATTTATTAATATTATTTAATTTTAGAAGGATCACATGAAAAGCTCTAATATTGTTCCTGACACATGGACATGATGTATTTATTTATTTTTTATTTATTTATTTTTTAGACAGAGTTTCGCTCTGTCACTCAGGCTGGAGTGCAATGGTATGATCTCACCTGACTGCAACCTCTGCCTCCCAGATTCAAGTGATTCTCCTGCCTCAACCCCCCAAGTAGCTGTGATTATAGGCACCCATCACCAAGCCCAGCTAATTTTTGCATTTTTAATAGAGACGGGGTTTTGCATGTTGACCAGGCTGGTCTTGAACTCCTTACCTCAAGTGATCCACCCGCCTTGGTGTCCCAAAATGCTGGGATTACAGGCATGAGCCACTGCTCCTGGCTTAATCTTTTAAACGTGTTTTCCTTAGAAGTTTCATGGAATGAAATGTCAAATAGCCAAGCAGTAAAGAGAGCCGCCCTCAAATAAGTTGTTTAAAATCTCTGTACCCGCTAGAAGCAACAGTGTGGATGGACCGCTCATTCGGCTGAGAAAGAAGAGCGCATTCTATACAGCCCCGCTACATCCAAGTCAAGAAACCGTGAGGCTGGTGGCGGGGCGCAGTGTCTCACGCCTGTAATCCCAGCACTTTGGGAGGTCGAGGCCGGTGGATCACGAGGTCAGGAGATTGAGACCATCCTGGCTAACACGGTGAAACCCCGTCTCTACTAAAAATACAAAAAAAAATTAGCTGGGCGTGGTGGCGGGCGCCCGTAGTCCCAGCTACTCAGGAGGCTGAAGCAGGAGAATGGCTTGAACCCAGGAGGCGGAGCTTGCAGTGAGCCAAGATTGCACCACTGCACTCTAGCCTGGGCAACAGAGCAAGACGAAAGAAAGGAAAGAAAGAAAGAAAAGAAAGGAAAGGAAGGAAAGAAAGAGAGAAAGAAGGAAAGAAAGAAAGAAAGAAAGAAAGAAAGAAAGAAAGAAAGAAAGAAAGAAAGAAAGAAAGAAAGAAAAAAGGAAGGAAAGAAGGAAGGAGAAAGAAAAAGAAGAAAGAAAGAAAAGGAAAGAAAGGAAAGAAAGGAAGAAAGAAAGAAAAAGAAAGAAAGAAAAAGAAAAAGAAAGAAAGAAAGAAAGAAAGAAAGAAAGAAAGAGAAAGAAAGAACGAAAGAAAGAGAGGCTGATCTATAGTGGCAGAATCAGATGGAAGCACCTCCCGTGGAAGGGGCACCGTCCACTGGGGAAGCGCCCTGCATGCACTGGCCTGGGTGACAGCTGCATGCAGGTGGGGGATGCTGGAAAAGCCCCTGCGTGGCACCCTGGGGTGAGTGCTCCCCACTGCATGTGACTCAGTAAAAATTAAAGACCAGGCTTATCCTAAAATGGATATTAGATAACAAAGGATTGAAACGATTTTAATATTTTTTTTTTTCTTTGGAGACAGAGTCTCGCTCTGCCACCCAGGCTGGAGTGCAGTGGTGTGATCATGGCTCACTGCAGCCTCCACCTCCCCGGTTCACGCCATTCTCCTGTCTCAGCCTCCCGAGTAGCTGTGATTACAGGCACCCACTGCCATGCCCGGCTAATTTTTGTATTTTTAGTAAACACTGGGTTTAACCATGTTGGCCAGGCTGGTTTTGGACTCCTGGCCTCACCGGATCTGCCTACCTCAGCCTCCCAAAGTTCTGGGATTATGGGCATGAGCCACTGCACCCAGCCAATTTTAATAATTTTTAATGGGAAAGGCATCTCCACAATTCTGAAGTCTAAATGATTTAAAAGGTCTAGATTCAGAAACTTTGTCCCCTTCTGTCCCCCACCTCCTGGCTTCCTCAGGCGAAGCTGTGCACACAGCTCCCAGCCCGGTCAACGTGCAGCCCCACTCTCCTTCTCAAGCAAATACTTGTGGCGCACTCAGCTACTGTTCATTACTGTGCTTTTCCACTCAGTAGCCTGGTCTGGGAGCCTCCACGTCAGTACACAGAGTGCTTCTGCAGCCTTTGATGGACATGAGTTTGCACCAGAGCAGCTGCAGAGGTGAGACGTCGGTTCTCCACGTCGCCCTCCGTCTGCATCACATCTGGGTGAGACCTGTGTCTTTCCTCTACTGTGTTACATACACGTTTCTCGCAACTTAAAATTTGGAACTAATATGTGTGGCAGCCTGTACACAAGCACAGGTCAGGACTGGACTTCTCAAGAGTTTGTTGAGGCCCAGCGTGGTGGCTCACTCCTGCAATCCCAGCACTTTGGGTGGCCAAGGCGGAAGGATTGCTTGAGCTCAGGAGTTCAAGACCAGCCTGGGCAACATGGTGAAATCCCACCTCTACAAAAAAATCACAAAAATTAGCCGGGCATGGTGACATGCACCTGTAGTCCTAGCTACTCAGAAGGCTGAGGTGGGAGGATCACCTGAGCATGGGGAGGTCGGGGCTGCAGTGAGCCATGATCACACCACTGCATGCCAGCCTGGGCAACAGAGTGAGACCTCATCTCAAAAAAAAAAAAAAAGAGTTTGTTGAGGCTGAGGTAGAGGCTGGGGTAATCTTAAGGGTAAGGCCTGGGGGTAAAATTTGGGGGGTAGAACCTAGAGGAGAGGCTAAGAGTGGAGGCTAGGGGAGGGAAGCAGGGGTGGAGGCTGGGGGTGAAGGCTGGGAGGAGGCTGAGAGTGGAGGCTGGAAGAGATTGGAGGTAGAGGCTGGGGTGGAGGCTGGGAGGAGACTGAGAGTGGAGGCTTGGAGTGAAGGCTGGGGAGTTTGGAGGTGGAGGCTGAGGGTGGAGGCTGGAGGTAGAACTTGAGGGATGGAAGCTGAGGGTGGAGGCTGGGGGTGGAGGCTGGGAGTTGAGGTGAGGTTGAGGGCTATGGACTCAGATCTATGTTTGATTGCAACCCTGCCTTCATCAAGGGGCTCACCTTCTCTCACTTAACAGATTCCTCATCTATAAAATTGTACTGATAATACTCAGCTTTCGGATGTTACGCAAATCAAACAAGATAACATATATCATTATCCACTGAAGCCTGAGGGTTCCTCCTGGAACCCTCACCTCAAGCGCAGAATATGAACAAGCACGGGTTAAGGGACCGGTATGCACGGACTTGAGGAGTCTACGTTTCCATCACCTTACCAACAACAAGAAAAAGGAATTCCGAGGGGCTTGCTATGCACCTACCATTATCAACTCCACTTATAAACATTCTGCTTTTTATCCTCCTTCTATTGGTTGGGGAAATTGAGGCACAGAGATAGTGAGTAATTTGCTGCAGGTCAGGGAGCAAGTGAGGGCAGAGCCAGGGTCTGAGCGGGACAGTCTGGCTCCAAGCTGTGCCCTGGGCCCTGGGTCGTCCGGCGTGGATGCACACCCAGGGAACTTGATCATAAAAGCCAGTCGTGAATTATCTGGCGACAGACCGATGGGGGTATCATTGGGATGCAGAATCCATCTCTTTTACAACTGTCCTGACGTGTTTATAGATCCATGCATCTGATGGGGGCAGGGGAAGGCGGCCTAGAGTCCTCTGGGCCACCCCTAGCTCTGTGCAGGGCTGAGTCCAGCCACTGCCAGAAAATGAGGAAAAACCATCCATGTTGAACGATTTTCATGAAAGCAGGTTCCAGAGCTGATCTTTGGCACATGGGCCACCCCTGACGTTGGAGGCCTTTAAAATATGGCCCAGAAAGCAAAGCAGAAAGTGGCCAGAAAGGAAAAGTCTCCATCTCAAATCTCCTATCGCTCAGACTCCCCTGAACTTGGGTCCCGCATCCACGTTGCCACTTCTGATGGGCTGTCTTCCCAGAGCACACAAATTGTCAGCTAGGAGCACTTTGGGGAAGCCCCCGACCTGTAAAAGCCACTGGGATGTTCACCCCACCCAGCGTTCCCTCCAGAGCCATCCAGCGCCTGGGCCTGCCCTGAAAATCAGGAAAGAGGAGGAGAAATGGAAGTGGGGAGCAGCATTTCTAAGACCCCCAGGCTGCACCCTGCTGGGCCACGGACCTGTCTGTCTCTGCTGACGATGCCCAGGCTGGATGACTATTTATAGAAGTGGAGGAATGTCCAATGACCGCATCTGGAAGCGATCGAGGGAGGGCTGAGCAGCCGTCAGAGCCTGGCACCCACTGGATGACACCCCAGTGGGCCGTCACCAAGAGTGGCTGAAAAACCAGGGTGTAGCCACCTCCCTCCAAGGGCCTCCAGGGCAACTGTCACTGCTTTGAAAGGACATTCTGTGCTGGTTGGAGGGACGGTTCCACTGGGTGAAGAGGCAATTACCTGCCATAATTATGCAAGCTTCTAATCACGGCATGGTGGCTAATTACTTACAAATTGCTCAGGCAGTAAATCCCCAGGCAGAAAGGCCCCCTGCCCTTGGAATGTGGGCTGGTTCCTGAGAGAAGGGGTGGCTTGCTGCGGGTGGCCCAGCCTTGCCCTTGCCCCAAAGGCTCTCTGAACAGCCTCTGGAAACACTGAGAATGTGGCAGACAACAGGCCTGTAGGAGACTGGCCACAGCATCGCACTTGCTTCTTCAAGGCGTGGGGGCACTGGGCCTCCAAGCTCTGCCTCCTGTTCTCAGTGTGAGGCCCTGGACTTCCCGGCACAGGAAGTTTTTCCATGCACGCCTCTTCTTGCTCTTCTTGTAGCAAGAAGACAACAGTGGGCCTGGGGCGGCTGCAGGGCTGAAACCCCTTGCAGGGTTGGACAAGACCTAAGGGGGTGTGCCACCTCGCTGTGACCTCCTGCTACTGGGCAGCAGCTGGCTGCTCACTGTCCAAAGTGACCACTTGCCTGCCGCTGGGTCCAAGGACCTGACAGTACCTGGCACACAGTAGGTGCTCAGTAGGTGTGTTGGCGAGCGGATGACGGCCGCCCTCAGGTCTGAGTCTCCAGGGCGGACCACGCTGTGCTTCCCACGGCTCCTGCACACTTCTGGGCACACGTTGTCACTCAGTGTGTTTTGGCTTTGGGCCCTTTTTAGTTTAGGTTTCATCTGGGTAATTCGTTTCTTTGAAATGCATTATAAATATACATATTCATGACAGCAGGGGATTTAACATTATTTATTAATATTATTTAATATTGAAAGGATCCCATGAAAAACTCTAACACGGTTTTTGACACATGGACGGGTGGGTGTGCCCTTTCCAGCCCTGAAGAGGTGGTCAGGTCCACAAGCTGGGGGTCACGCACCAGAGCTCCAGGCAGCCTACAGGAGATGCAGTTCCCACCTGAGACCACCAGGCCAGAATCTGCAGCTTCGCAGGAGCCCCGGTGCGTTGTGGAGACAGCTCCCTAGACCCTCTTCTGCGGCCATGGTCCTAATTTTCAGAAGATGTGTGTTCATTAAAAAACAAGAATACCCTGCTATGGTGTCTCCTCACACTGGATTATTTACATTCATTGAGGATAAGGGAACTGACTCCTAGCCTGGGAGCTCCAGGAGGGAGAATCTGGGTGTTGACCGCTATATCCTGGGTCCTAGAACTATGCCTGGTACACGGTAGCAGCTCGATAAATATCGGATGACTGTGTGCACTGACCAATGCCCACTTCTTTTAAGGGTCAATATCAACTTTCGGAATAATCCCACTTTTGTTTTTAAAACGTGTAAGTGTGCTATTGGCTGTGTGTGTGCTCAGAGGGAAAGGTCTGACTTCCTATGAGCATAGGCCACTCTGGGAATGTTTCTTAAATATTGTTTTCTTTCCATCGCTTACTAACACAATGTTGAACCACGAGAGTAGAGTACTCCCAACAGGCCACTCCCAGATCAGGGAGGGGAGGGGAGGGGGGGGAGGGGGGAGGGGAGGGGAGGGGGAGGGGAGGGGAGGGGAGGGGAGGGGGAGGGGAGGGGAGGGGGAGGGGAGGGGAGGGGGAGGGGGAGCAGGACCCTGCTGTTCAAGTCGCATCTTTAGAGCTGCGTGAAGTACCCAGTTCCTGGCCCCAGCCCCCTCCTCTGAACGCCTACGGATGTCATTACCTGTGAAGTTCCCTGCACTAAATCCTGCCCTGTCTCCTGTGTGTGCCGTGTCCCTGTGCTTGAAACCCAGCTCCCAGAGAAGCCCCCAGGAAGGGCGGAGCCTTTTCTCCTCATATTTGGCCCCCTCCTGCCCACCCCAGGCCTTGCGCATTGTGTCGGCAGCTGACACCCCCAAGCATCTCCATTTCAGGGGTCAGACGACAAGAAGCCTTCCCTCTGGTACCCCGGGGGCATATGCAGGCTGAGGGCATACGCAGGCTGAGGGCATACGCAAGCTGAAGGCATATACGCAGGCTGAAGGCACATACGCAGGCTGAGGGCATATGCAGGCTGAGGGCATACGCAGGCTGAGGGCGGGGTCCCAAAACCCAGTGGCTTTTAAGTTTCACTCTGGCCTAATCACCATTTAACCAGTCCAAACTTCAGTTTTCTCCTCTCCTCTGGGAAACGGGAATAAAGCATTACAGGACAATGCATGTACAGAGTTGAACAGGATCTCCCCAAAATTCACAGCCTCCTCAAACCTCAGAATGGGGCCTTCTTTGGAAATAGGTTCTCTGCAGGTGTGAGTTAGGATGAGGTCATACTGGACTAGGGTGGGCGCTAAACCCAATGACTTGTGTCCTTACAAGAGGAGAGAGACACAGAGACACACAGAGGAGAGGCCGGTGAAGACAGTCAGGGATTGGAGCCATGCGGCCACAAGCCAAGGGGTGCCTGGAGCCACCAGCAGCTGCAAGAGTCAGGAAAGACCCTCCTCTGGAGCCTTTAGCCCCTGCCCACACTGAGAAGTCTGGCCCCAGAACCAAGAGAGAAAGTGCTCCTGCTGTTGTGCGCCCTCGAGCCGTGGTTGTTAGGACAGCCGAGGAACCCGCGACCGTGCCCGGAGACCTGCGTGTGGAGGGCTGCTGCTGGTGCCCACTCACAGGCTGTCACCCTCAGGGAGCTTCCATCCCCCCAGGGTGTCCCCTTTGCCTCCAGGCACCTGTCACTGCACAAGAGGACCACAGACAAAAGTGAAAGGAACAGGGGCACAGTGGCTTGGGGCCGTCTTCTCATCCACCCGGGCCTGCACCACAGTTGCCCTGTGCACCTTTGTCCCCCGCACTGGCCACAGCTCCGCAGCAGCCCTGGCTCTGGCAGTCCAGGGAGAAGCTCTAAGAGAAAGTGTCCCCAGCAAAGAGCAGGGACACACAGAGCAGAGACATGCACGGTGCACCGGCCGTTGTGTCGCCCCGTTGTTTGGAGAGCAGGACCTTGTTCACCCCTGGAGCCCAGATACAGATGTGTAGGGTCTGGGGCTGGCCCTAATTAACTTAGGGAGGCCACGTACACTTGACCGAACTGCGGAGGTCATCGGCAAACCCGAGTTGCCCCTGTGCTATTTTTAGCCTTGAGGGCCACGTGGTGAGACCCAGCTTTGCCACGGCTGGGACGGTGGAGGAAGGGGGCTCAGCGAAAGAGGGTGAGGGGAAGGAATGACAGAGTGCAAGAGGCTCCACCAGAAGAGGCCTGTGCCAGCCCACAAGGCCTGGGCCTTCGCTATGGCATCTCCACACACGGGATCCAGATGCTTGCACCATTGCTGTGGGGTGGGGTCAGCGCTGGCACCAGCTAAGAGTTAGAGAAACTGAGGCCCAGAGTGGCAAAATGTGTGAGGGGCCCAGGGAAGGAGAACGTTTGCCCTCCAGAGCCTCTCGCTGTAGGAGGATCACGTCTGAGGGGATGTGAGGGCTCCGGTGCCTTGCAGAGTGGAAAAGTCCTCAGGGTGAGAAGATTCTGGGAAGCCCGTACCGCCGGGAAGAGCGGGAGTTTCCACACAGGGCAGGTGGTGGAGGGGTTAGAGGTGCCCTGAGCGCACATCCCACTCCATTACTTCCGGCTGTGAACCCTTGGACAAGTGGCTTGGCAGGCGGTGGCTTCCTACCTCAGCTGTGAAGTGGGGCAAAATGCTATGACACAGGTGACGTGCGTGACGCACCATCCAGAGTGCTGCTGCTGCTCTGCGGGGCTCCTGTGACACCCCGACCTCCCCCGGCCCCCGGCACTGGGGGCAGGTCTTGATAGAGGCAGAGCTGCGCTGTGTAACTGGTGGCCTCGCAAAGATGTCCCAAGAGAGGGCGGCCCCCAGGTTGGCTGTAGGGTGAGCCCCAGGAGGAAGGGGAGGCGGAGGTGAGGGCAGGCGTGGTCGGTTCTGAGGCTGCAGAATCCCACGCACAGCATCACAGCCTTGGCAGGTCGTGAGCACAGGGAGACGGGAGTTTCATGGAGCTCTGATTACAGGGAGATAGGGCTTTCCGATGGCTTCCAACAGCCCCCTTTGTGGGATTAGTATTTATTACGCCCCAAATTAGCTGGCAAGAGGGCCGGCTTCTGTGGAGACATTTAGCAGAGCCTTGAAGCGTAATGTTCCTTTTATTGCTCCATAAACACAGCCCTCGCTCTCTCCCTCCTCTCCCTCTGGCTCAGCCCTCAGTCCTGTCTCTTTAAGCCCTTTAAACCTTTAACCAGAGACTAATTGGTCAGAGTAATAACAAATCCCTTTCAACTCTGTTCTTCCAGAGCCCTGGCCTGAAGGTATCAGAGGTGGCAAGACCTAGAAAAGCCCCAGTACGAGTCAGGCTGCCTTCTGCAGGCAGAACCACTTGCGTGTTCTATGAAACACTGGATCGCTTGATGCCCTGGCTGAGAAAGAGCTTCACTGTAGAGTAAGGGGGAGAAAGCCATTACACAGCGTATTGTCACTGCTGCATGTATATTGTACACTGAACACTTTTAAGGGGAGCCATTTTATCCTTATCTCTGTGAATGACACCTGGAGCTGTGCAGTGCACAACCTGTGCAACCTCACATAGCACCCCATTTTTACAGATATGAGGTAAAATAAAAATGCAAAGGTACACATCCAATGTTAGAAGTGGCATATTAATGGTGATTTTTGTTTTCTTCTCTGAGCTTTCCCTGCATTTTCCAATGGTTTTTCTATAGTGAAGAGGCTTGCAAAACACGCCAGGCCCAGTTGCAAGTGCCTAGTATGTATTAATTCTGTTAAGATACACAACAATTTTATAAGGTAGGCAGCAGTAGAATCCCCACCTCACAGATGGGAACTCCGAGGTGCCAAGACATCATGAAACTTGTCCAAGGAGCTACCAGGAGACCCAGCTGGCCACCGCCAGCTCTGCATTTTCAATCACCAATGTTCACGTGCCTCCCAGTTGCAAAGAATCCTTCCTTCATAAACTTGTTCTGGTTCTATATTGTCTTGAATGTACTCACTAGAAGAGATAAATACCTGTTTGGCATTTGTATGAGTCTGTTTTCACACTGCTATGAATAACTCCCTGAGACTGGGTCATTTATGAAGAAAAGGGGTTTACACAATGCACAGTTCTGCAGACTTAACAGGAAGCATGGCTGGGAGGCCTCAGGAAACTTAGAATTGTAGTGGAAGGCAAAGAGAAAGCAAGCACATCTTACCACGGCAGAGCAGGAGAGAGAGAGCATGAAGCGGGAGGTGCCACACACTTTTAAGCTATCAGATCTCACGTGAACTCACTATCGCGAGAATTCCCTCACTATCACTAGAACAGCCTGGGGGAAATCCACCCCATGATCCAATCACCTCCCATCAGGTCCGTCGCCGGACACGTGGGCATTACAATTCAACCTGAGGTTTGGGTGGGGACACAGTCAAACCACATCAGCATTTATTAACTGAGGCTTGAGATGAGGCCACAGAGAAAGGAAGTCACAGTAACTCTGTTCCTTCCGAGAAAATGGTGAAGGAACCTTTCATCTGCCTACTTTGGGAAGGGGGTTCACCACGCACATCTCCCAGGGGATGGCTCTTGTGAAGGTGAGGGGGCTGCTGCAGCCTCAGAAACTGAGTGGTGAAAATTTCAGGCATTGAGCCAAAAGTGTGGGAGAAATTTTTTTTTTTATCAGAATCTCACCTTTTCACTCCCAAATGAAGTGAAATGTTTATTTTCAATGACCCAGCCAAATTCCACTTCTAGTGCCTCAGTGGGCACCCTCTATCCTGATCCTGGCACTTGCTGTTCTCTCACTCTAACCCTTTGCTCCTCACCACACTGTTCTCTGGCAGGTTTTCTCCCTATCAGTCAATTACACTCTAGCAAGAATTTCAGATGATGCCCAGCCTTTTCCAGGGACCTAACTCTTTATGGAACAGTTAAGTTCTTGAGACTCACCACACTGTTCCCTGGCAAGTTTTTTCCCCTATCAGTCATTTACACTCTTGCAAGAATTTTGGATGATGCCCTGCCTTTCCCGGGGACCTAACTCTTTATTGAACAGTTAAATCCTTGAGAAATCTCAGTGGGTAAGCAAGGAGGCTCTTGAATGGGAATACGGCATTTTTCTAATGACCTAGAAATCAACTGGTTAGGCATCGCTGAAAAAAGTTAGGAAAATCATGATATCCTAAATTTTAGGAACAGAAAAAACATTGGAGATAATTTAATGAAGCCCATTACTTTAGATACAAGAAAAAAAATGAGACACAGGAAGAAAAGTATTTTATGCAAGACACACGGCGAGTCAGTCTATGACCAAAATGATGGGTCGGGCTCAAACTTAATCTTCCAGCCCTGGCTTCACAAGAAAGGGGAATACAGGCATTTGAGGAAGACACCCATGCCCCCACATTGACTCAAGCCCTAAGATGTGAAAACACCAAGAGATTCGCTATAGATATCGGATGTGAAGAATCACAGGGTGTATCCACCTAACTCCCCTGCTTTATAGATGGGAAAGCTGAGGTGCAGAGAGAGTGAATCACACCAGCTGTCATTTACTGCACACTTGTTAGTCACCAGGCACCGTGCTCACTGTAAACATACTTGCAATTAGTCTGCATTACAACCTCCTAACGTGGGGAGAGATTTGGGGAATGCAGGGTTAAAGAAATGTAAACAGGTTTTGCTATTGATTTTGACTGCAGGACTTTTTAGAGCCTTGAATATGCTTGTGCTTATGTGCACCGCGAATCTCTAAGAAACAGATAGAGGAGGCTGGATTTCCCCAAGTGATGGGGCAAGGGAAGATCTTTTCATGGAGCATCACCTGGGACACATTCTGGTTGTAGATTTGAACCACATATATCATTGCAAGACAACATTTGTTCAAATGCCCAATGAATGGTTCAGGCTGCAAGTGCTCTGAATTCCAAAGACAGGAGGGGTCACCTTGCATTTATCCACCACTGAGTAAATGTGTTGAGGGCTCCTTCTAGTGCAGGGCATGAAGGTTTTGCCAGAGTGGGGTGTGCACGCGACGAAAAGGGAAATGGGCATGCTAGACATTGCCAATGAGCACAAATGCAAGGTTCCCTCTGCCCTGGCCACAAGGAAGACTGTGCTTTTCAGCTCTCCCGTCACTAGAGAGAGTCTCCCATGAGTGGCTCGGGGTGGGCTGTCAGCACGGTAACGTACCTGGGCCATCCCCAGACTCAGCCATAAAAGAGCGTGCAGGACTGTCTTACTCTCAAGTTTGTGTGCTTTCTCCCCTCTCTGGCAAGTGTGAAAGCGTCATGTTGGGAAGACAGAGCAATGAGAGGGAATCAGCCTGGACCACTGAGTCACCATGCCGAGGACAGTTGCCCTGGTGGGCTGCCTGAAACTGCAGTGGGCTTGGCATGAGTGAGAGTTGGATTTCTGTTGTGTTACCTACTGCGATTTGGGGGCTGTTTGTTAGGGCGGCATAGCATAGCAGAGCCTCACTGCTACAGAAAGACTTGGCTAAGTGGTGAATCACACATGACTCTTCCCTTGCAGAGCTCATGGTTTAGTAGGGCAGATGAGATCTATGTGTAAAAAACTGTAACAGAGGCTGGGTGGTGGGCCTCAGGGCTTGCCCGATTTCAGAGCCAGCCCTGGAGAAGTTGCACCAATCGAGCAAAGACTTGAAAGAGAGCATGACCCAGGAGAGTGAATGTCATTCCAGCTGGAAGGAACAGCATGAGCAAAGATCCAGAGGCCAGAAATTAAGGGGCGTGATGAGTTTGTCAGAGTTGAGGATGTGGGAAGAGAAATGGGAGAAAATAAGGCTAGAAAACACCACTGGCCCCAAGATCATGAAGGGCCTCACATTTCAGATAAAGGAGTTTGGATGCATTTCTACATACTAGCGTTTCTCCAGGAAACCTGAGTCTCGTAATACACACCTAGAAGGTAAGAGCTTCATCATGAAGACATTTAGAAAAAGCTACACCCCCCACTTCCTTCTTAATATGATGTTAACAGAGTCAAGCCTCTGAGAAGTCCTGCAGTAAGGAATCCAACTAGATTTGCTTAATGCAGCATTTCTCAGCCCTGTTGGAGCAGGAGCTCTTTTTTGACATACTTGGGGAAACATTGATGAGCAGAAGGATTTATAAGCGGGAAGATGGCAGGAGACAGGCCTGTGAGGCGGGGAGATTCATCAGCAGCAAGGAGACAGACAGGACAGCCGCTGCCAGCTCACATCCACCCCCTACCCCCCACCACCCACCTCAGCTGGCCTCGCCGCAGCCAGGCGGACCAGTCCATGCAGGCTCCAGCCCCTCCGTGCTGGCTCATTGTGCCACAAGCACAGGCCGCTGGTCTCCAGTCCTTCCCAGAACTTCTCCAGTGCCGTGAGGCTGAGGAAGCCCCTCGGGCCTTCCACATCACCGCAGGGAAGTGGGGAGTCAGCGCTTGACCCATGAAGGGACGAGATCCATAGATAAGTACTCCTTTTGGGCAGACAATTCTAGGAGGTGTTCTGTGCACGTCTTAGGAGGTCACGGTGGGACTGCACCCCGTGCCCCAGCAGCGACGTCAATCGCACAGCCTGCTCCTCCTGACTTGCCACTGAACCCATGCGCCCTGGACAACCTCCCAAGGAACCCACCACTGCTCCACGGGCAAGTTGCCGGCTGCCTTTGGGGAGCCCAAGATAAGAGCAGGGGTGGATTAGAAGGATGGTGGGGGAACGAAAGCCACGTGTGGGACAAAAGACGATCATGA
This sequence comes from Homo sapiens, assembly GCF_000001405.40. Lineage (NCBI taxonomy): Eukaryota > Metazoa > Chordata > Mammalia > Primates > Hominidae > Homo > Homo sapiens. Next base: position 86,994,090 of record NC_000016.10, read on the forward strand.
AAGCTCGTCTAGACCCAGGAAGGAAACCTAAGTGTCCAGATGAACACCGCTCCACAGAGAAGTGGCAGCAGAGCAGCGGACGGCAGAAACCACGCCTTGCCGAGCTCCCACGGGGCCAGAATCTACCCCACAATTCGGCTTCATCTTAATCTACTAAGCCTCCCTGCAAAGACTTTTATCACTTCTTTGATTTTACAAATTTGGAAACTAAGGCTCAGAGAAGTGTGGTTTTACCTCTGAAACACGCAACTTCCCACCCACCCAAAATGAGTGATGGAGAAAGAACCAACAGGATTGGGCAACTGTTGGATGTTGAGCAAGAGGGAGAGAAGAGTTGACTCGGAGGTTGGTATACTCCAAGAAGGCTTCCTGGAGGAAGTGGACAATTCAGAACACAGGACCCTTTATCCAAATCAAATACAAATAGGGAACACTATTATTAAGTATTATCTCCTATCTCTGTAAAAAGCCTTGTGGCCAGGGGGTGTTCTGGAAATGCTAGTTAATTTCTGGTTAAATATTGGATCCCTGGGAGTTCTTTAAAGGCTCGTTTACCCAGCCTGGAAGTTAAGCCTGTAACTTAAACGCATTGTCAAAACCAGGAAACATTTACCCCCCAGTCCAGACCACAGCTGAGTCATTGGCCAGGAGAAGCTCAGTCTGTGTGCAGAGAGCTGGAGATTATCTCATCTTCCAGGCACTTGTAGACATCCAATCTGGACAAATCATGTCCCACTCCCAAGAATCTGCAAGAAATGGCCTGATGTGTCTCCCACAGAACAGCCGATGATGATAACTCATTGTCACTCGAGCCAGTGGGCAGATAATGACCCCGCTGACAGGGTCCAGCCTGCTGCTCCGCCCCAGCAGACATGCTCCAACAATGGCTTCATCATCCTCCCCACCGGGACTGTGTAGATGAGGGAGGTGCCTCCCGCGGTGCAGGCTGTGAGCTCTAAGCAGTCACGCTGGACGCTGGACCAGTGCCCTGGGCTGCTCCTCCCTGCAGCCCCACGAGCCCAGGTAGGGATCACCAGAGGTCGTTTCACTCCCAAGTGGAGTGATAAGTCAGTCCTTCTACAGGAAGATTTCTCACAAAGTGCCCTACTGCACTGTCAAAGGGTAAAAAGGAGAAAAAAAATAATAAAGCCAGAGGCAAGGGCTCCAGGCAAGAGCAAGATGACAATATTTGTACAGCGGGGTTTGGAGAGGAGCCCCCGTGAGAGCCCAGCGTCTGAGAGAGCCAGTCCTTTGAACTGTCCCACCCTTTGTTATGACAAGAGACTTGATAAGCCCACCCAGCACAGAGACCCTTAGAATCCAGGCATATGGACTCCATTAATCTGCCCTTGCACCTTTTAAGTACTTTGCAGCTCCTGCCGCCCACAAAATCCAAGCAGAGTGAGAGTCGCAGGGTTAATTTTCTTAAATGGATTTTAGTCAGGCAAGCCCCGGATTTCTTTGGAGGGCAGAAGTTGACAGCTCACTGCTGGCCCCAATCTGTCCTTGGGGTAATGACGTCTGCCGCCCCTCAGCATGGGGACCAGATGCGGTCAAGGTGGTGGAAGCAGCAAGCAATGGGAAAGCCCAGCCAGCTTAGGCAACCCAGCACGGGGGAAGGCAAGGCGGTGGCTGGGGGACCGCGCCCTGGGTTGCATCCCCGCGTACCACTGGCCGGCTGTGTGCAAGGTCAGACACACACCTTAGATCCTGTGCCCGTTTCCCCTTCTGAAATCAGAAGCCACCATCGCTCCTCTGCCCTGCTGTGAGGAGGATCGTGAGTTACAATGTGTAAAGCGATGATAACAGTTCATGCCATTAACAAGCGCTCAACCAAGATGTGCCGACTGGGTGAGGGAATGAGAAACAACAGCAACCTTCAAAGCAAGAATGAGCATCAAGACAGCACGCGCCACTGTGCTGAGAGCTTTAGATGTGGTCTTTCCAGCCTTCCCAACCATCCTTCTTGAGATTCTAGGGGCTAGTAATGCAGATGCCTCCACCAGACTCCAACAATGCCTTCACATTGAGGTGAGCATCCAAACCCAAACTCCCGCCAACAGGGTTGGGGAAGCTTCCGGGGATGCCGGGTGGGGAAAGGTTTTCCCCCTTCATGAAGGGAGGCTCCTGTAGAGGAATGGCTCTCCTGCCTGGAGGGGCTCTGGTGGGGGATGAAGCCTGGGGTTATGGACACAACCGTATTACATTCACTAGAAGCTGGAAACGACTGGGCGTGGGTGGCAGCGAGAGGGACAAGTATTGAAGTCCCAGGCCACATCTGCGATGGCCGGGCTAGCCTACCTTGCAGCTCCTTGTTTTCCAAAAGGACGTGATTCTGCCCCATTTCACCCAGCCAGCCAACACTTGGGACTATGGAGAGGGCCATGGGGGAGGCGAGTGCCAGCCAGGCAAGGATAGTACAGAGACCCACAGGTCACTCACTCATTCACTCCTCAAGTAATGCCTATCAAGCACTTTCTACATACCAGATTCCTTCCAGGGGGAAGGGGACTTTTTCTGAGGCGTGCAGCTTCTCAAGCTGGTATTTAGGTGACTGGCCATGTGCACAGACTTGAGGCCACATGGGGCCCCGGTACCGTTCATCTGCACCATAACTCAATGAAGTAGGGCCGGCATTGAGAAAAGTGGAATTTGAGACATTTAAACAGGTTTTTCCATTTGTTTTCACCACAGGACTTGTCAGAGCCTGGAATGTGCCTGTGTGCATGGAGACTCTCCTGGGTGGGTGGCCAAGAGCACGGCACTGGGGCTCTCCGGCCTCCGTGCCCTCATCTTTAGAGTGGGGATGGAAGGAGTAGCCACCTCCGAAGTCTTAGAGGTTGAGCATTCAGTGAGATAAGCCTCCGAACCATTTGACACAGTGGTGGCACGTGATCAGTGTCAACCCCGAGAGCCGTGCTGATGTCCGCTCCTCCTCTCCTCCCTGAGCACCTCTGCTCCGCGGAGAAAACACCTGCACCAGATCACAGAGGCAACTAGTGTTTCGGTCAGAAAGACAGCGAGCTCCCTGTGGGTCACGCGCTCTGTGGCCTCGTGCTTATCTGTCCTTAGACCCCCACTAGTCAGCTGCTCTAGGCTAATCTCTAGACATCTGAGGCCAGCCCACTCGGGGGGCTAGCTGAGCCCCCTCACCATGAGTGGGTGAACCCTCTAATGAATACCCCTCCACAGTGCCGTGCCCGCCTCTGCCTCCCCGGGACACAGCCCTCTCCCTCCTGGCCTTCAAGGGGCGGCTTCGGTGCACACACTCCTTATTTGTCCTCTTTTTATCTGCTTGGCCACATTCATTTAGAAAAAAAAATGATCTCAGCTCTCAAGACATGCTGTAAGGAGGATAGTCCCTGGCCCGCTCTGCAGTAAATGTCACAGAACACACTTCCCTTGACCACTAAGGCGACCGAAGCCACTCTCCAAGAGCCAGAGACACCTGACCGGCTCCCACCCTGCGAGTGGACTGATGAGACCCTGAGGGAGGTCCCTGTCCTTCCTCCTGGAGGGAGCCAGCAGTGTATGGGGAAGCAAATGGCTCTGTATTTGCTATGAAATGACCGACCTGGACCTCAGTAGTTGCTTTTGAATTCTGCTTTATACACCTCTCTTAAGATTTTTTTTTCTTGTGTTAATACAATAGCACAGGTATGGGCCAGATGCGGTGCCTTACACCTGTAATCCCAGACTTTGGGAGGCTGAGGTAGGTGAAACTCAAGAGTTCGAGACCAGCCTGGGAAACATGGCAAAACCCCATCTCTACCAAAAATACAAAAAATTAGCCAGGCATCGTGGCACATACTTATAGTCCCAGCTACTAAGGAGGCTGAGATAGGAGGATGGCTTGAACCCAGGAGGCGGAGGTTGCAGTGAGCAGAGATCACGCCACTGCACTGCAGCCTGGATGACAGAGTGAGACCCTGTCTCAGGGAAAAAAAAAAAAAAAAAAGCATGGGGGAAGAAGGGAAGAAAGTTACCCAGTTTCCCCAGAGAAATTATTATTTGACAAAAAACGTTTAACACTTAGCAATCTTGGAGTTTCTTTAACTTCATTTATAAATGAGACCCCTGGGTTGAATACTTGAGGTCTGCATGTGACAAGTGCCCAGATGAATTTTATCCAGTTCTTGGTGGCGTGGAAAAAGTATTAACGGGCAAGAGGAACCCAGCTGCGATCACCAAGGCGTTTGGATCTTGCCCATCACGGCTGAAGTGAGGCCTCGCCTTGGAAGCTGGAGTCGGGTGTCCTGGTCTGGAAGCTTTGGATTTCCAGGGAGGCTCTCAGGCACCCTGACCGCCCCTGCGTGGCGCTGCCCAACCAGCAAGGAGAGCTGCTGCCCAAGGAGTCCCAGGGCCCAGGGACGGCCTCCTGCCCCATTCCTGCCCGAGGAGCTGGCTTGGGGTGGTTGCTGCTGCTGCAGCCATGTTGTCATCACTGCTGCTGTATGGTGGGGGTGTGGTGTTGTGTGCGTGTTGGCATTGTTGTGGCCACTTTGCAGTGTTGTTCCCACTGTGTTGTGTGATTGTGGCTGCTATGTTGCTGTTGTGCTTTTCTTGATCATGATGCGTTGCTGGCATTCTCGCTGTGGCCGAGTTGTCCTGACGTTTGTGTTGCTGTGTGGTTGTTGATGATGATGCACTGTCATTGCTGCTGTGTTGCTCTGTTGTTGCTGTGTTCTTGCTGTCCTTGTCACGCTGTTGTGGTGTTGTGGCTGTGCTGTTGCTGGGGTTGGTGTTGCTGTCACGGTGGTGCTGTGTGTGTCATGTTATTGGTGCTGTTGTCATCACTGCTGTGTTGTGGTTTTTAATGTTGATGTATCTTTGGTGATGTGATGTTGTCATCATTGGTGCTGAGTTGTTGTTTCGTTGTTGTGTTGTCGTTCCTGTGTTGTTGTTCCTGCTGTGTCATTGTTGCTGCCCTGCTGTCGTAACTGTCACTGTGCTGTCGTGATTGTCACCGTGCTGTCGTGATTCTGTGTTGTCATGATTGTGGCTGTGCTGTTGCGTTTGTCACTGTGTTGTCCTGATTCTCAGTGTGTTGTGATTGTCACTGCGCTGTCGTGATTCTCACTGTGCTGTCATGGTTGTCACTGTGCTGTTGGGTTTGTCACTGTGTCGTCGTGATTCTCAGTGTGTTGTGATTGTCACTGTGCTGTCATCATTCTCACTGTGCCGTCATGGTTGTCACCGCACTGTTGTGATTCTGTGTTGTCATGATTGTCGCTGTGCTGTACCTGTAACCTGGAGTCCTCTTTGCCACATTCAGTAGCATCCAGGCATCACTGCTTTCTCTCTCTCTCTCTCTCTCTCTCTCTCTCTCTCTCGCACACGCTCTCTCTCTCTCTCTTTTTCTCTCTCTCCTGGTCTCTTTCTTTCTCCTTCTCCCCACTTTCTGTCCCTTTCCCCTTCTTCCTTCTTCGTTCATTCCCTCCGTGTTCCCATCCTGTTCTCTATCACCATCTCTGTGTCTGTACTCATCACACTCATTCTTGGTTTGAACCATTCTCAGCCAGAGGGAGACCAGAGGCTGAGTCAGGAGGATGCCTGTGAGCCTATTTTTAGGGAAAAAGCCCAACACGTGATTTACCAGGAATTTGAGCCAGGACACAGTCAGGCAGGCAGGTGATGGCGTTAGCAGCAGACAGTGAACCCCCATCTGGACCAAAATGTGCCCAGATGGCTATAGTTTAATTGTGTTTCCGTGCTGCTATTTAATTCATCTTAAACATGGGCATAGGGGAAGAGACTTCAGGACCAGTGAAATGCAAAGTGAAAAGTAATCAGGAGGATCTGGGCCACCCTTTGGCGTCTGCAGTGAGTTTAAGAGAAGGTCATGAATACACCAGCTTGCCAGAGGCCTTAGATGCTTCCCTGATGTTCCCAGGCTTTGGTTTCTTCATGCACAAGATAAGAGTGTAATAAGATAATCAGGTCCTCAACCACCAACCGTCTCTACATTCTCTGATTTCACCTTCAACAGGGTGTAAGAATAGCTCACATGTATTAAGGGGTGACTTTGCACCTGGCATGGTTAGGTTATGTGAACTGACTCATAAAATTTTTCCAACAGGCCTGTGAGGCAGGTAGCAGCATCACCAACATCCTCTCTGTAAAGACAAGGTGACTGAAACACAGAGAGGTTAATATTTAACTTTCCCGAGGTCACACAGTGGGTAAATAATGGAGCCAGGATGCAAACCCACCAGTCTGGCTGCAGAGCTCCCTCAACCATGACTATCCAGTTTTGGAGGGTGAGAGTGGGAGTGGCTGGACACTTCACAGCAAAATTCAGATGGGAAAAGGATAAGCCACTGGCTGCAGAGACTGAATTCCCACACCTATCAGAGGTGTGACTGCAAATTCTCAGGGGTGTGCCATCGGGCAAGAAAAGGAAATAAAATACCTTAATGGAAAGGAAGAAGTAAAATTACCATATTCTCAGATGACATGACCTTACACAGAGAGAGTCCTAAGGACTATACACTGTACACAACTATTAGAATTAATACACAAGGTCACAGGATGTAAGATCAATGTACAAAACTCAGTTGTGTCTCTGTACTCTAGCAATGAACAATCAAAAGATGAAGCTAATAATACAATTCCACTCACAATCACATCAAAAAGAAGAGAATACTTAGAAATAAAGTACAAGTCTTGGCTGATGAAAATTATAAAACTTCACAGAGGAAAATCAAGGATCTCAATAAATGGAGGGACATCCCATGTTCATGGATTGGAAGGTTCATGATTGTTAAAATGTACATTCTCCCCAAATCGATCTATAGATTCAGTGTGATTCCTATCAAAATTCCAGCAAGCTCTGTTTACAGAAACTGACAAACAGACTCTAAAATTTATGTAAAGATGCAAAACACCTAGAGTAAACAAAAACATTTCTGAATAAAAAGAAACTTTCATACCCTGGGCTTTCATATCCTGATTTTTAAATGTGCAAAGAAGCTATGGTTTCATGACTCTGTGATGCTGGTATCAGAAGAGACATACATCAACAGAATGAACAGAGAGATCAGAAATCAACCCTTATATTGGTAGTCAAATGATTGTATACAAAAGTTCCAAGACAATTAATTGAAAAAACAATAGTCTGTCTATAAACGAAACTGGGAAAATTGGATACCCATATGCAAAAAGATCACTTTAGGCCCTTGTCTCACCCCACACACAAAAATTAACTCAAAATGGATAATAAACTTAAATGTAAGGGTTAAAACAACAAAGCTGTTAGAAAAAAAACAGAAGAAAATCTTTGAGACCTTGGGTTAAGCAAAGATTTCTTAGCCATTACATCAGAAGCACAATCCATAAAATAAAAAAAAAAAATTAACAAATTGGACCTCATCAACATTTAAAACTTTGGATTTTCAAAATACAATACTAAGAAAATGAAAAGACAAGCAACAGCTGAGAATAAAACATTTGCAAAACACATATCCAATAAAGGACCCAGAATATACAATAAAGAACACTACAACTCTATGACAAACAAATCCAATCAAAACAAGACAATGGATAGGAACAAGCATTTCAGCAAAGAAGATATACAAATGGCTAATACATATATGAAATGGGTGCTGAACATCATTAGCCATTAGGGAAATGCAACTTAAAACCTCAGTGAGATACCACTTTATACCCACTGAACTGACTATCATAAATAACACAGACAATAACAAGTGCTGGAGAGGATGTGGAGAAATGGGAACCCTCCTGTGATGCTGGTTATATTATCCATTCTCATGCTGCTAATAAAGACATACCCAAGACTGGGTAATCTATAACTGGGTAATGTATAAAGGAAAGAGGTTTAATGGACTCACAGTTCTACACAGCTGGGGAGGCTTCATAATCATGGCAGAAGACAAGGAAGAGTAAAGGGATGTCTTACATGGCAGCAGACAAGAGAGCTTGTGCAGGGGAACTCCCCTTTATAAAACCATCGGATCTCCTGAGACTTATTCACTACCATGAGAACAGCATGGGAAAAACACACCCCCATGATTCAATTACCTCCCACCGGGTCCTTCCCACAACATGTGAGGATTATTACAATTCACAGTGAGATTTGGGTGGGGACACAGAGCCAAACTCTATCACTGGTGGGAGTGCAAAATGGTGCAGTCACTTTGGAAAGCAGTTTGGAAGTTTCTCAAAAAATTAAACAAACTGCTCTGCAAATCAGCAATTCTATTCCTAGGTATCTACTCAAGATAAATGAAAACCTATGTGTTAAAACCTAGAAAACACAAAGACTCACTACAAATGTTCATGGCAGCATTATTCAAAGTGGCCAAAAATGAAACAACCCAAGTGTTCATCAGCTGGTGAGTAGATAAAGAAATGTGGCCTCTCCATGCAGTGGGATGTATTCAGTCATAAAAAGGAACAAAGGATCTTATGGGAGGATTCGCTTCCCCATTCCTGCTCATCTGCACACCAAGATTCTAGGCTTCCACCCTGGGTAGCCACTTAACCCCAACCCTGCCACACCTCTGCCAAGATGCCATTAAACTCCCCTCAAGGACCCCATTTAAGTGTGACATCCACTCCTACCAGGTCTCCATCCTTCCTCCCTCTGTTCTCCCCAGTGTGCCCTCCAGGGCCCCCATGACCAGCCCTCCCATCCTGGCATCACCTTCACTAACCACTTAGAGCAAAGGGAGTCCAGGAGACTCCACTGGAAACACTGCTGTCTGTTATTTCCTGAACTGTGGGCTGTGACTCCCTGTGTCCTCTGGAGAAAAGATTGCCATGTGTATATTTCTCATTTTCCATGACACTTCTGCTCTGTGTGTTGCAATCATGGTGGGTGGTGAGGTTGAAACAAAATCTGTGGCTTGGCTGTGAGAGAAGAATGGGAGCTCCTCTGTGGACAGAAGCAGCTGCTTGCCTGGCAGGGGAGGTGCAGGGTGAAGATGGTCAGGAAAGAGAAAAAGGGCAGGGAAAACCCAGAATGGCACCAATGGGTGTAGGTTCCACTGCCCTTGACCAGTGGGGACAAACTGGACTGCTCTGGGCTGCACATTTTAGAGCAAGTGATGCAGGCTGGTAAACTGAGGCAGCCTTGGCCCTGGGTCTGGCTGAGAGGCCCCAGGAAGACTGGAATGACCAAGTCCATGAGCCAGGTTGGGAAGTCAGAGTCCCCAGTGCCCTGCCCTTCTCCCCCTGCCAGGGATTGGTTCAAGTAACTGGGCCAACCAGGGCCCCTCCCTCATGTTTCACCTGAAGCTGGGAGAGAAAACAAGAGCCCCACAGTGATAAGCTGGGGAGAACAAAGTTGAAGTACTCACACTCCCTGATTTTAAAAACTTACCGCAAATACCTGGGGAGGCCATGCTGCCCTCCAGGGCAGAAAACTTGCCTCCCTGAGAGAGGTGGAAATGAGCTTGTGGCACTCATTCATACAAATAACCAGGAAGCACCTCCTAAGTGTCAGGGGCTGTTCTCTGCCTGGAGCCACAGCAGTGAGCCAGGGGATGAGTCAAGTCCCTGCTCTTATGGAGTTTGTGTTCAGTTTGGAGACAAACGATATTTTAAAATAAAATAATAAATAACATAAATATCTGGCATGTCATTCAGTGGAAGTGCTAAAGAGAGAAACAAAGGAGAGAGGGGGTGGGGGGCATGGGGTGGAGTTGGGGGGAGTCACCAATGAGGGGGCTCTTGTGAGGCCTTTCTCTTTCATCATTGCAAGAAGGTGCTGGAGGGGATTGAACAAAGAAGTGGCAGGGTCTGGCTTAAATTATTTTTATATTGAGATGAAATTCACAAAATTAACTCTTTTTTTTTTTTTTTTTTTTTTTTTTTTGAGATGGAGTCTCACTCTGTCACCCAGGCTGGAGTGCAGTGGCGTGATCTCGGCTCACTGCAAGCTCCACCTCCCGGGTTCACGCCATTCTCCTGCCTCAGCCTCCCAAGTAGCTGGGGCTACAGGCACCCACCACCACGCCCAGCTAATTTTTTGTATTTTTAGTAGAGATGGGGTTTCACCGTGTTAGCCAGGATGGTCTCGGCCACCCACGTCGGTCTCCCAAAGTGCTGGGATTACAGGCGTGAGCCACCGCGCCCGGCCGACAAAATTAACTCTTAAAGGGAACAACTTGTTGGCATTCAGTACATTCACCATGTTGTGTGACCACCCCTATTTATTCCAAAACATTTCTATCACCCCAAAAGGAGACCCCACACCCATTAGCAGTCACTCCCATTCACCCCTTCCCACAGCCTTTGGAAGTCACCAATTTGCTCTCTGTTTCTATGGATTCGCCAGTGTTGCACACTTCATTTGAATGGGGCATTCAACATGCAGTCTCTTGTGACCAGCTTACTTCATGCAGCATCGTGTTTTTCACGCCCATCCACGTTGCAGCATGGGTCAGCGCTTCACTGCTTTTTGTGGTGGAGTCATGTTCCATTGCATGGATATTTTAACAATCCTTTTTATAGAGGTGGAAAAGCTGATCCTAAAATTCATATACAATTCGGAGATACCCCAAATAACCACATTTTTTCTTAAAGAACAAATTTGAAGGACTCACACTCCCTGATTTTTAAAACTTACTACAAATTTTGGAAACCCCAATCAGTCGCCGTAGTACTGGCATAGAATAGAAATATAGAACAATGGAATAGAACCCAGTCCAGAAATAAACTCATACTTCTATGGTCACTTTATTTGACAAGGTGCCAAGACCATTCTATAGGGGGAAAAAATGTCTCCTTAATAAATGATTGAGAAAACTGGGTATCCACATGCCAAATAATGAAGCTGGACCCCTACCTCACACCATATATAAAAATTAACTCAAAATGGATCAAAGGCCCAAATGTAAGAGTTAAAACTACAAAACCCTTAGAGGAAAATATAGAGTAAATCTTTATGATTGACTTAAACTTCAAAAGAATCAGCCTGGCTGATGTGCTGGGTTGAATCCCAGAGGTTCCTTTCTCCAACCCTGTTCGAGACCCTCAGGAACCTCACAAACTTGACCTCTCACCTTCAGGCATGAGCCAGAAAGTGGCCCCAGTTGGACACAAAGAGGAAACAATGGATGAAGAGAGGGCCCCATGGCCTCCATGAGCACCCACATGACAGTGAGCCAGTACTATTCAAACTACACACAATGCCCACATGACATAAGCCAGGATCATTCACACTGCATATGAGGTCCATGTGACATCATTTTGGATGCTCCTTTTAAAACAAAGGACTTTGTTCTCTTGCCAGTGTCTTCATCCTCAGACAGGAAGAAGCACTTTGATCTGTGGATGACACTCCCCAAGGCCTTCAGCAGGGTGACTTCTGTCGGGAGGAGGGAAGTCTCTGCTCTCTGAGCCTGCTCCTCTGGCACCATAGACAATAAGCCTTTGACCAGCAGGATCCAAGGAACTGGACCTTGCCACGGGCAGCCAGCAGATGCTCCAGTGAAGGACAGGCTCAGGGTGGGTGGGGGAGGAGAGCCAGGGCAAGCCCCCACCTGCCCGCACTTGGGAATCTGCAACAAGCCAGGCCAGGAAGCATCCCATACTTCCTCTGCATCTGTCAACAGCACATTGGGCTGACCCTGAGCCACTCAAAGACAAATGCACCGTGAGCTTGGACCAGTGAGATCATCATGTTTTGGGATGAGGCTATCACACAGCAGAAGCCCCTTAATCAAACAAATACTCTGGTAAAATGGACAGAGCTAAATTTGAAACCATGGATCAAAGGTAAACAGATCAACAGACAAGCAGGGTCGGGATTCAGTTTGCACAAACAGAGAGTCAGAACAGTCAAAGCTGAAGGTGCCCCACAAGCTGGCTGGAAGACCCACACTGTTAAAGAGAGAGGGACCTGGGGCCCTGCTGCCCCATGAGTGAGTCGTGATGGTGTCCAAAGAACCCAACCACGTGAGCCTCCCAGGAACCTGTCACCACCTGCCACCGCTAGGAACTCTTCCTCCACCAAATGCTTCCCTGATGGCCCACAGGTGTCCCCTGGGCATCCACAAGTGAGGCCAGTGTGGCTGGGAGTTGCCACTGCTCACAGGAGGCCATGCTTTGGGGAACAGAGACCCCCGGGGTCCTGCAGGGAGGTAGGAAAGGACTCCTCCCTGTCACATCATAACCTGTGAGATACACAGAGCTGCAAGGCTGGGCTCCAACTGGGCCGTGGTTTTTCTGTGAAGTCACTTGTTCTGTGCTAGCCCACGGACCTCCTTGACCTCCAGCACTGAGATGCGCTCTTGTGACAGCCCCACCTGACCTCAGAAGAGCCAGAGCCCAGCATCCGCAGTGACAGAGACCCCAGTGCTGAAGGGTCTCCTTCAGGTCCCCCTCCAAGGGCAGCTGTGGCCCTGAGACTGGACCGACACCCTCAGCCATGGCCACATACTGTGAGCTCAGGGGAAATCCCTCAATGCACCAGAGCCATGGTGGCCCCAGCTGCTGGGCAGCTCTGTGCTGGAACATCCAATCTCATCATGATCATGACCACTCATCAGCCCAGGTCCCTGCGGAAGCGGGTGGCACAGGCAAGCCGGGGGAGATGAGGAAAGGGGTTGCAATCAGGCCCGCAGCCCATATCTGGCTGCCATCCATTTCTGTAGAGCCTAGGAGCTAAGATGAGCTTTATTTGTTTAAAGTTGTAAAAAATAAAACCAAAAGTAAATACATGGGAATGTATATATGTGGCTCACATTTGGGGACCCCAGAAAAGGGTATAATAAATAGCTGGGAGGGGGAAGTTACTGCGGTTGCTGGAACTCAGGAGGTGGCAGCAGTGGGAGGGGACCGGCCAGGATGAGCTGCAGCCTGGGATGGGCACCCAGCCAGATCACGGGACCCCTCTCCTGTGTGGGGAGCTGGGGGGGTCACACCCTGACTTTGCTCCCCACTCTTCCATGTCACGCCAGGGGGCCCCACTAGCCAACCCACCCAGAAGTGGGGGTCAGGATCTCAGGACAGAGAGCAAGTGGGGGTAAAGTGGGGCCCTCTGCAGAGTGGGGCGCCAAGCCTGATTTTAGTTAGGAGGAACAGGAGCCTCAGAGGTGAGTAGACCTGCCCAAGACTACCCAGCTCCTGCGTGCCTGCACAGAGACAAGGACTCAGCTCTGTTCTCCCCTACCTCAAGCCCACAGGTCCACCCAGGCTTGGCCGAGGCCCTAGCAAGCCTTGGAGCTGGCTCTGCCACTCACCCTAGAGACCCTCCAGCCCACACCCCAGCTCAGATTCCGCACTCACTGAGCAACCTTCTGAGTAGAATTCCAGCTCACACAGAGCTTTCCCACAGGGAGGAATGTGCTGGCCAAGCTGACGAACATCCAGCCTACTGGACACTTGGGGGCTCACTATAAAGGAGTAATTTGACCCGGAAAGGGACTGCACTGACCAGCTGACACTGACATCTGCCCCCACTGCTGCTCCTTCCTCGCTGCACTCAAGCACACTGGCATTTGGGTTTGCATCTGTCTCTCGTGAATTAGGTTACTGTGAGTCAGTCCTCCAGAGCCTGAGCACTTCTAGGGCACAGACCAGATCACATTTCTGGGCCTACAAGGCCAGGAGTGAGGTGCTGGGCTGGGCTGCAGGAACCTCAGCCAAGCCCTGCTTCCCTGGGGCCCAACTGGGCCTAGCTGGTCTCTGCTGGGGAGCCCTCAGTCAAATCTCTGTCAAACCACAACAGTGACAAGTTTACAACACTCAACCAGAAACCTCTGCAGGGCTGAGACCCAAGTTTGCATCCACTGCTGCATGGGGCTCACACACCAGAAAATCAGCTGTGTTACAGAAAGCACCAGCATCTCCACTTCCCAATGCCAAAGAAAGGGAACCCTGTGTTTAAAAATTAGGAACAAAAAGAACTGGGCCATCATCAATGGATGCTGCTACAAGTCTTTTGTACACACGGTCCAAAGGCAGAAATGAGTTGCCTCCGCTCTTGTATGTCTGCAGGATGTCTGGGCCTCAGGCTGGAAGCAGCCCCTCGCACGTGGCAGGCACACACCAGAGCCCACCGCACTGTGACCACGAGGTCTGAAGAGCCCCTGTGGGCACAGCGGTGGGCTGCGGGCTCGGGGGCCTCACAGGCTGGCTGTGTCCTGGTACCAACTCATGCTTTGAGCCTCACATCCTCTTCTCTAAAACAGGTAAAGCAGGGTGGCCGGAAGGCTTAAATGAAACAATGTTTGAAAACCACTGAGGTGGGTGGCTCCTGATTTCCCATGAGGACAGGCAAGGGTGGTAACCAGTACCAGGAAGAGGAACAGCCACCTTTCAAGATGAAACCTCGGAAAGTCATCGTTGATGAACAAGAAAGAATTAGATTGCTGGTGGCTGGGGGCTGGGACCTTTCATCAAGGTGCTTCAAGTTGCATCCCTTTTCTCCTAGTGAGCCTTGGGTGGGCTGGAAGGGGCTGGAGACTGACACTGTACAGACCTACAAATGGGCACCAGGAGACCACAGTGGGCAGACTTGGTGCTGCTGAAGGGAAAGCTGGCCCACCACCTCTCGGGTGCGTTCTGGGGTGTTCCAAGCTGGGCCGGCAGTGACTTTGGTGGGCCACACTGAATCACAAGTCCCCCAGCATTCAGAGCCTAGGTCGCCCCCTCCCACACTGACTCTGGGCTTGGCCCTGTGATTTGCTCTGGCTGATGGAGCATTGGCCAATGTGATGTAAGCAAAGGCTTCCTGAGCTTGCAAATTGGGTGTGGCCTCTTGGAACCCAGCAGCCATGATGTGAGGAAGCACAAGTGCTCCTGCTAGAGTGAGGCCCCCAGAAGGGGCGCTGGGGATTGACACGGGAGGGAGGAGCCGGGTGGCACATCAAGGAGCTCCCAGCTGAATGCAGCCAGCAAATGGCCCTGGAGACACAGGGTGAGCTGAGCCACCCCGCCAGCCCAGAAAATCACAGAAATACAAAATCACTATTACTCAAAGCCACTAAATGTGGGGATTGTTTGTCAGGAAGCAATAGGCAACTGAAACACATTCCCAGCATCGCCTGTAACAGCCCATGATTTAGCCTCTGCAGCTCACTCTATTTGCACCAACATTATGACAACCTGTTGCAGATGCCAACAGCCTCCTTCTGATCTAATTCCTTTGGAAAGGAATGCCGGAAGCCAGGATATCCTATACTGTAGCCACCTTCTGGACAGGCAAGCATGAAAAACCAACCCCATCATTCATCACTGTTTGTGCCAGTTTAAGTTCAGTGGCCCCTGTTGTCACTTCTTGTTTTCTGTGCCCTCCATCATCGGGTGCAGATCTGTGGCTGAGCTGCTCAGCCTGCAAGCTGTGATGTCACGACCTGGTAGGTCCGTGGTGGCCAGCCCAAAGTCAACAACCCACACAAGTGGCCCTTTGACCTGCAGAGCTGTGGAAGCCACTCCCTGGTGGCATTCATCTATTTAAAGATGCCAGCATCGTGATCCTGTTTTCTGGGACCCTTTTCTGCTGACAAGGCTCGCACTGGGGGCCAGCATCATTTAGGGGATGGAGCAGACCCTGGTTAGGTCTATAGCCAGGGAATAGTCCCCCGGTAAAGGGGGGATGACTGTAATTCCTTGGGTGTCTGGTATATACCAGGAACTGTGTTGGGACATTTACAGGCAGAATGGTACTTTTTAAAAAAGTCCCAGGCCGGGCGCGGTGGCTCACACCTGTAATCCCAGCACTTTGGGAGGCTGAGGTGGGTGGATCACAAGGTCAGGAGGTCGAGACCATCCTGGCTAACCTGGTGAAACCCCATCTCTGCTAAAAATACAAAAAAATTAGCCAGGCATGGTGGCAGGCACCTGTGGTCCCAGCTACTCAGGAGGCTGAGGCAGGAGAATGGCGTGAACCCAGGATGCAGAGCTTGCAGTGAGCCGAGATCGCACCACTACACTCCAGCCTGGGCGACAGAGCGAGACTCCGTCTAAAAAATAATAATAAAATAAAATAAAATAAAATAAACTGTCCCACCCAAAGGGGATCTTTGAGGCAGTGAACCTATCTTGGCAGTGTAAGGGTGGATACAGGACACCGTGCATCTGACAAAGCCCCTAGAACCACACCACAGAGAGTGAACCTGGTGTAAACTGTGGGTCTCAGTAACAACATGTCAATATCGTTTCATCCCTTGTCACAAATGTACATCACTCATGCAGGATGTTAAAAACAGTGGAGCCTAGGAGGGGAGATGGAGGGAATGAGAAATCTGTGCTATCTGCACAATTCTCTGTAAACCTAGAACTGCTCTGTAAAATAAAACCTATTATTTTTTAAAGTTACAGGAAAATAAAAAGAGAAAGAGGGAAAGAGAGAATGAGAGAAAGAGTTTGAGCCACCTTTCTCCTCTTGGGATAGCCGGGCAGCAGGCAGGCTCAACTTATCTGACTCTGGGATGCCAGAACAGGAAACAGGAGGAATTCTAGAATCAGGAGGAAGTCTAGAATCACAGTGGAACGTGCCTGGCTCTGTCACTCACTGGATGCCCTTGAACAAGGTGCATAGCATCCGCAGGCTCCGGATCCATCACCTATAAAATGAGGATAATAACAGGACCTTGGGGACAAAGGTGGTGAGGGTGGTGAGGGAAGGATTTGTACCTCCCCTCCCTAAGTCCTGGTAATGTTTGCCTAGAAATGAATGAACAGAGCAAGTAGAATGTGGTCATGCTTTTGGCATTTAACACATTGGAAGATAGTGGCTCTGAGCACAGGTGAAGTAAGAAATTCCCTAACATCTCTGCTCTGTGCCCCCATGAGCTGGCAATCAGAAGTGTGTGTCTCCCACCTAGGGCTGCTGAGCAAGTAACAGGGACAATGTGCATCCCGGGGTGTGACATAGGGTGGCACACAGCCCACACAGTCAAAGACCAGGAGCTGCTGGGGAGAGGTAAAGGAAGGGCCTCTACCAGCCCTCAGTGAAGCCGAGATGTGTCTAGATCAGGGCTTGGCACCATCAAACTTTACATTTTTCCTGTCTTATGGTCGTGCGATGACATCTATTTTGGATGTGATTTGCACATCCGCATGTGTGAACGCACCAGAGCACCTTGTCGGCAACATGTTGGTGTGTGTTACTCGTCACTGGGTTACCCTCTTTAGGAAGAGTCTGAACTCATGGTTCCAGTGCAGGAATTCCTCGCAGGTGTTTGTCATTATAGATACGTTTCTCAGCATTCCTCACACCCCCCAAATCAAAAACAGTTGAAAAATCAAGAAAATGAGAAAATATGTCCTAATTCTCCTGCAAGAAGTAAGCTTAACAGTCAACATACAGACGTTACAAGTTTGAAGGAACCCAACAAAGTCCTCAAAAGTGACCCCAGGAAATGCTGGCCCTCGGAGACGATGGTGCAGGTCCACATCTCTGGGAACCGGGTGGAGTGTGGAGGAGGGAGGGGACCATCAAGTCAGTGCCTCCAACCTGCTGATCTCACTGCAGTTGTCATGTTGGAACCGTGAGGTCAGGGTCTGCCACGAATACAGAGTGATTCTTGCAAATAAAATTAATATGAATACCTTTATACCCATAGAATACTCTATACAAATCCTATGAGAGGTGTTCCAAGAAATAACAAGTTACGGAATCAAAGTAAGTCCTTAAATTGGCCATTTCAATACATGATTCGGTGTGGGGCTGTCAACACTTCCAGAAGATCTGAATGTGGCATGCTTTTGGAGTAGAAATAGGCACTCCAGGGCACATAGAACTTTATAAAGATCTAAGAAGAAATGCAAACCGAAGAAGGAATGAATATTACTATAGAATCCACCAAGCAAAATCAGAGACTGATCTTCAATCGCAGTTAGTAAAACCCAATTTCAGTGGCAAACCATCCAAAGAGCCAGGAGACAAAATATTGTCTTCTGTTAACTGTTAAGAAGGAAACCGTTAAAAAAGAAATAAGCTGGAAACCATCATTCTCAGCAAACTATCACAAGGACAGAAAACCACACACCGCATGTTCTCACTCATAGGTGGGAACTGAACAATGAGATCACTTGGACACAGGGTGGGGAACATCACACACCAGGGCCTGTCGTGGGGTTGGGAGGCTGAGGGAGGGATAGCATTAGGAGAAATACCTAATGTAAATGACTAGTTAATGGGTGTAGCAAACCAACACGGCACACGTATACCTATGTAACAAACCTGCACGTTGTGCACATGTACCCTAGAACTTAAAGTATAATAAAAAAAAAAAAGAAAGAAACGTAGATGAGGCAACAGGTACCTAACGCACAGTCGCAGACGCTTTGGGATGCACGCTCAGCAATCCAAACAACGTTAACAGCAAAATAAACGTTTCTACGTCCAGATTAATGTTATGAAGCAAAGATCAAGACCTTCAGACAGGCCTAAAACATTAGTACACTGTTTTCTAAAATTTCACCGTAAGATTGGTAACTACACTAAATATCTGTGGTACTTCAATTTTTTAATGATTTTTGAGGTTTATTTTGTTATTGTGTCTTTCTTTTAATATTTTCTGTTATCACATGTCTGAATAAGGGACAGATTAATGTGAAATGCTACCAAATGACATAATATTGTCAAAAGATAATGATATAAAACATTAAGCCAAGTATTTATCATTATGTCTTTTTTTAATATAAAACACGCTGGGACTTTTGATTTAATTGTATCACAGAAAAATGATTTCCCGTTTACTATTAGGATCTCTCATTCTTATTTAAATCACATGAAGTGTTTTGGAAGATGTAAAATAACTTATGATTTCACGAATTACTGTGATTTCCCAGGAATATTGTCCCCAAACCCTAAAGACGAGTATCGGTTGGGAATTCAGGACTGCCAGCCTCAGTTGAGTAGCAGGAGCCAATAGGGGTCCGTGAATGAGACAGGATGAGAGCACGGAGCAAGAGGGCTGGAGACAGCTTGGAGGAGACACATGCTGGAGACCGCAGCCACGGCCAGCAGACAAGGCCTTGGGTTAGCATGGGTGAGCGGGATTGAAAAGAACCAAGACAGGGCAGACATTTGGGCTCGGAAGATCCACGTTATTCCTCAACCCTGCCCTCGACTGCAAGTTCACAGACACAATGATGCAATTATGGGCAGCCAGAGGGCGAGCCCACACGCTGCCCTCCAGCTGCTGAGGCAGGGACCCGTCTGGCTGGACCCCACGGAACACGCAGGTGGCCTCCGCTCCTCCAGACAGACAGGGGCACTCCCCCCGCTGCTGCCCCACACACGCAGGCTGCGGCGGGCCGGGTGGGAAGTGGGTGGGCTGGCTCTCTGCACCTCTGTCCAATTTGGCCCGGGTCGGGCGGCAGCCTCCCAAGCCGCGTCTGCAGAGGCCTCAGCAGGCTGGAAGTGCGGCCCTGCATAAACACGCACTGTTTTTCTTTGAGGCTTAGGCGCGCTTATCCCTGTCATAAATTGTCACCTACTTACACTGAGGGGTCGCAGGCCTCGTTTCCAGGGAGGTCTCCGGCCCTCCCAGCTCAGGGCAGCCAGGGCTCCTCGTTAGCTCTTGGGGAACGAAAGAGTGACTCTCACATGGGATCCACAGAAAACGTGAGGTCCTGGCCAGCTGGCTCCATGGGATCACTCACTCATTCATTCACTCTCACTCATTCATTTCCTCACTCACTCACTCATTCACTCACTCCCTCACCCACTCACTCCCTCACCCACTCATTCGCTTTCATTCATTCCTTCGCGCAGTCATTCACTCGCTTACTCATTCCCTCACTCACTCATTCCCTCATTCATTCCCTCATTCACTCACTCATTCATTCCCTCATTCACTCACTCATTTCCTCATTTGCTCATTCACTGATTCTCTCACTCACTCATTTACTCACTCTCATTCACTTATTCTTTCCCTCACTCATCTCTTTCATTCATTCCCTCATTCACTCCCTCATTCACTCACTCATTCATTCCCTCATTCACTCACTCATTTCCTCATTTGCTCATTCACTGATTCACTCGCTCACTCATTTACTCACTCTCATTCACTTATTCTTTCTCTCACTCATTCACTCTTTCATTCATTCCCTCATTCACTCCCTCATTCGCTCACTTTCTCATTCACTCATTCATTCCCTCACTCACTCACTCATTCCCTCACCCACTCATTCCCTCACCCACTCACTCATTCACTCCCTCACTCACTCACCCACCCAGTCATTCACTCACTCATTCCCTCACTCACCCACTCATTCATTCCCTCACTCACCCACTCATTCATTCCCTCACTCACTCATTCACTAATTTACTCACCCCTTCAGTCACTCACCCCCATTCATTCACTCTTTCACTAATTCCCTCACTCATTTCTTATTCACTCATTCACTCACTCACTGACTCATTCATTCACTCACTCTTTCACTCACTTACTCTTTCATATACTCTTTCACTCACTCACTGAGTCACTAATTCCCTCACTCCTTTACTCATTCACTCACTCCTTCACCCATTTATTCAGTCGCTCACTCATTCACTCACTCCTTCACTAATTCACTCACTCCTTCACTCAGTCATTCACTCATTTACTCACTCATTCAGCAAACACAAAGGACTTCCTGTGTGTCAGGGCTAGTGCTGAAAGTTTTGGGTGTGCAAGGAACACAGAGGGGCAGGTAGATGCTGAAAAATGCAGTCCTCTCCTAGAGACACACACTGAAATATTTACAGATACAATGATAGAGTGCTTAGGACCAGCTTCGACATTAAGCAAGAGAGGGGGAAGTGGCTGGGAATGTGTGAGGGGCAGAACTGGCCATGGCAGAGGGGTGGGAACACAATCTTCATTATCCCGTTCTGTTGACCTTTGAGAAATTTCATTTGAAACTATGGTACCACCTAACAGCAACAATAGGGCCATACAATGATGAGTGAAGGGCCTGTGTTCTCACTGCCTGCCTCAAAGCCCAGCTCTGCCATTTACTAAGGGATCTGACCCCAGGCAACTGTCAACCTCTCTGTACCTCAGTCTCCTCATCTGTGAGATGGGGACAATAGCACCTGTCCCAGAGACAGAGCTGTGGGAATTAAATGAGTTCTTCTCTGTGAAACAGTGAGTGCTCAGGACAGACAGCACTTGTTGACTCTCCCTATTGCTGCAATTCTGTTTATTTCCTAGATGATGACGCTGAGGGTCAGAGTGGTAGAGAGACTGACTCAGGGCCACACGGCTAAGGAAATTGCAGAACCAGAATTGGAATTCCATGCAGGCGGCTCCAAAGTGTGCTCCAGCGTAGGATTGGGCAGGGACAACGCAGCAGGATCAGAACTCTGGCCTGTTTGGATGAGCATAGGGGTGGCAGGAGTGTCTCAGCCAGGCCCCACCAGGTGCAAAGGCCTCTTTCCTGAGGCATACTGACGCCTTTTCCTCCACATGATGGTTGCCTAAGGAGGACCCAGCACACAGCCCAGACTCCATAGGCCCTCAGCAGTGTGGGGGGCATGGTTTGGGTAGCCTCAGGCCTAAGGTCAGGGCTGAATGTCAGTGGCAGGCCTCCAGGAACTGGTTTTGTCACCTTCACTCTGCTTCACCATCCAACCACAACACACAGGTGAGTTCCTATTGTTCCTTAGGGTCCTCACATGGACAGCACCTCCTCCAGGGAACTCTCCCCAACCTCAAAAAGTTAAACATAGGGCTGGGCGCAGTGGCTCACGCCTGTAATCCTAGCACTTTGGGAGGCCGAGGCAGGTGGATTACGAGGTCAGGAAATCAAGACCATCCTGGCTAGCACAGTGAAACCCCGTCTCTACTAAAAATACAAAAAAAAAAATTAGCCGGGCATGGTGGCAGGCACCTGTAGTCCCAGCTACTCGGGAGGCTGAGGCAGGAGAATGGAGTGAACCCAGGAGGCGGAGCTTGCAGTAAGCCGAGATTGCACCACTGCACTCCAACCTGGGTGACAGAGCAAGATTCCGTCTCTAAAAAAAAAAAAAAAAAAAAAAAAAAAAAGAAAGAAAGTCAAACATAGATTTGGCACACAACTCAGCAATTCTACTCCCATGTAAATACCCAAGAGAAATAAAAACAGGGACTCAAGCAAAAATGTGTGCATGAATATTCACAGTGGCATTATTCATAATAACCAAAAAGGTAGAAACAGCCCAAATGTCCACCAATGGATGCTGAATAAGCAAATTGTAGTCTATCCATGTAGTGGAATACTATACAACCATGAAAAAGAATCAAGTACTGATTCATGCTACAACATGAACAAACCTCGAAAATATGCTAAATGAAAGATGCCAGTCACAAAAGGCTGCATATGATTCTGCTTTATGAAATGTTCAGAATAGACAAATTCTATAGAGACAGAAAGACGATTAACAGTTGCCAGGGGTTGGGGGGAAGGCGGATGGGGAGTGGCTGCCTAACGGGAACAGAGTTTCCTTTTGGGGTGATGAAAATGTTTGGTGACTAGATAGACGTGGTGGTTGCACAACATTGTGAACTCACTAAATGCAACTGAACTGTTCACTTTGAAATGGTTAATTCTATGTTATGTGAATTTCACCTCAATAGAAAAAAAAAAAGAGACAGACTGAAGTTCAGGACAATTCAAAGTCCTGGAAAGTCAATTATTCCATTCCTGACATTATTATATAAATGGTGAGGCTGGCGATAGGAGGGAAGGTGGTGGAGGCAGCTGCGCTGGCCAGGAACGCAGGGTGCGGCTCAAAACCTTCATGGTTTAGAGTAACAGGAAGCCTGAGCACCACCATAAATCAGGATTTTCTGACTGGGTTTCTTGTACCGAGCAGAACTCAGTGTATTGAATATCCCAAGCATGTGTGGGGCTCTCGCCTGCCCAACTGCCAGTCCCTGCCAGTGGGGAGGCTTCTAATTTGATGCTGGCCTCAAACTGAAAATCGCTCAATGAAAAAATTAGGTTTCAACATTTTAACAAAAGTCAAGCTGGAACCGACGTTAAACATGAGCCGGAGGATTTCGGTAACTGCAAGGAAAACACAGACGGACAAGTTTCTTGCATGGCTGGGGCAATTGAAGGGATATTTCCTCTTCTGGGGCCAACAGTGGAGCTCAGAATTGCAGCTGCAAGTGACGAGTGTCTGCCCGGCTCATGCCAGCATGTGAACCCGAGGCATTGCCCACCCCCATCCCTTTGTCACGGGCACATCCAGTTTCTCCTCTGCCAGATTCCGTGGATCCAGAGGTGATGGCACACAGAGGCTGGACCCCAATGTTTCTGGATTCTGCTCACCTAGAAGAAGACATGTGTGGCTAATGCAAACCCCCCAGAGCTTATTTCCCAAAGCTCTAGGCATACAAAGCTGGAATGGGCTTTGGAGAGGGTTCTGCCTTTGCCTGTGAGCGAGACTTTTCATCAGCCTTTTAGGTGATGCAAAAGTCATTGCGGTTTTTGCCATTAACTGCAGTGGCTTGTACCAACCTAATAAGAAGCTGTGAGTCACCAGCCTGACCTCAGGGATGCCCAGGAAACAGGAAATAATCCCACACACAAATGCTCCTGACGGAGAGAGTAAGAAATCTACTCTATCAAGCACAACGCCCTCTCCTGCTTCTCATGTGTAAAGGTTCCTGATCTTTCTGAGCTGCTATTTTCTCATTTGTGTGCACGGGTACCCAGATCACCCATCCGGTGGGCTCTGCCTTTGTAAAACCTAGGCTACCTCATCTGCTGTGAGAATTCAGCTGGCTTCTGCACCCTGGCCCTTCTGCCTGGAGCTCTCCTCCCAGCCTCCTCTCCTGGGCCAGTGCCGCCATCCTGAGTCTCACCTTGAACCTGAATCTCTTGGGGCTGCCTTGCCTAACTCCCAGACTGAGATAAAGCCCTCATTATACCCTCACCTCCCTTCCTCTGCCAGAGACCGAACGCTCCCTGGATTATTTATAGATGGGCCCACCTGAACAATCCAAGGTAATCTCCTGTGTCAGCTCTTTCACTCAATCATATCTTGCGAAGTCTTTTTTTTTTTTTTTTTTTTTTGCCATGTAAGGTAACACATTCAGGTACCAGGGGTTAGGATATGGACTGTTTGGGGGACTGTTATTCTGTCTACCCCAGGCGAGAAATCAACTGTCACATCTTCATACAAAACAAACACAATTTATGTGGGCGCCGTAGAACTGACAGCTTGGTGGGAGAGAAAGATAATAAAACAATTGAATGGATAACTCTTGGAGGTGGCTAACCTTTCTATCTCAATAATGACAAAAAAAATTATTTATGGATCTCTGACTATATACTAGGCATGTTCTTAAAACTTATAGACATGACCACAATTCATCCCAACAATAATGTTAGAGGGTGTGCCTTATTCCCATTTCACAGAAGTGAAAACTGAGCCTTGGGAGCGTTCCATGATTGCCTGTGGGTTTACACTCATGTTGACTCCACCGTGCTGCAGACAGAGGCCCCTGAGTTTACCGTGTGTTCACCTGCCCTGCACGCCAGAATGAAGATCTAGAGATGGTACAAGAAGTGTCTGCACACGTCCTAATAGGCCGGGAGAGGAGGAGGGGAGCTCATTCCTTCCCCTTGCTGGCAGCTCCTTTCCCAAACACACTTGCAGGGAGGCAACTGCCGCAAGACGCCTTTGCACTTGCCTCACCTGGCCCACCCCACGCTCCTCTCCTTGCCACTCGGCCAAACAAGCGCAAGTGAAGAGTGATGCCGACCAGTTGTTGAGCATATATAGGCCACCTGGATCACCCAACCAGGAAATCAAAACTGCAGCCATGCCGGGCACGGTGGCTCACGCCTGTAATCCCAACACTTTGGGAGGCCGATGCGGGCGGATCACGAGGTCAGAAGATCAAAACCATCCTGGCTAACACAGTGAAACTCTGTCTCTACTGAAAATATAAAAAATTAGCCAGGTGTGGTGACGGGCGCCTGTAGTCCCAGCTACTCGGGAGGTTGAGGCAGGAGAATGGCATGAACCCAGGAGGCAGAGCTTGCAGTGAGCCGAGATCGTGCCATTGCACTCCAGCTTGGGTGACAGAGCGAGACTCCATCTCAAAAAAAAAATAAAAATAAAAAAAATAAAAACTGCAGCCAGACAGGCATGGTGGCTCACAGCTGTAATCGCAGCACTTTAGGAGGCTGAGGCAAGCAGATCACTGGAAGCCAGGAGTTCAAGACCAGCCTGACCAACATGGTGAAACCTCATCTCTACTAAAAACACAAAACTTAGCCAGGCATGGTGGCACGCACTGGTAGTTCCAGCCAATCGGGAGGCTGAGACGGGAGAAGTGCTTGAAGTAGGGAGGCGGAGTTTGCAGTGAGCTGAGATCATACCACTCCCCTCCAGCCTGGGCGACAGAGCAAAACTCTGTCTCAAAACAAACAAACAAACAAACAAAAAAACCCCTGCAGCCAGTGGAATTGAGAATCTGCAGCATCGATCGACAGCCTCAGTTCCACCCTGGGAAAAGGAGTTCTCTTTGGCTGTAAACTGGTCTCTAACTGTTGTGATTGTGAGATGTCATTTTCATCTCTGCACTGAGTCCTGTTTTATCGCCCATGTGTGCTGTACAGACATCCGATTTATTCACTGTCCACTCTCCAGGTGTCTCGGTGATCCAGAACTCATTTAAGAAGGAGGCATGGAAAGTCTTTGAGTGCCCGAACACACAACAAACCTGCATAGTAAAACACATGGGCTTTATTTATGCCTCCAACACTCATTCTGTGTTTATTTACTCTTTGTTTAAACACAATTCTAACAAACTTGATTATTTTGTACAGACACATTAGAATGATCACATTAGAAAGGAACAGAGAAAAGTAAAATCAGATATAGTAGATTAATTAATTAATGAGTGTACGTGTGGGTGTTTTTTATATATATAGTTATATATATTATATTGTTTTATGTATAGTTATATATATTATATTGCTACCTAGTTATATATATAGTTATATATGTTATATATAGTTATATATTTTATGTATAGTTTTATATGTTATATTGTTATATATAGTTATATATTATATTATATATATATATATAAAATATTAAAGGCAATGGGGAAAAAATAAAGACATGCATATGGCAGTCAGGAGACGTTTAACTGAGAGCCAAAAGTCCTCCATAGGTCAGCTGTCCCTGAGGGCACCGTGGCCCTCCCACAGCAAGAGACGTGCCATGTAATGATCAAGTGTTCAGGTGTTTCCATTCCCCTTCTTAAAGTCTAAGACAAAAACTCACACCTGGACCAGGCTGACTCTCCTGGTGTAAAGCAGGAAGATGTGATGAAAACTAGAGCCAGGAATGTCAACTCGCACTTTAGTCTGGGATGCTTGTGTGGTCAGTTTCGCCCACAGAACCCCAAAAGAAATTACACTGAGGGCTACATCCTGACCCCTTTCCCCAGTCCCCAGGGTCACGGGGCAGAAACTTCTCTCCCACACACCAAGCCCCAGGCCAGGGCCCTGGGAAACCTCCCATGTCCTCGTCCCACCTGCCCCATGTGGTTGTCACTGTTTCTCCCATATTAGAGATGACAGAACCAAGACTCAGACAAGGGAAATGCATCCAATCCAAAGGCACAGAAATGATGGTGGAGATGCAAGTGCTGCATCCCAGGTCTAGCTGACTCCAAAGCCCATGGGCTTTTTTCCAGCGTTTCTTTCTGCACTTGACCAAAATTGGGAGACTCCTGGTGATGGCAAGCTGACTGTCTCCTGCGGCGTTTCATTGCGTCTGTCAAGTTTCATTTCAGGGGATAGGGATGCAGCAGCACAGATTCGAACCTTCCCAAATCTCCAATAAAAACAGACAGAACAATGAGAAGGCAAAACTAAACCCTTAGACAACCTCAACAGCAAATGAGGTGACAAGCTGTCCCCAAACTACAAATACAATCAGGTGGCGGAGGGCACCAAATACAAGTACCTGTGTGTCACCAGCATCTGTGTAGGGCACAGCAAGGGAAGCTCCAGGGCTCTGGCAGGCTGGAGATCAGGGAACAGCAAAGTAGCCAACAGATGCTCAGAGGCAAACATGACAAACCACAGGACTGTGGCAGAAGCTGAGAGGAGTTTCTAACTAAAAGCAGGTGATGTCAAGAAGTCTAGTCTAGGGTAGGCTGACCTCCATAGATTCTCCAGAATGAATGTCCAGGGCTTCCTTCCAGGGCAGGGCCCTTGCTGACAGCAGATTCAACACTGAGACAAGAGGGATGACAGAGACAAAGGAAGAGTGGGACCAGATAACAGGGAGGGACGGGGAAGGAGCCAGGAAATACCAGCACACCAGCTACCAAAGCGTTAACAGTATATGAGAACAAACAGAAGCAAAGAAAGGAGCTCCCTGACTTAGATCAGCTACCAGAGGTAATTTCCCAAAAGTGGAGGACAATCACATCAAAAAAAAGAGGGGAGAAAAAATTATTGAGTTTAACTAGGATACAAATTTACTACAAGCAGAATGAAAATAAGGAACAGAATAAGAAGCCTGTGGCCAAATTTGACCCACAGTCTGTTTCACAGGGCCCATGAGCTGAGAGTGTTTTTCACTTTTTTTTTTCCCTGAGATGAAGTCTCACTCTGTCACCCAGGCTGGAGTGCAGTGGCATGATCTCGGCTCCCTGCAACCTCTGCCTCCCGGGAGCAATTCCCCTGCCTCAGCCTCCTGAGTAGCTGGGATTACAGGCACACGCTACCACACCCAGCTAATTTTTTGTATTTTTAGTAGAGACGGGGTTTCACCATGTTGGTCAAGCTGGTCTCGAACTCCTGACCTCATGATCCGCCCGCCTCAGCCTCCCAAAGTTCTGCGATTACATTGTTAAAAAGAAAAAGAAAAATATGTGACAGCGATTTTCTGCAAATCACAGGCCTAAAATATTTGCTGTCTGGTCCTTTATTGAAAATCTTGGC